>NC_000002.12:79792625-80417625 GCF_000001405.40 Homo sapiens
GCTTGTGAAGTTTGGAAATAGTGAAGAGATCTCAGACTTTAGGATCACAATTATTGTCCTAGATTGAACATTTCATGGTTTTGTGATATTAGAAAAATCACTTACCATTCTGCCCTCAGTTCCTAATCAGTAAAACAGAGATGAGGATACTCATGACATTGTCACTTGTGAGTACTCAACAAAATGACACATTTCTGAAATCCAAAGAACCTGATCAATGATAAAAACGTATATATGCAAAATATTTATTTCTATAATACCTATACTAAACAATGCCTTGTAATTTTATAAGTCATTTATTACATAATCCAAATTCATTGGTTCTTGTACTACATTTGTTCTTCTACTTAACAGAAATCACTGGAACATCTATGTGCTAAGCTGTATCAATATTTTATGCATTATATAGAGAGAATTTTGGATGGTATGTATGTTTAGTATGATGCCAATCCAGAGAATATGGGCCTAAGTGGAATATCTCTGGTGAGCAGCATGGAGACATTGAAATGGAAGGTGATGAAGGAAAAAAGAGAAGCCTTGTGTTAAGAGCTCTGCAGCATGTGCAGTATTGCAGTGCCAGCAAGCTAACTTGCCAGTTTCAGAAAAGCTGGTAGATGACATAAGACTGCATCAAAAACAAATGCCTTTATTACTCACAGCGCAGAAAGCAGTGTGAGTCTCAAATTCATGTTGGATCCCCTTACGCTGAGTCCCATGGGGGTGAGACAGAGCGACTCATGTAGAGCTGGGCATGCAGTGGGGCTGCACCCCAACTGAGGGTACCTGAGCCACAGGAAGCTTTATCTTTTATATTGGACAGGAAACACCCATCCCTGAGCTAAAGGAACCTGAATCTTTTACTTTGAATAGTAAACATTCCCCTTAAGGGAGATGTTATTTTTATTATAGGAAGTAATAAGTAAAGCTGGCCTGTACCCTCTCTATCTTCCAAGGTTTTCATTATGCAAACATCTGTGATAAGAGAGTCTCGAATAAAGGGGCAGTTAGTGCATATGCTCACAAGATGTGCAAAAAGATCGAAGACCCATATGGATAATCGCCACCCAATATCCAGGTGAAGGGGAGGCATCTTAAAGTAAATCTTAGCCTCCTTCACCATTAGGTCTTGGGCCAACCCAAATTATAGTGCAGAAATTACAATACATAATCAGATTTTATTATTGCACAAAAATCACTATTCTTCATTTTTCTTTTCATTTCTTTTTCCAACTTTCCCCAATACCACACACACACACACTCATGCACACACACACACACACACACACACACACACAGAAGAAGGAGATAAAACATACAAGAATAAGAATGATACAATGGACTTTGGGGACTGTGGGAGGAAAGGGTGGGAAGGGGGTGAGGGATAAAAGACTACAAATTGCGTTAAGTGTGTACGATTCAGGGATGGGTGCACCAAAGTCTCACAAATCGCCACCAAAGAACTTACTCATGTAACCAAATAACACCTGTTCCCCAAAAACCTGTGGAAATAAAAAAATAAAAAATAAAAAAAGAAGAGGAAAGAATGAGAAGGAGGTTAGGAGAGAAAGAAAACAGGACTTCAGAGAAAAGTAAATGAGAAAGCAGATATAGGGATTTATGGTATTTCATCATGGCTTTAGACATCTGTTAGGTTGGTGCAAAAGTAATTGTGGTTTTTGCCATTATTTTTAATTCTTTTGCCTTTACTTTTAATGGCAAAAACAGCAATTACTTTTGAAGATTAGAATGCTTAATATGAACCTCAAAGTGAGTATTTATTTATTCATTTATTACATATAAAAAGCTGTACATATATAATGTATACAGCTCTGAGCTCTGGGATAAGTAAACATCTGAGAAACTATTACCACCATGAAGGCCATAAACATACCCATCACCTTCCAAAGTTTCCTCCCTGCCTTTTCTTTCTTTCTTTATTTATTTTGCAGTAACAAAACTTATCATAAGATCTACCCGCTTAGCAAGTCTTAAGCGTACAATATTTTATCATTAATTATAGGTTCTATGCTGTACAGTAGATCTCCATAACTTACTTATCTTGAATAACTGAAACGTAAAGTGAGCATTTAAGTAATATACTCCATGAATAAGAGTAAGTATGTACATTCTGCCAAGATGTAATAGGTAGGATAAATCTACCTTGCTTGAAACCAAAGTCTAGTATATCTTTCCATGCATATTGTCTTCAGCATCTTACTTCAGGCTCCCTCTTCAGTTGACCATTGAGAATGTGAGGATATGGAGCCGTGCGGTTGATTTTCATGTCCTATACCGGAACAGGATAGGCACAACCTTAATATTTGTAGGGCCCAGGACAATAGTACAACTGGAGGCCTACCTACTATATGTCTAAATATTTTATGAATCAGTCTAACTGTGAATAAAAATATGTTCTAGCCTCATCTTGACAAGCATACTGTCACAATAGTGAAAAATATGTGCAATGCTATACTATTTCTATGACAGAAAGTCAGCAAAGTCTCAGGGTCATCTAACTTTAAATATGACTATCCAGTTAGGTGTTCTGTTGATGGGATGCATAAGAAATAAAGTCAATTTATACAAACTATGATATCTTTTTATATAACATTGACTTTTCTTGCCTTCATTTCAGCAAAATTGTATATTATGTTATTAAAGATTCTTACGTAATTTGTGTTGTGTTGAGACTAATTGTCTTAAAAGATTTAAAAATATAATAGTAAAGTACACAAACTTTAAATATATTTTCCAAAAATCAAAATGAATTACTATAAAAATTCAAAATATTTTTATGTATGTGTTTAAAAGTTATTTTTTATAAATATTTTAAATTAGCTTGCAAAATTTAAGGGTATAAGAAAAATGTAATTAATAAATATTACATTTTTAAATCAATTGTATTAAATTAAATTTCATTTAATTTGTTTATGAAAAGAAATTATTAGCAATTGTACTATTAAATGACTTTCTAATTGCCAAAATAAAGGACTGTATCATGTTTTATACAGGCTACATTGCGACTCAAATATATGTACAATATGTACAAATTTAAGAATATAGTGAATTTAAGAGTACAGTACTGATGTGAGTGCTGCGATATTTTGTGTAGGACTCAGAACCACAGTTTGAAAGAAGAGACATAAAAAGGGTTACTCAACACTACTATGAGAAAATGCATTTCCATGCAAGAATCTACTGCATTCATTAGTCTTTTCAGTGAAATAAATGCTTCTCTTCAAATCTCCTTGTCCTCGGGTGAAATGTCTGTCTTTAACAACACAAAAGAGTTCCTAGTATTTGGACTCAGTTCCGTTTTGTTATGAGGACATTGGTCAGTATGTCTGGAAACGGTTTCTCTGGGCCCTAAAATGTCTTAGTCATAAGAATGGATATTTAGGGCTGCAAGTTTCACTGTGCCAGTGCTGGACACACCAGATCCCAAGTGACAGGGATGCATCTGCTCTTTAATACATTTATATTTTGTATGTTTTTGATACTTGGGGTACTATAAAGGGGCCCTGGACAGGCACCCGTCTTAACACTGTTAGGACAGAGACAGACCTTGTCAAACAGGGAGAAAATTAGATATCCAATCTTTTCTGGAACTTAAGAAAGATTTTAATATTGTAATCCCTTTAACAGCTCTTTAAAAGTGGCCTAAATTCAGGAGAATGGCGTGAACCCGGGAGGCGGAGCTTGCAGTGAGCCGAGAGCCGCGATTGCGCCGCTGCATTCCAGCCTAGGCGACAGAGCGAGACTCCGTCTCAAAAAAAAAAAAAAAAAAGTGGCCTAAACTATGCCCAAGTTGGTGATATAAATATATGCCTACAACAGCAACAACAAATAGAAACAAAAACACATAAACAGAAAAGGAACCCAGCATATACACTTCGTGAGAACTGACTCCTGACCACAAGCGGGGCATACAACCAGATTGCCTTAAGGACACATGGAGGCAGGCAGCATCCAACGGGCTCATCTCTGCCCATCAGATGGAGCTGTCAGATGTGTGATGGTTAGAATGGTTGCTTTTGGGCAGGTCCAGGGTTTCAAGCCAAATATGTGAATCAGGTTGGGAAGAAAAATGCATGTAGCAGCATCAGTTAGGTAATGAGAAGTGGCACAGTGTGATCAAAGCGGGTTACTAGGAATGCAAATGCAGATTTTTCCCTGTCCATGCTAAAAAGATGCAATCCACCCCGTCTTTATTATGCATTCCTGCTGTGGCCTGGAGTACTGTGTTAGCCCTCCAGGAGATGGAACAGTGCAGGGATGAGATAGATATGACTCATGAAGCTCAGTCTAGTTATGCAGGTTAAATTGATCACTTTCAATGAGAGTTGCCCTCCCTCCATAGAGGCACTTTTTCCTTTTTCACTTCCAGCTCTGTTGCCAAAATTCCCATTAAGGTCATTACATTATGTCTTTAAAAGTACCTTTCAAAATGCAAACAATGTATCACAATTGTAAAACATTGTCAACATAAGCTATTAATGCCAGAGTGGTAGGAAATAGGCTTTTTGTTGTTGTTTTTGTCCACAAAATATTGGAAGGACTAGAATGAGAAAGTACCTATGTAGACATCCAGTATAAAGTCAGGTGGAAGGTGGGTAGGTAGGATGTAATGGAAGATATGGAGATCACCAAAGCCCAAGCATGCAGGCCCAGGTGGTCATCTAAAATAAGCATGATTGGTCTCATTTCCTTTGTTTAAATGGGAGACTTCAGCTTTCTTAAAATTGAGTGGCTTGGCTGGGTGTGATGGCTCACAACTATAATCCCAACATTTTGGGAGGCCAAGGCGGGTGGATCACAAAGTCAGGAGTTCAAGACCAGCCTGACCAATATGATGAAACCTCATCTCTACTAAAAATATAAAAAAATAGTCAGGTGTGGTGGTGCACACCTGTTGTCCCAGCTTACTCAGGAGGCTGAGGCAGGAGAACTGCTTGAGCCCAGGAGGCAGAGGTTGCAGTGAGCCAAGATCACACCACTGCACTCCAGCCTGGGTGACAGAGCAAGACTCTGTCTTAAAAAAAAAAAAAAAAAAATGATTGGCTTAACAGAAAAATTGCCCCTGTTGTGTTTGTACATTTAGATGTTTTGATTTATGGAAATAATTCATGATGAGGAGTGAAACATTTTAAAAGTTTCCATTAAATATGTTCCAGTTTCCTTATTTGTAAAAGTTAATGGTTTATTATTAGATGCTTTAGGATTGCACTGTTCTCTGGGGTGGATTTTATTAAATGAATCATTTATTCTTCATTATTTCTTAATTTTTTTTATATTTATACCAGATTTTACATGAATGGTTTCTGCATCCCTCTTACTGACACTGACACAAATTTACCCTTTTTCTCATATGTATATTCCCTGATAGATCTTTGGAATCACCCAGTCTGCTGGTTCTCCAAGCATAGTCCCAAGACCTGCAGCATTCTCTGGGAACTTGTTAGGGATTCATGTTCCCTGCCCCATACTAGAACTGCTGAATGAGACACTCTGGGGTGGGGGCCCAGCAATCTGTATTTTAACTGGATATTCCAAGAATTCTGAATTTGTGGCCTAGTCCAACTCTTATGTCTCCACATCAGGGAACAGGTTGAAAGCAAGATGGTACTAATCCCCTAGGCATCGGACTCCTACTCTAGTGCTTTTTTGTTTGTTTGTTTCATCACTATACTAAGGTCCATGTTAAGAACACAATGTGAGTCTCCTGGTGGGTTTCAGGACTTTCCAATCCTCATGGATCTCCAAAATTTATCAGAACCATCTAACAGTATAATAAGATATTTCTTTTTTCCTTTTATTCAGTTAGATTTTTATCTTTATTTGAAATCTTAATTATTTTTTAAAAATGCAGAATAGGAGATGAAGCACTGGAGTGAAACCAGTTGTAGTAAAAGCCAACTAATTTATATAATAAGACTTTTTTTTTTTTTTTTTTTTTTACAAAAATACTCATTCTTGAAAGAATAGCAAGTTAATTGGAAGCATCTAGAAATTACGATGTGACCAAAAGGGGCCTTCGAAGATGACTCAAAAGAAATCTTTATCACTAATTGAAGAGCATAGACAGATATTTGAATATCAAAAAATGAAAGCAAATGTAAAAGCATTGGCACAAATTTCTGAAAGACAGGGATTTTGAATAAGACTGAGGATATCAGACTAGAGTAACACAGTTTTATAAAGGAAATTCTCCCCAGGAGAGTGGTTTCATTTGTTTTCACTTCCAGAAAGTAAGAAAAGAGCAGACTCTGGAGTCCTCAATGAATCTCACAGTGTTCCAAGGTGATGCATGGAAAGTACGCATCTGGCATTAAAAACATGTGATCTGATTTATTGTTGAAGAAAAGAGGATAAATTATCCTGCTATAGTACATCTTACTCTCTTTTGTTGTTCTCTCTGGTGAGCCCCAGCCCAGATTTGCAATCCAGGACCCAAGGGATACTTTCCTAGGCAGCTCCTGCCTATAGTTTTGGGAAAGTAAAGTCGATGTTTTGTATGTCAGCTCACAGTTATAATTCGATGCAGTCTCAGATCTTGTTTTTTTTTTTTTAATCTCTGCCAGCCTCATTCCCCCTCTTCTTAAATATGTTCATGTATATATAAACATTGTATGTATGCTTATGTATCTAGATATGTATCGAGATGCCTTATTCTTTTTTTTTAACAGGGATTCCTTTAATTCCAAACACCACACCCCGCCTGTAATATAGACTGTGATACAGAGTTGGCCTCCACAGATGCAGACTGAAGAGGAACCTTTTTCATATAGTTTGAGGGTTTTTGTTTTTTCTGCAAAAACTCTCATTGCCTTCTTGTCCAGAAAGGCATGTAGAAATGAGCCCTATTGTATTGTGGAAGAATCTCTTCTTGTACGACAATCAAAAATACTGCAGAAATTTAAATCCCCCACGATTTTACTGTACATAACAAAGATTTGGAGGTATCAGTTAGGCTGATACATCTTTGGAACAGATAATGAAGCTTAGAAAGTGAGAGAGCAAAAAGAGCTATTACCGTAGGCTTTAAATTTTTTCTTAAAATTGTTTAGCATCACTGAACTGAAAGGAGCTTCAAATTCACAGTCTTAATGTCACATTAGCATATTCCTTTCATTCTTTAAACTATATTTAATTTATTTTTCCACAGGGTTATGGTAGTGATCATTATGAAAATGTATTTTATTTTATATGTCATAAAAATAGCAACATCTTAGACACAGATGTAGGTCAGTAGTCATGGTAATTACTTACTCTGTAGATTGGCATAATAATGACCATTTTGCTTAGAGGGGAAAAGTTCAGGGATGTGAAACTGAGTAGAAAGGAGAAGCAATCACATGATCTGAAAGGCCAAGTGACTGATACAGTTTTTCAGACATTGCATAAGATTTTTTTCCTAAGGAACTTCACATGCAGATGGATTAATCTGTAACTTATGTCACTATATCAGAATTTGCTAAAAGCTATAATTTTGTCAAATAAAATACAAGAGAACTCTTTAAGATGCAGAGTATGGTGATTCTAATTCAAATTTGAAAAGAAAATTTATTTTTATATCAAGAGATTTTACGGTAGTTTGGAAAGTTAGAAAACTAAGAATTTCTGGGAAGCTCGCATGTTATATTATAAAAGATGGCTGTGCTGCTTTTGGTGCAAAACGCTAGCCCCTCACCTCTTTTCTAAACTCCAGGCAAATGTTCTCCCTTGCATTGAGATATGTACATTCCCACCTAGATTCAATTCTGATTCCTTCTCTGAATGAACATTGACTTCCTTGTCTTATTCTCATTTGCTATTAGTATTACCTTTATTTGTCAATACCTCAGTAATATGTGTCCAAAATTGAAAAATACAGGAAATGCTAAAAAAAAGTCAGCTCAGATAATATTGACAGCAGCTCCTGTCTTGTGGAAGATGACCGGTGTCTTGGGGAGTTTAGAGGAGCCCACCAGCAACAGATCACGTCCACCTGCAGAAGGGGACAACAGCCAAGGAGGATGGCGAAAGAGAGGGGCTCCAGCTCTAGAGGTATGTGATGGGAGCCTGCTAGAGTACACTAAAATTTAGGCAGGAGCAGAAGAGGAAGTGTTGAGTAATCTGTACGTTTTTTGATAACATGCCTGCTGAAAGACAATTTTAGTCTGATGGATGATTATTTAGGGGACTTACCAGATGAGCGCTAATTATTGTTTTGTTGCAATGTGATGTGAATCTGGTCAGAAAGGCTTGGATCATTTAGGTGTCATAGAAAGTGGTTATGGAGATTTACTGAAAAGAACTGGTCCTGAAGACTTTGAAAAATATTCAGTTGTTGTCTCTAGATTAATATATTGGGGGAGCTACAAGGACATTTTAACCCAGCAATACCTGAATCCAGATCTGTGCTTTTTGTCACCCAAGCAAAGGTAATAGTAGTTTATGTACTAATTAAAAGCTCTTTAGAGAAATTAGAAAGGACTTGAGAAAGGTTTTGCTAAATGTAAATTTATGAGAGAGGGTGAATTGTTTTCAAAAACGTTGAGAGAATGGACTAGATACCTCTTGCCTCTTGTGCACTCCCTCATTGTCTTCAGCCACTGTGGTGTGACCAGCTTCCCACAGATGGAACCTAACAGCAGCTAGCTCAGCTGCAGCCAGTTTCTCTTGCTTTCTGCCCCAGGGTATGCTTTTGCCACGAGCTTTTGGAACTCTTGGGGGAAACCATCTAGACATTCTAAGTCAAGCATAGTGGATAGTTAATGTAATAGTGGATCGTTTATGTGCTAATTAAATGCTCTTTAGAGAAACTGGAAAGGGCTTGAGTTCCAGGTTATTGAGGCCCCTTGACAAATGAAGGCACTAGGGCTAATAGATAAGAGCTGTTTCTTCCCTGCCTTGGGCAGATGATGTTGAGATGCATTTTTCCTGTCTCTGCAGATTCCCAGCAGTAGCAGTGCATACGGGGGCTCACAGACCCACTCTATGTTAATTTCCTTGGTTCTTGAATACAAAATTAGAGTGGATCCACTTAGCAGTGTGTAGAACCCTTAAATTAGTTCTCTAATCCATAGAGTAAAAGCTATTCTGGGCCAGGCATGGTGGCTCATGCCTGTAATCCCAGCACTTTGGGAGGCCAAGGCAGGCAGATCACCTGAGGTCAGGAGTTCGAGACCAGCCTGACCAACATGGGGAAACCCCTTCTCTACTAAAAATATAAAAATTAGCCAGGCGTGGTGGCACATGCCTGTAATCTAAGCTACTCGGGAGGCTGAGGCAGGAGAATCGCTTGAACCCGGGAGGCAGAGGTTGCAGTGAGCCAAGATCATGCCATTGCACTCTAGCCTGGGCAACAAGAGTGAAACTCTGTCTCAAAAAAAAAAAAAAAAAAAAATGAAAAAAGAAAGAAAGAAAAAAAGCTATTCCGATACAAAAGAAAAGGCAGAAGCTTCTGAGCTTCTGACTCCTCTTCCCAGGATAAGATAAATCAGAACTAGTACTGCATCCTAGGAGAAATTGCATAGATTGGTGCCACCAGCAAAGACCTAAAGCACGTAGAGGCTATGCTCTCCCTCAGTATTACCATTCATTATTCTTGTATCACTCCTGAAACAATAGAGGGATCACAGAAAGCTTCTAGGTATAAAGGGATAATATCCTAAATGTAAATTATTGTAACACCAGTTATATCCTCCTACAGAGCATTTCTTTCCATTTTTACAAAGTAGAGCTATAGGAGTTAATTATTTTAAGAAAGTTCTGAAGTTGCCAAATGGGTAACATTCTCAGATACTTGAGTGATTTGAGGACATCATGCCAAGTTTCATTACTGCTTGTTTGGTGATCCTTCCTGGGGCCCTGATGATCCATATTCTTAGGCTAAGTGACCCCAAGGTTACAAAGTGACTGAACTGCCTCTGGCCCAGATATGCGGCTGGATTACGGGCCTTTTCCTACCCTAGGAAGGCCTCTAAAGAAAATGGTAATGAAGTTGCCTTTCAGGAGTAGTTGTAGATACAGAATGAAGCAAGGAGACTCAAATATTAGTGGGAAAAAAAGACTTGGAAGATTAATATTATACATTTGTTTTTTGCATGAAATGCAGATTGACTGTGTGTTCACTGATTTGGTAAAATGTCTCAGTTACATGCTTTTTTGTGTGTGACTGTTTATGAATTGTCAGTTCTGGGGACAGAAAGTGGTTTTCAAATTACTTTAGGCTTTATTATCTTTTATTTCTTGTTTCTGTTCTTAATGTGCAAGCACAAGAAAAAGCAGAATTATGTTTCAACACCAGCTAAATGAGATGAAATCAGATATTGGCTTTAAAACATTTTAAAAGGTTAAAAGTTATATAAAAATAAGTTCTGTATAAATGTAATATTACATATAATGTAATGAAAAAAATGCAAGCTTTTTAATAATTGTGTTATATTGGTATTTATTTGCACTAGCCTTTCATGACATTTCTGAAATGTAAATTGATAACATCATTTTCAGATGGAATCCACTTTGAATTGTCTATTTTTCACACAGTTGATTTTATGTTCTTCATTCATACTCTTCTTTTGCAATCCTGAAAAAAATGTGTGCTTAATAAACACTTTAATGCTGAGACCAGCTCAGTCAGGGAGACCCTAACCCAGCGGCGCTAGAGGAATTAAGATACACACACAGAAATATAGAGGTGTGAAGTGGGAAATCAGGGGTCTCCCAGCCTTCAGAGCTGAGGGCCCAAACAGAGATTTACCCACATATTTATTAACAGCAAGCCAGTCATTAGCATTGTTTCTATAGATATTTGACTAACTAAAAGTATCCCTTATGGGAAATGAAGGGATGGGCCGAATTAAAGGAATAGGTTGGGCTAGTTAACTGCAGCAGGGACACGCTCTTAAGGCACAGATCGCTTATGCTGTTGTTTGTGGCTTAAGGATGCCTTTAAGCAGTTTTCCGCCCTGGGCGGGCCAGGTGTTCCTTGCCCTCATTCCCATAAACCCACAACCTTCCAGTGCTGGTGTTAGGGCCATTATGAACATGTTACACTGCTGCAGAGATTTTTGTTTATGGCCAGTTTTGGGGCCAGTTTATGGCCAGATTTTGGGGGCTTGCTCCCAGCACTTTAAACCATGATGTAGTTCCTTAGAATTCATTTGGTCTGCTGAGAGAAATTATCAGACAATTTGGCTATGAGCATGTGTATAAGTTTTATTACAACTTCAGATGCAAAAGAAAACACTCTAGTAGGCTAAGTTAAAGAACCATTCTTTGTAGGAATATTTTATAGGGTAGGAAGATGGTTAGATACTTATTGTTAGATGGATACAAAAGTTTTTTAAAAGTCTGGATAAAGGTCACTAGACTCTTGACTAAGAGGCAGCTGGCCATGTGGTAGTTGGGCCACCAGTTTCTCAAATCAAGACATAATTCCATTATAGTTCATCAGAAAGTTGTTTTTAAAAAGATCAGAAATGCTTATTTCTTCCAACAAATAAGTTAAAATTGTAATCTCAATAATGTTCCCAGATATGGGAAAACACACCTATTTTTTTCAATAATTTTAGCACATTTTTGTATTTATCATACAGTGACTATTCAGTCCTCAAAGAAACTATATTCATATATTGCCAATATTTAAAAATTCCTAAAATAGTATGTATATCTTTTAACATATACCAAACTGCTAGAAAATAAATCTACCAGATGAAGGGAAACACTGCTGATTTTCTTCTCTTTTAACCAAAATCACACAGTCACACTTTATTATGTTTGCACCCTGGCTGGTATTTTTTTGAGCAAAATGAAAATAGTTAAAGCAATAGAAATATAATAAAAGAAAATATATAGTTCTTATTTGGAGTAGTTGAACTTTTCTTGCAGCAGTGGCCAACTTCTTTTCTGTGATGCAAAATTGAAGCAAATTTTGAGGTTAAGAGCCTGAGTGGGGAAAATTAATGGAATTTATAGTTTGACTTAATCTGTGTCATGAAATGTGAGCATAGATTATTCTAGGAAGGATTGTAACCTACTATTTTTTTTATATATTTAAGTAATAAAATGAGAAAATATACATAAGTTTAGATATTGAAAAGCCATTATTGTCTGTGAAAATTTTAGACCATGGATTAGAGATTGAGAAATATCTTCTTTGATAATGCCAAAAATTAAAATGCAAGTTATAGCACTTTAATGGATGGCATAGAGAGAACCAGTTTTAAAACCGATTTAAGAAAATGTTTTGAACATTTTAAAAGTCTCAGTTCTGAGTAGCACAAGTGTCAGAGAAATCTTTTAAGGGGAAATTGCCCCTGTGAAGAGTCTTGAAGAAGAGCAAGAATGAGCTGGGCCAAATGGGAAGGAGGGGAGCGGGGTCACCATGACCAAAGGAGCTGGGTTGTATATAGGAAGGCTTGTGGGAAGTGCATTATTAATTGAACATCAAATGCTTTTATGGTATACCTTAAGAAGAAGCTGGAAGGATAAGTTGTAGCTAGGAAAAGGCCTGTTCTTTTTGACGATTGTGTAATAAGCCCAAGGGGACTAGAGAATGAGTCCCCTGTCCCACCAAGCAAAGGTTGAATATTCCTGGTCTGAAATGCTTAGGACCAGAAATGTTTCAGATTTTGCACATTTTTAGATTTTGAAATATTTGCATTATATAATGGGATAGCTTAAGGATAGGACCAAAGTCTAAACATGAAATGTCTTCGTTTCATCTGCTCCTAGTGAAGGTTATTTTATACAATATTTTAAAATAATTTTGTGCGTGGAACAAAGTTTTGACTGTGTTTTGACTGATGCCTGTCACATGAGGTCAGGTGTGAAATTTTCCACATGTGGCATTTTTATTAGCACTCAAGAAGTTTTGGATTTTGGAGCATTTCAGATTTCAGATTTATGGATTAGGCATGCTCAACTTCTTTTATATTTGAATAATAATAGCAGTACGTTACTGAGCTCATTGTCTCAGAAGGTAATTTTGGCTGTGACTCCTGTTTTGCTGAGTGCAGTGAAGAGTATTAAGAGATGATAAGTTGGCTGGGCACGGTGGCTCATGCCTGTAATCCCAGCACTTTGGGAGGCTGAGATGGGTGGATCACGAGGTCAGGAGATCGAGACCATCCTGGCTAACACAGTGAAACCCCGTTTCTACTAAAAATACAAAAAAATTAGCTGGGCATGGTGGCGGGCACCTGTAGTCCCAGCTACTTGGGAGGCTGAGGCAGGAGAATGGCGTGAACCTGGGAGGCGGAGCTTGCAGTGAGCCGAGATTGCACCACTGCACTTCGGCCTGGGCGACAGAGCAAGACTGTGTCTCAAAAAAAAAAAAAGATAAGTTTATAAGAAAAGAAAGAATAGCCTATAATTTTCAAAGATTAGTAGGTTAAAAATTATCATTTCAACATGACTTTTGCATGTAAGTTTTCCATATGGTGTCAGTATAAATTCTCTTTCCTGCTTCTCTCAAACTCTTTAGTTAGTTATACATTCCTCACTACTACTATAGATTCAAATGCCATGTTGCAGTAGTTAACTCTAATTTATTATGGGCACAAAATGGGGACTAAGGCCACCCATTAGGGCTATGCACCCATTGGAGTTTTATTTAAAAAAAAAATAGACATTTTATAGTTACCAAAAAGCTTCTAAGAGTACGTGAAGGGAGCATATTGGCATTTCAGGTAGATGACTTGGGAGGCAACTTAGAGGACGTTTTGAAGGTGGAGAGAGAGGTGTATGTGTTCAGACGACTTGCACAAACATCTGGATAATGGAAGAATTGATTCCTACAGTGTTATGAATAAAATAGAGAATGAAGTTTTATGTTAAAAGAGTTGGCTTGGAGGAGTTACTGGGAAGAAAGGGAGAGGAAGGTGACTGGGACCCTTCCAACTTCTGCCCTACCCTGTACCTGTCCCCTCATTGTCCGCAGGTGACTTAGACTTCCCTGCCATCCTGAGCAAACAGAGGGTACCATGTGCACACTACCTCCTCCCATGTTCTCTGGATCTCAGAACCCTGCGACTGCCCCAGTCTCCCACGTTTGCCTCTGGCTTTGCCTCTTCCTCCGAGCTGAGTTGTCAGCTGGAAAACTAGTGGTCTCTTGGGGGTTGCTTCTGTGTACAACCTGCCCCTTCCTCCTGCTTGAAAGTTATAGCATCTCTGGGATAAGTCTCTTCTTGAGTTGAGATCATATTTTCATTTATTATCCCCCACGTGCCTCATATAATAGAGACTCAGTAAAGGTCTGATCAAGCTAAATGCCAAATCCCCTTCTTATGGATATCTTATTCCTGAGCAACTGACATGCTCAAGCATTCTTTATCCTAAAACAAAACTCCTTTCCTGAGTCCTATTCCTCCAACGCCCCTGTTTCTCTTTATTCCCAAATGGACTCAGTGTAGCTTACCTTTGACTTCTCTGCTCTCTCCCTGGTCTCCTTCACTCTTACACTTCCAGGCCACCTTTCTTTACTGTTATTTTAATGAAAATTGCTCTCACTTTGATCCCTTAAGAACACTTTTTTTAAATACAAATATATTTTTGGTTTGCTCATCCATTCTACTAGACTGGGAATTATTTTTCTTTTGTGTTACCTCCTATTTCTCTTCTTTGTAGATTCATGATTTTTATCCTCCAATGTTCTTATCCCTTGTTTCCCAAAAAGACAACTCAATAAATCCTCTTTCTTTATTGTTTGACTTTTATAACATTTAAAGTGATGTTTATGGAGGGTTAAAATCAAGCATATGGTTTCTTTGGATTTTTTGCTAAATTAGCCTTTTTCCAAAATCTTCATTTTTTCATATTAAAAACATATTTCTGCATCTTAATTTTAAGCATTTTTTAGCCTTAAAAATAGTTTAAACTGTTCCTAGTAAGTGAAAACATGCTCTTTTAAATTTCACTTGACTGAATGCATTGTTAATTCTTCCAGACTTAGTGAATTTATTATATTTTATTCAGTGTTCAAACATTATATTAGCTCTTTGAAAGTTATTAAAGTTTCTTTTCAAAAAATGAATTAAAGTGTTACATTGAATGAATAGCAGTTACATTACACATTTAAGGAAGAAAAGTGCTGATGTATTTAAAATCATTTACTGAAGTTACAGCTGTCCCATTTGGCTTTAAAAAGCACAATGCTATTATGTGAATTGTAAATACTAAGATATTGTTCTGAGGGGCAAAAAAAAGCTAAGACTGTTAGAGGAAAATTATAGTCTTCTAGTATGGTAACTGGATTTCCTGTCGATTTACATTTATGAAACTTCTTACTTTGATATCAAGAAATTATAAGTAGATAACCTAAACTTCCAAAATAGGATCACTTTTCAGATTTTTCAAGTAGCTGATTGCTACAATCAGCTGTCTTTAAGGACTCATCATGATCTATGATATTAAATTTTCCTTTACAAAAATTACTTTTTACGTGACATTTAACTTGTAAAACGTAGTATTTATAATTGAAATGCTGATGAGAGTAATTTAAAGTATTTCAGAACACTTTCTCTACAGATAATTTGTCTTCAAATTCTTGCCCTAGCTTACAATGCCCTGTATGATTGAGACCTTATCTACTGTGCCAGTTGGGTTCAGCAGAGTTCAAAATGCAAAATATTGGGGGTTGCATGTATGAAAGAGGAGAAGGGAGAAGGAGGAAGGACTACTGGGTAGTGAGGGCCTTACACTGTGTTGCTGTTCAGAAAATATGTTGGCGAGGCCAATGAGGAGTTCCATTGCCAAAATTGCCCTTTGGAGGAGTCATTCATTAAGCAAAAATGGTTGGGCTCTACTCATTAACTGAAGTTGCTTGGGGAAAGCCTGTCATAGCTTGAAGGCCATAGTCAATCCCAAAGCATCTGAAGCTAGAGCTATCACCGAATTCTTGCTTATCTTTTTTATTTTCTTTACAGTGTCTTTGAAAGAGAATACTTTTTTATGTTTATAAAGTCCGGTTTGTCAATTCTCTATTCTTTTATGAATCATGATTTTGGTTTTACATTTAAGAAATCTTTGCCTAACACAAGGTCACAACAATTTTTTTTCCTACGAGTTTTATAGTTTTAAGCATTACATTTAGATTTTTAATTTATTTTGAGCTAATTTTTATAGGCAAATTTGGGGTCAAGGTTAATGTTTTTATAAATGGATTTCATCTTTGTCATCATCTTTTTTTTTTATTATACTTTAAGTTCTGGGATACATGTGCAGAATGTGCAGGTTTGTTACATAGGTATACACGTGCCATGGTGGTTTGCTGCACCCATCAAACCATCATCTACATTAGGTATTTCTCCTAATGCTATCCCTCCTCTGGTCCCCCATCCCCCAACAGACCCTGGTGTGTGATGTTCCCCTCCCTGTGTCCATGTGTTCTCATTGCTCAACTCCCACTTATGAGTGAGAACATGCGGTGTTTGGTTTTCTGTTCCTGTGTTAGTTTGATGAGAATGATGGTGTCCAGCTTCATCCATGTCCCTGCAAAGGACATGAACTCATCCTTTTATATGGCTGCATGGTATTCCATGGTGGATATGTGCCACATTTTCTTTATCCAGTCTACCATTCATGGGCGTTTGGGTTGGTTCCAAGTCTTTTCTATTGTAAATGGTGCTGTGATAAACATATGTGTGCACGTGTCTTTATAGGAGAATGATTTATAATCCTTTGGGTATACACCCAGTAATGGGATTGCGGGGTCAAATGATATTTCTGGTTCTAGATCCTTGAGGAATCGCCACATTGTCTTCCACAATAGTTGAACTAATTTATACTTCCACTAACAGTGTAAAAGCATTCCTATTTCTCCACATCCGCTCCAGCATCTGTTGTTTCCTGACTTTTTAATAATTGCCACTGTAACTGGCATGAGATGTTATCTCATGTGGTTTTGATTTGCATTTCTCTAATGACCAGTGATGGTGAGCTTTTTTTCATATGTTTCTTAGCTGCATAAATGTCTTCTTTTGAGAAGTGTCTATTCATATCCTTTGCCCATCTTTTGGTGGGGTGGTTTTTTTCTTGTAAATTTGTTTAAGTTCTTTGTAGATTCTGGATATTAGCCCTTTGTCAGATAGATAGATTGCAAAAATTTTCTCCCATTCTGTAGGTTGCCTATCACTCTGATGATAGTTTCTTTTGCTATGCAGAAGCTCTTTAGTTTAATTAGATCCCGTTTGTCAATTTTGGCTTTTGTTGCCATTACTTTTGGTGTTTTAGTCATGGATTCTTTGCCCATGCCTACGTCCTGAATGGTATGGCCTAGGTTTTCTTCTTGTGTTTTTAGAGCTCCTGAAGGAAGCACTAAATACGGAAAGGAAAAACCAGTACCAGCCACTGCAAAAACATACCAAATAGTAAAACCATCGACACTATAAAGAAACTGCATCAACTAATGGGCGAAATAACCAGCTAGCATCATAATGACAGGATCAAATTCACAAGTAACAATATTAACCTTAAATGTAAATGGGCTAAATGCCCCAATTAAAAGACATCATCATTTCTTAGAGACTATCTGTGTTAGTCCGTTTTCATGCTGCTGATAAAGACATAACTGAGACTGGGTAATTTATTAAAAAAAGAAAAAGAGGTTTAAGGGACTCATAGTTCCACATGGGTGGGGAGGCCTCACAATCATGGCAGAAGGCAAAAGGTCTTACATCACAGTTGGCGAGGGAGAATGAGAGCCAAGCGAAAGAGAAACGCCCATAAAACCATTAGATCTCGTGAGACTTATTGACTACTACTAGGAGAACAGTATGGGGGAAACCGCCCCATGATTCATTTATCTCCCCCTGGGTCCCTCCCACAACATGAGATGAGATTTGGGTGGGGACACAGCCATACCATATCACTATCCTTTTGCCATTGAATTGCCTTTTCACCTTTTCTTTTCTTTTCTTTTTTTTTTTTTGTTATACTTTAAGTTTTAGGGTACATGTGCACAATGTACAGGTTAGTTACATATGTATACATGTGCCATGTTGGTGTGCTGCACCCATTAACTCATCATTTAGCATTAGGTATATCTCCTAATGCTATACCTCCCCCCTCCCCCCACTCCACAACAGGCCCTGGTGTGTGATGTTCCCTTTCCTGTGTCCATGTGTTCTCATTTTTCAATTCCCACCTATGAGTGAGAACATGCAGTGTTTGGTTTTTTGTCCTTCAGATAGTTTGCTGAGAATGATGGTTTCCAGCTTTATCCATGTCCCTACAAAGGACATGAACTCATCATTTTTTATGGCTGCATAGTATTCCATGGTGTATATATGCCACATTTTCTTAATCCAGTCTATCATTGTTGGACATTTGGGTTGGTTCCAAGTCTTTGCTATTGTGAATAGTGCCGCAATAAACATACGTGTGCATGTGTCTTTATAGCAGCATGATTTATAATCCTTTGGGTATATACCCAGTAATGGGATGGCTGGGTCAAATGGTATTTCTAGTTCTAGATCCCTGAGGGATCGCCACACTGACTTCCACAATGGTTGAACTAGTTTACAGTCCCACCAACAGTGTAAAAGTGTTCCTATTTCTGCACAACCTCTCCAGCACCTGTTGTTTCCTGACTTTTTAATGATCGCCATTCTAACTGGTGTGAGATGGTATCTCATTGTGGTTTTGATTTGCATTTCTCTGATGTCCAGTGATGATGAGCATTTTTTCATGTGTCTTTTGGCTGCATAAATGTCTTCTTTTGAGGAGTGTCTGTTGATATGCTTCACCCACTTTTTGATGGGGTTGTTTGTTTTTTTCTTGTAAATTTGAGTTCATTGTAGATTCTGGATATTAGCCCTTTGTCAGATGAGTAGATTGCAGAAATTTTCTCCCATTCTGTAGGTTGCCTGTCCACTCAGATGGTAGTTTCTTTCGCCTTTTCACCTTTTCTAAAAGTCAATTGATCATACATGTAAGGATCTATTTTTAGAATGTGTTCTGTTGCATCAATTTATATGTCCATACCTTTGCCAATACCACACTGTATTGATTATTGTATCTTTATAAGAATCTTGAAATCAAGTAATGCCTTCTAACTTTGTTCTTTTTTCAAAATTGGTTTTGGGTATTTGAGTTTCTTTGCTTTTCTACATAATTTTTAAAATCAGCTTTTTTATTTCTAAGAAAAGGAAGAATTCTGCTATGATTCATCCTGGGATTATAGTCAATCTATGGATCTATCTGGGGAGAACTGACACCTTAACATTATTAAAACTCCCAGTCCATGAACACAATATATCTCTTAATTTGTTTAGGTCTTTTAAAATTTCTCATCAGCTTTGAAGTTTTCAACATACAGATCTTGTGTGTATTTCCTGAAAGGTATACTTAAATATTTTGGCTGCTGTTTTAAATGATACTTTTAAAAAATTTCGATTTCCAATTGTTTACTGATTCTATATAGAAATACAATAGTTTAGTTTTGTGTGCATGTATGCATGTATGCGTGAATTGACCTTATATCCTGTGACCTTCTAAATTTAAGTATTATTTCCAATGTCATTTTTTGTAGATTCTTTGAGATTTTTCTACATTGACAACTCTGTTATCTTCAAATAGTTGCAGTTTTATTTCTGTTTTTTCATTCTATATTCTTTTCTTTTTCTTGACTATTGCACTGGCTAGGACTTCCATTATCATGGTGAATAGAAGTGGTTAAGTGCAGTCATCCTTACCTTGTTCCTGATATTAGAGAGACAGCATTCAGTCTTTTGTCTTTAAGTAAGATGTTAGCTGTAGTTTTAACTGAGATTCCTTTATTGGGTTTAGGAAATCTCCTATTGCATGTTTGAGGAGTCACTAGCCTGAAATGATGTTAAATATTTTTCAGCGGCATTTATTTGCATCTATTGCAATGATCACAATGATCACAGTAAAAGGAAATGTAAAAAATGGTCCCATAAAGATTTCATGGTCAAGCTTATTTTCTTTGCCCTAATATATAAGAAACCTTATGATCTCACCCATGCCTACATTTCTCTAACCTTGTCATTCTTCACATGCATCTTCGGCTGTTTTGGTAAAAGGAATTGCTTACATTTATCTGAATATATTATGTTCATATCTAGCAGTGATATTTGTAGTAAATGCTGTACTTTGTCACCCAGATTTCTCCTGAAGCATAAAAGACCTAGTCCCCAACCTGAGAGACCTGCTGGGTGATAGACCTCAGCTGTAAGCCCTCCCCAAGAGTTACCTTCTGATGGAAAGTGCCACCTTAAGTAGGTCATGCCAACTTCCCTGGAACGTCCTATGTCTAATGCAGAGAGAGAAAGCTCAGCCTCCACACCCCAAAGAGGGACAGTAACACTCCAGGTGCAATTCTGAAGGAGACCAGTCCAACTTCACAGGTGCCCATAGGGTGAGTTTACACCTTGTTACCACTAGTTAGACTGGTTAGCCACTGCAGTTAGGTGACTGCAGTGACAGTTTTCCCATAGATGAGGGGTTTCCCAGGACATGAGACTTTCAGTGCTAAAAGTAGGAAAGTCCTGGGTAAAGCAGATTGACTTTGTCACCCAAAATTTCAAAGCCTGACTCTTCTCTAAAATCCTGCTTTGCTCCTTTCTACCACAGTTGCTGATCCTGGGCACACTCCTTGCTTAACTTCACTCATTCTAATCTCTGCCCTGGCACATGAGTGCAAAAATAGACATCAGAAGGACAAAAGAAGAAGCAAGGAGACCATCAAGGGAGGCAATTGCATTATTCCCACAGAGAAATTTATGAAAGTAACAGGCCTAGGTCAGTGACAGCAAAGATGGAAGACAGGTAGATTCAAGATCCATTTTACAGATCAAGCTAATAAGTCTTATTGATGAATTGAATTATGGATCCTGGAAGCCTGTTCAGAGTTGAGGTTGAACAGATGAGCAAATGGTGGCATCATTTACTGAAATGGGGAATATAATGATGATTCACTATACCTTCAATTCAATTTGGGATGTGTGAGTGGAGATTTCAAGTAGACGTAAAGTTCTAGAGCTAAAGAGAGGTCTGGATTGGTGGTACAGATTTGAGAGACAGTGACATTCGGGTTATAATTTAAATCACAGGAGCAAATAGGACCCTCAGAAGAGAGTTCAAGAGTTTCAAGTTCTTTCGAGAATCTGATGAAAGCTAAGGACCTTCTTTTAAGAAAAAAGCACACTCTTATAAAAATGTCTACATTAGTTTCCTAGAGTTTGCATGACAATGATATAAATGGGATACTTTAAAACAACAGAAATATATTGTTTTGTGCTTCTGGAGGCTAGAAGTTTGAAGTCAAGGTGTTTGCAGGGGCATGCTCCCTCTGAAACCTGCAGGGGAGGATTCTTTCTTGACTTTTCTTGGCTCCTTGTGGTGGCTGTCAATCCTATACCTTGGCTTGCAGCTGCATCGCTCCAATCTCTGCCTTTGTTGTCACATGGCAGTCTTCTCTTTTTGTGTCTGCCCTCTTCTTAAAAGGACAGCAGTCACTTAAGACTAGGGGACCACCCTAACCTACTAAGACTTCATCTTAACTAATACATGAGTGCTCCCCCAACTTTTATATATATGATTTCATCGTGAGGTCCGACAAAACTTTGGAGACACAACTGAACCCATAAGAATTTTTCAAAAATATTTTTTACTTTTTTGTAGGTTATTGGGGTACAGGTGGTATTTGGTTACATGACTAAATTCTTTAGTGGTGATTTGTGAGATTTTGGTGCACCCTGCACCTATCACCCAAGCAATATACACTGCACCGTATTTGTAGTCTTTTATCCCTCGCCACCTCTCACCTTTCCCTCCAAATCCCCAAAGTCCATTGTATGCCTTTGCATCCTCATAGCTTAGCTCCCACACATCAATGAGAACATACAATATTTGGTTTTCCATTCCTGAGTTACTTCATTTAGAATAATAGTCTCCAATTTCTTCCAGCTCACTGCAAATGCCATTAATTCATTCCTTTTCATGGCTGTGTAGTATTCCATTATATATGTGTGTATACACACACACACACACACACACACACACACATATATATATATATCACAGTTTCTTTATCCACTCATTGATTGATGGGCATTTGTGTTGGTTCCACGATCATTCAATTGTGAATTGTGCTGCTATAAACATGCATGTGCGAGTATCTTTTTCATGTACTGGCCTCTTTTCCTCTGGGTAGGTGCCCAGTAATGAGATTGCTGGATCAAATGGTAGTACTTTTAGTTCTTTAAGTAATCTCCACACTGTTTTACATAGTGACTGTACTAGTTTACATTCCTACCAGCAGTGTAGAAGTGTTCCCTGATGACCGCATCCATGCCAACATCTACTGTCTTTTGATTTTTTGATTATGGCCATTCTGGTGGGAGTAAGGTGGTATCACATTGTGGTTTTGATTTGCATTTCCCTAATTATTGGTGATGTTGAGCATTTTTTCACATGTTGGTTGGCCATTTTTGTATCTTCTTTGGAGAGTTGTCTATTCATGTCCTTAGGGCACTTTTGATGGGATTATTTTATTCTTACTGAGTTGTTTGAGTCTGTTGTAGATTTTGGATATTCGTTCTTTGTCAGATGTATAGATTGTGAAGATTTTCTCCCACTCTGTGGTTTGTCTGTTTACTCTGCTGACTGTTCTTTTGCTGTACAAAAGCTCTTTAGTTTAATTAAGTCGCAACTATTTATCTTTGTTTTTATTGCATTTGCTTTTGGGTTCCTGATAATGAAATCCTTGCCTAAGCCAATGTCTAGGAGGGTTTTTTCAATGTTATCATTGAGAATTTTTATAGTTTCACGACTTAGATTTAAGCCCTTAATCCATCTTGAGTTGATTTTTGTATAAGGTGAGAAATGAGGATCCAGTTTCATGTGGCTAGCCAATTATCCCAGCACCATTTGTTGAAAAGAATGTCCTTTCCCCACTTTATGTTTTTGTTTGCTTTGTCAAAGATCAGTTGGCTGTATGTATTGGGTTTATTTCTGGGTTCTCTATTCTGTTCCATTGGTCTATGTGCCTATTTTTATACCAGTATCACACTGTTTTGGTGACAATGGCCTTATAGTATAGTTTGAAATCAGGTGGTGTGATGCCTCCAGGTTTGTTCTTTCAGCTTAGTCTTGCTTTGGCTATGCAGGCTCTTTTTGGTTCCATATGAATTTTAGATTTTTTTTTTCTAATTCTGGGAAGAATGATGGTGGTATTTTGATGGGAATTGCATTGAATTTGTAGATTGCTTTTGGCAGTATGGTCATTTTCACAATATTGATTGTGCCCATCCATGAGCATGGTATGTGTTTCCATTTGTTTGTGTCATCTATTTCTTTCAGCAGTGTTTTGTAATTTTCCTTGTAGAGGTCTTTCACCTCCTTGGTTAGGTGTATTCCTAAGTATTTTTTTTTTGTAGCTATTGTAAAAGGGGTTTAGTTCCTGATTTGATTCTCTGCTTGGTCGCTGTTGGTGTATAGAAGAGCTACTGATTTGTGTACATTAATCTTGTATCCAGAAATTTTGCTGAATTGTTTTTATCAGTTCTAGGAGCTTGCTGGAGGAGTCTTTAGGGTTTTCAAGGTAAACAATCATATCGTCAGCAATGAGTGACAGTATGACTTCCTCTTTACTGATTTGGATGCTCTTTATTTCTTTCTCTTGTCTGGTTGCTCTGGCTAAGACTTCCAGCACTATGTTGAAGAGGAGTGATGAGAGTGGGCATCCTTGTTTTGTTTCAGTTCTCAGAGGAAATGCTTTCAACTTTTCCCCATTCAGTATTATGTTGGCTGTGGGTTTGTCATAGAAAACCCATAACACTTTTATACCATTTTAAGGATTCAAAAATTTTTCATGTCCAACTTCCAGAGACATAATGCTGGACTCACCAACGTTTGAAAGATGGGTGCAGGAAGAGTTAATATAAAAAGAATGAGAAGATACAAGAAGAGCAGGAGCATATATCTCCTTACTAGGAAGCCAAAAGAAAAGAGAGTTCAAAGATCAACCCCGAGGCCATGGAAGAAAAGCACTGAAAATAATCCCCTGAAAATCAAATGTATGTGTTAGGTTGACCACAGGTAGCTCCACACATTGCTGCTGATGATACTAGCAATACATGTTAACATTCTTGGCCTTTCTAGATGTCAGACACTATTCTAAGTACTCTTAATTTGCTGAATTATTTAATCCTCACATCAACTCTGTTATTATTCCCATTTTGTAATGAGAAAACTAGAGAGTTAAAATAGCCTTTTTACAGTGGCATACCTAGCTGGCAAAAGAGCATCTCAAACCTTACGATGTTCAAATCATAACTTTTTCCCCTGTCCTAATGTGTACCTCCTCATGATTCCCCATTTCAGTCATTAAATAAACCTGCCAATCATTGGCATTTTGTTTCTTTTTTTTTATAGGAGATATTCTTTTTTTTATTGCCTGTTTTTTTAATTATTATTATACTTTAAGTTTTAGGATACATGTGCCCAACGTGCAGGTTTGTTACATATGTATACATGTGCCATGTTGGTGTGCTGCACCCATTAACTCGTCATTTAGCATTAGGTATATCCCCTAATTCTATCCCTTCCCCCTACCACAACCTCACAACAGTCCCTGGTGTGTGATGTGAGGTCATCTCTTCATTTCACTTCATGCATTAAATGAACTCATTTTTCTGATAACACAAACCAGAAAGTGCAGAATAATGTATTTCTCTCTCACTTTTTTTTTTTTTTTTTTTTTTTTTTGCCATTTTCTGAGTTAAATCAGTGACTAAATGTGGTCAGTCTCTTGCTTAAAATCTGTCAGTGGTTCTGCCTTGCCATAGAATAAGTAGCCTGGGATCAGGCTCTCGTATTTCCAGTCTCACTCTCAAAGCATTCCTAGAGGGCTGCACTTCCACTCCTCTGGCAGCACTCTAACCACATTGAACCATGTGTTGTATCTCACCCTTTCCCTGTGCTCTGTCTGTGTTGGGTTTTCCTCTTGGCACCAGGAGACCTCTCTTAATATTTCGGAGCCCAACTCACAGGCACCTTCTCTTATGAGATGTTCAATGGGGTCTTGCGCCAAGGGCAAAACCTAGATCGAGAACACGAGAGTTGTGCCTTCAATGTGCATTTGATTTTGTCCAAGTCAGAGGATGTAAAAAAGGCAGGAGACAAATAAACAGGTAACTTGACTAAAGGACAGAATATTAATGACAGGCTGGTGCTGACAACAAATTGTTGTTGAGCTTTAAAGAAGGGAGACAAACCATTGGCTGGAAGTCTACTCCTTCCAATTATATTGCACCATCGATGTAAATAACCCCCTCTCCCAAAAGGAGAGCTTTATGATGACATGTGATGAAGAATTTTATGCTGTTCTGCTAAAATCACATTTACCATTTCGCATATTGGGCTTCAATTTTTAATTTACTCGTTTTAATAAGCCTCATTACTTCCAAGGTTATTTATACAGTGTTTAACTCCTACTGGGTGTTTCTTTTTCTGAGTCTTTTTTAGCTTTTAAGTAATGGCTGTGATTATATAATTAAAGCAAACTACAGCAGATTACATTAAGAAGTTCACTTTTTTTGGAAGAAGGAAGTTTGCTCTTTGTTCACTTTCATATTATTCATTTTTCATAATTTAATATTACCAAAGATAGTGCATAAATATTATAATTAGCATATTTGTTGTTTTTCTTGAATGGATATTGTGATTTACCTTTGTTTTTGTTTTTTGTTTTTTTGAGACGGAGTTTCGCTCTTTTACCCAGGCTGCAGTGCAGTGTTGTGATCGTGGCTCACTGCAGACTCTGCATTCCGGTTTCAAGTGATTCTCCTACCTCAGCCTCCTGAGTAGCTGGGATTACAGGCGCCCGCCACCATGCCCGGCTTATTTTTTTTTGTATTTTTAGTAGAGACGGGGTTTCACCATGTTGGCCAGTCTGGTCTCGAACTGCTGACCTTGTGATCCACTCACCTCGGCCTCCCAAAGTGCTGGGATTACAGGTGTGAGCCACCAAGCCCGGCCTGTGATTTACCTTTAAAAGACTGTTAATGATCTTCAGGTAGCACTGACAACTCCTAAACCCTGAAATCTTGAATTTTAGATCCTTTATTGCTTATGGTTTCTCTTAGGCAAATTATGCAAAGTTTTTTTCTGTTGTTTTTATTTTAGGTTTTGTTTACAGTTTTGCTGCAAAGTCTGTATCATATACTTCAGGATCCAAAATGCAATTATATATATATATATATATATATATATGGATGTATGTGTATCATATTAAGTAAACTCAAGCAAAGCACTAATAGCACACACACACACACACACACACACATACACACAAAAGTATTGCTTTATCCCTATCTACTGTTTCTCCTCCATATTCTTTTTCTTTTTTTTTTTTTTTAATTGAGACGGAGTCTCACTCTGTCACCCAGGCTGGAGTGTAGTGGTATGATCTCGGTTCACTGCAACCCCTGCCTCCCAGGTTCAAGCGATTTTCCTGCCTCAGCCTCCTGAGTAGCTGGGATTACAGGCATGCGCCACCACGCCCAGCTAATTTTGTATTTTTAGTAGAGATGGGGTTTCTCCATGTTGGTCAGGCTAGTCTTGAACTCCCGACCTCAGGTGATCCGCCTGCCTTGGCCTCCCAAAGTGCTGGGATTACAGGCACGAGCCACCATGCCCAGCCTTCTCCATTTTCAGAACTGTAGAGAACTCCTTCCTCTGTGCGCCATTACTTCCTGTGTGTACTGCTGTTATATGACATACACACTTTCTTATAACTTATGGGCTTACTTCTGTCTCTTCTACTCTTTGATACAATTTTAGAATCTAGAAAATTACTTGCATTTTTGTATGTCCTTTGTACAATACTTGGGGATGATAGGCACTTGCAGAATGAATGAATGAATGCCTAGAGTTTGTTCTATGTGTGAGTCTCTCAGGTACTTGAATGTTTGTATGTGTGTTAAGAATATAAGACTATAAGAAATTCAAATGGTGGATAAAACATTTCCAAAATTAAAATAAAAGTCAACAGAGGCTAGAAGGGTAGTGGGGAGGGGGAGATTAAGAAGAAATGGCTAATGGGTACAAAAATACAGTTAGATAGAAGGAATAAGATCTAGTGTTTTGTAGCACAATAGGGCAACTATAGTTAACAATAATTGATTGTACATATTGTATATTTCATAATAACTGAAAGAGTGGAATTAGAATGTTCCTAACACAAGGAAATGATACCACAATTACCCTGATTTGATCATTACATATTCTATGCTTGTATCAAAATATCACATGTACCCTATAAATATATACAACTATTATATATTCATAATAATTAAAAATAAAAATAAAATGACAATGAAAACAAAACAACAAAAACAAGCAATCTCATGTAACTGTAAGGAAAATCTTAGTTCATCGTCTAGTTGGTTTATTTACCACTCACATATTTGTCTGTATATGACTGTAAATCCTCAGATAAATATATGTAATATGTGATTTTAAAAAATAAGCCATATGATGCCACATATCAAAAAATGTTTAAAGTGCCACACTGTTTCTAGGATTATCTATAACTTACAGTAATGAAGGCTATATGGTTAATCAATGGCCGTTTTATTGTATTCTTTCTTGCATATGTATTAATTGCCCTTGTTAGTGCATCTTCTATTAATTCTCTGGAAAATTTGGCTCATACGTTATTGCATACGTTTTTGTTTTTCTTTTTCTTAGCACCTGTGGAAGTTTTATCCCAATTCTCTAGTAGCACTCAAAGCAAGGTTTACTTTCAAAAGTGGAAGTTCAGTTGCCAAGAAACACTATGACAATAGCAAGTACTAAAACAGATGGAAGCTGTAGATTTCCAAGTTGGCTGAAATCCTTATCTTCGGAATGTCTTTCGATTTACTCATAAAGATTGAAGAAATGGGGAATCTTCCAATCCTAGCTTCCCTGGAGTCAAAGTGACATGTTTACTTCTAACTTAATGTGTATGCATATATGCACTCAACAAATTATAGCAAGTGTTCACATAATTTTATTGAAAAGGGAAGGAAGGAAAAAGGAAGGAAAAGTTTGAAATTCACCATGTTTATTTTGAAACATGTCTGAAAGCCAGTTTACTGGTCTTTCATCTTCAATAAATCTCATGTTCCTCAGAATGAAATGACTTATGCTTGGAAATATTGATGCTTAGCTGCAGATCTGAAATTTGGACATAGGACCCCTAATTTCACATTCAATATTTACCTCATCTTTCTTTTCCCGTTAACTGAAATACTACATGAGAAAGGGTTGTTCCAAAATGCAATTCTGTAGAAAATTTTTAATGGTTGTTGTCTTTTATGTATTTCCTGGAATGCTTGGTTCCTTTTTAATCAATATGTTTATACATTCATCAAGTTTTCATACTACTAATATAACATAAACAAAATAAATCTCCTAATAATGGCACAAAAATTGGTAACTAAACATTTTGTAGATATCTAAATCTTTTCTTTAGCTTGTCACAATGAAAACAAAACAAAACAAATTTAGGATAAACCATTAATTCCCCTGCAAGATAAAGATAATTCCTTCAATAATTCATTCATTTATCTATTGTGCTTTAATTGTTTTTATTTTATTTTTTTTAGATGAAGCCTTGCTCTGTCACCCAAGCTGGAGTGTAGTGGTGTGATCATAGCTCACTGCAGCCTAAAACTTCTAGGATCAAGTGATCCTCTTGTCTCAGCCTCCCAAGTAGCTGGGACTACAGCTGTGCATCACCATTTCTGGCTAGTTTTTTAATTTCATGTAGAGACATGGTCTAGCTATGTTGCCCAGATTGGTCTTGAACTTCTGGCCTCAAGCAGTCCTATTGCCTTGGCCTTTCAAAGCTTTAGGATTACAGGCATGAGCTACAGCATCGGCCTAATTGTTTTTAGATGCTAAACGCACTACCAAAAACTGAGAAGAAAATGAAAGTTATTTTGAATGCATAAAATTAGTTGGACGCTAGATATATAAAAATTAAAGAATAAAAACAAGTATAAGATGCAATTTTTACTGCATGTCAAATATTTGGCAAGAGAGGAATACATGTAACTTTCCTTGAAAAAATGAATTATAAATTTAGTTTTTGAAATAACAGATATGATTGGCAGGTAGAAAATCAAGGTGTACATCCCATATAGAACATATGGAACAAGAACCTGGTTGGAATGTTTCTTAACTGGTGTTTATTCTGTACCTACTACACTACATTAGAGAGTAGCTTGAATTGATGTTTGATCGACTGAAGCCTAGAGCTCTATTTCACTCTTGTACATAGTTTATAAACATAAAACTTAAGAAAAGTATAGCAATGGTTAACAAAATCCTTGAAGTAGAATGATGTATTTTACTTTTTTCACTAATCATTTCAGTTATACTTTATTCACTTTATTCCACATAAAAGAATACAATGTTTTTGCTATTATAATTGCTAAGATGTTACACTTCAAAACAAATTATCTGCCTAGCCTTCGGTAGCTTTATTTCAGAAAGTTGTACTAATACTAATGAGAATTCTTTTGTCAGTTACTTGGGTGTTGATATTTGATTCCAACGGTTTTTTTTTTTAATTTTTGGTTAGTGATTAATTAAAAGAAAATCGATGTTTAAGGAACTAATACTATATTTTACTATTTCTCTACATGTAAAAAATTTCAGAGCCTTTTGTTTCTCAGAAAGTTACTGTGAATGAGCTCATTACATTTTGTGCTGCCAAGTTAGTCCAGTGGACAATTTTTATTCACTTAAATATGCCTAAGAAAGTACTTTATTTCTGTAAACAAATATGAATATTTATGCTTAGTATAAAAATCTTATAGCACTGTGTCAACATCCTATTCTCTTCATCTCCTTTATCAAATGTAATTTATGTTAAATATTGTGAAGGATACAGGAAGCATCCTCCACACCTTCTCCTTTGCCTCTGATTTCTAGTCTGCACCAAGTCTGGCTCATTTTGCCTCCGGAATATCCCTCAAATCATTCTGCCTTTTTCTACCCTCAGCACCTCCAATTCCAAATCCCTATTGCTCTCTTGACCATTACAGTGGTCTCTTCATATGGCTATTCTCATCCTCCCTGGCCGCTAGTGGCCTTTTCTCTACACTGTAACCAAAGGGCTCTTCAAGACACACACCTTATATCTGGCCTGCAGATTTAAAACACATTAGGAATCTCTCTGTACGCTTAAAGACAAAACTCCTGAGCATAGCCTATAAGGCCATATATGATCTGCCTGCTCTCCCTCCCTTCAGACACATTTCATACCCCACTTGCCTACCACCATCCCCATTCAGATCAATGATCATACAGGTCTTCCATCCCCTGAACTTGACAGGCTCTTTTCTGATGTATGCTGGTCTTTTGCCAGATACAATTTTTTTCTCTTCATCTTTTAGATGTCAGTAAAATGTCCTTTCCACAGGGAAGAGTTCCTTATCAACTTTACCTGGGTCAGATGCTCCCATCATAGCATCATAACAGAGCGACGACTTTTGTCTCTGTTGCAACTTTTCATTAGTTTTATTTGCTTTCTGGCTTCTCTGCCTGTCTTCCCTAGTAGATGGTAAGACCCAGAAGACCTAAGCCATATCTGCCTTTACTTATTATTTCATTACCCAGGTATAGGTTATAAGTGGAAAGATTGTAGGATATTTGTGAATATCTATTAAGTCTGTGAATGATAAAAAGGCTTTAGATTTTAAAATCTCATGATTACAAACTGTTTAAGAGACAGAACCATAATCGTGCATGGTATTGCGTGCTGCTAGTCCCAGCTACTTGGGTGACTGAGGTGGGAGAATCGCTTGAGCCTGGGAGGCGGAGGTTGCAGTGAGCTGAGATCGCATCACTGCACTGCAGCCTGGGTCACAGAGTGAGACCCCATCTCAAAAAAAAGAAAGAAAAAGAAAAGGACAAAGACAACCAACCCATCACATGGACTACATGTATGGCATACCTCTTAAACCTTCAGAAAAATAGAGATAGAAACTTAAAAATTCGTAGATTCTGTGGTCAAACTCTATTCTGTATACTTAAATATAACCCTGAAGAATTTTATCATTTACCTACAAATTTGTCATCTCTTCATTATTATAGTAATACTGAAATGCAGCTATATATATTGGTAATAGAAAATGACGTTAAAAAATAAAGGTTTTTTTTGTCATTTTCCAATCTCCTTCCTTACCCCACCTCACAAATATCACCAATTGCTCTGGGTAGATAAAAACCTTACTACTTGGTTTTATGTTTAGTCTTACTTGGAGAGATTGAAGAAGTGTGTTTACCGCTGAGGACTGAATATAAAGACTTTCCAGGAAGCCAAAACAGTGCTAAATGCAAGGACCTCTGTCTGTTTAGGGGGAAAAAAAATAAAAGGCAGAAATCACACTCAAAAGAGGGAAAGGAAATGAGATGAGATCTTGAAAAGCATGTAGGGAGAAATGAAAACAAGCACAGCCCAGACTTTATCTTTTTAGCAGTCTACCGTGCTTCAACTTTTGAACATCTGAGAGCCCAAATAATGGTGAGTATATCAGATCTCCCCTGGAGTCCAGTTTTGATGGTGATAAAAGTTGTTTTCACAACGTGCTGCTGCCAGATACAGTTTCTCTGAATCACCCAGAGGCTAAACACCATCTTCCTTCCTTCTTTTTTTCATTTTATTTTGTGGTTATCATGCCTGAAGCATGGGTCACCATATTGGAAGTAACTTTTAGTAGTTGTACAAGCCAATAAATGAATGTATCCGTGGGCTGTGTTGGGGTCATAGGGTGTTTTTCAAGAGCATCACGATCAATCTTAGGATGAGACATCAGTTTGAGAACAGTTAGAACCACGTCTTGTATTTCCCAGTTGTCTTTCCAGGAGCACTGCCCCAGTGCTTATGAGTCTGAAAACTACTCAGTATTATTATTTCCCTTACTTTCTCAAAATTTAGTCAAGTTTGGTCAAACAGCTGACATTGCTTTTTCAACTTATGTAAAAGTAAAAATCAATCTAAATGATCTTACACAAGATATTTTTTAAATGTAGAATATTCTAGAGGGGCAAGTGAGATCGAACCCAAAGATCCTACATTGTATAGCTGCCATGGATGCCTAAAAATCAATATGATGCACTGAGATGCTTTGTGATACAGATATACCTTCTAAATCATCAAAAAAGTTCCCCTTTTTTTGGTATGGTTTTAATATCAAATATAATTTGTTTTCAAATTCCTCAACATTTGTTAATTCTTGTGTTTTGTTTTTATACTTTTTATTAAATATATTTTAGTGCCAGGCATAGTAGTTCACACCTGTAATCCCAGCACTTAGGGAAGCTGAGGTGGAGGATTGCTTGAGGACAAGGGTTCAGCACAAACCTTGGCAACATAGCGAGACCCCATATCTGCAAAAAATTAAAAATTAGCTGGGCATGGTGGAATGCATCTGTAGTCCTATCTACTTAGGAGGCTGAGATGGGAAGAACGCTTGAGCCCAGGAGTTCAAGGCTGCCGGAAGCTAGGATTGTGCCACTGCACTCCGACCAGGGTGACAGAGGGAGATCCTGGCTCCATAGGATTGTTGTTGATGGCATAAGAGAGACAGAGAGAAAGATAGAATGGAACATAGTGCAGTGGAAGGAGGCAGTCAATGAATGCCATTACAGGACTTTAAAGTGATGATGCTGTCGATTTTCAGATTACTCTGCCATGTTGAAAATTGGTTGGAGTAGAAATGGTGGTGCACCAGTTGGGATTTTTAAAATAGGTGAGATAAGCGATGGTTCAAAATAGTGACAGTGATGATTAAATAAAGTGTGGTGTATATAAAATATGGAGGTTGCGAGGGGAAAAAAAAATGAAAGATGAATTCGAATTATCTGGTTTGAGCATCTAAAGGGGATAGTGTTGCCATTACTAAAAGGGGGAAGACAAGGTGTGGAACAGGTTTGAGCAGCCGGGGAGAGGAGGGAATGCAGATTTCAGTTTGAGATTAAGAAGGCCTATGACACTAAAATGGAAATATACAAAATAATGGGAAATACAAATTTGGAATTCAGAGGCAAGGTAAGAACTGGAGATCTAAATTTAGGAAATATCATATAGATGATATTTAAAGTCATAGATGGCTAAGTTGATCTAGGAAAGAGAATGTAGAGAGAGAAAAAAGTGAAGAAGCTTGGGACCAAGCCCTGAGGATCAGAAGCATTTAGGAGAAGATACAAATACTCCATTTCCAATTACCTTGGATAAATGAGGATTGCTCTATCATAATGTACTGCTGTAAATATCAATGTATCATTATACAACATAGTAATGCTGTATCTTATATGATATTATAATACGTTGTGATGGAAGAACTGCAAGTGCCATCACCTCTTTTTGCATTGTTTTGTTTGGGTCTCATAGACTCACTTTTGTAAATACGAAAAGAAGTACCTTACAAAATATATCCTACACAAAAAGTGGCGTATATGTTAGCAAGTAAAAATAATTAGATGTTAGATATTCTAGCCTATGCATTACTCTGCATATTTGTAGTAGTCAATGTAAAATAAAAAGAAAAAAAACAGTAATTAGTTGAATCATTCAGATTTTATAAATGACCATCTACATGACATATTTCTTCTTTCATAAGTACTATTTTGAGAAACAGTGTTGGAAACTAAGGGGCATTTCATGCCCATAACAAAATTCGATAACAGTCAGATGAAATTATCAGGATGCAAAAAGAGAAAGGATGTACTGGGTCAAAGACAAGTTATGTGGCTGGAGGGTAAATGTTGTTTCTTATAACTTAGCTCTCCCTATAGTTCCACAATTTTAGTAATTGGAGTAGAGGGCAGTTATAGGGATCTAAGGTAAATGCAATTTGGCCTCAACCAAATTAACCAAGTACGCATGGCCTCCTGGAGCAACTGCAGCCACTATCATCTTCATATCTGCATGTCTTCTGGGATCTAGCAAGGAATGGAGCTAACAGTGTTACAAGTCGTAATGCCAAAGAACAGAAAAATGTATGTATGTTTGCATCTGGACACATGCTTCTATGAGAAGTTTATTAGATAAATGCCAATTTCTTCCATTACCTTCAACTTCCTTCATTTCAACAAGGGCTCTGTGTGTAGGCTTCTTTCTGAGTTCACAAGTGTAATCACCTCCAAACACAATCATCAAGGAAAGAGAATAGTGGCTTATTGGGACAACTTTTCATTTGGGCTTAAAGAGTGGTATAATTCAATGAAAGAAGATAATCGGATCACATCCGGACTCAGGAAGAGAAAGAGAGTCATTAAACTGGCTTCGGAGACACTGGCCACTTTATTAACAACAACCAGGCTTATGGCATAAATCCACATGGCATTTTTCAAGGAAATTATATTTTTCAAGCAATTACCTACGTAACAATTAGACTGTAATTTTTTTTTGTTTTGTTTTTTGAGGCAAAGTCCCACTCTGTCACCCAGGCTGGAGTGCAGTGGCATGATCTCGGCTCGCTGCAACCTCCGCCTCCCAGGTTCAAGTGATTCTTATGCCGCAGCCTCCCGAGTAGCTAGGATTACAGGCGCCCGCCACCACGCCCAACTAATTTTTTTATTTTTAGTAGAAACAGAGTTTTACCACATTGGCCAGGCTGTCTCAAACTCCTGACCTCAGGTGATCCACCCGCCTCAGCCTCCCAAAGTGCTGGGATTACAGGAGTGAGCCACTGTGCCCGGCCAGATTGTAATTTTTAAAAGGCAAATAATTAGAATATTTTGATAAGCATAAGCTGAAAGTTGAGCAAAAAGTAGTTGGCTTGCAGACGGAAAATCCACAAGGCGTCATCCAGAATATTAGCAAGACTTAAGGGAGCAGGGAGTCACTTATTTGATGCAAACTGAAGAACCTCTTGTTCAAGGAGCAGTGAGCCTGCATATGGGTGATGACCAAGGAGCATGACACATGGAATGCTTCATCATCTACCTGAAGAGACAGCTGCAGCCAGAAATTGACTTTACAGCCAGCATTTACATAGAGACTTCTACTGTAAATAGAAGCAACTCTGTAGATGCCCCTGAAAGGAATATGTATCATTATATGCCATTGGGCACAAATATATGGTTTTTTTTAAAAGTCTTATGTGTCAACAATACTTAACAGAGGCAAAGGAATATGAAAAGAAAAAGGATTTGGAATGAGTGATTTTTATTATCACACTGTCAGGTAGTCACATGGGATGAATTGCCTGGTAAATACCAACAAAGTTTCCACAATGGAGTTATGTCAAAGCAAGTTGGTATTACTTCATTGTTTTATTTTCTGAAAACCAAATTGTTTTTATAATTTTTGTCTGGTCCACCTGAAACATCATGTTCTTGAGTCTTAAAGAAACTGTCTCTTATGCATTCTTTTCTTTGTTGATCTTTTCCTTAATAATTGCCTTTTAGTTATATTATCTTAAATATATTGCGAAATAGAGTATAAGCAATAACTTACATATGAGGTTAAAGGAAAGCAATGAGAAAGTAGTAACCTGCATCAGTTCTTTTTGTTAAAGATCTTTGCATTTGATAATTTTTCCCTTCAAGTTGTTAATATTAAAATAACCTGAAGGTCCTTTATTTTTGGTTTCTCATTTCTATATAGAAGGCAACACTTTCAACAGATTGCCTAATGTCATATTTGCCAATAAACCTAAAATGCATCATTTTGAGACATATCCATTATGATTATTATGACATTTTATTTTTGTCCATTTATAAGCTAGAGCAGCGCAAAATAACGCAAATACAACTAAAAATGAGGACCCCGTCTGTCATACTCAGTGCCTGGCAGAAAATTACCTTCACTGTAAAATGAATGTAGATAATTTACTTTTACTATACAGAGTGATGTCTTAAAGGAGAATGTGAGTTTAGCAGGAAAGAAAGAATACTGGAAAAACTTACATTAAAGATCAGTTGCAAAGTAATGGCATTGCCTTTCAGACAGCCAGTAAAGCAAAAAGGAGGAAAATCCTAGGAATAGAGTTTCTGCTCTTGGACTAAGTGTTTACTGAAGGAAATGCAAGAGTCTGCTGAATTGAAACACTGAGAGAAGAATATGAGAATTATCTGCCACATATTAGCTCTGGTTTTCAATGCATGCTTCTTCAACTAACAACATCAGCATCACCTGAGAACCTGTTAGAAATGCAAATTCTCGGCCCCATTCCAGACCCATTGAAACAGAAAATCTGTGTTTTCACAGGCCCTCCAGGTGATTCTGATGCACTCTTAAGATTGAGAACCACTGGTCTGAATTGGGATAGTTGTTTGAATTGCCCAGGTAAACTGCCCACATTGATTAGATTGACTGAAGAACTGTCAGAAACCTCAATCTTAGTTGAGTCTTTCCTTGGTGGACTTATTGATGTGTTTAAGTGAAATGTTTTCAAACCTACCCCACTCTTATGAGTTATTTAAGAGGGGTCAGTGTCTACTTGAAGAATGAGAACAGTTGAGATCTGACCACTTGAAAAGGAACATGTTATCCTTAGTTCAAGTAGTTGAATCTCATGTTTTGATGATCAGAGATAGCTCTGTAGGAGGAATACAGAAGGAAATTGCTTATTCCTTATGTAAAAACCTTCCCCTAGGCCAGGCGCGGTTGGCTCATGCCTGTAATCCCAGCACTTTGGGAGGCCGAGGTGGGCGGATCATAAGGTCAGGAGTTGGAGACCAGCCTGGCTAATATGGTGAAACCCCGTCTCAACTAAAACTACACACACACACACACACACACACACACACACACACACACACACACACACACACAGACACAAAGCCGGGCGAGATGGCGGGCGCCTGTAGTCCCAGCTACTCCAGAGGTTGAGGCAGGAGAATCGCTTGATCTCGGGAGACAGAGGTTTCAGTGAGCTGAGATCGCGCCATTGCACTCCAGGCTGGGTGACAGAGCGAGACTCCATCTCAAATAAAATAATTAAAAAAAAGAAAACCTTCCCCTATAAAGTGTCTTTTATTCACCTGCTTACTCATGTCTGTTTTTAAAAAAGAGGAGTGCGTATTCCTCGTAGGGAGATTTCTTTTTCTTTCTTATTTATTTATTTATTTATTTATTTATTTATTTATTTATTTTTGAGACGGAGTCTCGCTCTGTCGCCCAGGCTGGAGTGCAGTGGCGCAATCTCGGCTCACTGCAAGCTCCGCCTCCCGGGTTCACGCCGTTGTCCTGCCTCAGCCTCCCGAGTAGCTGGGACTACAGGCGCCTGCCACCACGCCCGGCTAAGTTTTTTTCTATTTTTAGTAGAGATGGGGTTTCAAACATGGCCCAAATACATGTTAAGGTATAAGGGACCTTATTCCATTTAATGATATCAAGTTTTGATTGACTAGGTCTCAGTGCTGCTAGAAGCTGACCCTGGGAAAAGGAATTCAGGACAAGTTTATTTAGGAGACGATGCGGACCTGGAGACTGAGAGAGACGAGGGCAGGGAGCCAGCACAGCTTCTGTATGTACCTGGGAACCTCTGGGGTGCAATACGAAACATGTCTCAAGTTATCCTACAAGAGTACATAAGGGAGATAGAGTATTTATTCAGTTTATTATCAACTCCTGTCATTGGTGACAGGCTGGCAGAGGATGTAGAGTGCATTTGTCTTCTGCTTCCACTTTGGACTTCAGAGAGACAGCCATGGGCAAAGAGTCCTGGCACTGACTTGGAAGTGGGCAGGCAGGTCAAAGGGAAGTTCTGGGGAGGATGGGCCACGCATGGCAGCATCTGCTCCGCAGTGGGAGACGGTAGAATGTAGGTAGGTGCTAGGGAATCATAGGCCAGTGGATGCCTAAAAGGAGAAGTGGAGTGGGCTAAAAAAAATTTCAAAAACAAAACAAGAATCCTAGGACTCTCTAAGGGAAACTTGGTCTACTTCACAGTGTTGCCCAGGTATGATCCTGGCACTCGTCATCCACGAGCAATTATTTAATGTTCACCTGCACTTGACATTGTGATCCACCCCAGGAAGATAATGAAAGCAATATGGCTTCTCGCCTGAGGTGTCTGACAAGCTGGTCTAGCAGCAGGAAGGAGAAAGCTGGAGCTCCCGGCATCCGTTCAAAATGACAAATGGAGGCTGTAAAAAGAATGGGCCTGGTGTTTATGGAGGCTACAAATTAAATGCAACCTGCCCAGGTTCAATCCGATGCCCGTTTCTATTAGCATATACTGACACTTCTCAGAGATTTACCCTGTGAGTCTCCAAAGATATTTTATTATTCAGTGCCTGCCAGAAAACTAAGCTTGGTGTAATGTAGGACGTGTATATTATGAAATATTAAAATTATTAATTCATGATAATTGAAAAAGGTGCTAGTGGTAGCTGGCTTCTCTAAATACATTTAATTACAAATATGACATTGCCATTCTTGTCCCCACCCCTCTTTTTTCCTCTTCTCAATGCATAATTTTGAAAACCATAAATTACTGTCATTTTGATCAATACAAACTTCGGCCAAATTACTATAGTTTGCTTAATCATTTTATTTTAGAAAAAAATTCTGTTTTCTCATTATAAATTTACAAGTTTCTACCAGTAGATTAAGATTTTTTTTTACATTAACTGTTAAATTTTGGTTTTACTCCATAGACTAAAAAATATTAAAATAAATTTGGAAATAAGGAAATTAAGAAAATCTTTTTCTCCTCGAGGTTTGTATGGTAGAGTTATTTTAAATCTGTTTTTCAAATTTTCTTTTCTTATGCTAACTCCAGCGTAATCATATTTACAATATTTTCACTCTAAAGCCTTGCGTGATTCAGCCCCTTAACTATAACAGCCCAGAATTCCTTTTCAAATACTTTTTTTTTAATGTTCTTAGATAAACAAGGTGCTTTTGTCTGTGTTGCTTCACATAGCTTAAGAATCATTGACTCCTTCCCACAATTTTGCCTTAATACAATTTAACTCCAAAATCATATCAGGAAATATGATAACTCATTTGGGTAGTGCTCTAGCTTTTCTTTTATAAAGATTGTTGCGAGGTAATTGGTAATTCAGCTATTTCCTCATGCCTCATTTCCAATTCCCGCTGTCATTTTTGTAGATGGATTCTTTTGTTCTCGGTGTTTATTCACTGAGAGTACACATTTTTTTTTTAAATCGTTACCAAAGTAATTTCAATCTTCTACCCTTCAATTAAAAAAAAAAGTTTGAATTCCAATATTTATTTGTATTTCCTGCTTAGTTATTTTGGCCTCTAAATCGTTACAAATAATCCAGTAAATTTCAAGCAGATGATGAATAATTTCTGCATTTTGTTGGGTTTTTTATTTGTTACATGAACATTTCCAGTTTTCTTTAATAACCTTCTCAGGCATATGAAACCACATTGTAGTTCACTTTGTCTTTAAAGCATTTTTCTCTCAAGTATTTGGCTCTAAGATAAAGTGCCTGCAGTCATTTTCCTGTTAAGTTTTTCAGTTTTCAGTCCCATACTCATTCCCTGTGTGAGATACCCCCAACTTCAATCTCATCTATCACACTTGGCACAGTTCTGAAATGGACTGAACGGCCTGTGTCGCCTATGGCCATGTTCCATGTGCTACAAACTGTGAAAGGAAACCCTCCTCCACTACCTAGAGGAATTTGAAAGTGTTCCATAGCTATTACCTGAAACAATACGTGATTAATTTCCTATGGTGAATATTCTGACTTGGATTGTGGCCTCTCTGATTTTATAAAGCATTTACTAATCCTGTGCTCTGGATTTTCGGGCAGATTTGTTGAATTAACAGAATTGCCTATACTTTTTCCTTAACTTCCACCTGAGGATGCTAATTTCTTGGGGCAATTAAATTACAAATATGCTTTCTCCCATAAATATTATGCCATTTACATTGATATGGCCTGTTTTTTGTCTTTCCTAGCCTTTAATAACTTGACAGTTTTCTGGTGTGCAGTTTCTGGCCATTATCTTTATATGGATAGTTCAGTCATTGGTTGTCTCATGCTTTGTTTTGCTGCAAGAGACCTTGAGAGAGACTGAGTGTCAGCCCTTTGTCTTCATGTGCATCCAAACAAAAGCAGGCCTGTTTGTGATTTCATTTCAGCCTTGAGTCACAGTGCATGCATTCCTGAATCAATGAATATTAAATGGATGAGCATTTGTTGATGGCTTCCTGTGTGTTTGCACAAGGCTTCGCAGTGGTTATTCAAGAGTGCCAGTACCAGATGTGACTCTGTCAACAGTATATCCAGACAGTTCTCCTTCGACCATTGTGTTTTTACTATTCTCGTAAATTTTAAACCTTATTTGTTTTCCATTGCTACTGATTACAGTTACCCCTTTTTACTTGTTTTGTTCTTAGAAAATGAAACTGATTTAAATATTAGCCAACAGTAAAGCTTTAGGAAAGGTAAATTTGTAAACATAGTGATATACGTATAAATTAGGAGGCTCACCAAATACAAACAGAAAGAATGTAAGGCATGTGATTACCTGGACTGTCTTCTGGCATTTGATTTTGAGAATTTCCTCAAAAGCTCAATATTCCAATTCGTTGGGGTTTCTAAACCTGAGTTTGGAATCCAATTCTGTGGATCACAAGATAATTTTTACTGTGGCTGAAAAACGGAGTTATATCAGAAAGGTAGGCTAGCCCTAGGCAAAATAGTGAAGCAGTAAAACTTTGTCTTTCCAGGGCCATTGCACTTCTGTCTGCTTGTCTTTAGGAGTTAGCCTAAGAACTCAATGCCTTTTTTTTCTTTCCCTTCACTACACAGGAATTCCTGCCTTTGTCAGACTTCTTGCCTAGTCAAAAGTAATGCTTTCAGCATCCTTCTCTCTTTTCCTTGATAGTGAAATTTAGTGAAAATTGTCAGTTAGGAACTAGTCCTAGTAATCATTACCCTTTCTAGATAACACACTCTTCAGACATTAACCTGGAGGATTGAAATCATCCTAGAAGGCTGGTGAGGAAAATCCTGCCACTTAGTAAAACTCGATTTCTTGCTCCTCATGGCATGCCACACAAAAAGCCAATGTACTCATACTGGTACATCACTATATCATCATGTTATTGCCAAATAGGAACCAGTAAAACAAGACAAACAGATATTCTTGGAAGAGCTCTCTTTCTCTTTCTTAACCTCTACCATAGAGCAGTCTTGCCATGAAGAATCCTTTGGTTTCATTTTTGCCATATATGCATCCATTCATAAATAGTACATATTATTATTTGAAACTTCTTTAATATTTTCATTAGTAATATTATATTGAATGTATCGTTTACCATTTGCACTTTTTCTAAACTAGTTCATTTTCTAAACTAGCTGCATTTTTCTAAACTAGTTCATTCTTTATAAATTCCTTGTTCCATTGGACACATAAATTAACTATTTTCTTACTGTTGGAATTTTGAGATGTTTCCAAGTTTTGCTTGAAACACACAATTGCACTAAACAATTTCTGCTGCACATTTCCTTGTGGAGAAGTATGAGAGTGTCTTGTAGGAATTTATTTAGAAGTAGAATTGTTAAATAATATAGCTTATCAATAAGTGTAAGTTCTAAGAGTTAACCTGAAACTTGCTTTCCTGGGACAGTGACACTAATTTGTTTTTAGATCTTTGCCTTTTTTTTTCTTATAGGCTGACTAAAAGTATAATTGATGAGTTCTAGAGTATCTAACATTTATCTTTAGTAGTTGTATTCTCTAGTAGTGGATATTGTATTGTATTATCCAGTAGTAGATATTCTCTGAAGTAGTTGTAACCATGTACACTCCTCCCAGTAGGATATGAGATTTCGTTTTCAATGTTCTTGATGAATTTTATTAGAGTTAGAAAGTTCCCAATTTTATGGGTGCAAAATTATATCTTGCTGTTACTTTAATTATTATTTCTTCAGTTGGTATGCTTTTCATATCTTTATTAGTCATTTGGGTTTGCTATTTTCTTTGTCTCCTTTTTCATTGGGTTGATTGTCATCTTAAAGCATGATTCTTACATTTTCATATTCAAACTTTGTATTTTATGTACTATTTTTTGCAAATATACCCCCAGTGCATGACTAATATTTTCATTTTGCTTATGCCTATTGTTGTATAAATTTTTCTTAAAAATACAATTAGTTGCATTGATCTTTATTGTATATGTGTCCTATTTAAGAAATTTTTTTCTAACCCAATATCATAAATATATCTCTAAATATTTTGCTAAATGTTTAAAAATGTTGCTTTTACATTTAAGTCTTTATCTTTGACTTTTTACTCTTTGAATTAAAGTCTAGTTTTATTAATTTTCCTATTCTTAGTCAATATTTAGCACTGTTTATTAAACAGTCCATCCACCCCTATTTGTCATATGTCACATTTGCATATATGTAAGTTGAGCTGTTTGCAGGCTATCTACTCTATAGGTCAATTTCTATATGTATACCACTTTGATTTAGTTACCATAGCTTATTAATAAATATTGATATCTATCAGGGCAATGCTTTATTACCCCTTTTTAAAAATTCTTCACAATCCTCTTGGCTTATTATTTATTGGCCCTCTTTTCCTCAATCAAAACTTGAGTATCATCACCTAAAGAGCTTTTTAGTATTCGCCTTAAAATCTGAACAGAATAACATTAAACATTTCATTTTTAAGTTGTTTATTTAAAACTTTTGTATACTGAGTCCATATAAATCTGTTTTCTCATTAAAGCAGGATTCTAATACAATTTTATATTTTAAATAGCAATGAAATGTGCATGTAGAATCAGTCAGCTAATATAGGCAGGAAAATGACCCAACATTTTAGTCATCGTTGAGTCTTCTTTTAGAAGTGACTACTAGAGTGACATATGAGAGTAAGCTACTGAATGTTGATATTCCCCTAGCTTGGCTTGTTCATTGGGCAATTGAGATTCTAATAGCTTTCAGGCAATACCTCCCTGAATATCTGCCTACTTATGCTGCAGAGCTGACAGATGTCTTCTGTGTGTCCTTGAGAGAGTGAGGCCATTAGATGTGAAGCCTAAAGGATCCTTGCCACTTTCTGTGCTGCAGAATGGCCTCTCTTTGTTTTTTTTTTTTTTTTTTTTTTTTTTTTTTTTTTTTTGAGACAGAGTGTTGCTGTGCCCGGATTCAAGCAATTCTCCTGCCTCAGCCTCCCAAGTAGCTGGGACTACAGGCATGTGCCACCATACCCAGCTAATTTTTGTATTTTTAGTAGAGACAGGGTTTCACCATGTTGGCCAGGATGGTCTCAATCTCTTGACCTCGTGATCCACCTGCCTCGGCATCCCAAAGTGTCAGAATTACAGGTGTGAGCCACTGAGCCCAGCCCTTTCTTTGTTTTTGACTCTCTTCTTTCATCTCTGACTTGCACACCTCAGTTTTCACTGCTCACTGCCCTAGCACCATTTCTAGTTGCTGCAATTGCTGATCTCTAGTTTTCTTGTTTCTTTGGCCTCCTGCCACTTCTGTCTCACTTCTCAGCCTTGTATGGAAGGGATGACTTTTCACAGACAACTCCTGCCAATTGGGTTTAATCTTTGGAGCTTCAGATCCTCTTGGCAATATGTCTCTCTTCCTCACCACACAGGGAGGCTGCTTTTTTTGCTCCTTAAATTGATTGCATTTTAACCTTGACTATGTTTAGTTCAGCAGTCATTAGAGACGCTTGATGTTCTGGAAAGCTGGTCCCTAGATGACTAAACTTTTACTTTGAGTGTGAATTTTAATAGCATTTTCTCAAAGTCTTGTGGAACATCTCAGTGGCTGAATTATTTTTCAGTGCTCTAACAACCAAGGATAAGACGCAGAGTACACTTTCAAATGTTTTATTTAGATGAATCATTTCACAGAAGTGAGGTGCATGCATTTCCTCTGTATTAGTTTTCTAGGGCTTCCATAACAAAGTATCACAAACCACATGGCTTAAAACAACAGAAATTTACTTTTTAACAGCTCTGGAGGCTAGAAGTCCAAAATCAAGATGTTGGCAAGGCCACACTTCCTTTGAAACATGTAGGGAATAATCCCTCCTTGCTTCTTCCTAGCTCCTGGTGGTTTGCTGTTCATCTTTGGTGTGCCTTGACTTATAGCTTCAGTCCTTTCATCTCTGACTCTGTTGTCATATGTGATCTCCCCTTGTATTCTGTATCTGGTCTCTTCTTTTTTTCTTTTTCTTTCTTTATGTACTGTTAGAATCTCACTCTGTCACTCAGGCTGGAGAGCAGTGGCATGATCATGGCTTACTGCAGCCTCAACCTTCTGGGCTCTAATGATCCTCCCGCCTCAGCCTCCTGTCTTCTCTTCTTGTAAGGACACCAGTCATATTGGATCAGGGAACACCTAATTCAACATGACCTCATCATAACTCAATTATATCTACAAAGACCCCTGTTTCCAAGTAAGGACGAATTCGTAAGTATTGGAAGTTAGGATTTTGACATATATTTTAGGGAGATACAATTAAACCCATTTGAATCTGTGTGAGTCAGGGTTATCTAGAGGGACAGAACTAATGGAATATATATGTATGTGCAGGAGTTTATTAAGTATTAACTCATGTGATCACAAGGTCCCACAATAGGCCATCTGCAGGCAGAGGACCAAGGAGAGTCAGTCTGAGTTCCAAAACTGAAGAACTTGAAATCTAATGTTTGAGGGCAGGAAGCGTCTAGCACGAGAGAAAGATGAAGGCTGGGAGGCTAGGCCAGTGTCTTCTTTCCACATTTTTCTGCCTGTTTATGTTCTAGCTGTGCTGGCAGCTGATTAGATTGTGAGGACCTAGATTAAGGATGAGTCTGCCTTTCCCAGTCCTAACTCAAATGTTAATCTCCTTTGGCATCACCCTCACAGACACACCTAGGATCAATACTTTGTATCCTTCAATCCAATCAAGTCAACACTCAGTATTAACCATCACAGAACCCAACCCATTGAATAATACCATGTGCCAATGATCTCTCAAATGAGCATGGCAGAGGTGTATATTGAAGATGCAATCGTTGATTTTTTTTTTCAGGTACATATGTGGAGAGGTGTCAGCGAAAACTTTTTTTTCTCTTCTCCTATACCAATTGTTATCTTTTTACTCCCTAGCTCCTCAAAACATACTCTCAATTTGTAATTTATTGTTAGAAAGTAGAAAGTGTGTTTTTTTTTAAAAAAAATCAACAGTTGGAAATGTTTTTCAACATTTAGCCTATGGGAAAATAATACTTTTAGCCTATGGGAAAATAACACAACTCCAAAAGATCTATAATTTCATTGTTCAGGCTTTTGTAATTTCCAAACATGGCTTATTTTATTTTTAGAAAATTACCCAGTTTAAACAAAAGAGACTAATATTATGCAAGGTGATTTTCTACAATATTTCTGATTAAGACTGATTATGAATATTTATTATAATAATCCTGGGCCAAGTCCTCTACACTGATTGGTCTTTCTTTGCTGTCCAGAACAGTGATAAAAATGAGATTGATTCCATTTAATAGAATTATACTATACTCAGTAAATGGATTACTACTTTTAAAAGATTGGAAAATAATAAAGTGAACCAAATATTAAAATTATACTCATTGAGCTCAGTTTAGTCTTTCATTGAGGATTTAATGAAAGTTGAGGGTTTAATGAAAGGATTTAAAGTGTATTATTTGGAATAACTAGAATTGTATAGGCTAGCTTTCTACACCTCAAAGAAGAACAAAAGCAGTTTAGATCAGAGGAAAGTATGCTGGCCATGGAAGGAAGAATGTAGGAGGGTGGAGGGTAAAGAAAGAAGATGACAGGTTTAGAAGAAGAAAGGAATGTTGTGTTTTCGAAAAATACAGAAGGGGTTTCCATGCTAGAATGGAATATATGCCAAAACAATAGGAGGCTATATCTGAATAAAAGAGTGATAATTGGTAGAGTTATTTCAGACTAATTATTAGAGGTTTTGATCTAACATAAGAACATACTCTGATTAGACATTATTATAGGTATTGATTCTCATGATTTGACTAATTTGACAGCTTTAACTCCTGAACATAAGATGAATAGAAAGTAGGAGATGAAACAAGAAACTGGGGAACTTACACTAAGCACTCTTGTAAGATCTTGGGTGTTATATTAAAAGTGTTGATTATGATAGTGGCTTTGGAAAGGTAGAGGACTGTGTAGTTATTGAAAATACTGATGAGATTGAATTAGTAGTACTTTACATGAATTCCGTGTAGATGAAAACAGTGCCACATGATATTATGTATAAGATAAATGATAGAGACTCCAAGCCATAAAAACACTATTAGTCATCTTTATTAGAAAATACTACTACAACTGTTACTACTACTTCAGTTGTGCTGCCACCACCATTAGTATTACTACTTAATACCACTTATTACTGGGCGCTTACTATGTGCCAGCTATAAACTGGGCAAAGTTTTTTTATACATATTAATTTATTAATCTTTTAAGCGCACCCTATTCTGAATTGCAGTCCTCTGTACAAAAAGTAAATTGTAATACTTTCTTTAATCATGGCGTTTGGCAGTAAGTGGTCTCATTTCTCTGGAACTGTCTATTTTACTCTAATTTTAAATAATATTTTAGCAAGGTATAAAATTAAAGTTTGCCAATTATTTTTATTCATTATGTTGAATATATTGTGCTACTGTCTCCTGGCTTCCATTTTCCATTTCAGAAGGATGCTAACAGTATAATTTTTTATTGTGTTGTGTCTGTCTTTTCTTCCTAGACAAACTAATACCTTGTCTTTGGCCTTTGAATTCTCCAGTTTTACTATGCAGCTATCAAATATGGACTTCTTTTTACTTATCTTGTTCAGTATGTATTGGGCTTCCTGAATAAGAGAATTTATTTTATATTTCAAATGTGGAAAATTACCAGCCATTATCTCATAAAAAGGGCTCTTTTTCATTGTACTTATTCTTTTCTTTGCAATTCTGATTAGACTTATGCTAGAAAATTCCTCTTTACCCTTAACATACGTATTTTTTCTTATTTCCTATTTCTTCAACTATTTGTGCTTTTTAAAATTCTTTTGGTTAATTTCTTCAGCTATCTTCTAGTTTTTTTTCTTAGCTGGGTCTAACCTGTTATTTATTTCTTCCTTTGAGATTTTATTTCTATTATTTCTAAAGAAAATCTATTTGATTCAGAGTATCATGTCCTTAGTTCATATTTTCAAGTCCTATTCTAGTTCTGTAAATATTTTTAAATATTCATTTAATATTTTCTATCCTATACTTATATTATCTGAAGTTCTTGGATTGTTAATTCTGCCACTAAGCACATCTGTAGTGCTTTCTTGAACTGTATACTAATTTTTTTATGAAGACTTATTTGTGAGAGTCCTGTGCTTCCTTTGGAAAAGGGTTCGTTTTCCTTTGGCTAAGGCCACTAAAACATTCTTATCTGAGACTGTTTTTAAATAATTTATCTGCTCCATATTTCCCATTCTGTACAGAAAGTATAAAATTATTCTCTACAGACACATGAAGACAATACTGTGTGATAATAAGTTATCATTATCAATTATGAATGAAACCATGCAATTTTTCCTGTGACATTTCTTTTCTGGACTGAGACAACAAGTTTCTTTACCATTTGTCTTTGCCACAGGGCATTTTTTTCCTAGTTAATATTTTTACCGACATAGCACTTTAAGAATATAAATTTTATCTTAGGTGGACAACTGTACAGTTCTATTTTCTGTGAAGGTCAAGACATTCTCCTATTCCTTGTGTGGCCACGACAACTGTAGCTTATAAGTTATTAACTCTAAAGTTACCAGTACTTCAGAATCAGCTTGCATTATTTCAATCATGCTAATTTCTTTTTCTTTCTTGTATTTGTTTATTTATTTTGACTCAGAGGTTTTCCTTCCAGGTATAAAGATGTTTGCTGAACTTTACATGCATTTCCAGGTGTTTGGAGACTTTTTAAATGCTATTCAATCTCTCACATTCTCTCATCTTACCTTTAAAATGAGCCTATTATAAGAGATATTATTTTATTCATTTTAATGATGGCATTTTTTTAAAGGCTCCACTTCTTGGCTGGGTACAGTAGCTCACAAGCAATCCCAGTCCCCGGGGAGGCCAAGGTGGGAGGAGCACTTGCGGCCAGGAGTCTGAGATCAGCCCAGGCAGGACAGCGAGACTACCTCTCTTTTTTTTTTTTTTTTGAGACAGAGTCTCGCTCTTTCGCCCAGGCCGGACTGCAGTGGCGTGGCGCGATCTCGGCTCACTGCAAGCTTCGCCTCCCGGGTTCACGCCATTCTCCTGCCTCAGCCTCCCGAGTAGCTGGGACTACAGGCGCCCGCCACGGCACCCGGCTAATTTTTTGTATTTTTAGTAGAGACGGGGTTTCACCGTGTTAGCCAACATGGTCTTGATCTCCTGACCTCGTGATCCGCCCGCCTCGGCCTTCCAAAGTGCTGGGATTACAGGCGTGAGCCACCGCGCCCTGCCGAGACTCCCTCTCTTATGTATGTATCTATGCATGTAAGCATGTTTGGAGACAGGGTCTTGCTCTGTTGCTCAGGCTGGAGTGCAGGTGCGATATCAACTCACTGCAACATCTGTTTAGAAAGGCTAAGAAACATGCAGAGTCAAACAAGAAAACAGTATCAGAACTGGGACTTAAACTCAAGAAATCTGAGTCCTACTTTTTTATTGGTACATTCTCAGAGACAAAATACAATTATTTGAAGAGCTTGTCCTGCTAATAACTTTTGTTTACTTAATATTTTCCTAGAGGAATATTAAATACTATTAGCATTATTAATTTTTTTCCTAATTTTCCTATGGAATGGCAAATAAGCCTAAGATTCAGAGGAGTCCCAAGTTCTAACTGAAAAGGACTAGTAAATGATATCTAATTTTTAAGAAGGTGGGAATTTAAAATGATTAATGAAAATCTGTCATGGGATGAAATATTAGTCCTTTTTTGTTGCTCCTTTTGGTCTAAATTAGTGGGCACACGTGCAAAATAGGTGCGAAGCAGACTAATCTTTATAGATGATGAATAATTTCTCATTCTACTATAAGGTGTGCTTTCTTTAGGAAAGCAATGTGTGATCTTTATATGCGCAATCAACGATCCTTTAAATATGTCTTCAGTCTTAATGAAGAAACATTAACTGGGACATAACAATGGAATTCATTACCCTCTGCAGAGCAAAGGAAAAGCCAGATGTTTGTGCTTGCTCTTGTACCATTGGCTACCTTCAGGCTAAGGAAGGCTGTAAAGTTGTCTCTAGTTACAGAACAAAAAGGATTTGGGACTGATTACAACATGATATCCATAATATCATTAGTTGAACATTTATAAATCAGGACAAGCATAAATACTTATATGTCTGAATTCACTGTGAGAGAAAATGGTCTTTTTCTTTTGCATCTCCTACTTTATATATCCCTTCATAATTTTGTTTCAATAGTGTTTCAGTTCTTTCAAATTATGGTTCATGAAAACATCATTTTAGTATCAGGATTTTATTTAGATTAGTTTTCAAAAATAAAGCCACAAAGTAATTATAAACATATACATTTGGCATTGGTGTTTTAACTATGTCTTGGTATATTTTTACTATTTTTGTTGGCATATAACCATGTGTGTTATTTTAGAAATGGTTAAAAGCCCAAATTCTGTAGCTAGCCTTTCTAGATTAAAATCCTCATTCCATTACCTAATGTTTTTTAGCCTCTGGCAAAACTAGCCTTTCTGTGCCTCAGTCTCTTCATGTACGAAATGGGAACAGTACCCCATGGAGTTTTAAATGAGTATTAAATGAGTAGATATAAGGCTTAGAACAGTATCTGGAACAAGGGAAGCACCATGTTAGGGTAAGCTATTATTATTGCTATTACTAGCATCATCCGCTTCTAAGTCATCATTGTTATCATCATCATCATCATTGTCATCTCCACTCCCTTGTGTTATAAGTTTTTCTAACAGTACACCCTTGGCTTAGAGCTTCTCTTTGCATCAAGGTTACTAAGATCACCGACTTTCAGACTTACATCTCAGGACTGAAGCTGACTATCTCATGTGACCTTAAACAAATTAATGAACAATTTAAATTTAGCCGTAGTTTTGGGTGTGTGTTTTTTTTTTTAAATCTTTGAAATGGAGCTAGTGTCATCCACCTCACTGTGAGATTTTATATTTATAAAGTGCTTAGTATTTTGCCTGGTATCTACTAAGTACATTATAAAAGACAGCTGTTATTGTATTTTACATCATAGAATTCAAAAGCATCATTGAAATTGTTACTTATTTATTCTTAGTGTCTCGAGCAGAGGGAGATGTGCCAAAAGTAACTGGAAGAGAAGAGGTGACATTGTTTAATCTCAAAGAGATCCACACAGAGTATGGCAAAATAGATTTGTACAATGCTGCCATTTTTAGATATAATCTCTAACTACATCTGTTGATTATTGAAATTATTAGGTTTGAGGAATCTCAATTGTAATTTAAATGTGTAACAATGGGGCAAAAGAAGCCTTAAGGCTAAATTCTGTGAATGGTTTCATTCACTGGTTTTGCCAGCTATTGGTGCCAAAGCATTAACTGGAGTATTTAAGAAGTGTGCACTTTGGTGGAAAGTTGATGTGATGTGTGTATGCTCATGCATTTACACCTGAAAGGATTCTTTAACTTGGAATTGTGTGTGGATAACAAATAGATCTATTAAAAATTACTGAAACCACACTCCTTCTCAGGAATTAAAGTTGACTACTCATTGTTTCTACAGGACATCCGGTAATGGATGCATGCTGGATTCATACCTGGCCTTCTTTTCTATGTTAATATAGCAGCCTTGGATTAGCATGACAGAGTGGTGGCCTCCGTGAGGGCATGAACTGGATCAGCCTGGGCTGCCATTGTCCCCGTCCAGTATGTCACGATGCCTACTTCTTCCTTCACGGCCCTAAATACTGCCTGGAAGTGGCTTAGAATTTTGCTTGTTAAACCTAGGTTTCTGCTCAGTAATGCTTAAGCTTTCTGTCTCTAAAATACAAGCTCTCTGCATCTACAGCTTATCTGGCATCTGTATTTTCTTACCCAGCCATACCTTTAAACTCCTTTTGGTGAATAAAGCCACTTGCTGTTCAGAGTAGGAGTTGAAAACGAACTTTCCCTTCATTGTTCAAAACCAGTTCTCGTACTTACCACGATGAAACACCCTCCAGCAGTGCCCCAACACAATTGCTAAATTACTCCAACTCCAACTCCATAATGTGTAAATGACAAAGAATTAAACAACCATGAGTGTTTGCTTAAAAAAAAATCCATGTTAGCTTATTAATCCTTATTGTAATGTCATACAGAGTAGAATGCGAACATCAGCAGGCTAGGTTATTCTCTCTATAGGCAGACCTATGTGGGAAGTTAAATTGTACTCCCAATGTGAGTTTTTAAATTTGTAGTGAAAAATATATTTGCCTAGGGACTGTGTACCTACGTTCACTGGCAGGTACAAACAGTGCAATTTTCAAGTCATTTATAATGATTTTCTCATTTTCCTTTAAAGGAAATAAACACTAAGAAGCACAGAATGGGGCTCCCTTTTCTTGGAAGCAGCCTGCAAGAGGCAGGAAGACCCTGAGACTGCCAAGATAATCTCAGAATGAGTCAAGATTGAATTGTTAATACACCAAAGAATATCCAAAAAGTCTGAAAATACAGGAAAAATTGATTCTACTTATTTTCAGTTTAACAATAGGATCCCTGCTTTATATTTTGATGTACTTCATAAGAATAGTGTCTGGAGATTGAAGGAAAAAATATGGAGCATATTATTTGAAAATTTAACTAGCTTTGAAATAAATAATTTTGTCCAATATTTCCTGACGTTTTGGATACTCTACATTATTTTGTCTGAGTTAGTGGGTCACATTTCCAGTAGTAGGAGACAAAAGGGTAAAATTCACTGACTTCCTGTGATCTTCATTCTTTCGTTTATTACTGTACATCTCCCTCCAACTTCATGCAACTGGTGTGGTAAGTTGGGGCCTCTTGGCCTCAGAAATCCTGTTAGAAGTAAAATGGGGCCCAACAGAGAGGGACCTTTGGCCCTAAAGCCCGCTTTTCATTTAGGTCTTAATGTTAGGAGGTTAGAGATGCCTTGAACTTGAACTATTGATGCAGGCTTGCTCAATATGAGGCCGAAGGACTGCTTGATGATCAGCAGTGTATTTTCCTGGGACATTTTCATCTATACTCTGTCTTTTAGAAACTCATCTATACTCTTTGTCTTTTAGAAACTTAGCCAGGAGTGTGGGCTGGGGAGTGGGCTGTGTGTGACTGATCTCTGCCATCTCTCAAAGTCATGATTAAAAGCTGCCATGGGAGGGATAAAGAATGAAAACAAACTACACACACACACACACACACACATATATTTGTGTGTATCTGTATATACATTGTGTATATATATTTGTGTGCATTTGTGTGTGTGTGTGTATATATATATGTGTATATATATATATATGCACCCTTACCTTTTATGATAACTGACTAAGTACCCCCTACATACTCATGATTCCCAACTCCCTAAACACAGCTGCTTTTTTTTTTTTTTTTTTTTGAATTTCTAAATGTCCACTTAGGGGGCATTTCTCTATAGTTGTTCTGCAGGTGATTCTTGTTAGTGGGTCTTTCAGAACCATCAAGCTGGAAGTAAGTAGGGCAGAAATTGTGACTTCATGTTGAATATCTAGGACCTAGAAAGTGTCTGCTACATGGCAAGTGCTTAATAAATGCTTATTGAATAAATAAAAGGATGAATGAAATGATATATAATTATATACTTTGTACACAAGCACACATATAGCTATGTTCATATCATCAATGGTGCGCACTAAGAGAGTAAGGACAAGATGTCACTGCTATCCAAATCTCCCAAATTTCCCTCACCCTTAAGGCTGCATGTCAGGCTGTCGGAACATTTTTTTCCCTTTCAAGGTTGATGTTTGTTTTAACTTTATTTTACTTATTTTAAAAATGTATTTTTGAGTTGGAAGGAGAGAAGCCCATCTGAGATTCATCATGACCCTAGTGACAAGCTATTGATCACAGGAGTGAAGAAAGCTTTGATAGCACATTTTGGCAGTTTGTCATATTGGATTTAGGGTTTTTAGTTACCTTAAATCAATTTCGTTCATTACCCATTGTCAGATCTTCTTGCTGCACAAATATATTTTTATTAGCTGTGTTTTATTATGGTTTATACACTGATATTCATTTAAATGTTATGTCTTCTTTAAATCCTCTTAATATAGGAAATAGAATGGTGGTGACGTGGGGACCTCCCACAGTTTAGTAAAGAGGCCTTGTGGCTATAATCGCATTTAAGAAACGACCATTTCTCTGTGAAGAATGGAAAATCAGTGGTAGGTCAGAAATTAAAGGCTATGCCATTTAAATCCTAAAACCTGATCATTCTAGTCTTTTCACCCACAAGCCAGTGAGGAAAATCAGTTTTCCCCACGTTGCATTTTAAAATATAACTTAATTGAGCTGTAATTTTATAGCATCATTTACCATGTTCATGATACCAATTACTTGGAACATTTTTTCTAGTTTTGAAATATGTGGTAGAATTTTCTATCTTTAATCAACTTTTCTCATTCTGAGAATTGTTCCTGTGCTTTGTTTAGCCAAAGACTCCTTTAGAAAAAGCTAGATTGACTTCTTATTTTACTGTGTAGCAATTTCAAGCCTGGTTTATTTAGCTGTAGTCTATAAGATGCAAATTATAAAATGTGCCTTTTTTATACTTCTCATTTGCTTTTCTCTCCGATTGTATTTTAGTTGATATGAAATCAGTGATGCGAGTATTATTCAAGTATTATTCAGTTTTACTAATGAAAATTTGGAGATGCCGTAATGACTTACAAATACATACACATAAGTGGAGTATCAAGACATCCAAACTGATATACAAAGGCTTCAACTATATGGACTAACTTGGGGACAGTAAGTTGTGAATTTGTGAAACTGTATCAGAAACAGAATATTTCCTCCAAAGTATATGGAACTGCAGCAAATACAAATATCAGAGTTGAGAGACCCAGCTTCTGGTCTGGACTGTGCCCTTAGTTGATTATTTGAGCTTGAGAAAGCCATTAAAGATTTTGATAGTTATTTTCTGAAATTCAGACATTGAGTTCCACCAATGAGCTCACAGTTAATGTCTTTCAAATATATGTAGTAATTTAGATACTGAAATAGCTCAGAGTAACTTGTGACTGTTTTAATTGTTTTTATAACAAGCTAGAAACCAGATCTATTTCTTCCAAAGCAGATTAGAAATATCTTTTTATATGTACATGTTAATTGGCTTAAAAAGTAGTGTGGGAACAAACAAATCATCTTGACTTGAATGATTAGTAGATATTTAATATTTGGAAACCTGGAGAGAGTTGTTTGCTCATTTTTTAATGTCAGTTGTTCTTTTTATAATGCAACCTCAGCATTAGTTCTCAGGCAATGGCTAATGAGCATTCATCTTGACATTTCCCTTCTTAAAGGACATTTAAACAAACTTCCCAAGATCTACCCTATAGAAGAGAAGATTATATTTTTATGTGTGGTTCAGAAGAGCGTATCAAAGACCAAATAGAAGAAAAAAATGTTAACAATTGAAGCTATCACAGGCAGGGTGTGGTGGCTCACGCCTGTAATCCCAGCACTTTGGGAGGCTGAGGCGAGTGGATCACAAGGTCAGGAGTTCGAGACCAGCTTGATCTATGTGGTGAAACCCTGTCTCTACTAAAAGTACAAAAATTAGCTGGGTGTGGTGGCATGTGCCTATAATCCCAGCTACTCAGGGGGCTGAGGCAGGAGAATTGCTTGAACCTGGGAGGTGAAGGTTGTAATGAGCTGAGATCATGCCACTGCACTCCAGCCTGGGTGACAGAGTGAGACTCTGTCTCAAAAAAAAAAAAAAAAAAAAAAAAAAAAAAGCTAGAACAAATTGGAGTGGTTTCCTAGAAAGACAAAGCGTTTTTTGTCCTAGAGGTCACACCTGGATTTTGCATCTGTTAAAATTTCATCTGCATGATGCCCTCCAAGGTATTGTTAAAGTCTGGAATTTGGACATTAAATCCATCCTCTGTACTCTGCATTTCCTTGTACAGTATCTTAAGGAGCATGAGGAAATCAAGATGTCCTTTACATATCCATGTCAAGATGTTGATTCTGAATGCTGCCGTCTCTTTGATTCAGAATTAGATGCTAGCATGTTTGATGCTCGCGTTATCTCTGCTTGTCCAATCTAGATGGAAGTTGTGGCATTGATTCTTGTTTTCCTAATAACATTAGAAGGTTTTTGAAGTCACACTTCAACTACCAAGTACTGTAGCAGGGTACTGACATTTCAGTGCGTTTTGATTTGTGTCATGGTTGTAGGAGAATACAGGTACTGATCAATAGAAACATTTATTGACTTAAGAATATAAATAAGTCAGCAGCATGATTTTTATAGAGAGACTTGACTTACTTATTGAAATTTGGGGTTTATAGAAAAATTAATTTATTGGCTGCTTATATGCTTTACAAGATAACTTACAATAGGTTTTCTTTAGTATATATACGATATAGTGTCCTTATTTCAGAAATATATGTGTTGCACAATGAAATTTACATTCCATCAGTGTATCTTCCCTTTATGTGTAAAAATATTGAACAAAATTGAGTTCACTATTGGTCCTCTATATGCCATTTTTCTCTTAAGCTTAGATCATCACTGTTTAACGTTTCCTAATTTATGGTCTTCTCTTGCATTCAAGGCCAAAACAATAATCACCTTTTTATGGAATGTGGCTATTGCTACATTTAACAGGTCTTTGCAAGGTTCTCATTTGTGAAGTATGCCATATTGCGGCTTCATAATCTTTCTGGCTACAACAATGTAAAATTACCCTACACCCTCTTCTCCCAACCCAGGAAAAGGCTACAGCTGAAATAATTAAAATCCATACGGTTAATGATCTGTGCCTTCTGCAAGGTGGCGCATTACTGTCTCTAACGATGTTTAATAGCTCATAACATTCAATACACTTAATCATTAGTTACTGACATTTCTAGTACTTTTGCATACTGAACATATCTTGATAGGGCAAATATTACATTGGAAAAGACTTAATTATGTACCTTGGGAAAGAACACTGACCAAATGAGGACACATTTGGAGCTGCTCTTGCCACTGAATTAGGGTTGTCACAGAACCATGTGGCTATAGTGGGATTTTGTTAGGTGAGGAGAGTTTGATTTGCTGGTGTCACATTGGGATTTATTGGCCTCACAGCAACAATGGCACTGAGACCAGAGTCCCTGACTGGGATGTCAGGAGACAGGGATGCTGACCCCCACCAACCACCTGACCACGGCACTTGGGCTTCTGTGTCTTCATGTGTGAGATGAGAAAGGGGTGCTGAATGATGCCTGAGGAGTTTTCATCCGGATCTGAAATTCACCAGTCTCAACATCACTTCAGAGGCAGTGGCCCCATCAGACTGCTGTCATTTTGCACCTAATTTATTGTTTTCTGAGAGTTTCTGGAAAAACCTAAAGAATGATAAAGAGACCATGGAGCCCACTACCCTTGGTAGAAAGACAAAGGGACAGGCAGCCTTCTTATTTTATAATATTTACATAGTTTTGGTATGGCTTGCATGATAGGGTTTTTTTTTTTTTTAATAAGCAGATAAGGCTTTCTTCTGAATACTGCTTATTTAAGCCAAATATTATCTTGTTTTTTGATAACAAGACCTGAATAGTACCAAGCACTGCTGTAACTGCTTGGTGCTTAAAGTGTCCACAGGAGGTAGCTTATTTTAATGCAGATTCTGCTTGAGAAAAGACAGGACTTCAGCATCCCTGAGCCTTAGAGAAAAATTCTGATTGTTGATTGTTGACCTTTTCCCCAATCACAGATTTCAGTCATAGCCACCCTGGGGTGAAATGCATGTATAGCTCTCTCATATTCTTGATAGTTTCCAAAAAAGTGTTAAGACTTTTTCCTTCTTGCTAGCAAAGGCCTATGTGGGCAAAACAGAGGAGAAGCAAAGGAGTTGCTCCTTTCACTAGAACTTTCCTTTAGCAAATGTTTTGGTTTCCTTGCTACTTCCTGAACTTAGAAATCCAACTAAAAGTTCAAACATGAAAAAGAAGAAAGTATTTCAATTATTTTATTGTAGAGTGTATAGCATCTGGGATTTCATTTGTCTTTTCTCCCTGCTTCAGTATCAATTCAATATGGTTCAAAATGTAAAGTGCCAGGCAGGCGTTCCTTTCCTCCTCTCGACAGCATTCCTTGAGGGAATATACCTTGTCAACCGATGTAAGGTATGATTAAATAAATTAATGTGCTACAATTATGATTTCTTCACTGATTAAGCTTACAGGTCAAGGAAGGAGGGAAAACTCAAATGCATGCATGCACAGGGAGTCACAAATCATCCCTAACATGTGACAATAAGGAGTGGTGGAGGCTGGGAATAATTGGAGAAGTGTCTTTGTTTAGGTCCTTGTTCCTTCCCTTCCTCCCTCCTACCCTCCCTTCCTCCATCCTTCCCTCTCTCCCTTCCTTTCTTCCTTCATCCCTCCCTCGCTCCCTCTGTATCTCTCTCCCTCTGTTTCTCTCTCCCTCCCTTTCTCCTTCCCTCCTTTTCTCCTTCCTCCCTCCCTCCCCCCTCCCTTCCTTTCTTCCTTCATCCCTCCCTCCCTCCCTCTCTCCCTTCCTTTCTTCCTTCATCCCTGCCTCCCTCCCTCTGTTTGTTTCTCCCTCCCTCCCTTTCTCCTTCTCTCCCTCCCTCTCTCCCTCCCTCCCTTCCTTCCTTTCTTTCTCCCTTGCTTGCTTCCTTCCTTCCTATACCCTGTAAACTGAATAACATAATTTACTAGTCTTCAACTCCTAATACAGGTGCAGACAGACATATGTAAACAAATAATTTTCACAGAGTAAACAGGATGTTAAAATAAAGATATTTCTAAAGCACTGGTTTTAAGAGGATAGACCGCAGAGCCAGACAGATTTTGAATGCCTACTTCACCACTTACCATCTGTTTGACCTTGGGCAAATAACCTTAATAATCTTTCTTTTCTGTGTTCAGTTTCCTCAGATAGAAAGGGTGACAATGAGAACACTTCCTTCATCAGATTCTCTTCAGTAGTAAAAGAGTTGATACAGGTTAAGCTCTTTGAGCAGAACTTGGCACATTGTGAGCTCTTAAAAAGAGAGCTATTATTATTATAGATGAAAGAGTTACATGCTAAAATATTAAGTCCAGATAGATACAGCCTAATGAGATCCTAAAGTGGAAGGAATCTTGGACCACCCTGCTACACCACCCCCTTGCTGCTGGAACCATCCCAGAAGAAGACATTCCTATGTTTGCAAATGTAGTTAGAGCAGAGGCCCTCAGCCACATCAACACCTGCTTACCTCATCTTTTCAACACATTATCCAACTCTGCCTGATTCTTATCAAAGAACCACTCACTTATTTCTTCCAAGAAAAGGAGCCAAGAGGCATGATGTAATGCATCAAGATCTTCTGTGGTGACCTTGTAACTTCTGTGGTGTTGTCCACCTTGGCCATTCATTTAACATTTAAGTTTGTTTTGTCTCAAATGAAGATATTTTCCCACCTTGCTTTGAAAATGAGCTGACCAGACCTGTAAGTGGTTTTCAAGTATTACATTGCCTTACAGACTCTACAAAATAATCAAAATGATAAAATGTTCTGAAGTTGGACATTGTTGACTGAATTACCGTTTTAAGATTCTGTTATGTATTTTCCTTCACAGTCTCTGTAAGTGTGTGAGCTCAATCGGGATGCACAGTTTGAGTTGCAGAACTGGCTAAGGCTTTGGGAACCTGTGGTCAGTTTCCCTCACTAATGTTGCTTTCCTCTCTAAAAACATGTTTTAGTTTCTGCATTGCTCTACAAGATCCGTTTTTCAGAATCCTTTAAGATCTGTACTTCATGGAAAATACATGTGAAAAAGGTTGTTAGGCAGGTGTCGGTTATCATGAAAAGGGAACAAACTGGTTAAGAGGATTGGAAATTTTTGCCCTTTTTCTCATCCTTTTTTTTCTTTTTCTTTTTCATTTTTTTCTTTTCCTTTTTTTTTTTTTTTTTTTTTTGAGACAGAATCTCACTCTGTCGCCTAGACTGCAGTGCAATGGTATGATCTCTGCTTACTGCAACCTACGCCTCCCAGACTCAAGCGATACTCCTGTCTCAGCCTCCTGAGTAGCTGGGATTACAGGTGCCCACCACCACAACTGGCTAATTTTTGTTTAGTAGAGATGGGGTTTCACCCTGTTGGCCAGACTGGTGTCAAACTCCTGACCTCAAATGATCTGCCCGCCTCAGCCTCTCGAAGTGCTGGGATTACAGGTGTGAGCCACAACACCCGGCCTTCTCTCATCTTTTCTAAGAATTCTGTAATACAGGGAGAAATATAAAAAACATGAACTATCAGTATATGTTGGATAATTTATGTAATTAGATAAAGGATAATTACGCATTTAGACAAAAGATGATATGCAGTTGTAGCTATTATGTGTGAAAACTGCTGGTTAAAAACATATGCATACAGAACTGTCTAGAAGCTAGCTCATCGGATGTTGTCCTTGGTTATTAAGATGTGAATGCTCTTTTGGCTTCTTTTAATTGTATTTTTTTAGTTCTCTTAAGGAGCACATATTTATTTTATAGCAAAAATGTTGACAATGTAAATTACCATGGAAGGTATAGGAAATACATTGCAATTCCTTTCCCTACGTGGCTTTTCATGTCTTAATCTGCTCTTATTCTGGCTGTTTCATTACATTTGCTCTGTGGTTTGCCTTTTTCTTCATTTTCATTCTCACACTAGTTCCAGTTTTCATCATTTGATTCCAGGGAGTAAGTCCAATACTTGCCATTGCTGAAAGAGTGAAAAGAAAAGTTTTTTTGTTTGTTTTGTTTTGAGACGGAGCTTCACTTTTTTGAGACGAAGTCTCACTCCGTCACCAGGCTGGAGTACAGTGGCACAATCTCTGCTCACTGCAACCTCCGCCTTCCGGGTTCAAGTGATTCTCCTGCCTCAGCCTCCCAAGTAGCTGGGACTACAGGTGCACACCACCACGCCTAGCTAATTTTTGTATTTTTAGTAGAGACAGGATTTCACCATATTGGCCAGAATGGTCTCGATCTCTTGACCTTGTGATCCAACCGCCTCAGCCTCCCAAAGTGTTGGGATTACAGGCGTGAGCCACCGCGCACAGCCGCAGTTTAACCCTCGTTTCCCGGGCTGGATGCAATGGTGAAATCTCGGCTCACTGCAACCTCTGCTTCCTGGGTTCAAGCAATTCTCCTGCCTCAGCCTCCCTAGTAGCTGGGACTACAGGCACCTGCCAGCACGCCTGGCTAATTTTTTGTATTTTTAGTAGAGACACAGTTTCACCATGTTGGCCAGGCTAGTCTTGAACTCCTGACCTCAAGTGATCCACCCACCTCAGCCTCCCAAAGTGCTGGGATTACAGGTGTGAGCCACTGCACCTTGTTTTGTTTTTTTGAGACAGGTCTCACTCAGTCATACAAGCTGGAGTGGTGCAATGATAGTTCACTGCAGCCTCAAACTCCTGGGCTTAAGCCATCCTCCTGCCTCAGCCTCTAGAGTAGCAGGGACTACCCTGGCAATTTGATTTTTAAATTTTTTTTGTAGAGATAGGGTCTCACTAGGTTGACCAGGCTGGATGAAAAAGACGAGTTAAATCCTCTTCAGCCTCTAAGATCATCAACAATTCTGAGGTTTTCATTTTCTTCACCCAGCACTCTTTGAATCTTGCTTTTCACCACACATTTTTCCTTGCTTCTCACAGTTTTTCAGCAGTTCAGTTGTCAAGCATTTAGAGTGCTGACCTTACACGCAGGCCCCTCCTTCAAGGAAAGAGCCACAGGATATTTGTGCCATTTTGGTTCATGACCTGATTCCTACCTGATGTTTTTGTTCCTAAAACTCTGCCTTCCACATGCCATACTTTTCTTTTTTCCTTTTATTATTTTTCTTTTTTTTTTTTTTTGAGATGGAATTTCACTCTTGTTGCCCATGTTGGAGGGCAATGGCGTGATCTTGGCTCACCGCAACATTCACCTCCCGGGTTCAAGTGATTCTCCTGCCTCAGCCTCCTGAGTAGCTGGGATTACAGGCATGTGCCACCATGCCTGGCTAATTTTGCATTTTTAGAAGAGATGGGATTTCTCCATGTTGGTCAGGCTGGTCTTGAACTCCCGACCTCAGGTGATCCACCCGCCTTTGCCTTCCAAAGTGCTGGGATTACAGGTGTGAGCCACCGCGCCCAGCCCATGCCATCCTTTTCTTGTGTTTATTATTACTGGCATGCATCATTCCACATTTGAATTGATCTTACCTCAAGCTGATGCACAATTATGTATTCATCCCAGTGCTTTCAGGGTAGCCTAGGAACCAGAATAAGCACTGATTTAAAAGCAGAGCACCATTTTTTTTTTATATATATTCTATCTTCAAACAATAAGTACTTTTATTGAGCATATGTTGTCTTGCTTCTAAGGAAGAAACACAAGAAGTGAAACCAACCAAAATATACACTTTTAAACCTGTAACCAGGAGATCACCAACTCTTCTTACTGCATTTTGGATGCTTGAAGTGGTTGTGATAGTAGTGGTATTAATGAATAATGATCACCCGTTATGGGTAAGGCCCCATGTTGGGTGCTTTGAATGCATCGTCTCTAATTTTAACTCTCATGGCAGTCTGTGAGGCAGCTGTCATTATTTTCCCTGTCATTTTACAGTTGACTGGACTGAAATACAAAGGTTGAATAAGCACTAGCTCACATATTTGGTAATAGTTGGGGTGGAGTCGAGATCTGAACCCAGGTCAATGTGACTTTGTTTATCCTTTTTCATCCATGAGTTAATACATGTAAAGCTTTTAGAACAATACTTATATAATAAGCCTTTATATAGAAGCACTACATACATGTTAAAATTGTTATTTTCCGTTGGTCCCTTATTTGGTAATGTTAATTTTTCTTCTTTTCAGCAGGTTGTAGTGGCTAGAGGACATCAAAGGCTTTACCGTGGAAATGTTGCTCTGAGTTAGGTCTATAATCAAGTACATGAGATTGAACAAGAATGTATATAAAAGAAGCAGGCAGATCTCTTGTACCCTCTCTTCACTGCCCCATTTCCCTCTTACACATGCATACTATTTCTTAGCGAAATATTTCAATCTTATAGAAAAAGCACTTTTCTCTACATTCCTGGGAAAGTAGCTAATTTTATCCTGATAAACTTGCTTATCAGTTTGCTTCAGTAATCTTAAAGCTGCAGGGACTAAGACCTATTAAAATTATAGCTGATTTGAGGTTGCCTTTCCTTTGGAATCCTTATCAACATGAAATCACTTGTATCTGCTTAAAATGAGCTTTTAGTTTAATTTGCTTTGAATGAAATCATCTTCTATTTATCTTAGAATAATCTCAGAATTTAGTGTGAGTTTTCCATCCAGAAAGGCAGATGGCATTTTCTAATGTGGGTCTCTCTCTCTCTCTGTCTTTCTCTTTCTTTCTCTCTCTCTCTGTCTGTCTCTTCCCTGTCTCCCTCTCACGGACATCTGCTGAGCCACTCTTGGGGTGCCTGCCGTGGGCCCCAGGTTGATTAGCTCCACCTAAGATCTCTGCACTGACACGTGTCACCCATCGGCTTTGAAGCAGTAGTGCTGACCAGATGGTTGGCATCTGCATGAAATGCCAGTACACTTCTGCCAGATGCCCGATGGTGCCGCTAAGACAGATGGAAGGAGTCGTTCTAGGCCCTCCAGAGCCCCTCGTTCTGGCAAGACCTGTCTTCTGGAATGATGTTGGTTCATTCCGAATGTTCAATCTCAACTTGAAAATATATTGGATTAGGCATGGTTCTTCAAGTAGTGCACAAGCTCCACCTGCAGGGAAGGGGTGTGACTGCCCTCTCCTCCTGGGGATCTCTGTTCTGCCAATAGCCCTACCTGAGTGACCTACTTTTAACCATGCTAGGGCTCATACCGATTTCACCTGCAGGAACTGGGATCAACCATGTAGCTACCTGGGTTCGTGTGCAGAATAAATCCCCCTTTCCCTTGAATAAGTGGATCTATTTCAACAGTAGCTGACTTACCTATTAATATCTTACACAAATTTGTCTAGCTCTACTTGTGGCACTTTTGTCAATAGTTTGTTGGATTTACCTTGGTGTATAATGTTCTTTCTACTTGCACTGTATAAAGTAGGGAAAAGGTGGCTTTCTTTCTCCCACCACACAGATATTTGCCAATGACTTTTTTTATTTGTGAGGAGGAGAGGCAAGAGGAGGAGATGTATGTAACCCTGTGGCAAGGGTAGGACACTTGGATTGAGCTCTAGGACCATACATCTTGAAAATTCATCATTGTGCCACTAGAGTAGTGAATTTTTAAGTTTCTCCCATGCTGTTGTTATATATCAAGCTATTTGTGTGTGCCTAGGCAAAAAGGCTAAGCTGGTTAGCAATATAAAATGCTTATTGTAGATGGTAGCCTCTTTTAAAAATCCAACAGTGCAATATATTTCCTTACACACCCACATTCCCGAGTATAAAAAGTATCACTGTGAGGGTTTAAATAACTACCACACTAGCTGAGAGAATTACTTTATATTCTGATCGGCCTATAAAATGGTAAGAGGTGTTTTTTATTTTTTCTTATGACTAGGACTAATTACAGGATGCACAGACTTTCCATGCTATCATTGGCTTCATTTAAATGAGCTAGATTTTGCTTAGTAGGTGAGTAGTAATCATTACTACAAAAATTGAATAAATTGTTTGATCTTGAGTTAAAAAATCTGTCATATTAACTGTACTCTTCAAGTTTATTGAAGCTTTTATACCCCTGTGTACACTCTGCTATATGAAGCTCCATTTATGGTTTCTCACAGTTTTCACTCCCCAAAGTGGATATCCACCCACTGATTTGGTTATCAGTCTCAATCCTTGTTAATTATCTCTTTGTTTCCCATTCCTGGGTCCCTTGATGCAAATATATACCTGACTCTTGTATCGTGTCAGCCCTCATCGTCAGCTTGAACCTTTTGTCTGGTCTTCACATCTAGTCAGCCCTTAGATCGGTTGGTTGTGTCACACAGATGCATTTTATACTCCCTCTCCCATCTCCTTGGTCCAGGCTCTCACCACTGCTCTCTCAGACTAAAACTGCATTTACCCTATTAACTGACTTCTCTGTCCTGGTCTTTTTCCCCTCCAGTTTATTTTATGTAATATGACTAAAATAATCTTCCAAAAATAAAAATCTATTATTGTAACTTCCCACCCTGCTGAGGGTAAAATCCAAACCTCTTACATGGTGTTCTAGGCATTACTGCCTCTCTCCAGCCCCCTTCCTCATGGGTTCTTCCAGAGAACTGCAGGTCTCTGTACTCAGCATGGGGCTCCAGGCTTCAGAGCCCACGAAGTGTTCATGCTGCCTGAGATCCCCTCCCCACCTTTGTTTTCCTGGTGAACACCTCTTTCTTTTTTGCATCCCATTAAAATGGACAGCTTCCCCCCAGTCTCACAATAAATGAGCAAATACCTCTCCCCTCTGTGTTGCCTACTTTCTTAATCTTGTCTCTTATGGCACTTAATTACTGTATTCTGATTATGTGTTGACATACCTGTTTACTCATGAGACTTTGAACTCCTTGTGCCTGGGTATTCTTAGTCAACTTTGTAATGGCAGAGCCTAGTACAGAATCTGACACAAGTGTGTGTTTAGTAAACATTTGTTTAATTGGTTTAGTTCTCTTCTAAATGTTTTCTATATTGGCAAATTGGTTACTAAGAGGATTAGAAGATTGGATCTTGGGTGCCTCTATGATGTGTTCTTGTCTGATTAGCTCAATTAGGAGTACAGTGTTAATGAGGCCAAGGTCTTAACTTTCAATTCCATGTGGAACAATTTGTACCTCGACTGTCAGTAACTTCAATGAGTTGCATGGTAAGTTGCCTGGTATCATTGGTTCCAAGGCAAATGCAGAGAGAGGATGATTAAGCTCAAGGCAAATCCATCTCAACTATTAGACAAATGGAATTAAATATACTCCTTATTGATGTGAAAAGCATGACTTCATACTTCAGTGTGAAATGAGCACCTTGTTTGGTCCACAGCACTTGTCCATGTGCACTGATGTACTTGACTTAAAGGGCTCTTTGCTGCAATAGAGGTGGCAGAAATACCACCTGGTCATCAGAGTTTTGCAATAAAAACAGTAATTGTCCATTCACAGATCTTTAGGATGGCCAGTCTCTAAGCCTCTTGTCTACCCACCTGCCTCTCCGTGTCTGTCTTCCAGGTGAGACGATGCGGATCGCCTCCTCCGAGTTTGCAGATGACCCTTGCTCGTCGGTAAAGCGCGGCACCATGGTACGGGCGGCAAGGGCTTTGCTCTCCGCGGTGACACGCTTACTCATCCTGGCGGACATGGCAGATGTCATGAGACTTTTATCCCATCTGAAAATTGTACGTATGTAGAACTTATCAAAACTTTCTTTATGTGAGTGGCAATCTTGACCGTGTGTATTACAGCTCTGGCCTCTACTCTAGATGTTTCATTGCTCACCAGATCAGTTCATTACCTACCCATGTGGTGCCCACGTCCAATTTTTTCTAATAATAAAATTATATTCAATAATATAGTCAAAGAGTTTTGTAAGACTCACTTGAATTATTATTTTTTTTCCTAAAAACTGAGAGTTTAGATTTCTCCTTACTTCCTGGAATGTGTAACAGTACATTCTTTTAGTCTACAGAGCCTGGACAGGGTGGACCTGCCTTTGTTCTATCTCAAGATTCGGAGCAATCTTGGTCCATGTGATAGTTCAGGTTGGGGTCAGCTCTGCTGAGCAGCTGACCACCTGTGCCCACCTTAGTGTGGATTACATGTTGAATATATTTTGCTATCTACTCTAGCCTTGCTCTCCTGTAGATATATGGATTTTGAATCATATATTGGCAATAAAAAGGGGCCCCATCCACAATTCCCGTGGCTAAAGTCAATCTTGTTTCACCAAGCCTGGCATCTAACATACCTGGATTGGTTCTCTGGGTGGGCACATACTTGTCCCACTAACCCATAGAACACCATTCTATGTGCCTTGCTTTTCATGGTTTCTTTTAATTCTTTTGTTTCCTAATAGAGGTGAAGCCCTGTTCTCATCACAAACTTTAATGGAATAGTGATTAAGGCTACCTCCCCAGTCCTTGACTACGGGTCGTTCTTCCATTTTTCTACTTGCTGATTGGTATCTAGTTGCAACAAGGATGGTTCAACACTTTAACAAAGATGATGTAACTTAGCTGCTTGGGAATATGGCCTCTGCTTAGAGAATCCCTACTCCATACCCTCAGTGAAATATGATTCCTGAACAATTGGCACCAACTCTGGACTGATCGCAGGGTACTTAGATGATGAGATGCAAACCACATTTTCCTTTTTGGAGAACCAACCAATTGCTCGCTTGGTTACCCCTGCTGTCCTGGGCATTCCTGGATTATCATGTTTCCTATCAGCCAATCTTCCTGTCTTATTTTCTTTATCAGTGAAAGCAGGTTATGAGGAGGGACCAGGGGAGATAGGAAATGAATAACAAGAGCGTGCTCTCACCTCACCATTGAGCTCAGATTTGTTCAGTAGGAGGAATCATCAAGAAATTACTTAAATCATAACTATTCTCTGTCAAAAAACCTTGGGCAGGATCTTTTACCGAAGGTGGCCCCAATAAAGTAGCCAAGATTTCCAAATTATGTATAAATTCTGGAAAAATATGAAAGGCCTCAAATTCCAACACCTGCAGCCTGAGCTCCGAGGTCATAAACATAAAGGTAGTGTATCTGTTTAGGGCTTCTATACAGGTCCCTGAGCAGCAGGGGACACCAAGAAACTGCTTGGAAGTTTTTTTTATTTTTATTTTTATTTTTTCCTCTCCTCCTTAGGAATGTTTCAGGGAATGGGTTCTGAAAGGCCAGGAAAGGCTCTTGAAATTGGATAAGCTGAGCAATTTGAGGAGAGTCTTTACCTGTTTCAGAGGCTGGTGAAGGGCAGTACAGTACTATAATTAACCATTTAGCTGCTGGAGTCAGAGTAACTGGGTTTCATCTTGGTTTGGTATCTACTTGCCATCTGTCTGGTAACCTACCAGATAAATCTCAGATATCTCATCTGTTAAAGTGGGGCTAATGGCAGTGGAGCCCTCAGGGTGGTGGGGAGGTTTGAATGGGGACGATTCCTGTGGAGCACTTATCCCAGAGAATGGCACAAAGTGAGTGTCCTGTCAGTGGCAGCTGAATAGGGAGTGTAAGATCACTGGAACCACTTGTAGGCTGCCACACTGGCTGCCATTCCTCCAGTCTGTCTCTGTTATATCCATCTTTTCAGTTACACAAAACTTCCTTCTCAAGCATGTTGGAAGAAAGGTTGTGTTATCTTTCCCTTACAGCCTAGTTAGTCTCCGAAGGCGATATTTTTAGATAAGTCTTTCCACAGAAGGACAATCTTCCTTTACCCCAGCAAGGAAATAATACGACTGAACCTAACAAAATTAACCTTACATCTCATATGTCATTGTTTGCTGTGTTGTGGAAGGCCCTGTCAGCAACTGTCAGGGAGTGATGATGGGCTGAATATCCTTGCTGAACTGCCTACACTCCACACTCGAGAAGTGTGATAAATCCAGGGCGATGACGCCATGTGTGGTACCAGTTGCCTCCTGCAGTCCTGCCTCTCATCCCACCTGTTTTGACCAGTGCTGTTGGCTCATCAGATCACAGAAGCCTGCTGTAATGGGGAGTCAATTGCAATCTCTTCTCCACACAGCCGAGTAAGGGAAGTTTTTTTTTTTTTTTTTTTAACGATTTAGCACAAAATCATGGAAAGGTCAACCTGGCAATATTAAGTAGTCCTGTCAGACTGTCAGTAGTAAAATTAAAAATGATTGTAGACTAAATAACACATTTGTTCTACTTAGAGTGCAGTGTCTGTAGCAAACAGCTGTGGTGGAATGTTGCTATCTTGTGGAGCAAGTGAGGAACTACAGTTTCTGGTGCCATCTGGTGTTTTCTCTCATGAACTATTGCCCCTACCCCCTAAAAGACAATACGTCAATAATTCATTGCAAACAAACATAGCACATAGTTCTACTCAGTAGTAGGGAGTATATCAGTTCTTTTGCGCAGAAGCATATCTTCTCAGGACGGATAAAGTAACGTATTGTCTGCAAGCTTCTATTTATTTGTTTTTCTGTAACTCAGGATGAAGAACATGTCAAATAGCTTTACATATTTTGATGAAGCAAGTTAGAAAATATTTACACCTTTCTCAAGGATTTTTTTAAATAAACAATGAGTTTCTTTACCACCTGGATGATAAAACATAGATGAGAAAGAAAAGAGTGACAGTTGCTTTCTAAGAAGAGTAAAGTAGTGACTCTGGTTTTCTAGTTGGGTTCAGATTGAGTAATACCCTGTAGTGAGACTACAGCCTCCTGCTGTGTTAACTGCTACATATCTCTTTTACCTTTAAGTGTTACACATAGTATTCTACTTTTTATCTTTCAGGCCATATGTCAAAATTTTATTTGTGTTCTTTCCAGATGTTAATTTTTCTCATCTCTGAGTAACTCAGAGGAACAAAGAGAGAATTACCTTTTTCCGCAGCAACTTATATTCATGTTTTTTCATCAGCAGTTCGCCAGGTTGATGAAGAATAGTCACTTGAGTAATCACAGGCAAATGTCGTTCAGCCTCTAAAAATGAGTAAAGGATTAGGAGCCCTGCTGAGGTCGTGTGGTTTGGCAGTGTGCAGGTCTTTGCATTTTGCTACTTGATAATTATGTTTAGGAACTTAAATTTATATGGCAACTGAGAAGTTCTTCTCAGATAACACATAGGTATCTTAGTTGCTCAAGTTATGCTACTTGTTCTATCATGCAAGTATTTGTGGTACTTTAATATTGAGTTCTCTTTGAGTATATATTAAAGATTCACATGACTGCAAAAGGTTTTTGCTGCTGCTGTTACTTTAAATTCAGGAGGATAGAGATAGAACAGTGGGTGACTTAGAGTTCTAGTGCCCAGTTAGCACCCAAGTGAGAATTTAATGTTCCTGAGTAAAGCTAAAGTAATCATTTACATTTCAGACACCATTTAAAAATACTGAATTATAATCAATTTTATTGTTGAAGTTGCTGACAAATGATTTCCTAGCCAGATACCTGGAATATCCTGCAATCAGTTCACATTGTCAGTGTGTTAAGTTGATATGTGGCATCCGGAATTTTAAAGGAATCCTGCATGTCAATCAGTGATCATGAAGAGGGACATTTATATTCCCTAGGCTCTGAACTAGTGTAATCAGATTATATTGTCAATTATTAGCATGAGCGATAGCAGGACACATAAACTCATGTAGATGTGTATGTCAGAGGAAACAATCACCTTTCTATCCTCAGGCTAGATCCTGGGATAATAATGTTCTTGATTATTTGATAATTTCTCTCTAGAAAATGGAATAGCAAGATACAAAATAGCAACCCTTAGTCAGCTTCTCCAGAAGTCAAGTTTCCTTAGTGGCTACCAAGGGCCAAATATAGTGCTGCTGTTCTAATGTGGGGGTGGGGGGCATTGATGAGACATGATGATCTTAACATTAACTGTGACTTTGTGAGTTTTGCATCAAACAGCCTCATGCAGCCTCAGTAGTGTATTATTTCTCAAGTCTACTTTTTAGTCCTGAAGTTCTAATGTGGCTCTTGTGTTTGAATAACAGTAGTCAATTGGTATCATAAAATAGCCTTGCCTCTCATTATAACTGCAGAAAATATGGCCCAGGTTTTTAGCATATCTTTTCTGTCATAGCTATCACAGTATTACCTTCATGCAGCTGCATTGTTCATGATTTATTTATTTATTCAGTTATACACTTAAGAACTATTTATTAGGTGCTGACCATATGCAAAACACTGTGCCAAGATGTATTATTTTAAGGGTGAATAAGACTAGGCTCCTGCCTTCAAAACCTTACAGGCTACTGGGGAGACATTAGGACATTAGCATAGAGTGCAATGCATGTTAGGAAAGGGTGCATATTGCTGTAGTCTCACCCAGATGGAAAATATAATTATGATGCTTTCTTTCATAAATAACAGAAAACCTAATTCTACCTAGTTTTTTAAAAAGGGAATATTTTGGCTCACCAAATTAAAAGTCCAGAGGTAATAGCTTCAGGCAAGGCTTGATCAAGGTGCAAAAGCATGACAAAACCAGGTTTTTCTTTCTTTCTCCTCCTTACTGAGGACTCTGTTCTCTGTAGCCCCTGATAGGAGGCCTCATAGTCTCAAAGTGCTTGCCAACCGTTTTGAAGGTTGCATGATCCTAGACTAAAGATAGCACAAAAGAGGAAATTCTCTTTCCTGGTAGCTCAAACAAACAAACAACAAAAAAAAGTTCTACAATCTTATTAGGCACAATTGGCCTCTCAGTCATGTGCATATCTCTGAGTTAATTATTTAGATGGATAACAGAATATGCTAATTTCTTAGTTAACATGGTCAGGACTCCTGCTCTTTGCTCACCCCAAGCTGGAAATGGGATCAGTTTAACCATATTGTATGGCTGCACAATTTAGGACAATAAGAGAAAGGATGATGTGGTTGGGAGAGGGAGGTCTCAAGATTGGGTCTCATTGAACTAAATGAGGTTTGCCTCTCCTCGAACCTATCGCTGGGCCTAGATTCAATAAGTCGGAGTCTCAAGTCCAAGCTGGGGGCTGAAAGTTGGGGATAAGTGGAAAGAGTTGGCCCCATCACAGAGTTGAGGGATGAATCATTCTGTCCAATGATGACAACACAACCACTCAGTCATTTAAACAGGGAACATTTAAATAATTCTTAACACTAATAGCAGTTTGGAATAACAAGGGATTAGCTCATAAGAAATGACAAGAACTCTTAAGGAATATGGGAATGGCAGATATGAGGAGAAGCTGCTACCCCTGGGGCTGGCATAGGGCACTCTAGGGAGGACCCCACCCTACCAGGCCTGAGATCCAGATGTTGTTGGAGGGTGTGGCCTTGGGTCACTTGATGACAAAGGAGTCACTAAGGTGCCACACAATATAATGGAGCTTGCTAGAAATCTGCCCTTTGGATTGTTGAGGAAAGCTGTTCATGGAGGGGTGTCTTGCTGGAGGCATTCTGCTACAGAATTGCACAGCGGGGCATACTGAGGGAAGCTGCTGGCCACCTGGTGCTGGAGAAGCTTCCTCTGCTGCAGGAGCCTGTTGAAGGAGCACACCAGAACCAGGAACCAAACCCTTTCCTCTGGCAGCGTCTATGCAACACCCTCTACTGACAAAGCTTAACATCAGGCCAACTGGGAAAGGAGTAATATTTCAGCGGCCCATCCATATTTTCATAGTGTTAGCAGAAAAGGTGAATTTGGATTTGATAGCCTATGCAGGAAAAGAGCATGTTACTGAAGGAAAATAGGGTTCTATTACCATAAGAAGGGAGATGATAGATTCAGGTCAGGCAACAGATTTTAACTACAGAAAGAGCTTTACGAACCAAGGAAAGAACAAAGGCATGAGATTAAGAGAGGAGTCTTGGAGTGTTTGAAACACCAGTGATTCTATTGTTGGTGCATAGTGGGCAAGGTGGGGAGAGGCAATAACAAAGTTGAACAGAGAGATCCAGGTTATGGACAGTCTTGGATAACATGATAATTAGTTTGCACTCTATATATAGGTTATGGGGAGCCACTGAGTAGTACTAATAATTTGATTCAGATTAGTGATTTAGAAAAATAATTTTGGTAGCAGTGTGGAGAAGGAATTAGAAGAGGAACACATAAAGAGACTGTTGAAATTATCTAGGCCAATGAATGAATGAAAAGCTGGCTAAGACAATGGCAGTGTTTATTGTGAAAAAGAGGTAGATTTTACAGATACTCAGGATATAGAGGCACAGTGAATAGAACTTGGAGACCAATCATATGGGGCAAGGCTTTAGAAACTCACCCTTTCTGAAAAATCAATGCAGCATAGCTCAGAAATTGAGTATGGGCTCTGGAGCAAACTACCTGGGCTCAAATCCAGGCTCCTACACTTACTTGCTGTGAGACTTCTGACAGGTTATACAACTCCTCTCCTCCGATTTCAGTCTCTACCGGATAAGCATAGGGAATAAGAAAACCATCAAATTCAAAGAACTGTTTTTTGGGACTAAATAAGATAGACGTAAGCCATTTAGAACACTATCTTGTATATCAGAAGAACTCAATGACACTGGTGTCATTTTTTTTTGTACAAACTGAAAATAACTTTGGAAATATATAATAAACTAAATTGTTGTGCTTTGTATAACACACTTATACACACATTTGTATAACACACATTGATGCGCTTTAAGCATCAATGACACTAGCATGTAATCATTCTTTGCTTCTGATGAAATCATTTTTTTCTTCCCTTGTTGACAAGGAAAGACACAATTTAATCAAGAAGACCAACTTAACTTTATGGGGCAGAAATATAAAGTATGATAATGCTGAGACACCAATGGCCATACCAGAGTATCTGATTAAATAAGTACAATAGTTAGATGGCGGGTCTTACATGCATTCATTCTTTCATGCATTTGGCCAACTCCTATTTCCAAGATAGTTATTTTTAAATTTCACTGTAAAAGTAGACTGTAACAAGAGATTTACATATGATCCATTAAATAGTTTTGTCAGTGTCACTTAAAATCCAGTCAACTTAGGTAACAATAGTAAACCCTGGAATGGGGTCAGTCTGTCCAAACAGAAATGATAATCATAACAGCAACGATTTCTAGTAATGGTATAGCCAGCAATTTTCTACAGGGAACCAGAACACACAGTGCAGGCAGGGATGTATCAGACTCCTCAATTCCACACTATCCCATCCCCAGATGCCGACCTTATGGTAGACTCTGCATAAATATTTAATGAATAAATGAATTATAGGGCTGCTTTATTTATTTATTTGTTTATTTATTTTGAGACGGAGTCTCGCACTGTCGCCCAGGCTGGAGTGCAGTGGCGCGATCTCGGCTCACTGCAAGCTCCGCCTCCCGGGTTCATGCCATTCTGGTGCCTCAGCCTCCTGAGTAGCTGGGACTATAGGCACCCACCACCACGCCTGGCTAATTTTTTGTATTTTTAGTAGAGACTGAGTTTCACTGTGTTAGCCAGGATGGTCTCGAAATCCTGACCTCGTGATCCGCCCGCCTCGGCCTCCCGAAGTGCTGGGATTACAGGCGTGAGCCACCGCGGCCAGCCTGCTTTTTTATGTTGAAGTAAGTAAGTACAGTTTCAACCAGGAAAATTAGACACTGATTTAATGACTATCTCAAACAATATGACACAGTTCTAGACTAAATAATAGGAGTAGACAGGCTTGCTTTAGGAATGGTGGTACAGGCTATTTTGAACAGGCCTGCGAAAAGGCCAAGATTTTAAGAGTTGTAAGTGACAAGTTCTGAAAAGAATTTCTTAACCCACTAAATTGGGAATAAATTTTAGTGTCTTCTCTAGAAGTGTCAGTCTTTTCAGCTTTATCTATGCACTGGTTATAAATATTAAGGACAAAAATACGTGGTTTAGCAAAGAGTTCTGGCTTTGGTGTTTATAAGCCCAGCCTGGTCAGCGGGAGAAGAATGCCTGGCTGTAATGTCCAAGATCATGAGGGCATTTTTAATGGGAAAGGGTATGACAGCTGCCTCTGAGGGATCCCTTTATGTCAGCTCATTAGAAATCATTTCCCAATCCAGGACATAAGTGTCTTCCAAACCTCCCCCTTATCAAAGGGCTCAGCCGTTGACACCAGTGTCCTTCTTAGAGCCATCACTAGGCAGCCCACTGCCTGTATTCTCTCTGCAGCTTTCTTTCTAGTTCTGCCAGAGCCCCTGTCATCCACAGACTTTCCAAGAGTAAGATAAAAACCTTTATCTTCAAAATTATTAAGGCATTTTTCCCCCATGCAGCAAGTTGGTGTCTCTATTTAATGAGCCCCTAATTCTTGCCATACATTTTGCTAAGCAAATGTATGATTTTGCTAATATGTATGATTTGATATTTTGCATTTCTTATCTCCTTTAATTCCCACAAAATCTGTGCATAGTGTGTAGACATTATTATCCTCATTTTATTAATGAAGACGTGAGGATTGGAGAAGTTAAATAGCTTGCCCTGGATCACAGAGCTTGCCAATGACATCGTTGGGGTTCAAATCCAGACCAATCTGACCTCATAGCCCTCCTCACACAGTTGTACTTAACATTCTTCATGGTGGGGCCCAGACAGGTGTATCTTGGTTAAAGTGTCCCAGGGTTTTCTTCTGTATCTTCTGCTCTTTGTTCAACTCGCAGTCCTGAACTCCTCCATGAACAGTAAATGTTTGAGAGCAAGGTATTTGTTTGGGCCATAGGAGTCACTTTCCTTTCTCTAGCTGCCCAGAAAGGACAAAAGATCCTTGACTGTTCAAAATCCTTGACTGTTCAAAAATAAAGACTTAATTTTTATATTAATTTTGAATTGTCAATATTGTCTGTTCACTAAACTTATTTTTTCTTCTTTTTCTACGTCCCTTCAATATTCTATCTATCTGTCTATCTATCAATCATCCATCAATCATCTATCTAATCTATCTGTCTATCTATCCTATCCATCCATCCATCTCCATCTCTCATCTATCTACTAGTAGTGTGTGCCCATAATCCAGACTTTAGTTCCATTTCCTTTATTTCTGTGGGACCTTGGACAGATTCTGCCCCGTGATTCTTTGTGAGAACTTTTAGACTTCTTAGATCCTTCTGGATTCAAACTCTGCATGTAACTTAAGTTTACCTTTACACGGAAAGACCCCATTCTTGGTGTTTCTTTGGAAAAATATTTTATTGAATTATAAGAAATTAAAACTGGCATCTAGATTCTTCAGAGAAAACCACTGAGAAAATAAGTTATGTGTAACACCGTAAAATAAGTATTCCAAATTGGTCTGATTAACAGCCTATGAGAAGCCTGTTTTATATATATTAGAAAACAAATCCAGAATTTAGCTCCCTCTGAGATAATTATTGTGCTCTTCCCTGGAACCAGTTTTTATGTCCCAAGAAGAGATTTACATCTCAAATAAGCAGCAGGAACAAATTAGCTGCCAAGAACTGTCCTTTCAAAGATGCTGTTGATAGCCAAGTTAAGATGATTATAAATCTATTAGAATGTACAACACCATTGATTTTGGTGTTTTAAAGATCTGAGGTACGAGATTCTCTTTAAACTATAACAATGTTTTAAAAGTGCCTTTCCATACCATAAAATGTAATTTGACTTGGGTGCCTAAAAAACCTGACACATGGCAGTTCCTTTTTCAACTGTACTTCCTTTTTCACATGAGCACTATTAGAGCCTAGATAGGAATTGGGAATGACTAACATTGAGGATTTACATCATCGTTTCATATTTTTATAATTAGGGAAAAAAAGAAGACGCATGCTTTCCATAGAAGATGAGAATGGAAACTTAAATTTCCCAATCCAGGACATAAACGTTATGTGGCATCTAGATTAACCTCCCCCCAACCCCTGCCACCAGTATCATTCCAAATAACTTCCTTTGCTTGCTACAACTCTTTCCTTACTAAAATGAGTTAGCCTATTTGGTAAATTGAATGGTATTACATATCTCTGGGACAAAAGGCTTGATGATATTCATTATTACTGGTTTAGATACGTATTCTCTTCCTTTGCTCAGTGCACTTGATAAGGAAGTGAAATTAGCCACCTTTGTGATTGCGTCAAGCCTCAATTAAGTTCAGATCTGAGTTAATATAATCTATGGTTATTTTCAGCCATTGTAGTTGTCATTTGTGTTTCCGAATTGTCAAACAATGCACTGTCTATATAATGCCCTTTAATTTGCCCAAAATTACAAGAGCCGATCTGAATTCTGCCCAAGTATTTTTTGCATTTCTCATTACTCTTTCTTTCAAAGCTGCCTTCTCGCTCCATTCCTCTCTCAGGAAATGGAACTAGTCGGGGGCCTCTGTCAGACTCCCTTCATGTTTAAGAACAGTTGATTTTCCAAAAACATGTCTGTCTTGTGCTTTATTCACTCAGGACTGTGTTCTTGGCTATTTCCATTGATGAAATTATTTCTATAAAGACACTATCTGACTGACAGGGACTGAGCGGACTCCTTCACCACAATATCTTAATTTTAGTTTAATGGTGTCCACAGATGGTATAACTTAAAGGTTTACCAATTGTGGAAATTTTCATACCATATTGAAGTTAAGATCATTGTGGAGGGGAGAATAATATTTTTCAAAACTTAAATTATTTATAAAGGAATTTTGATGAAATTCACAATTCAGGTCCAATGCTACTATGGAAAAGTTCACTGAGACAGTTTGCAGCGATTTGGAAGCATGGCACATTGGTAGGGCGGTGTGCTTGCCATCATCCTCTCCACCCCCATTCCACTCCAGTTGATACCACCTTCAAATAGCAACAAAACTTCAAATTCACTTGCTTTCAAGGAATCAATATTTCCTCTTTCCATTGGATGGAGAGGTATAAACTCAGCCTAAAATTATAATCCCTTTAGTCCCGGTGCTAGAGATGTTGTCAACATTGGTTGCAGATTCATGCTGTCCTAAATTTTTAGCAGCTCAGGAATTTCTCCAGTCTTTTGTTTGTAAACCATTTTCTCTTCTGAAGGCTTCTAGAATTTTTTCTTAACTTCAATATTTTTTCTCAAATATATTTTCCTTAGTGTTTCTACTTAAAGGTCGATATCTTTCCAAATCATACTTTAATAAAATATAATAAACACAGGATTTTATATGCACCAGGAGTTCAGCAATTGCTTTTTTATATACAAAATATTTTTAAGTCTTGAATAACTATTTAATCTGACTACACATGATTGTTAGAGGAACTCTTCTCCTATTTTTTCATTTACATGTTAACACATACTAGTGTTTTAGAGTTTTTGGGTGCAAATTCCATTTCTAACATGTTGAATAATATTTAAATACTATCCACTAATAAATATGTTGTTTTTCACCACTGCAGGTGGAAGAGGCCCTGGAAGCTGTCAAAAATGCTACAAATGAGCAAGACCTTGCAAACCGTTTTAAAGAGTTTGGGAAAGAGATGGTGAAACTTAACTATGTAGCAGCAAGAAGACAACAGGTGGGAAAGATTTTAGAAATGCTAGGGGAGAAAATGGGTGAGTTTAAATAACCCTGTAGCTTTTTAGGCCTGAACAATGGATCAACTGCATCTGCTTGCTATCAAATGCCCTAAGAACCTGTGATGACAAAGGTTGCTTCCTGCAGGGGCCAGTTGTGATGCCTTGGTGGGCTCTGGACCACTCTCTGGCCCCCACCTATAAGCAGGCCACAGATTATTTGCTTCACTGGTGGACCCACCCTGCTAGCCCTACCACACTCTGATCTTCTATCCACTGTAGGAACACAGCTCTGATGTCAAATAAAAAATATTAAACTGTGGGGTAGTGCTGTGGTCAGTCTCTGGATGTCACCCTTTGCCCTCACTTTTTGTCTCCTAGTCTTGTGAACACCACCACACATATACACTCCCAGGATATGTAGTATGTGGGGTGAAATTTTTCTGAAAGAGAAGAAGAAAACATGAACAAAATGAGAGGAAATGCAGGGGTGGGGGAACGGAGAAAGGGAGAGAGAACAGGGGGAAAAGGGGAGGGGAGTGGGGAAGGGGAGGAAGGGAAAAAGGGGTGAGAAGAGTGCAGGTGAGCGTGAGTCACTCTCATGATGCTGTGTGACCTGGGATCTCCTCAGCCTCAGTATTAGTTTGTTCTCATGCTGTTATAAAGAACTGCCCTGAGACTGGGTAATTTCTAAAGAAAGGAGATTTAACTGACTCACAGTTCCACATGGGTGGGGAGGCCTCAGGAAACTTACAATCATGGTGGAAGGGGAAGTAGGCGCCTTCTTCACAAGGTGGCAGGAGAGAGTGAGCAAGAGCAGGGAAAACTGCCTTATAAAACCATCAGACCCCCGTGGGAACTCACTCACTATCACGAGAACAGCATGGAGGAACCACCCCTATGATCCAGTCACCTCCCTTCCTCGACACATGGGGATTATAGGTCCCTCCCTCCACATGTGGGGTTTACAATTCAAGATGAGATTTGGGTGGGGACACAGAGCCAAACCATATCAGCCTCCTTTTTGTCTAGGGATTTCTCAGTTTCAGCTAACTCTGTTTGCTCACTGGATACCTTTAGTATTTTGTTCCCATCGAGTGGGTTTTTATTCTTTCGCCATAGAAAAAATATTTCCAAATGTGGAAGGATCTCCTAAAATCCTTTCACCCATCCTTTTGACTGCTTCCAGAATTTTTTAAAACATTTTGGGCCATTCGTAGTTTCTCTAACTTTCTCTCTGACCAACAGGAAAGTTCCACTCAACAAACATTTATTGAATGTTCATTCTGTGCCAGGCTTAAGTGAGGCTGGGATTAGGAACTTAACCAAGAGCCAGTCCTCAGTGAGACAGGCACATAAATGTGATTTTAGTTTATGTGGTTATTTTTAAGTATGTTTTTATCAGCAGAATTCCTTGTTGAAAGGGAATCTTGTATGGTAGCCCAATGTGTAATATAAACAGGAACAAAGTTACTCTGAATAGTGAGAGAGAGATAGAGAGCCCCAGGAGGCTACTGGTGCAGGCCCCAGAGTCTAGAAGCCTAGGAATCTGGTGTTCTGATGTCCAAAGGCAGGAGGAGAAGGGCATTCTGCTCTGGAAGGGAGAGAGAGAATGAATTCACCCTTCCTCCACCTTTTTGTTCTGTCGTTGCCCCCAGCCGACTGGATGGTACCCACCTACACTGAGGGTGAAGCTTCTCCACTTAATTCACTGGCTCACATGCCAGTCACCTCCTAAAACACTCTCACAGTGACACATTCAAAATAATGCTTCATCAGCCTTCTAGATACCCCTCAATCCAGTCAAGTTGACACCTAAAATAACCAACACAGATGTGCCGATTTTGAGATATCCACATTGAAACATCAAATAGAAGAGAAGTGTTGCCTGGAGATGGAAACATGGGCCATCAGCATGTAGCTGACATTAAAAGCCACGAGAATATATATGATGTTCATATGAAAATGCCTACATTATTTATTTTTACTTCATTAATACTTTGTTTTTAATTGATTGTTAGTTCAGACTCTTTCAAGAAAATTTAGAAAAACAGTAGAACAGAAGGAAAGGGGAAAAACACATAATACCCTACCACCCACAAAGAATATGGTGCTGATATTTTGGTATATTTTCTTTCAGATATTTATCTTCACATATTAATGCATTTAAAATCATACTATGCATACAAATATGCGTATTGTGTTCTGCTTTTTAATTTATCTTATAAATATTATTCATGTTATTAATTTTTGGAAAACTAATTTTAATTATCACATACTCCAATATGAATGTTTCAGTAGTTTTTTTTCAACCAATTCTTGGTAATTCAATATTTAGATTGTTTCCAGTTTTCTTCTTATGATTAAAACATGTTTCTTCAAGTGTTTTATGGAGAGATTTTCACAACCCGCATTTCTCACTTCTGTATTTAGATCTATTTTACCATTTTATTATTTTTTTTAGTATAGATACCCAGGAATGGAATTTCTGGACCAGATGTTCTGACATTAATAAAGGTTTTCATGACTGTTTGGGAGAAACCTACCTCTCGTGCCCAAATCATTGCCCAGTAGAGAATACATTCAAATATTTGTTACCTGTTTATCCATTTTCATCTCTGGGGCTCAAATTAGATAATCCCAATTTAGAAATTGTGTTACCTAGCATCCATCTTTTAATGCTTAAGCAAAGGGGGAAAAAGATGGTTCAGTAAATTGTTCATTATTTATTACCAATTTTCGTGACAATCTTAGATATCAAATATAATGTGTTTGTCTCAGAATTGTTTTGACCAACAAAACAGAAGATGTGATTTCTTGTTACCAGGTCATTCATCTATCATGTGCCAAATGAGCAAATAGGAAGAGAAGCCCAGTGGTTCAAATACGCTTTACTGATGTTTTCCAGCTGGAAGAATATTCTCCCAGAGATAACACAGCTGGCAATCCTGCATGGCTCTCAAAGAGCAACACTGCTTTAACATTTCTGAAAATCATTTGAACATTTTCTTAACAACAGCCTTTAAAGATGGAAATAAAGAGACTCCCTAGTGGTATTATTTTGTCATCCAAAACTAGGAAAACAAATCATCTTTGGCCTGTTATTTTCTGTTCTCTAAACTTAATGATGAGCTGCCATTAGAGGCTGTCAACAACAACAAAGCAGGAACCCTATTCTGAAAATGATAATTAAGGGACACTGATGTGTTGAGCAAAAATCAGAAGTTTGGTTTCCCATTTGTAACAGTAATTGAATATGGAGGCAAGTAGGGCCTCAGAAGACTGACGTTTTCAGGTTTTCTGTCTGTTCATAACTAACTGTATGGCCCATGCAATCAATTTACCTTCTTGGTGGCTTGGTTTTTATATTATCTCAGCAATATTTTATTGAATGCCTCTTATAGGCCAGCCACTTTGCTAATGACTAAAGAGCCACTGAATAAGAAAACTAGGGCTCCCTGCTGTCATTAGAGGTACGTTATAGAAGAGAAATATATGCTCAAAAAATACAGTAAAGTAGGAAGTGTTAGTGATAGGAGAGGAAGAGTGTCTTGTGGGAACAGATGAAAGGGGACACAGCTTAGAAAGTTGGGTGGAGGATGTGCCAAGTCAGTGGAGCCCTGTCAGGTGAAAGGGTAGGGCAGAGGAGGAAAGCTCAGGCATTTCACATAGAAGGGACAGTAGGCCAGGTGTGGTTGCTCATGGCTGTCATTCCAGCACTTTGGGAAGCAGAGGTGGGAGAATCCCTTGAGGCCAGGAGTTCAAGGCCCACCTGGGCAACATAGCCAGACCCCACTTCCACAACTTTTTTTTTTTTAACTAGCCTGGTGTGGAAGCATGCACCTGTAGTTCTAGCCACTTAAGAGGTTGAAGAGGGAGGATCACTTGGGCCCAGGAGATGGAGGCTGCAGTGAGCTTTGATAACACCACTGTACTCCAACCTAGGTCACTATAGAGACCTAGCTGTCTCTATAAAACAGACAAACAAACAAAAGAGTATATGCAAAGGCCTGGCAGCTAGAAACAGCACAAGGGTTTCTGAAGTTCAGTGTGTTACTAAGAGTCTGTGACTCCAAACTGTGTTGCAAATATTTCTATGCAAATTTCATGTGTGTGACAGCTTTCATGTGTTACACACACAGGAGCTGAAGGATCCTCACTGTCGGGATGAGATGGCAGCCGCCCGAGGGGCTCTGAAGAAGAATGCCACAATGCTGTACACGGCCTCTCAAGCATTTCTCCGCCACCCAGATGTCGCCGCTACGAGAGCCAACCGAGATTATGTGTTCAAACAAGTCCAGGAGGCCATCGCCGGCATCTCCAATGCTGCTCAAGCTACCTCGCCCACTGACGAAGCCAAGGGCCACACGGGCATCGGCGAGCTGGCTGCGGCTCTTAATGAGTTTGACGTAAGCATCCTGGTGAGGTACACAGAGGGGTGGGCACTGGTGTTGACAAAAAAAAAAAATGTATTGAGGATGAAGGGCCACTACAATAATTTACATTGATTTTTCTCTTTTGGAGGTTTTAATAGTAAGATAAACTACATAATGCATTTCTGTAATATATTGGCTAAGCCATTATCACTTGTCTTTAAAGAAACAACTGTGGCTGCGGTGGCTCACCCCTGTAATCCCAGAACTTTGGGAGGCCGAGGTGGGTGGATCACCTGAGGTCATGAGTTCGAACATGGAGAAACCCCGTCTCTACTAAAAATGTAAAACATTAGCTGGGCGTGGTGGCGCATGCCTGTAATCCCAGCTACTCGGGAGGCTGCGGCAGGAGAATCGCTTAAACTCGGGAGGCGGAGATTGCGGTGAGCCGAGATCGTGCCATTGCACTCCAGCCTGGGCAACAACAGCAAAACTCCGTCTCGGGGAAAAAAGAAGAAACAACTGTATTTAAGAGTGCCCAATCCCTTCCAGGTAGATGAGATAACTTACAGGCTATTTTAGGGACAGTTCATAATTTGACGATCATCTTTATTATTAAAGGGGCACATGTTATGGGCAGCCTAGATGTACGTTGCCTCTATGTTGTGCCTGCGTGAAAAGCTGCCATCAATTTCTTTGTTTTAAATCAGTGATAAAGTACATTGCCCTATGATCCCACACAGGACCCTGGTCTTCATTAGAACAGACCCTCTGGGGAGAGCCTGTGTTAGTTCTCTGAAAGTCCTACATTCTACACTGGCTGTTTCTGTAGGTGTGTCCTGGTGAGGGAAGAAGCAAGGAGGATTGTTCACTGTGCTGAGCCATATGTGAAGCATCAGTGTGAGTGAGAAGGTTGCACGCATGTCATCAGCACCCCGGGATGACAGCCCCCATTCCCCCCGGGTCAGAGGACCTGTGAGAAGTTGGAATTTATTTATCTTATGATCAATGAAAGCCTACAAAGATTTATAAATAATTAGCATCTACTTTCCAGGGTTAAATAACCCTGCAGGGGAGATGAGGGAAGTAGAATGCACTAAACACCATTTAATTGATAAAACACAATGTTACAGGAATTCATAGAAGAAAAATAGGTTACTTAATGGTCATGAAGAAAGATGATGAGCTTGCTTTTGAATATGTTGATGTGAATTTTTGGCAAGAAATAACTAGTTAGCAGCTGGAAAAAAAGGTCCAGGAGCAAAGCAATGATTGTTCAAGGCTTGGAGATGGATGATATAACTGAGGAATAATTTTAACAGTTCATACTCAAATAGTTCTTACCATTTTCATAGTGGTCTCTCCTCTTTCCCATATTTTTACAGTTAGTTATATGTATCTCACACCATATATTATTTCCTAAGGTTTTTTTTGTGAGGATTAAATATGATAATATATTTAAAGCACTTGCTACAGAAATGAAGACTTAATAATAGGTAATTTTATTCACAAAATTGCAGCGAGCAACTGAAAATTCATAGAAAATAATGAGAGTTCAAAATAATGTTTACTTTATATAACATAAATATACAAAAATCTCTAGATTTTCATCATGTAAAATAAAGTAGAATAACGAGGAGATATTCACAAAACAAATAATTTTTAAAAAGTTAATTTTATTTTATTATTTCTTATATCTGCTAGAAATAAGTCTAATATAGATGTGAAGGACCTAAAAAGTCAAATTATATTACTTTATTGAGGGACAAGTTTTACTTGTCAGTAAATGATATCATGATCTTGAGTAGGAGAACTATTGATCCTATCAGTTTTCATAATGTTGAAGCAATCTCAATACAAATTCTAAGAGGATTCTTTTGGAACTTGACAGAGGAGTGATAAAGGATTTTTGTTTGTTTGTCTTTTTTTATATTCTAGAATAAAGAATGAATGAGCCCATATTTCAGGGAAAAGTAAATGAGCAGGTCATACACACAGATATTAAAACATTGTAATGCTACATTAATTTTAAAGGTGTGTATTGAAACACAAATGGACTCATCCATGAAAGAATAAAAATCATAGGCAATCTCAAATACAAAATTATTTTATAAATTGGTGTTTATTAAAATTAGTTAAGAATGGATTATTTAGTCAGATTTTGACACAATTACATTATTCTAGTTATAATTTATTTTATAATCAAAAATAAACAACAAAACCTAAGTGAGGAGCTGGTTAAGAGTGAAAATATGAAGCACAGAGAGAAGGCCTGTGAACAGTCCAGGAACTTCAGCTGCTGCCACCTTCTGTCCAAGAGTGTGACAACTGCTGCTTCCCCATGCTGCCTTTTGTTTCCAGACGATTTTCATTAAAAGCACCTTTTATCCCCAATTAATGTAACAACCGATGCGTCAGTGCAACAGTGCAAAAGGCTTTCATTCATAAAAATCAAACTTGAGGTCATGTGGGGAAAATCTATTAGCAAAGTATGTCAACATGTTGAATGTTCAAGGTTTTTTTTTTGTTGTTGTTGTTTTTCCTGAAGTGATATCTCCTCATGCTGGACAAATAAGGCTTTGGAAATTTAACACATGAATATAACCATCAAACATGTTTTTTATAAAACATGATATATTTGAAACAGTTGGAAAAATTAAAATATAAAGTATAATATGGTAAATAAGTCACTAACTATATTTTATTAACTTTAAACTTCTATATTAACTAATTATATTACTTATAATATTAACTCAGTATATTATATATGAATGAAAAAATTATATTTTATATTAGCTAAGTATATTAATGAGGTAATATATTCTTATTAAATGTATACTGTTTCTCAAGCTATGAGAATTACATAAAGCGTTATCTAATGGTCAACATTTTACTTCTTGGAGGTCAACAAAAATCAAAATGTGGAGGCTGTCTGAATTGCAGTTTTGAAACAATAATTCCATTTGATGTGGTTCCCTAACAATTGTCATTTAACAAATGCAATTTAATTTCAGCACTTTCTCAAAAGTAGTAATGCTAGTAAATTAGTATTGAATTTACAGACTGTAATGTGATTCACCTGCTGTAGATTTTCCATCACTTCTGACATCAGCAAACCTAGACAGTAGTTAATGATACTTGAAATTTTCTCATTAAAATAATATACCGTTTCTCTTTATTTTATGACTAAATTATAAATTTCTGTTCCATAGTTGTATGATGAATACTGTTTTTTTAAAAATTTCTTAGGCATGCTAACTTGAAATTGATTTTGAATTCATGGACATCTGTCATGAGTCCTAAATGCTATTCTCAGATATTAAACAAATTGATATTTCATTGGGTGAAAAACTCACTCAAACTTCCTGTGGTTTACTTTTCTGGCAAAATCTCTTACTGATACTTGGTATAATACCTTTCTCATATAGTGAAAATTTAAATAAGTTTAACGTCTTTGAAATGCTGAAGTAAAAGGAACCATAAAAATGCAAAATATATTTTCATAGACAGCACAGCTAGTTTGCCCTAAAATTTATTTTTTAAAAATTTTACTTTAAGTTCCAGGATACACGTGCAAAATGTGCAGGTTTGTTATCTAGGTTTACATGTGCCATGGTGATTTGCTGCACCTATTGACCCATCCACTAAGTTCCCTTCCCTTGCCCCCACCCCGCAACAGTCCCTGGTGTGTGTTGTTCCCCTCCCTGTGTCCATGTGTTCTCATTGTTCAACTCCCACTTAGGAATGAGAACATGTGGTGTTTGGTGTTCTGTTCCTGTGTTAGTTTGCTGAGGATGATGGCTTCCAGCTTCATCCACGTCCCTGCAAAGGACATGATATTATTCCTTCTTATGGCTGCATAGTATTCCATGGTGTATATGTAGCACATTTTCTTTATCCAGTCTATCATTGGTGGGCATTTGGGTTGGTTCCATAACTTTGCCATTGTAAATAGTGCTGCAGTAAACATACATGTGGATGTGGCTTTACGGTAGAAAGACTTATATTCCTTTGTGTATATACCCAATAATGGGATTGCTGGGTCTAATGGTATTTCTGGTTCTAGATCTGTAAGGAATTGCCATACTGTCTTCCACAATAGCTGAACTAATTTACATTCCCACCAACAGTGTAAAAGCGTACCTGTTTCTCCACAGCCTTGCTAGCACCAATTGCATCTATAGCATCTATCTATTCTTGACTTTTTAATAATTGCCATTCTGACTGGCCTGAGATGGTATCTCATTGTGGTTTTGATTTGCATTTGTCTAATGATGAGTGATGTTGAGCTTTTTTTCATGTTTGTTGGCCATGTAAACATCTTCTTTTGAGAAGTGTCTGTTCATATCCTTTCTCCACTTTTGGATGGGGTTGTTTGTTTTTGTAAATTTAAGTTCCTTGTAAATTCTGAATATTAGACTTTTGTCAGATGAGTCGATTGTAAAAATTTTCTCCCATTCCGTAGATTGCCTGTTCACTCTGATGATTCTTTTGCTGTGCAGAAGCTCTTTAGTTTGGTTAGATACCATTTGTCAATTTTGGCTTTTGTTGCAATTGCTTTTGGTGTTTTCATCATGAAGTCTTTGCCCATGCCTATTTCCTGAATGGTATTGCCTAGGTTTTCTTCTAGGGTTTTTATGGTTTTGGGTTTTACATTTAAGTCTTTAATACATCTTGAGTTAGTTTTTGCATAAGGTGTAAGGAAGGGGTCCAGTTTTAGTTTTCTGCCTATGACTAGCCAGTTTTCCAGCACTATTTATTTAATAGGAGATTATTTCCCCATTGCTTGTTTTTGTCAGATTTGTCAAAGATCAGATGGTTGTAGATGTGTGGTGTTATTTCTGAGGTCTCTCTTCTGTTCCGTTGGTCTGTCTGTTTTGGGACCAGTACCATGCTGTTTTGGTTACTGTAGCCTTGTAGTTTAGTTTGAAGTCAGGTAGCATGATGCCTCTAGCTTTGTTCTTTTTGCTTAGGATTGTCTTGGCTATACGGGGTCTTCTTTAATTCCATATGAAATTTAAAGTAGTTTCTTTTTCTAATTCTGTGAAGAATGTCAATGGTAGTTTGATGGAAGTAGCATTTATTCTATAAATTACTCTGGGCAGTATGGCCATTTTCACAATGCTGATTCTTCCTATCCATGAGGTTGGAATGTTTTTCCATTTTTTTGTGTCCTCTCTTAATTCCTTGAGCAGTGGTTTGTAGTTCTCCTTGAAGAGGTCCTTCACATCCTTGTTAGCTGTATTCCTAGGTATTTTATTATCTTTGTAGCTATTGTGAATGGGAGTTCATTCATGATTTGGCTCTCTGCTTGTCTGTTATTGATGTAAAGGAATGCTTGTGATTTTTGCACATTGATTTTGTATCCTGAGACTTTGCTGAAGTTGCTTATCAGTTTAGGGAGTTTCTGGGCTGACATGATGGGGTTTTCTTGATATACAATCATGTTGTCTGCAAACAGAGAAAATTTGACTTCCTATCTTCCTATTTGAATATGCTTTATTTCTTTATCTTACCTGATTGCCCTGTCCAGAATTTCTAATACTATATTGAACAGGAGTGGTGAGAGAGGGCAGTTTTGTTATGTATTGGTTTCCAAAGGGAATGCTTCTTGCTTTTGCCCATTCAATATGATATTGGTTGTGGGTTTGTCATGAATAACTCTTGTTATTTTGAGGTATGTTCCATCAATACTTAGTTTATTGAGAGTTTTTAATGTGAAGCGATGTTGAATTTTATCAAAGGCCTTTTCTGCATCTATTGAGATAATCATGTGGTTTTGTCTTTGGTTCTGTTTATGTGATGGATTACTTTTCTTGATTTGCCTATGTTGAACCAGCTTTGCATCCCAGGGATGAAGCTGACTTGGTCATGGAGGGTAAGTTTTTTATGTGCTGCTGGATTTGGTTGGTCAGTATTTGATTGAGGATTTTTGCTTTGATGTTCCTTATGGATATTGGCATGAAGTTTTCCTTTTTTATTGCATCTCTTCTCAGTTTCAGTATCAAGATGATGCGGGCTCCATAAAATGAGTTAGGGAGGAGTCCTTCCTTTTCAGTTGTTTGGAATAGTTACAAAAGGAAGGGTACCATCTTCTCTTTGTACCTCTGGTAGAATTCACCTGTGAATCCATCTGGTCCTGGGCTTTTTTTGGTTGGTAGGCTATTAATTACTGCCTCAAATTCAGAACTTGTTATTGGTCTATTCCATAACTTTACTTCTTCCTGGTTTAGTCTTGGGAGACTGTATGTGTCCAGGAATTTATCCATTTCTTCTAGATTTTCTAGTTGATTTGCATAGAGGTGTTTATAGTATTTTCTGATGGTAGTTTGTATTTCTGTGGGGTCAATGGTGATATCTCCTTTATAATTTTTTATTGTGCCTATTTGATTCTTCTCTCTTTTCTTCTTTATTGGTCTAGTTAGTGGTTTATCTATTATGTTATTTTTTTCAAAAAATTAGCTCCTGGATTCATTGATTTTTTTGGAGGGTTTTTTGTGTCTCTGTCTCCTTCAATTCTGCTCTGATCTTAGTTATTTCTTATATTCTGCTAGCTATTGGATTAGTTTGCTCTTGCCTCTCTAGCTCTTTTAATTGTGATGTTAGTGTGTCGACTTGAGATCTTTCTAGCTCTCTGATGTGGGCATTTAGTGCTATAAATTTCCTCTTAACACTGCTTTAACTGTGTCCCAGAGATTTTGGTATGTTATCTCTGCTCTTTGGTTTCAAAGAACATCTTGATTTCTGCCTTAATTTCATTATTTACCCAGGAGTCACTCAGGAGTAGGTTGTTCAATTTCCATGTGATTGCATGGTTTTGAGTGAGTTTCTTCATCCTAAGTTCTCATTTGATTGCACTGTGGTCTGAGAGACTGTTATGGTTTCAGTTCTTTTGCATTTGCCAAGGAGTGTTTTACTTCCAATTATGTGGTCAATTTTATAATAAGTGCCATGTGGCACTGAGAAGAATGTATATTCTGTTCATTTGGGGTGCAGAGTTCTGTAGATGTCTATTAGGTACACTTGATCCAGAGCTGAGTTCAGTCCTGAATATCTTTGTTAATTTTCTGTCTTGTTGATCTCTCTAATATTGACAGTGGGGTGTTAAAGTCTCTCACTATTATTGTGTGTAGAGACCTATTAGTTTCTTTGTAGGTCTCTAAGAACTTGTTTTATGAATCCGGTGCTCTTGTATTGGGTGCATATATATTTAGAATAGTTAGCTTTTCTTGTTGAATTGTACCCTTCACCATTATGTAATGCCCTTGTCATTTTTGATCTTGTAGGTTTAAAGTCTGTTTTGTCAAAGACTAGGTTTGCAACCCCTGCTTTTTTTGCTTTCCATTTGCTTGGTAAGTTTTCCACCATTCCTTTATTTTGAGCCTATGTGTGTCTTTGCATGCGAGATGGGTCTCCTGAATACAGCACACTGATGGGTCTTGACTCTTCATTCAATTTGCCAGTCTGTGTCTTTTAATTGGGCCATTTAGCCCATTTAAATTTAAACTTAGTATTGTTATGTGTGAATCTGATCCTGTCATCATGATGGTATTTGGTTCTTTTGCACACTAGATGATACAGTTTCTTCATAGAGTCGTTGGCCTTTATATTTTGGTGTGTTTTTGCAGTGGCTGGTACTGGGTTTCCTTTCCATGTTTAGTGCCCCTTTCAGGAGCTTTTGCAAGGCAGGCCTGTTGGTAACAAAATCTCTCAGCATTTGCTTGTCTGTAAAGGATTTTATTTCTCCTTTGCTTATGAAGCTTAGTTTGGCTGGATATTAAATTCTGGGTTGAAAATTCTTTTCTTTAAGAATGTTAAATTTTAGACCCCAAGCTCTTCTGGCTTGTAGAGTTTCTGCTGAGGAGTCTGCTGTTAGTCTGATGGACTTCCCTTTGTAGGTGACCTGGCCTTTCTCTCTGGCTGCCCTTAACATTTTTTCCTTCATTTTGACCTTGGAGAATCTGATGATTATGTATCTTGGGGTTGATTTTCTCATGGAGTATCTTAGTGATGTTTTCTAACACCACAGACACTGTGGCCACCCCTCCCCCTAGGGGCTCAGGCCCAGAGAGATCCATTTTCTGTCCCTGAGTCTCTGGCTGGAGTTATTAGAGTTGCTGCAGGGAAGCCCCACCCAATGAGGATGGATGGGTCAGGCTCAGGCCTGAAGAGGCACTCTGGCAGCAGTCTGCCACAGCCGGTGTGTTGGGCTATGGGGAACAAGTCTTGGGACCAAGCTGTCCAGCCTCCCTGGCTCCAGCAGGGGAAAAGCATGGCCTGGAGCTATAGAAATGGATGTCACCCTTACCCCTCCCAGGAAGCTTAGTGTGTTAGGCAGTTGTACCTCCCAGGGCTGGCTGCTGCCCCTCCGCCAAGGAGCATAAATGGCTTAGACAGCAGGCAGCCACAGCTGTGGTGCTGGTCACTACTCCCCCTGGGAGCTTGGCAGGCTTAAGCAGGTTCCAGCTGAGATGCTGCTGAGAATCTGCGTAGCTCTGGGGTTGGGATGCTAGGTGCCTGTAGCATGGGTTTGCAAGTGGCGTCTTCCGATCCGTGGGTTGCACATTTCCATGAAAAAAGCAGTTTTGCCGGCTGTGTTGCATGCTCACTCACTGCCTTCCTTGGCTGGGGGTGGGGGCTCCCATGCCCCATGTGGCTCTGAGGTGGGCCGCACCACCCTGCTCTTCCTCTCCGTGGATCACGCCAGCCACCTAGTCAGTTCTGATGAGAGAACCTGATACTTTGGTTGCGGTGAAGGATTCATACGCTTATTAGGTTTCTTTTCAATGGGAGCCTCCGATCGCCTCTGTTTCTAGTTGGCCATCTTGGTCCTGCCCTCCCAAAATTGAATTTGAAACACACTTCATATTAATAGTCACGAGTGTGTCAAACCCAGTTTTATGGGAGGCTGGATGCAGAAGTGTCTTAACATTTTATAGTTGATGAGAACAAGATAAAAATAGTATTTTCACATTTATTTGTCTAAAATTACAGGATTGATTTCTATCTGAGTAGTTATAATTGTGGCTAAATGCTTGGTGACCTATTTTCTGGCATCTACATGAATAGTTGATGTAGTGATTTATGAAGCAAAAGAATGAGGAAAAAAGCAGTATTTTAACAACTTGCAACTGTCAAGAGAGTTTCCAATGATATAACAGTAAAAAGTAAAATAATTGATAATCAATGGAAAACTCAGCCTCTGTTTAGATGTGGCAGCTTGAGATGGTCAATTTTAATCTAGTAAAACTATCTACAAAGGAATATTCAAAAGATTTAAGAAAAATATAGTGACTGCTCAGAAGTAAAACATAATGTCGATTTTGACTGCCAGAAAACAAACTTTCAATAGTGGGAGAGAGGAATGTTAAAAGCAATTCCTACAGAATTTTCTTATTTTATTAAAGAAAAGAGAGTATACCATATCTTGTTTTTGGAATCTTGTTTTGTAGATGAAGATACTTTCAAAAAATTTCAACTGACACTGTTCATGAAGCTCCTTTCCAATATCTTTGAGATGCTTCAACATCTCAAAGATGTTAAATTATTTAAATTGTCATTACATTAGAAAGGTATTACACCAAGAATCAGTAATAAATTTTGCCAGAAAATAAGCCACAGGAAGTTTGAGTAAGTTTTTCACCCAATAAAATATCAATTTGTTTAATATCTGAGAATAACATTTAGTACTCAGGACAGATGTATATTACAAGCTATTGCTGTAACAAATTAAAAGTGACACCATTTGCAAAGGTACATTATAATCTTTAGCTATTCACCTTTTAAAAATGTTGTTTTCTTTTAAGTCAGACAGTACACATTATCTTGACTTCTTCTAACATTTAGCTTTCTATTTGTGATTTGCTTTCTTTCTCCCAACTTGCCCTGGGAATTTGTTTGACTAGTAATTCTCTTGTTCTTGCTCCTTCAGTTTCTCCTCCACTTGTTCCATCTCCTCAACCTACAGAAAATGTATTCCAATTCTAACAACCTAAAAAGAAAATAAAGCATTGGGCTGCTAAAATTACCATATTGCCATATTTTCGTTATCTTTTCTTTTCCTGACAATCCACAATCCTCTATGCTAACCTCGGTTCCTCCCTGCTCCTCAGGCACTCTACCTGAGTGTCTCCAGAGACTGTCACTCACTCACAAAATTGATAGGCTTTTATTTTCTACTTTTCGAATACTTCAGCTTTGGAAGGGAGCACATTATTATACTGACCATGCCTCCTCTTTCTTTCTATTACCACTAATATCTCTTGTAAGATTTAAATATCTGCACTTGAGGAATAAGACATTCTATTCTCAACCACATTAAGCTGAAATGTTACCCTGGTATAGCAACTCTACATAAGTTCCCCGTCCTATTTTTACCTAATTTTCCCTACCTGCCTTTACCTTCTTACATTTTCTTCCCTTTTTCATCATCTCTTTAAATATGCTTTTTTTTTTTTTTCTGTTCTTGGTCAAATTGTAATTCTCTTTCCGATCTGGTATTCAGTGGATGGAAATATTGGAATGTTAACATGAGCAGTGATGCGACATCTGCATCTCAGACTGGTGCACGGAAAAATAATCCCTGGCTGGCAAGAATTGTATGTAGGCTAACTGTGAGGATAAAATAATTGTCTACTGGGGGAGCACGGGCCATGCTTCTGTGGTCACTGCCCAAAGCTTATCCCAGTTGTAGGCTTCTCTGGGTGCACACAGATATTCAAGGAGCTCCAGGCCAAAGAATGAAGTTCAGCCGTAGTAGTTCACATGGCAGCAGTCATTTCAGGTTCCCAGCCCATTTAAGGGACATTAAGAGGTTGCAGGACCTTTGAGGGGATTCACAACCCAAGATTAGTATTTGGAGATCCAGGGTTGGAGTGCATTTTCAGTGGAGAACGAAACGCTGTATAGGTAAGTCAGAGGCCCAAATATAAGACCTAGGAGATCTACACTGAAGGCTTCCGAATAAGTGAGGGTTTTTCTGTTGTGCCTCCATTTCAAATGCCACTTTTTTATGTTTTTTGAGTATTGTGATAATCAATTCTTATTGTTCCTAGAATCAGACAGATACTGCTGTGTAAGCTCTGGTCCCTTAAGGGGCCATGGCCCAGAGTTCTGACTGGCTCATGGATTCTTAATATGCTTTATTGACTTATGATTTCTTCAACATCAGGGAAGGATAAGTGTCTCCTGGGAAAATAAAATTTTCACCAAGGATCTTGTTCTGTCCCTTCTCAATTCTAGTATTTCCTTTTGCTGTAGCAACCAATATACTTATTTATCAGGGAAACTTGCCCCAGGCCTTATCTACTTCGATATTTTATAAAGTCATTTGACTACAGACATCTAGCAACCCTCCATGTTAGGCTATGAAGATTGTAAGTTTCCTATATCTTACATTACATTAGAATGAAGGTGAAGAGTTGAGATGACAGGGCCCTTCTATTAATGCTCCATAATAATTATCTCTGCTATGTGTCTGAGAAGTGATTCCCACTGAATGGCCAATAGAAGTAACCAAGAACACTGGAAAGAGTCCAGGACTTGGATTCAGGTATTGGCTACTACTCCAAGCTCTACAAATAACTAAGTATGTGTAAGCATGGGCTACTAAGCCCATCTCTAGGCCTTGGATTTTATATCTCTTAGGATAAGGTTTAGCCACCAGATAGCTAAGATCATTCATTCAAAGTGTATATGTGCCAGATGAGATAGAACAATAAGGGAGTGTCATATGTAAAAGGAGAAAATACTTAGTAAACAGCTATAGACGCTGCAATGCATAAATGCTGCTGCATACGCTTACGTATATAGTATCCACTTAACCTATTATGTGTGCGTAAGGGGGTGGAATTGGGCAAGATGAAATTGTGGAATAATTCTTGGAAGAGGAGGTAAATGAGCTGCATCTAAAGGCTAAGAAAGAATAAACATGATGAAATGTGAATGAGAGTATTTCTCAGGTAGAAAGATCATCATTGCATGCAGTTGTATGGTGGGTAAAGCCTGCATAAAGTGATTATTTCTGGGGTACAGAGGATGGGGAAAAGTCAGTCTAAGTGGGCAAATAGGAGACCAATCCTGAAGAGCTATTCAGCCTTGCAAGTGGCTGGGCTTCATGCTGAAGGCCTTAGGAAGTTACTGGTGATCTAAAGAAGGAAATGGCAGCCAGGCGCGGTGGCTCACGCCTGTAATCCCAGCACTTTGGGAGGCCGAGGCGGGCGGATCACGAGGTCAGGAGATCAAGACCATCCTGGCTAACATGGTGAAAACCCGTCTCTACTAAAAATACAAAAAATTAGTTAGGCGTGGTGGCGGGCACCTGTAGTCCCAGCTACTCGGGAGGCTGAGGTAGGAGAATGGCATGAACCCGGGAGGCAGAGCTTGCAGTGAGCTGAGATCACGCCACTGCACTCCAGCCTGGGTGACAGAGCAAGACTCCATCTCAAAAAAAAAAAAAAAAAAAAAAAAAAGAAGGAAATGGCATGGTCAGACTTGTGGGGTTTTTGTTGTTGTCGTTGTTTTGTTTGTTTTTGTTTTTGAGACAGGGTCTCCCTCTGTCACCCAGGCTGGAGTGCAGTGGCATGATCTCAACTCACTGCAACCTCTGCCTCAAGTAATCTTCCCACCTCAGCCTCCCGAGTAGCTAGGACCACAGGCACACCACCACACCCAGCAAGTTTTGGTATTTTTAGTAGACACATGGTTTCGCCATGTTGTCCAGGCTGGTCTTGAACTCCTGAACTCAAGTGATCTGCCCAACTCAGCTTCCCAAAATGCTGGGATTACAGGCGTGAGCCACAGCTCCTGGCCCAGACTTGTGTTTTTGAAGATCCCTGTGGCTGCAGTGGCTGCCGGGGGGAGAATGAGTTTGAAGAAGCAAAGCTGCAGAGTAGGGAGACAGATAAGCGTGAGAAATTAGGAATGTCTGCAGTATATCAATAGAGTAGAATTAGGAAGAAGTGGGTGAATCTGAACCATACTGAGGAAGTAGAATCAACAGGTCATGAGAATTGTACTTTTTATTTCCATATATTGAAATAGTGTTTTGTATTGTCATGTAAGCTTTAGCTAATTAAAAAACCAAACATTTTCTAGGTCTAATTATGAAATCTTGAGAAATTTCAGTCATTTTTTGGAAAATTTGATGTTTTTACATAATATAACTTTCTTGCACTGATTTTTTTGGCTCTTAGTTCATTTCCGTTCCCATCAGTATGATTGTTAAATCCCTAGTCATTTATGCAGATATTATATATTTTGAATATTCTTAAACAAAATTCTACAAAGTCTAGGATTTTTCTAACTTAGGTTAATCTGTTTGTGCTTAATTGGGCTCCTACTATGTGCTTAGCATGCTCTTTTTACTTCTTAAAAAAGAAAAAAACAACTTTTTGATACTTTTTTGAAAAGTGGAGACAAACTTTTCCATCTTTAGGGCATAGTATCAGTAACTGATGCTTAGTGGGAACCAGAAATCCTCACCTGTTCATCGTATCTTCTCCCAGTGGAGTACCTTCCAAATTTATTTCTTCTTTTTCAATGGCAAATTAAACTCATCAAAACTGCCTTTTCAATTCTTTCTAACTGGAAACAAGCAGGAGCGTTCCAGCATTCTTTATCCTACACTGACATCTGGTGGCCAAACAAAGCATTAAGAAACACTCCTGTGGGTTCTTAGATCCCTGTAAACATACTACAATTTATATATGTAATACGGGCTCAAACCCAAGGGATGCAAATATGGACAGTGTGTAGTCATCCGTCAAAAAGTGTTTAGTCTACCTATGACAACCTTCTGAACACTAATGTTATGCAATGCAAGTCCAGCTAATTCTTAAAACCATCCCTACCTCTGGGATGGTGATAAAGATAGATGCAATACATGTGAGCTTATAGGAAGAGGAGTGCAAGGTAGGGTGGTGAGTCAAGGCTGGTTCTGCTGGGTGCTTGGGGACCAGGTTAGGCATCATCGTAGACAACATAGTCTTCACTGCTTCCTGAGCTATACCGCTTCACTTTCCAGAATCCATCTTTTCTGCCCAGAAATCTCTTTCCGGGTTATTGACACCTCTTGTATAGGTTATCGATACCTCTGATATTGCTTCTAAACAGCTTTTCTTTCCTAAGGTTTTATAAATCTAGGAGTATTTTCTGATAGAATCATTTACCTTTCAATTTTTTTACTTGCTTTAAGAAATATTCCAAAACAATTTACTTTTCTCTTGCGCATTTCAATCACTAAAGATCTCTAAAAATTGTTGAGCAAATAAAAGAATGAAATTTGAAGTACTTTTTTTTATAATTGCAATTTATATCTTGATTTTTTGGCCCCCTATCAGGTTTAATCAAAATTATTATATTTCCAATCTTGGGTTATTTCTTGAGGCAGCGAAAAATGTAAGAATCTGTTTTCTTCCTAGTGTGACTGATTTTTGCTTTTGAGAATATTGACAGATTCTTTAGGTCTGATTTCACCTTTATTTCAAGTTAGTACCAAATATAATAATGAATACTGATGTAATTGATTATGATATTCAAAATTGTCTAACATGTGATGGCAAGTATAATTTTGATTGTCACTTATCTATTAGTTATACTTTTTCAAATTTCGGACCCAAATAAGGCCACTTATCTAGTGAACTCTTTATTAGAGCAACATGTGGTTTATTTAAAATGTTTGATTTTTTAATCTTTAAATACATTTAATACTTTAGTCTTTCTGTGTGATTTCTTATGTTAGTACTGCTAATCTTTACTTCTCCCTCCAGGATTATGACTTCTCGTGTGCTTCCTATGTTACAGTGCTGGGAACGTGATAGGGAGTTACTTAAATGTTCTAAGATTTAGTTTGATTCAGTGGTGAAGTAAACCACACACAAACACACACACACACGTGCAACAACTGCACGTGAAGCATCCATTTGGATTTTTCAACCATACTGCTCAACGTATTTCCTGAACTTCTTTTCCAGCAGAATATTATGGAAACTTCACTATAACCTATTGAGTCCCATTCTTTATTTCCCCAAATGTTCTCTGATACTGTCTTTTTTTCTGATTGTATAAATTCATTGAGCTAAGGCTGTAGAAAAACAATTACTCATATGCACGTATGATTAGCAGGCACCCAACATAACTGAGAACATAAATAGTCGGTTGTGGTTTGACCTGGTTACATTGGCCATGCTAAACAATGGTGGGACAGCATCTCATAGGGCAGAGAACAGGCTTGTGTTTGAATCTTACCAAATAACTCTTCCCTCTGTGCCTCTGTTTCTTCATCTATAAAATGAGATAATAATGTTGACTCCAAGTTGGTGGTAGTTTTGTGGGATGAACATTTATATGTGTCTAATCTATAGTAGGCACTCATAAATACTAGTTTTCTTCTTCTCCTACCCATCTTAATAGACGTGTTGGCCAGACATCTTTCATCCAGATTCAGCTGTGAAGCTATTCCCTAGAAAAACCCTGGGAAAAAGCTCCTGACTGAAAAGTTGTTATGCCACTGGAGAGTAGCTATTGATATTATAATGTCATTTGCTCTCCCTTGCCTATAGCCAAACCCTAATGCATAACAGACTCCAAAGAAGGTCTGGCCAAAGCATAAAGCAGTCTTGAGAGGCTGGCCATTCTATGTGACAGGAGAAATTCCAAACAGATTAAATTACCTCTTGGTGTAAGAGTGATTCTTAACGTGAGACCTAACAAGTCCAGTGTGAATACTAAGAATGTAAGTTTCTCCATTGTGTCTATTTGGGAATTCTTATTGCTTAACCAGCTTCTGATGCTGTGAATGCCATTTTTAGTTTCACATTAAATATGAGATTTCTTCTGCTTTGTTGGTCTCTGAAGATTGCTCAGCGAGCACCTGGAATAAAGAGGAGCGAATGGCAGAAAGCGGGTAGGGATAAAGGGAGAAAAGATGACATAGACTGTGGTCCCTGATGAATCCAGGAACCACAGCCTGAAGCAGTTTATCGTATTTTAAACATGTTCTGTCCAAAAGATGCTGCCAAATAATCATGCAATCTAAGAATGTGCATGGTATGCAAATGCAGTTTGAAGACAGGTCCTGTCTCCCTCCCAACCAGATTGTCTCTTCCCCAAGTGTCCTGTGAAGGAGTTTGAAACTGACACTGCTTGTTTTCCAGGTTTAGTACTTTCCTCACTTTAGCAGATCCTATGAAAGGACCAGGAAAACATTATTTCTCCATCCATCTGTTTGAAAATCTCTTGCTGTTATCATCTACAACCTTAATCATGCTTCTTAAGCTTATTTGGGACACTGAGGTCTACACTGGTGATCGTCTGGATATTATTTTCTTTTCCTTTCTTCTCTTAGTTTTGGCATCTGTTTAAAAAGTTTTAAGATAATCTTTCACAAGTACACAGCATATAAAATATGTTGTCTCAGTTTGTTTGGGCTTCTGTAACAGAATACCTTAGACTGAGTCATTTATAAACAATGGTAATTTATTGCTCATGGTTTTGGAGGCCAGGGAGTTCAGGATAGGTGTTGACAGACTCAGTTTCTTGTGAGCGCTCACTCTGTGCTTCAAAGGTGATGCCTTCTTACTGTGTCATCACATGGTGGAAGGGGCAGGGAGCCCCTCAAGCCTCTTTTATAAGGGCACTAATCCCATTGATAAGGGTAGATCCCTCCAGATATAGTCACCCCACAAAGCCCACACCTCTTAATACTATCACTTTGGGTATTAAATTCCAACATATGAATTTTGAGGGCACACAGACATTCAGACCATAGGATATTTGGACATTTTTCTATATCAAAATAAAAAGCGCAGATCTTTACATTTTACAGCTTCATTTCTTCCAGGAGATGCCCATACATATTACTTGAGGGCCCAAATGAATTTATAGTTGGGAGGTTTTAACTACAGGGTTTCCTAAGATATTTTCTGTGCCTACCAAAACTGACCAGATTTGCATGGAAGTTAAGAATCGTGTTTTATTTTAAAGCAAGTACATGGCTAATCTTCTCAGGTGATGTATTTGAGAACTGAATCGCTGTGTAGAATTTTTGCTCTAATTAATTTGAATATATATTTCAAAGATTTTAAGATCCTACATTTTAACAACACAATCTTGTGTTTGGCACAAGTACTTAAGATAAAAAACATCACTGACCAAATACAAGTTTTCCATGGACATTTTTCTTTTACAAAGATCTGTCACAGATTTGAAGAAGATGACATTTGTAGAGATCTGATGGAGCGGTAGGTCTCTTAGGGAGGAGAAGATAACGCGGTTATCTGCCACCAACCCCCAGAGTGTGGCAGCCCTTTGGCCAGTGGATGCATGCTGTTTTTATTTTCAGATTCTCTCAAGTCTACATGTCAGAATCACTTTCAAAATCTGGATCAGCAAAATAAACTTAAAATGACATAGGCAAAGGCACACTTAATAAATATTACAATACCTTAGAAATTAGTTTTCCTGAAGTAAGTAGGAAGAAACAAATTTATACTGAAAATGCAAAACAACCTGAAAATATATATATATATGTCAAAATGCTTATGATTTTTCTTTTGAGTTGTGGTGACTGTGAATATTTTTTCCTATTTTTATTATTTTCCAAACTTTTTTCCATGAATATTCTTTAATAAAAAATATGCATAGTATTTGCGAAAAATTAAATCTGTTTACAGATATGTTGCAAATATTAAAGTAGTATAAGGAACACTGGTATGTCCTTTATTAACTATTGTTAATATTTTATCATATTGGCTTGTCATTTGTATACATGTTTGCTCTTCTCCCATACACACACTCCTTAACTATTTTTAAGTAGATAAAATCAACTTTATTTTACATTTTTACATCCATATATATACATACAGACACTTCAGAGAATATTTCTTTGATTCTGTTAAGATTTGTGGATTTATAGAAGAGTTGTACCAGAGCTCCTGTAAGCTTGCTAGTTTTGCCTAGTTTAAGTATTAATTTAATGGAAGGCTATGTATAACAAAACCTCTGCAAATATTGACTTTAGACAGTCATGGCCATGAAACATTGTGTCCCTGCAAATAATCACTAACCAAAGTTATACTAATTCATGCACGCCTATTCTCATTACCTGTATTAAAAAAAAACCCCACAAAATAGAGTAAAATTTGTTCCTGGTGGATTATGAAATAATACTGAAAACTTTCTTTTCCGTATTTTATGAACCTTTACTTAAGAAACATTATTTAAAATATAATAGAATGTGATTTCCAATTAGGTCAGTGTAAATAATAAAACACATGACATTTTAAAGATAGGGCACTTGTATTTTATCCCCAGTAGGGGAAAGAAAGAGAAAGAGACAGGCAGACAAAGAGACAGACAGAGATCTGCATAATCCATTCATTTCTGAAGATAACTAGCTACTATGATGCTGCATTTCTTTTCTCATAGGCCCATAAAACTTCAAAATTGAGAAAGATATTTGAGGCCATCCAGTATCACTTTCATAATATTGGAAGTTCCCACTGCAACATCCATAACATCTGGACTTTTGTCTTTGCAGGACATTATTGAGAGGAAATATTGGGGTGGAGGCAGATGACTTGTTCTAATTGTTAAAAGCTCTAATTGTTAAAAATAAAGAAAGAGTTTCTTCTTACACTGACATTTCCAAAGTAAATTACCAAAGCACTATACCCGTCCCTGATTGTTAGACTTTACCACATTATTATTATGGTCACAGACATGTCTTATTTCCATGACGTGGCTGAGAAATCCTTGATGAGAAAATCTCATAGCAATCTCTCCCCAGATCACTTTTCACATATGATAGGTAGTAAAAAAATATTTGAGAATAGTTGATTGTGCCAGACTGTTGTGTCTCATTATGAAAAAAAGCCTGTTAAGTGATATCTTTTCCACCGTTTTGTCCTCCTTCAGCCCGTTTTCTCACATGGCCACTAAAGTTAACTTTCTAAAAATCATAGGCTTCCATGCCTCTCTTCTCTTCTGCTTACACAAGAATCTCTTTCCAGAGGTCCCACTCACAACTACAAGTAGGTTGACTTATTTTTTTATGGGATTGGGAAGAGGAGGAGGCTGCTGGTTCTTGTGAGGTTTTCAAGTGGAACTGCCTTGGTTACCTCTTTGGTTAAAAGTTAAAGATATTAAGTTTCAATATTTGTTACTTTAACAAAATGTATGCTATACATTGAGTTAATATTGACCAACTCTTTAATTTGGGCTCCCCAATTTTAGACATTTACAATCCAACCTAAATTAATATATGGTGGCCAATTGCCACACCCTTGAAAAAGTAAATGATGAGTTTATTATTAGAGAATAATATGCTAGGAAATAAGGTATAAATCATATGTATCAGTCTTTGACCCAAAAGCTTCCAACAAACTGATTCTCAAACCAGTGTAACTTTGATTTTCTATTACTTTTGCTAATGTCAACAACCCTAATCCTGCAGTTTGTTCTTTAGAGATATTTTAAGTCAATTATGCTATTTATGTTTTTACATTTATAATTATACAAATAATAGTTTTTTAGACTAACTTTATCTGAGGATAACTAAACTTTCTCCTGAGCTCTAGACATCTGTTTAGCTGTGTATGTAACATCTGAATTTGAATGATTTTTAAGTATCTGAAAAATTCTCTAACTAAATTGAGCATTTTTATTCTGTCAAGCTTAGGCTGTTTTCTTCTTCTTCTTCTTCTTCTTCTTCTTCTTCTTCTTCTTCTTCTTCTTCTTCTTCTTCTTCTTCTTCTTCTTCCTCCTCCTCCTCCTCCTTCTTCTTCTTCTCTTTCTTCCTCTTCTTCTTTTTTAAGCTAAAGGAACTACGTTTGGTAATATAGCCATTGAATCCAGAAAACTGAGAATCCTGCCCACTTTTCTCTCCAGTTAACCTTGATATGCTATGAATTCAGTTCCCTTTAGAACTCTTGATTTGTTTCTCCCATCTTCATGAACACTGGCTAATCAGGCCCATATTTTTTGCCTGGATCATTGCAATAACTTCCTAACTGGTTGCCCTGCCCCCCGCCCCACCAACTCCTTCCCTCTGTATTCCATCATCTTGGTAAGCCCAGCCTTTCTAAAATGCTAGTCACATATTATTTACTAGTAAAACTCTGTCTTCAGGATCAACTTTAAAGCTCTTAGCACAGTACCAAATCGTTTCCGTAGGTCCCTGCATACATCTCCCATTGCATAGCCTCCTTTTCCACACATTGTATTCCACATTCTGCCGTAATGAACTGTTTATCATTTTCAGGTACATAGTCACTGTTTAATCCATGTGTTGGCCCTCATGGGAGTTCCTCTGTCTGTTCCTTCCTTCCCTTCTTTTCTGAATAATAAATTTATATTCAGCCTTCCAGATCTACTTATTTTTTGAAACCTTTCCTAACTACCCCAATTTCTATGCCACTATTCCTTCTATGCTACTATTGTACTTTATGCATATTGTTAAGAATATTGTTCTGTTTTTTGTTTCTGTCTCTCCAAATGTGAGCACCAAATAGACAGAGATCATGTATTGTTCACACTTTCACATGCACTTTTAGCACAAAGACATTAAAGAAATATTTGTTGAATGGCTGCTTAAATGAATATATTAACTGTTTGATCTTAGTAGCTATCAGTTTATCCATCCTAACTTCTCAGTCTTCTGGAATGTTGGTATATGCCATACCAATCACAATAGATAGCCCATGGCTACATGATCATGCTATTATGTTCCAATGGGCACGCATCATCTTCTTGAGTTAACTCTCTTAGGGCTTCTCTTTTCCAGTGTTACACAGAAAATCTATTATATATAATTTAAATGATCGTTAACAGATGTGCATCACAATTCAGAGTTCAAAAGAGAACATGACATTCTCATTAAGCAAAAAGCGTATTTTCAGGCCATGCAATGTTTCTTGAGAAGCAATTAACATATCACACATTATTCCTGTGAGACAAAAACTGTTTCTTTCCCATCTTAATTTGCCTGCTTAAAAATAGACAGAAGAAGATAGATGAGTTTATGCTCAAGGTGTATGCATTTCCCTTGCGGCCCGTGAACACATTTCCTTTTCATATTTGCAGAATATTGGTACAATTATTCTTTCATCAGACATGAAATTTGAGTGTATAACCAGTTTGTGGTTATCACCTACTAATTTATTAGGTTGATAACAGCAATTAAGCCACAATTGCTTCTGAGAAATATGAATTGACTTTCCGTTTTAAATGGATAATTTAGCATCTCAAACCACCGACATAGAGTTTAACTAATTTCTGGGATAAGAAGTTTGTTTCTCCTAGTATTAAACTTAAAAAAAATTCAACCATTGATCATCCAGTTACTAATTATTTAATTGTGGGATTATGTGGTTTGTGAAATTTCTTAATTTTTTTTTTTTTTTTTGGCTGCATGCCTTTTGACTATTTATGGGTATCGTAAGGGAGAGGATTTTGGACAGAAATGTAACATATCAGTAGTAGGCCCATGGTTTATCCACCGACTTAAAAATGTAAAAATTATTATTAGCTTTATAAGCTTAAGACCATATAAAAATGGGCAGCAGATCTATTTTGGTCCACAGACCATTGTTTGTTGACCCTGGCTTAATCAAATCTTCAGAGGAGATTCTCAGAATTTACCAACCACAGGAGGTGGCTGTCTCAGCTGGTCTCCTGCCCATTGAAAGTAGAATTAGGCTGAGTGTGGTGGTTCATGCCCATAATCCCAGCACTTTGGGAGGCTGAGGGAGGTGGATCGCCTGAGTCTGGGAGGTCGAAACCAGCCTGGGCAATGTGGCAAAACGCTGTATCTACAAAAAATACAAACATTAGCCAGGTGTGGTGCCATGTGCCTGTAGTCCCAGCTGTTTGGGAGGCTGGAATAGAAGGATCACTTGAGCCTGGCAGGCAGAAATTGCAGTGAGCCAAAATCGTGCCACTGTACTCCAGCCTGAGCAACAGAGTATGAGACCCTGTCTCAAAAAAAAAAAAGGAGAACTAACGTTTGTCATATGACAATAGGTTACTCATCCCCATTCCAATAATTCTGAATCTCAAGTACACTGAACCACATCAATTGCTACTGTAGACCTAAATGTACATATCTAACTAAAAGGCCATCCACATATATTCATCTGCAAATATTAGGTTCACTGTAGTGACCTATTTTGCTCCAGAAGCCTTTTGGTAAAGGTTGGGAAAAGGATATTCTTGTTTTAGGAATCCTGACTCCACTAATCAGCAAATGTTTATCAAATACTTATGTATGAAACATTCAGCTGGGTGGAGCAGAAGATACCGACCTATAAGGAAAGCATCCTAACTGGTGATCTGTTTCTCTCACACACACGTGTGTGCACACAGGCGCACTGCTGCCAGTGCATGGTAATATCAGACAAGAGCCAAAAGGGAAATTTGAATAAGTGAAAAGAAGCTTAATAATGGGAATTAAAGAGGAAAGTTTTGTACACAAGAGAGTTAAAGATCGTGTTTCCAGAGAAGGATCCACATACGCTGCCAAGAAGCATCAGAGAGGAAGGGGCTGAAACAGTCAGCAGAGAAGAATTAATAACACGGTTACACATGAAGCATACTGGGGTGGGGCAATGCAGAGACCACTTTGGCAGGAGCCGGGGGTTCATGAGGAGAGACGAAGTTTGAGAGGCAGAGACTTGCGCCGGATTGCTGAGAATCTTGAAGGCCAGGCATCTTAGTCATGAACTGAGTAGAGGTGAGATTATATTTTTTTTACACAATGCTTGCTGAAAATGACATCTCAATTCAAGGGCTGGATGAAAATGCAACTCATTGCTTTATTCCCTTATGAATTTTGATATAACTCACAAAATTAATCTAATAGAAATGAAATTGGAGAATTACTAGGTAAGAGTCCAGCATCTGAAACTTGTCGGGTCCTAGATAATAACCTATTACAGGCCATGGGGAGCCGTTGAAGGTTTGAGGCCAGTGGGGTAGTGTGGTTAAGCAGGATTTTAAGACTAGGCTGTTAGGAAAATATGCTTTACCGAGAAAAAAAAAAGATAAATTTAAAGTCTCGATGAAGGAAATGGGAGATGATCATGACTTGAATAAGGGGGGAATATGGACTGACCATGGAAATATAAAGTATTACATTAAAAATAGCTATTTGAAATGATTTGATGTTTAATATCTATAACTCACTACATTTCATATATTGTTCAAATCTCTTTACTTATATTATTTAACTTTCTCAACAACACTGTTGTATAGGTACTGCTAAGATTCATTCCTGTTTTTCAAATGAGGAAGCTGAGACGCTTTTAGCATTTAAGCAACCTACTCAGCTAGAAAGAATTACAACTAGAAGGAATTGGAGCCAGGTTTCTAATCCAAGCCATCTATCTTAGTCCATTTGTGCTTCTAAAACCAAATACCCAAGAATGGGTAATTTACAAAGAGCAAAATTTTGTTTCCTCACAGTTATAGCACTGGGAAATCCAAGATCAAAGTGCCAGCATGTTTGGTTGTCTGGTGAGGGTTGTTCTCTGCTCCCAAGATGGTGCCCTTCCCCTATGGAGGGGAAGAATGCTGGATCCTGGTATGGCGGAAGGCAGAAGGGCAAGCTAGCCAAATGCTCCTTGAAACCTCTTTTATAAGTGCCTTAATCCAGTTCAAAAGGGAGGAGCCTTATGTCCCAATCAGCTATTAAACGTGCCACCTCTTAATATTATCACCTTGGCAACACCTGAATTTTGGAGGTGACACATGTAAACCATATCACCATCCAACTCTTAACCCCTGTAACATTTTATACCTTGGTCTTAGATTATATATATGGTTTCTTTTCTTTCTTTTTTCTTTTTTTGAGATGGAGTCTCACTTTGTCACCCAGGCTGGTGTGCAGTGGTGTGATCTCAGCTCATTGCAACCTCTGCCTCCCGGGTTCAAGTGATTCTCCTGCCTCAGCCTCCCGAGTAGCTGGGATTATAGGTGCCCGCCACCATGCCCAGGTAAGTTTTTTTTTATTTTTAGTAGAGATGGGGTTTCACCATATTGAGCAGGCTGGTCTCGAACTCCTGACCTTGTGATCCACCCGCTTTGGACTCCCAAAGTGCTGGGATTACAGATGTGAGCCACTGTGCCCGGCCGGTCTTAGATTATATTGATGCTTGATCTTTCAACATAGGTTCCCAAGAGAACACAGCTACAAGTGCACGGGCCTTGGAGTCAGAAAGACTTCTCAAGTCTTCCACTGTGTGGCCTTCATCAAGTCACCTAACCTGACCGAGGAACGGTTCTTGCATTTATAAAGTGAAGATTTCTCATTAATTCTAATTTCTCATTAGGAGAATGAAGGGAGATTATGGATTCTTGTTTCCCTTCTACTTCCATTTTTCCTCCTTATAAGTGAGAGTGTTAGGTTTTGGAGGAAAATGAGAAGTACTTTCTCATACATCTGATATTTGAGGTGATGGCAGAACTCCCAACAGATCATGTCCAGTGTACAGCTGTAGTAAGGGCCAGCTTCTTAGAGGGTCGGGATTGGACATGGTACTTTGGTTCTCTTTCACAAGCAGGTGATAGTAGAGAGTAGTTGAGCCCTCTAAGAAAGAGTTGTTGAGAGGACTACTGAGAACAGGGAGCAGGGCCTTGAGATATACCAACTTACTGAGGTAGATCCAGGAAGAAGAACTGGGCAAGTGAAGGGAAGGAGGAGTATGAATAGAACCACAGTAAAGCAGGGTTTTGTAAAGCATAGGGGAGGCTTAACTTAGTCAGCGGGTGGTAAATTGTGTTCAAAACACACAGAGCTCAAAGAGGATGAATACTGAATAAAAACGATGGTCAAGAATGTAGAACGTTCCAGGAGACTAGAGATAACATGACTGTTTTTTTTCAGGAAAAGAATAAAATCCATTTCCTTTGTTAAGCCCTCTAAAAATCTGATTTGATTAAGTGCATTTTGGATACTCACTTTCTAATCAATTCATAATATAAAGCTAAGGATTATTATCTTTGCCCTGCTTTACGTACTTAATTGTAAACTAGTATCCTTGTCGGAGCTAGAGAATGTGCTCCTGAAATGCCATAGCAACTCAGCAACACACAGAGATGATGGGATTAGGGAAAATGAAGTTGGCATCCACTAGATTTCACAATCCAGTAGGAACAGCCCAGAGCTGAACTTCCTCGCCCAGTTTATTCATTTGCTTTGGTAAATCACTTTGTCTTTCTAAATATAAGCTTCTTCTCAAAAACGAAGCTAATGTGAGCTTAGGTAAATTTCTCTTAAAAAACACATTAAGTATCTAAGGATAGAAAGTGCTGTTTAATTATTAAGTCATTATCTTTGTCATTTATTTCCAATTAAACTGAACTGTTTAATTACAAATAACATCTTAAGTAGATAAATGGCATAATTAGTTTATTTTTAACTATATGCCTGCGAAGCAAAAGTTATTTATAAAATACTTTGCAATTTAAAAATTAAGGCAAATCTAAAATGGTGGTTAGAATTTTTCTGTAGCTTAATAAAAAATACATGATTAAAACTCAAGGTCCTTGGTATCTTTCATTCCTAGTGCTACCCCAATTACGTCAAGAGAAACTTTTCATGTAAAGATAGAAAGATTCACCCTGGGAAAGCTTGGCACAGAATGAAAAAGATGAAAATGTATCTGTATTAATTATTGATACACTACAGGGAGAGTAAGTGTTTAAAACCAAACAAATAACATTCTTTTGATTTAGACACCTCGGTTAATTTATTTAAATGATCTTGATTTATGCTTTTATCTCAGAGTCCAGTCTTTAAAATAAGTATTTAAAGCATTCAGAGCCAGAATTATGATCATGCCTCATTGTCTATAGGTGTCTTTCATTCTCAATTTTCAGTGCTGTAAAATTCCAATTTTATTTCCCTGTTTATAGGCATTTTAATGGGAAACTGGGAGAGGCTGCCTCAGGGGTTACTAGTCAAGTATTTTAAGCTGGATAGCAAACTTTTTTCTTTGTTTTAAGAAGGATTCCATAGTGAAGAGTTAATCAGTAGGTATTGCTGGACTTGTTTATGTTGTTTTGTTTGGTTTGGGATTGTATCAGTGCATCAAAATAACATAATGAATAAAATAAAATGCTTTAACAAATTTTGATCCCACTAAAGCTTTCTGTGACCTAGACACTTGGTAATGGGTCAACACAGCATGAAGTCCTAAGCTAAACCAAAGCTAACATTTCTATAGTCATGCTCAGTCACTGTCATATTTCACCTGACCTATGGCATCGGTACCTGCGACTACATGGCTTTGCCCCCTCTTCGTTATGTGGAAAGAAACAGAATCTTGAATTTAATGCTTGGGAGGAAGAAGGAAGGAAGCTCTGTGGTATCCGTGAAATATAAAACTTACCCAGTTATACCCCAAGACAAGGCAAACCACAAAATTTAAATATTAAAAGGTAAATAGAAGAGCCAATAATAATTCATAATACATTTAAAAATAACTAAAAGAGTATAATGGGAATGTTTGTAACACAGAGAAACGATAAATGCTTGAGGTGATGGACACCTCATTTACCCTGATGTGATTATTACACATTGTATGCCTGTCTCAAAATATCCTGTGTACCCCATAAATAGATACACGTACTATGTAGCCTTAAAGACTAAAAATTTAAAAATATAAATTTTTTAAAGGGTACATAGAATGGGGATGATGATTAAGTTACAAAAGACAGAAAGTGAAGACATGGGTACATTGTAGCACATTGCTGGGAAAAGCTCAGAATAATTAATGGAGAAATATACCTACATTTAAACATGCATTGTCATTTAGGTTTTCTGGTTTTCATTGCTTTAATTGCCCCATATCAGAAGGACATATTCCTTTGAAAGAATGACTTTGACTAATGTTAACTTTCTCTTTCAGTTTTTTTTTTTTTTAAGATTTAAAAGATAAAAGTGAATGACTGCATAGAGGCATGTTGACATTTATTCTTTCTTCTGCTTGCTTGATTCAAAATAGTCATGCTGGACAGCAGGTGGTAAGTGCCTGGTGTTTATGAGGCAGAACAGCAATTTACTATTTTCCTTACTTGTTGCCTTGAACTATGAAGGTAGTAAAAATCCAGGACACATTTGTCTTACAGAATTGTCACAATCAACAAAGAAAATCACAGAATCACAGGACTTTTTCATACCACTAGCATTTGCATTTTCCATGCTGATTAGCTTAGATTTTGGAAAAAAAGTTATGAAAATCAGCCACACTTTATATTATCAAATTGCTTTCTTTGTTGTCTTTCTTGGCATTTTGAAAATTCTGTGTACGTTTCAGATGACTAAGTAGTTCACTTAAAGGTTTAACCAATGTTGAAAGCCAGAAAGTGTAAAGATGAGTAAGATTTTCTTCCTACTCTTTAACAAGCTGTTTCTTGGCTAGTAAAGACCATTGTCAGCTGTGCACTAAAAGTCTTTGAAACATAATCTGTGGGTAAAACCATTGAATTAGTGTTCTATGTGTGCTAGAGCTTTCCTACTGACTTAACTGTAATTAAAAACATTACTTTATGCTCCAGGTCTTGTCAGGTATGCCCATCTTTCTCAATTACAGCTGAGTACAATTAGATACAAACTCAGCTTTAAGACGGTTAACTCCTAGCCAAAGAAAGACTGAGCAATATTTGTATTTACCTTCTTGGTAGAAGAAATATATTGTAATACCTACTGACCAGTTTGAAACAGAGGTGAGGATTAAAATTAGGAGAAAGTAGCATTTTAGAGGTTTTATTCCTGGTGATTATTTGCTGTTTTTGATCCCCTCTTGAAGTATGAAAGAATAATATGCTACTGTGCTACTGTGACTTTAGTTTTTGAAATGGGGAAATGGCTGTTGCATTGATTCCCTCACGATGATTAGCATCGTGCATGCAGAAAGGATACATGAGGTAAACAATTAGTGCAGTGGCTAAGAGCATAGACGCCAGAGCTAGAGGGCACGCATCCCAATTCCAGCCCTGCTCTTTGCCCTGAGGTCATGCCTGCACAATAATTCATCTCTCTGAACACATTTCTTGCTACATCTACTTGACATCTAGGTGTGTTTTTTTGCTTTGCATTTCTTGTTATTGGATATTAGGTCTTCCTATTGGGTATTCCTTGTTTATATGAAGGCGATAGATTTTGCATATTAATACAGGTGCCCATACCACTACCCGATGTTCATATACTTATAATCAACCTTCCACCAGACTTCTCCAGTTAAAGGGCTCATAAGAACTTCACCTGCTCTTCATCTGTTATCTTTCACAGTTGTTCAAGGATCAGCAAATGTTTTCTTCCTCTTCTTTTTTTTTTTTTTTGAGATGGAGTCTGGCTCTGTCGCCCAGGCTGGAGTGCAGTGGTGCGAGCTCAGCTCACTGCAACTTCTGCCTCCCAGGTTCAAGCAATTCTCCTGCCTCAGCCTCCCAAGTTGTTGGGATTACAGGTGTGTGCCACCATGCCCGGCTAATTTTTGTATTTTTAGTAGAGGCGGGGTTTCACCATATTGGCCAGGCTGGTCTCGCACTCCTGACCTTGTGATCTGCCTGCCTCAGCCTCCCAAAGTGCTGGGATTACGGGCATGAGCCACTGCGCCCGGTCAGCAAATGTTTTCTTGAAGGGCCAAGAGTAAATATTCCAAGGTTTGTGTGCCATACAGTTTCTGTCCTAACCATTCCCCTCTAACATTGCAGTGTAAAAATAGGCATAGACAGTATGTAAATGAATGAGCCTGACTGTGTTCTAATAAAACTTTATTTGCAAAGTAGGAGTTTGACTCCTAGGATGTAGTTTGCTGATATCTGCATTATTGGTGTTGTTAGTGTTAGAGGTCTAGGTTTTATCTTTGTCTCCTTCTCCCTCATTGTCATAGCCTATATATTTTCAAATCCTGCCAGATTGACATTCTACATTTTTCTTAAATTCATTACCTTCTCTTTATCCATATAGACACAATCCTGATTTGTAGTTTCCTCACCTCTCTTTTGGGCTCTGAAGGCTTGATGCTGTCCTGCCTTCTGCTTGCAGTCCTGCCAAAGCTAACTTCCTTAGCTGCAATAAGAAACTGTCTAAACCCAAACAGGATTATGTCACTCCTTTGCTTTAAGATCTCTGATGATTCATCATTGCCTAAAGGGGTGTTCTCAAATTGAAAACTTTGTAACATGGCAGAGAAGTCGCTTCAGAACCTGGTTCTTTCTCTCTCTCCAACTGCATCTCCCATTCCTATTTATGTCCATTCAGGCCCTTGAGGAAGCAAGGTAGATGGGATTTTATGTATAAGGAGGAATTGCCTGTGAAGGATAAAATAGGAGTGACTGGGCTTTTGTGGAGCTTTTAGACTGCTATGGGGACAAACACCTTTGAAAGGAGAGCAGGAAAGAAAGTGGATTGAGTAGGAAGAGGCTCAGCACTGTTCCCAGCAAGTCCCAGTCAGGCCAGTGGGGAGCCCGGATCAGGAGCTGAAGCTGGTCATTGGAGGAGTCCCTGTTGGGCAGGAGCATGCGCCTGTGCTTAGTGATTGACTGGCGCTGCCTGGGGTCAAGTGCAGCCTACACATGAGACTGCAGTAGAACTACAGGTGCAGCAGATGGAGATGGTCAGTTAACTATGCCCCCCAGCAGTTTAACTCAGAGGAGAGTGGCTTGGGGCCCCTCTATGGCACCGTACATGTGACCAGCTTCAGTTGATCTCTTGTAATATTTTTCATATAATATGCCATCTCTCACCTCCTAGCCCATCTGCATTGCCCCTTCCTGCTCCTAACTTTGCTTGGCCAACCGCTTTTCACTCTTTAAGTCTCAGCTGAGGGATAAACTCTTCTGGAAGTATTTTTTTACTTTCTACCTCTCAACTGTGCAAATTGCCATCATTCAGTCATTCCATAACATCATTAGCCATTTCTCCATTACAATTGGTTGTACATATTTTTGTGCTTGATTAGAGAGTCAACCTCTTGAAGAAAGGATTATTTAATATGTGCTCTTAGACTCCTACAGTAACTGGCACTCATTTGTTGAATGAATGATTATACTCTCAGTTATCTATTGGGAGGGTTAGGTGACTCAGATAGCATAAAAAGGACAGCATGACAGATAATACTTAAGTATTATATTTAATTTAAAAGAATTAAATTTTCGTTTTAAAGTAATATACTTTATAATTGTAATTATGACATATTAGACTCATTTCACCTAAATGTGGACAATCTTATACAGTTGAAGGAACACTGGGCTTGAAATCAAAAGACCTGTGCTCAAATCCTGGTGACCTTATTTGTGAGCTGAATGACCATGGGACAACATCTCTGGCATCATTTCCCTATTCAATAAGATGGGAAGATAGGGATCTCAAAGACACTGCATTTTGAACCCATCAAACCATTTGTAATACATCCAAATACTTGCTTTGATGGAGGTCTGTCTGTTTTCTCCTCTTATGTCAGAGCTTGCATCAAGCCAGCTCGGTGTCTCATTGTATACTGAAATTTTAGATCACATAGCTTTTTGTGGAGACAATGAATGATAAGAGCAATTTAAAAGTAGTGCTGTTACAACAATTGTGTGTGTGGTGAGTGCTGGTAAATGTATTATTCTGGGAAGTAGTTTCGAACTACATAGTCTGCTAAATTATTTTAGGTTAAAATTTTTATAGAGCGCCACATGAGAGCAAATGGGAGATCAATTATGTGAGACTAGAGAGACTGTTATAGCACCGACTTGAAGGCAGAATAGGATTCTAGTCTTGTTGGCTTGGGGGTGAATTATTGTGGCTGTTATCTTTATGTCCATGCATTCCAATTGCCACTCCATAAACTGTAAGAATGAAAACAATAATTTTTTAAAGTAGAGATGTTAATAAAAATAAGTAAAACTCATAAAGCACAAAATAGTATGCAAAGCAAATAAGCAAATAAGAAAATAGACATGATAAACATAGATTAACTTAAAACATAAGAAAAAGATAAAATAAGAAATGCAGGCCCTCTATCTGTAAATGAACTAAAATGACAATGTAAGATGGAACTAAAAGGTCAAAAAGATAAAATGACTAAATGAGCTTTAAGAATGCCGACAGGAGATGGGGATATTTACAATGTAAAAGAATGAACTAAAATAAGTCTGTAAAGTTGTAAACAGCATAAGAGCCGGTCACAGGAGCATACTTTTGCTGCGAAGGGAGAGACAGGAAGGCTTCTCCTCATCCTTTCACTCTTTGGTGTTGGTGTGCTGCCCTCTTAAAGTATTCTTCTGTGACCAGGGAGGGGAATCTGGCTCCTGGATGTTGATGATGATGATGATGATGGTGATGATGGTGGTGGTGGTGATTTGGTGCCCCTTCCTGCTAGCAGAGGGCAGCCACTCAGAGAGGTGAGGACAGGCAGAGCTGGTATGGAGAACTGAGGCCTGTTAGAGCCCTGTGTTCATGGCTGTTTGCTGATCTGAATGTCCCTGAAGTGTGTTAGGATAGATGGCTTACCTGGGTGTTTCTTAGTTTTTTAATTACTTTCAAATTATACAATGGCAAATACTCCTCCTTCTTTTCACTTTTTCATTCTCTGTATATTTCTTGCTCAGGATGGATTCATTTCCAGGGGTTGGTTTTTTATTTGTAGGAACTATAGATACAGCCTTTTCCTCTAGCTCTTGAGCCTCTGGTTTCATTTCTGTTTTTTCCTTATTTTCTCGCTTGTTGGAGCCTGTTGGAAACCTGGCCAATTCTCTAAAAACAGACAGAGACAGACACATACAACTACATACACACAAATAAGCCACAGCCCCTTCCATACACATGCCCGTGTGCATATACACACACGTACACATACATGCATCCACTCCACCCATGCATACATACTGTACCGACCCATTCATAGATTCATAAACACACACACAAATAGCACATATCTTGCCCCATACACACATACACACACAGCTCCACATACACACAACCAGTGCCCATCTCATCCGGGATACACACACACACACACACAGACACACACCCACATGCAATCAGTACCTCTTCCCGTGCACATGTGCATGCACACACTTACACAGGCCCACGTGCACTGGCCTTTTTTCTTTGTGCCTTTTGTCTCCCGAGCGGCTTCTCCCTGCTGCTTTTCACATCCATCATTGCAATGCTCCCCATCTGTACTGCAGATACAGATCTGAATATTGTAAAATTATTGTTTCTTTTCCAGGGAGATTTTTTAAAAAGCTTTTCCACTGTGATCTGTAAATAATGAATAATTCCATTAGAAATGTGATGGATAGTGTAACTTTTATGCAGAGTTTGTCAAGCTCAATGTTTCAGGCTTTTACTTTCACAACAGCCCCAGGCCATGGCAGGTAGGAAACTCAATTGGCTGACACTCCAAAGTCTCTCTTGTCACATTTCCCAAAGTGTGTTCCTTGGGTTCTCATAGATAATTCATGCGTTTTAAAAGCAGCACTTTCCATGCTCGAATAGATTTGGGAAACGCTACAGTGAACTGACTCCTTTAGTGCAGAGCTCCCCAAAGCATTTCATATGATAATTTGCTGTAGGTCATGCGGTATTTCCAAAACATATTTGGCCAGGGAACCTTATTTTTTCATCAAAACATTATATCTCTAAGCTCAGTGTTCCATGGAAAATAATTTAGGAAATAGTATTCTAATGACACTAGTACATTCTCTCTACTGCAGAGAAACTGTTTTACAATTGTCCTTACTGAAGAGTTCAAATTTACCTCCCCATATTTCCATCACATTTGCAGTTCTTGACACGTTTAGTCCTAAAGTACAATAAATACCTGTTCTAAAGCCAGTATATGATTCTGAAGAGTCTCCTGAAATCTTAAAGCAGAACATATGGTTTTCATTATGTTTTATGTTAATATGGTTTTCTATAAAATAGGTCTTTGAAAATCAGTAATCTTTATAAGTAAGATAGTCTAATTATATTTTTACCAGGTATTTCTTCAATTAGAATATTATTTCTTAACGTATATTATATGGATTATATATATACACACACACACACACACATACATATATACATATGTTCATCATAAATGCATCAACAGAAAGGCAGTAGAAAGCGAGAGAGAGTATGTGAGAGAAAGAGAGATGGTTCCAATGGATGCCCCTGGAAAGAGACATTGCAGACACAACACTAGTACGTATAGCAGGAATATCTGTGCTCCCCTCTCAGCTTTCCTTTGGGACTTTCACCTGTAATAATGAACCCTATAGGGCCATCCACTGTATTGCAGCCTCCACATGATTTTTTGACGCTCAACAGCTGTGCCTAAAACCAAGGCACAAAGGACAAAACCCAAATAGCACATTTTGGGTAAAGTAAACATCCCTTTTTCATCCGTTTTCTAAGATATAAGAGAGTACAAATGTAAGAATGATCATCTTGCCAAAGCTGGCACAGAATAGCTGTCTTATCTGCAAGATTTCATGCACTGCTTTCTAAATTGAAAAGAGGCTTTGACCAATTAGTGATTTTCTAAAAAATCCAAGATTCCAGTGGACTTCAGACATGGTCTGTGTTTGGTGTATACCTGTTCCTTTCTAAGTCCCAACCTACCTACACTCATTCCTTAAGACTTCAACATTCTTGTGCCCAAAGGTTCTATCTCTCTGCTCTGGAGATTTGCATTTTAACAGGAATCAGAGAATTGGAGCCCAGATATTCTGCACACAACCTGAACAAACACCCTAGGATGCTTTGGAGGGTTACAACAAACTTTCCCAGAGCATACAGCTGGACTTCACTTTGTAATAACTTAAGCAGTTATTGTATATACTACATCAGCATAAAAAATCCATAAAAGCATCTTTTATCTCCCCTTCTTTTTAGCATTAAGTACAGTAGTAGGCATATAGTAGGTCTTCGGCAGGTGCAGATTAGCAATAGAATAACTACCTATTCTCATTTATGTTTCGTATTGTATTTGTAAATATGGTAAATTGTTCTTTTCTTACAACTCTTTAAATTTGGTGAATATATAAGGAATAAGGAACGTCAAAAGAAGCAGTAACAGAGTGGCAATTGCACCATAGTATTCTACAGTTGGAAGACCATTTGCCCCATCATTGCCACTCTGGTTCTTGGACCTCTGAGAGTGCACCCCCAATGAAGCACACCATTTCCTGCAGCAGGTCATTCTACCTTATCATTGTGGAATGAACTTCTTTGCTTCAGGCAGAAAAGGCTCCCCAAAGGAAACCAGCCTTTGGTCAATGTCACCTTTGCTTCTAGACTTCACACAGTTAATGATCACATACCATCACGCTCTACCCTCCTCATTTGCTGGGAGTTTTCCAAGTTCTGTTTCTATCTTTCTGACTACCCTTTCTGTCTTCCTTTTTGATTCTGGTCCTTCTGTATAGGGGTCTTCTCTGGCCTGCTCTTCTGGCTCTATTCACTTTACTAGTATGTAATTCACTAGTTTATGTCCAAATACCCCTGACATTTACCAGATCCCTATAAAGACTGTTATAGCTCCTGAATTTTGGACGCATATTTCCATCTACCTCGGGGCATCTCTGCCCACATGTTTCCAGGCTCCTAAAACTTGGCTGGGGAAATGCTAAGCTCATGTTCTATGTGACGCCTTCCTTTTAGGAAATATCACTATTTTCCTCTTATATAGGCTCCTTCCAAACAGGTAAATACCTTTATAAGGATACTGTCAGTTATTTGTGACAAGTCTCATACACACATTAGGAATCCTTTTCTAGAACACTAGCATAAATTAACCTGTACTGAATATGCCTGTTGGGTGTTATGTGCCCAAGTTTCAAAAGGCATCCTGCCATGGGAATATCTGCTTCTCATGAGGAGGATTAACGTGTGTGTATACAAGCCACAGCTAATGCATAATTAAGATGTTGATTATTTATCATGTTTTAGCTCTAAAATCTTTATATAATTCCCCAAAGCATTACACTGAAATGTTCTTTCCTTAAAGGCTACGTATTTTAAAAATGCCAAAAAAGTGTCCTAATCTTATTTGAAAGCTCTTCCGTTGAGATAGCCTTTGCCAAGAACATATTCTTCAAATAAGATGTGCTCTTTTAGCTGAAGATTACATTTAGGACAAAATATCTAGAAAAAGTTAATACTTTGTCAAGGCAACTTTAGAATTTGAGTAACCAGTTTCTCCTCCTTGGGGACTCCTGTTCTTGCCTCAGATATTTCTGGTTTCAAAACAGGGTGCCAAGGCAGACCTCTCTTCTCTGCTGATTTTTGTGTGTGTGTGTGTGATACTTTCAGAATAAGATTATCCTGGACCCCATGACGTTCAGCGAGGCCAGGTTCCGGCCGTCCCTGGAGGAGAGGCTGGAGAGCATCATCAGCGGCGCAGCGCTGATGGCCGACTCCTCCTGCACGCGAGACGACCGGCGCGAGAGGATCGTGGCGGAGTGCAACGCCGTGCGGCAGGCGCTCCAGGACCTGCTCAGCGAGTACATGAATAATGTAAGTCTTGGGATCTCCATTCTCATGTCTTGGTGGATTCTGTTCTGCAATCGTGTTGCTCTTTTGGAAGCATAGATAGCAGGAAAAGAGAACAGACCAGGTGTTTACCAAAGAGAGTCAGGTGAAACCAAAGAACTGCTTTGGGAGAGCGCGTGTCGTGTGTGTTGTTTCTGAATCCATTTTTTGTTTGTTTGTTTTAATATGGAACAGGTGGATGGAGAATAAGCTCTTTCACTTTTTACTTGGCTGATTTCTTCTCGGTCATTTTAGTGGCTGCATTTTGAAGTAGGTAAGATTTCAATTGGTAAAGGTAGATGATTGATGGAAACAGCTGAGGATATAGTAAGTCCTCTGTTACAAAGAGCACTTTTAAACCTAAGGATAGCTGTAGATGCGAATCTTCACCCCTAAGAGGCATTAATAAATCTACTAGGTTTAAAAAACGTGTGGATAGGGTTGTTTAAGGAAAAGTTCTAAATGTAGTAAAATTTGGAGGTGTTTTATTGATTCATAGTCAGGAATTGCTTATAAGAGTGAGTCTCTTAAGTTTTCAAATAGGTATGTATGACTGGTATCTAATTGTATTTTGGCACATAATAGCCATCCTCTCCTATAGTTGTAAAATGTGACAGTTTCTGTGTACCTGTAACCTGCAAGAAGGTGATGAAACTCATATTCTTTGCCTTGAAAGGCACTAAATTATGGCTGTATTGATTTGCTACATTCATTCAGCAGAGGCGATGCTTGCAACAGTGGATGATCTGTGCTTCCCCCTTTCCTGGACTTTCGGGTTTGAGATAATTTAGCACAAATTGGGGAAAAATGTAGATAAAGTGAGGTCTCGATATTACATTTTGAAGGAATGCCCTGTATAGCTACCAGGTGGGTAACAGAGACACTGAAAATCTGCTCACAGCTACTGAAGTCCATGTTAGGTATTATTAGAACACCCCGAGGCAATGCTGAAACAAAGCAGCCATTCAGTGTCTCTCCCTCCAGCATCTTACCACTCCCATCATGAGTAAAAATATGTAGCTAACAGACATGCAAGCAAGGAATGAGTGTTGACAGTAGCAGTGCTCCTCCTGCTGACCCTCCAGAGAACTCACTGAGAAAGCAAAAAGATGTCAATGAGAAAACCTAACAAACTAAAAAAAACAAAATTTGTTTCCTTTCCATGAACCTTCAGATTCTTTGATTTTGGAAGACTTGGCCTTTTTCAGCACACAAAGAATAAAATGTGGATGCATCATGTGGCACCCAGCTGCTTATGAGGACGTCTCTATAGGACCCTGGATGACCAACACTTTCTGTAATTTTGATCCATGGTATTACGTAGGGTGCAGCTAGAAATGTTGACCCCACAGTCTCCCAGCTGAGTGAATCTTTTGAATAGCAGATGTGTCAACGAAGAATGCTTATGAAATCTGAGACGCTGTTTGTTTGTTCGTTGTTGTTGTTAACAAAATAGCAAAGGGCTAATTACATGGATGTGGAATTTGGTTTTACATTAAGGCACGCTAGTGGTTCTATTAATGAATAGTTACTGCCAAAGAAGGAAGTAGAAACTACAGAGATCACAGTGATGGTTAAGATCTCAATATAAATAAATCAGACAAAAAAGTATGTTCTTCTAAATAGAAATCACAGAACGTGACTAAATAAGAGTTGATCAACACGTGACATGTAATTTTCAGTTTGGTGTCTAGAATCCTGCCAACTAGAAGTTTTTCTTTCAGTGTAATCTCATGCAGATCAGCAGAGCTGATGGATTTTTGTATTTTATTGACTCCAGGCACTTTTTGTTTTCTGTTCGCAGCCTCGTGATGCAGGAATGTTTTGTGCTTTATTGAAATCTTAGTTTCTATTTTGACATGGTTACAGACAATACATCAATGGGTATAGTGCTTAAATTTCAAAATGCACAAGTTCTATTCACATTGAACCATCATGATCAAAGCCTGAAATAAAACACCTCCTACTTGACATTTATGTAAACTGTATAACATTTAGTTGGACTTCACACTTGTTTGGTGATTTCAAGGTAGAATTGGATGCAGCCAGATCACCTTCATAATTCCTGTCCAGTGCACTCATTTCTCCTGCTGCACAGTCAATTTGTATTTATTTTGATATAGCATGTATGAATACAAAAACACATACACATCCATGCCCTGACTGAAAAGTCTATTGTAGTTAACAGCAAACAGTAAATCAGTCTATCGTTCCTGGGCTGTTATCTTTCTCTTTCAATTTCATAAGCTCTGAGAATAAAGGTATTATCAAATGATCACCTTGCAAGTTTTCATCCTAATGTGCTAGGCAGTACCATTAGGATAAACAAGTTGTTAAACTGAAAATATTTAAAAATCAGCATAACTGACATTTCTGTTTTCTAAAAATCTCCTCATCAGTCCCAGATGAACATTCCACTTACACAATGCTTGCTTGTGGCTGAAGCTGTTCTAAAATTGTATACATGCCAAATTGTATGACACAGAGGGAGACAGAGGTTGTGGAGAGAAGCTGTGTATCACACCTGATAGAAAAAGGGTCTTCATGGAGCATGGGCTATGACTTAGCCACGTAGCTTCCATTGAGCTCAATAGGATAGCAGTCACATGTTAGATATTTCCACAAATGTGTATTCTACTTAATGAACGTGGGTGTGCAACTTGAAGATGTCAACAGAATTGTGCAGTTAAAAGAAGTGGTGATATTTGAAAAAAGGCTGGGTGAACAGAGGCATGGGGTGAAAATCATCACAGATCATGGCGGTGGTAGAAAGGATGGTTGGAATTCTTTTAGGAAAGCCTTGGCTAGACTTAAGTTGCTTTATCAAGTTGAAGATATAATCCAAAGTGAAAAGATTCTTAAAAAATAATCCCCCTTTAAGTAAACTATTATTATTGTACATATGTGAAGACTAATGGGTAGAGAGAGACTTAAAAGGATGCGCGGCCTATAGATGTTAATTGGGATGAGTGCCGTCAGTGTGGTGGTTGAAGTATTATGCTGAGTACTTTAAATAGTTCCAAATTATAGTGAACACATAAACCTTCCTTGGGAACTTATAATTTTATGCAGCTTTCTTTGGTGGCAGTATAAACATAACATTTTATGGGTTTTATTAATAAGAATATTGTGAGGAATGCAAATTTAGAATATTTTATTCATTCAACAAATGTGTATTGTCTGCTGGCCATTTGTGCCAGGCATTGCTCTAGGCTTCTGGGGATACAGAAAGTACCAGAACAGGTAAAATTCTCTGCTTGCTCTCATGCAGCTTACACTGTTGTGGGAGGAGACAGACAGTAAATACTAAGTGATATGAGCAAGAGTCACTTCAGATAGTGATATATGCAAAGAGGAAGTCTAAAACATGGGAGTTAGAGGACGCTGGGTAGTACTGAAGTTAAGAATGGCCTAGGAAGGTGCGTTGAAAGGATGACATTAGATCAAAGACTTCTCAGAAGTGAGGAAGCAAAGAGGCCTTGAGGAGGAAGGGATGACAAGGTCAAGGGCCTTGCTGTGAATGGGTGCCTGGTGCACCCACCCGTTTGAAGCACCATGGGAGTCACAGCAGCTATTGTGAGTAGAGGGGTAGCAGGAGATGGCGTCTGTATGGTGCTGAGGCATCAGTCGGTGCAGGGTGTGGTGAACCATTATACAGAATTTGACTTTCATTCTAATGGAATGAGAGGCCATTGCACAGTAGTGAGTGAAAAATGCCATGATTCAGGTGCTGAGAACAGGCCACAAAGGCAAAAGGCGTAAAAGCAGGAGGACAGGTGAGGAGGCCCTGCGTCCCGTAATATTCATGAGAGGATGGTCTCTTGGGCCAGGGGATAGCAATAGAAGTGGCATAAAGTATTCAAATACTGACTATAAATAAAATTTGCTTATAAATTAACTAGTAAGAAGAATGTGTCTGTTTTATGAACATAAAATCAATATTTGCATTTTGGATGATTTGCATTTTGAATGACAGTTGCAGTTGTATCAATTGCAGCTCATATGATATCTTCATTTGGTTTTGGTTGCACAGGAAATTCTGATTTACTTGGGTGTTGAAAGTAGCTTACTTGGGCCGGGCACGGTGGCTCACGCCTGTAATCCCAGCACTTTGGGAGGCCGAGGCGGGCGGATCACGAGGTCAGGAGATCGAGACCATCCCGGCTAAAACGGTGAAACCCCGTCTCTACTAAAAATACAAAAAATTAGCCGGGCGTAGTGGCGGGCGCCTGTGGTCCCAGCTACTCGGGAGGCTGAGGCAGGAGAATGGCGTGAACCCGGGAGGCGGAGCTTGCAGTGAGCCGAGATCCCGCCACTGCACTCCAGCCTGGGCGACAGAGCGAGACTCCGTCTCAAAAAAAAAAAAAAAAAAAAAAAGAAAGTAGCTTACTTGGCAATGCCTGGACACTCTGCTAGACAGATTGCATTTGAAAGGGGAGTTAAGTAGAAAAATTTTGTTTCAACGTTGTATCACCAAAAATGTCTAAGTATGGTTCACATTCTTATAAAAGACTAGAAAAATTTAATACTTATTCTAAGTATTAAACTGTAATGCAGAACTGTAAGGAGAAAAATTACTACTTATTCTAGGTACTAAAACTGTAAATGAAGAACAATAAGGAAATTCATTAAACTGTTACTTCTTTATGCACAATTCATGGTTAGGCCTATGATGAGAATATGCAATGAGCAGATGTGCCTGGTCCTTGTTGTGTCTTGTGCTGCTGTACAACCTGTTTCAATTTTATATGCATAAACTCTCTGTGTAGCTCGAATTTTTTTTAAGACTAATTTAGAGCTACAGTTTTCTTAAACAATCATGCAGTTAAACTATTTTCAAATGATGGCAGAGATCCTGGTGGCATAAAGTAATGCTGCTGTTCTCTGCTGTAAAATATGGTGAGACATTTTTAATTGTATTTTTAAAAATAATTACAATTGTATATTTTTTTAAATTTTGGATCCAACTTTTTTTCAAGCCTCTTGAAGCATCTAAGTGGATCCCTGGGGTTAACAATTTATAAACCATTAATATATAGAAGGTATTAAAAGCACATGAAGACATATTGATATGGGAACATATATACATATTACAAGTGTTTGAAGCATTGTCATAGCCTTTGTTAGAGAGTAGAATTTAACATAAAGTGGGTTCCTGAAGGAGCCCACTTGTGAGGATTTGAGGACTAAAATAGGATCTAAAAAGGTTATTTCCAGCCCGGTTTTATGGCCTATACACAGCAAGCCTCCAGCATGCTGTTCCACAACACTAGATGAGTAATACATGAGATGATATCCAGGGCCACGAGATCTCTAAGAATGTGGCTTTTACATTTTTGTATAGTGGAAAAGAAATATATGTTCACTAGAAAGAACAAAAAGACAAAGAAGAAAATAAAACATCTCATCCCCCAAAATAACTGCTAATAATTTGGTATGTGTCTTTCCAATGTTTCTGAGCATATAGGAGTGGTATATTTACACACACACACAAACACACACACACACACACACACACATTACACTTTGCTTATTTTTTATAAAATGGACTCATATTGTAAATGCTGTTTTGCAATCTATTCTCTTTACTCAATATATTGTGAATATGTTACCATATCAATAAACATTCTCTAACCTTATGTTTACTGGCTGCATAGCATTTTATTATATGAATATGTGATAATTCATTTAGAAGCAATTCATTTTGAGTGTATTTTTAGGGAAGAGCCTTGGAAAAGATAAGTAGGGAAAACTTTTCCTGCTGGCAGTACAGAGTTCTGATTTTAGACCCAAAGCGTGACTAGGAACAAAATGAGAACGAAGTGAGGACACAGCTTTACAGTTTCTGTGGTTCAGGGGATCCCTGACAAGTCTTGTGCAATCGGATTTTTGCATATAAACAAAATTTAAGTGCCTCTGGGATTCTATTTGAAATAATCTTATGTTTATTTATATTCATTTTCTATATAAATCTGATTTTTATCTATCAGAATTTATTTAAGTTGGCTGTATATTACTGCCGAGAGAGGCCCAGAACAACTAGTTGGCAAGTTCAGTATTTGGGTTTGATCTAAAATCCCAGAGAAAGATCGAAACCTTCCGAAGGGACTGTCATCAGAAAGATAACTTTGCCATAGGAATTGCTATACTGCCACATTTCTCCCATATGGGAAGCATGAAAAAGACTGAGTAGCTCTTATTACTTAAGAATAAGGCTCATCGTTGATTAAACATGAAATTTGTTTTGAGTATTATCTGGATCTTCTCTTTTCTCTCCTTCCTATTATTATGTAGATGAGGGAATGCAACTCCCTGAAGTCAGCTTGGCTAATAATAACTTTCTCTATTAAAAGGTGTGACAACACAATATAGAAAGTAATGTTTGAAAATGTTTGTGGGCAATCGAGATCGAATGTTGCCCATACCTTTGCCTAATGGCCCTGCATTCTAACGCAAAATTAAGAGCTGCCTAATGAGATTGGTAGCTTCATTCAAGGGGAAGAGTCCTAATATTCTACATTGGTGCCTGTGGTGAGGTTTTCCTTGCGTTTTTCTTACTTGTATCTTTTCTTCTCTTTCCTGTTCTCTTTCTTCACTGTATGTTCAATGCCCTCATCTCTATTAATTTTGAACTTCAGATTCCTCTGTGCATTTACACTTCCCATGCAAAACTTTTGCTTCCTTGAACAGAGTTTTCTAATTCTTCCCCCTCCCCTCCCCTCCCCTCCCCTCCCCTCCCCTCCCCTCCCCTCCCCTCCCTTCTCCTTTTTTTTTTTTTTGACGGAGGAGTCTCGCTGTATCACCCATGCTGGAGTACAGTGGTGCAGTGGCATGATCTCGGCTAGCTGCAAGCTCCACCTCCTGGGTTCAAGCGATTCCCCTGCCTCAGCCTCGCTAGTAGCTGGGACAACAGGATTCTCCTGCCTCAGCCTCCCGAGTAGCTGGGACTACAGGCACCCACCACCACGCCCAGCTAATTTTTTGAATTCTTAGTAGAGACGGGGTTTCACCCGTGTTAGCGAGGATGGTCTCGATCTCCTGACCTAGTGATCCGCCCAACTTGGCCTCTCAAAGTGCTAGGATTACAGGCTTGAGCCGCTGTGCCCAGCTTTTTTTGTTTTTTGTTTGTTTGTTTGTTTTGTTTTGTTTTTTGAGACGGAGTCTGGCTCTATTGCCCAGGCTAGAGAGCAGTGGCGCGATCTTAGCTCACTGAAACCTCCGCCTCTCAGGTTCAAGCAATTCTCAGCCTTATTTATTTATTTATTTATTTATTTTTTTGAGACGGAGTCTTGCTTTGTGGCCAGGCTGTAGTGGAGTGGTGCGATCTCGGCTCACTGCAACTTCAGCCTCCCAGGTTCAAGTGATTTTCCTGCCTCAGCCTGCCGAGTAGCTGGGACTACAGGTGCCTGCCACCACGTCCAGCTAATTTTTTATTTTTAGTAGAGACGGGTTTCAGCATGTTGGCCAGGATGGTCTTGATCTCTTGATCTCGTGATCCGCCTGCCTTGGCCTCCCAAAGTGCTGGGATTACAGGTGTGAGCCACCGTGCCTGGCCTTTAAATTTGTTTTTAATTGGTATTTCTTGCTCAGATATTGCCAGAGTACAGCTATGTTACCAATCCTTTCTCTGAGGTGAAAAACTATCCTTTGAATCTACTCCTCAAAAGAAATATACATAGTTGGCACGGAAGTCTTTCTGCCCTTGCAACATGGCACTTACAATTCTGTTTGGCTGCATTTCTAGGTAGATTTCACTCTAACTCCCAGAGAAACTGGGAAACTGGTAGAGGGTTTTTTTTCTTACTTCCTTTTTCTTACATTATTATGATCATACTCCCTTTCTAAAGGTGCTCAACTGTGTTTACTGTAATGCGATCTTAGAGAGCCAATGGATGTTGTGCAGGGATATGTTGGCTGGTGCTGACCCAGGCACAGGTGGTGGGAGAATCTCCAGTCATGCTGGCAGGACATCTTCTCTGGTAGAATCATGACAGGGAGAGTGTGAGAGCTTGTGTCAGGTTCAGGTGTTGCCCAGAGCATGTGTGCACTGGCTTTGAAAAGTTCCAGGAGGAGATCTAGACTGGCATGAGGGTGTTCTGGATACAGTACCCATCAGAGCTATGGAACACAGATGTAGGTAACATCCAGGCCCTGTGGGAACATGGCAGGTCTTCTTGGGCCTTAATGTGCCCAAGGTATGGGATGATTATTCAAGTGGGGGACTTAGGTCCTCTGAAAAGTATGACAACTCCAGGAGCTCCCTGTTGCCTTCATTGCGGTGAAAAAACAGTATTGAACAATCAATACTTCTATCTCATTCCCCCACTCACTGCCCTCTAACCCAACATTTTATCTCCTTCCTTCCCTCCCTCTTTTTCTTCCTTCCAACTGTATGCCTGGTGAAATCCTTAAAAACTCTTTTGAATTCATGAATGAACTCATAGGAATGTAAGGGCATTACTAGAAGAAAAGAAATGACAAGAAAGTAATTAACTGGAGATGGGCCTGCAGACTTTTCATGGCCTAGACTTGGGTTTTAAGTGAGGCATTAGGTGCAAAGAACAGGACAAAGAACATTGATTCAAAGAACAAAGCCTGATGACCCAGCTAGATGGCCAGCTAGATTAGGGGCCTCAGCAGAAAGTCTGGATTCCCAGTTAATGAAACCATTGGGGTTTGATCTAAGAAAGTAAAACTTCCATACAGAGAGTAAAAATGGGAATGTGTGCTGTCTTGGCCTTTAAAGAGCTATAAAACAAAAACACCTTATCCTCTAAAAATTTCTAACCACAAGCCCATAATCACTCAGTATCAGGGCCAGAAGCTAGATTCCAGCATGACCTAAAGTTTATCCAGAATGTATTTTAAAGGCATTTTGGGTGGTGGGTTGCCAGGTACTTGGTAGAAGCAAATACTAATGCCTTCCAGAGGAACATACTTTAAACCTGGGGCTCAAAAAATTTCCAAAGATAAAGTTACAAAGAACATAAGTTGACCTTCCAGAATCCCTAAAAGCAAAACAGAACAAGCCACTGTGAATGAGAGTTGGCAATAACAACCGGTTATGGATTAGCCCTACAGGGTTTCAAGTTTGCAATTATTAGGTACAGATTATAAAATATTTCAAAGAAATTGAAGAGAATATTGGACATGTGATGAAGGAGCAGGAGGCTGTCAGCACTGACTGGGCAGACTTGGAAAGCAGGGCTGGGAGTTGTGGTGCTAGAGGGATATGGGCTTACTTGAATGGGTGGGGCAGGCGGTTCTTGGCCAAGCCTCCTCTTGGTAGCCTTCTATGCCACAAGCCTGGACAAATAAGGAAGAAGGAAACATGGTAGCTGAGAGTGTCTGGCCTTTGCTGTTCAGAGCGGTGCTGTTGGTAAACTCTTGACTGGGATCTGGTAATCTCTTAGCAACCCTGTGGTTGGGTATCATTCAGCTTATCCATGGCAGACTTCTCTAAATGAACTCTTCCTGGTAACAGAATGGAAAAAGAAAATCTGCCAAATGAAAGAGGAGATGGAAATAAAAATCTGCCTCAACAGCAAAATTAAGTTCCGCACTTAGAACTCTAGCTAGTTTCTCTCCTTATCAAACAAACTCCTTACTGAGCCCTTGAAAGGTGGTTCGGTCAATAGGATGAGGAAGAGCAAGTAATATTATGAGAGAGGAAAGGGCTTTCTCTGACTTAGTAGCTGAGATTGTTGACAGAGCTGACAGCCAAGTCATCAGATTTGGCCAGTCTGGACAGCACATACCTGGACAGCACAATTGATCTTCTCGGAAGAGGCTTCTGGTATTTCAAAGAAGACCTCACAAAATTGTCAGGGAGAGCAGCAGGCTGCACTCCACCATCAAAATGATGAACCTGGGAAAACCTTCCCTTTGAATTAACAAAGTATGTAAGAAGATCTGAACGCTGGATCTCTCGTTCCCGAATGGCTTGTTCCAAAGATAAGCTCCCTTGCTGGGGCCCCTCCTTGCTCAGGTTCAATGCGGCCTTGAACTCTGAGAGGTATTTTTCTTGATTCAGTTCGAAAATTGTTACACTCTAAGAACTGAGTGTTTCACTGGTTGGTGATGTCTCTAACACCTCTCCATGCTTCAATCACACCAAGTACTTTACAGTTACCATCTCTCTGATTAAAATGTTATTTCCTTTTGGAGGCCGAGGTGGGTGGATTACCTGAGGTCAGGAGTTCGAGACCAGCCTGACTAACATGGTGAAACCCCGTCTCTACAAAAAATACAAAAAATAGCTGAGTGTGGTGGCGCATGCCTGTAATCCCAGCTACTTGGGAGGCTGAGGCAGGAGAATTGCTTGAACCCAGGAGGCAGAGGTTTCAGTGAGCTGAGATTGTGTCACTGCACTCCAACCTAGGCAATGAGAGTGAAACTCCATCTCAAAAAAACAAAAACAAAAACAAGTGTTCTTTCATAAACTTTGCATAGATGGCTGCTTCTCCTCCCACCAAGTTTCAGCTCAAATATGTTGCTCTTGACTACATTAGTGCATTTATTTCTACTATAACACTTGCCACACTCCAAAATCACATCATCTTATTGTTTGTGTTATCATCTGCTCCTCTGTTGGAATTTACTTTCCGTGAAGAGGGATGTTGTATTGTTTACAATCCCCAGTATCTGGTGTATTTGGCCTGGCACATAGGAGGCTGCAAATAAATATTTTTTGAACAAATAAATGAATTCCCTTTCATCCCCCTCTTCTCCTCTAATAATAAAGAAACAACATAACCTATGTGTTTTGAGAACTTTCAGTCACATAGCTTGGAACCCAATGATTGATCTTCTTTCTCTGCTCTACTACCTGATAAAACACTCAGTGCATTAGCTAAGGTTAACTATGCTTGGCTTCTTCATGACTCACTATGCAGTGCCCAGGCTTTTCACTATAGTTAAAGCTTTATTTAAGGCCCTGTCAGAGGCCACATCAATTCTTTCAAGAAATGGATAGAATGATCCCAGTAACTATTAGTAGAGATAAAAGTGATGCAAAGCATGTCACTTGCTTGCTTTTCAGTTCAAAGGGCTCCCCCAAGCTGCTCACTCTTATTTCTGTCGCTACAGAGTGACCTGTTTCGGCATGAGCTCTTAAGGATGTGTCTGAGGGCTTGGAGGAGCTGGACCATTTTTAGTTCACAGCATTCTGCAGGCTGGACTGGGGACTTTGGAAATTTCTTAACTCATCACTTCCTAAAAGACACAAAATAATTTGCATATGTACCTGAAGAGATACATCGACAGAAGACAAGGGTCACAGTTAAGCTTTTTGAAAGTAGGTACTGTGTTTGCAGAGTCCCAGCCCCACCTACAGAATAACAGTCTCCTGCTGAGGGGGTTTTGATCTCTAAATTGAGCAAGTACCCCAGCTGATTCTTATGAGCAGGCATGTTAGGGAACACCTGATGTAATAAGTAAGTGTATCAAATCAAGAGTTGATTTAATATAGCACGGGTTAAAAACGGGGTTTCTTTTTGTGAGTGGGGATAAATAACTTTGTAAGAAATCATCAAGTGAAATATCTTTCGGGAAGCCTTTTTGGGCTATATATTAGTCAGCCTAGACATTCACAATATGAGAGGAGACTCGTGAAGCTGGATAGTTAATCTCTTCTTTGAATTCCTTAGAAACAGATGAGCAAATCTTCACCAGCACTTTGCCCTGCGAGATACTAATTGAAGGGTAGTTGTTTTTCAAAACTTCTAACTTTCACCTCACCACTCTCAAACACACCTCATCCTACTCATCTACTTTTCCATTTATAAAAGGTCATTTTTTATCCTTGGAAGGACTGTACTCTCAAATGCCAGAAGGAGAATATCAAGCCTCATGGATTATTCAGAAATTCTCTTTCTTAACAGCTTAATTGCTGACTTCAGTAATCTATTAACTCTGCTGGTTTGAATGCAGCTGAGAGACTTAGAGCATCAACCCAGAGCTATGCCATTTACACCTTGAATTGAGCTTTCGTTCTAGGTTCTTTTGGTGACTATTGTAGGGAACAGCTTCTAAGAGGAAGGAGCATTTTGCCCGACTGCTCCTGCAATTCTTATATCTGTGTATCAGGACATGAGGAGATTTTTAAAAACACATATTCCAGGTTCCTGCCTTGGTCCTAAATGATAAAATCTCCAGGGAAAGAGCTGGGAAGGTTTATTTTAGCAAATATCCCAGAGGATTCTCCTGCCTCCAGTCCTGCACCAGCCTTGGACTATGCCAGTATTGAGAATTATCTGACGTAATCAACACTGGATTCAGAGACAGGTATCATACATTTCCTTTTTCCGTTTTCTTAATCACATTTTCACAGTGTTATTTATTGTTATTTCTCTTCACTGTCTAAATTATCCTCCACTACTCCTTGCCATGGAACTAGTGAAGACCTTTGGAGGCCAATATTTTCTTCTTTTTCCCCCTAAAGTGACTCAAGAAGACATCATTTGCATATTATGTAAGTTTCACCTCAATAGTTTTAAAAAAAGACATTGGCCTTTTTTATTATTTTGTCTGCACACTTGGGTGTTAGGAGGGATCAGTCCTGTGATCTGGTGATTAATTTCACACTATTATTCCTGAAAAATAGACAGATACCTCTTCTTCCGTGTATCTTATGGATGTGGTAAATGCTGCACCCATGAGAAAATTAAAGAGATGCTGATTCTCTGACCTTCTCTTCTTATTACAGACATTGCCTTTTTTTTTCCACCGCTGCCCTAATTTTAGGCTTCTAATCTCTTCTGTTGCCCCTTTTCCTCATCTGTTTATTTTCAACCACTTGTAAAACCTTTAAAACCATATCAGTTTTTTACTTTTTTTTTTTTTTTTAGTTCTTTCAAGATTCTGGAAGGATCACCACCCATTTTCCTAAAACCTCTGTTTTGTGATTTCAGATTATTTAGATGAAAATGAGTAGCATGCTATCTTCAATGAAACAAATGGTTAAGGACCCGCCCAAGGTCACATGTTTAGATACAACTAAAATTGGAACTCAGGTCTTCTCGTCTCTTTATTGCCACTCTGTGATTCTTTTCATTACTTTGTGTTATATATTAATGAATCTAGAGACAACATTGGATTTTCGGTATTCTATTCTCTCCATTTAAAGCCCTACATTGTGTAGTGCCCATCTTTTCCCTAATGTGTATATTTTGAATCCCTCAGAGTTAGTTAGATGGTAGACTCTGGACAAATATCCAATCTGTAGGTATCTACAGATCCTAGCAGAACCCTGCCAGCACTCCAAATAGAAGGCAGACAGCAGCAGCCTTGTGGGATATTTCTTACAGAGGGGCAAAGAAGAGCCTGTTTTGTCAGGAGTAGGTGTTAATGCAGCTAATGCAGAAAATCGTATATTTTTCAAGAATACAGAATTGGCTTCAGTATCTAGTTGGAGACTGTCGATCATGTAAGAGACAATGGTAGAGGCAACAACCATAGCAGCCAGCACTAGTATATCTACTTTTTCATAATTCCATAGGGGTTCAGTGCAGTGGCTCTGCCCTCAGCTAGCCATTTCTGTACAGAGATCTGACTTTTGTTTTTTTCTGAAAATAAACACCTAGTTGCTTGCAATTTTGAGTAGGAGAGAAGATCTGGTGGTCTGCTTTTAATAATTAATTAAATTGACAAGTAATAATTGTATATATTTATGGGGTACTATGTGATGTTTGGATATGTGTATAAATTCTAGAAAGATTACATCAAACTAATTAACATATCAATCACCTTACCAACTTACCATTTGTTTGTGTGATGAGCAGGTATAAAATCTCTTTTGGCAACTTTGAAATATAAAATACATTATTATTAACTATTGTACTGTGTAACTATTTCATGCTGTGAAACGGATCACTAAAATGAATTCCTCCTGTTTAACTGAAAAGTACCCTTTGACCATCATCTCCCCGTGTTTCATCCCCCTCGCTGCTCAGCCTTTGGAACTGTTTCTCTACTCTCTGTTTCTATGGGATCCGCTTTTGTAGATTCCACATAAAATTGAGATTGTATAGTATTTGTCATTTTGTGTTGGCAGGAAAGTAAATTAGTGCAGCTATTTTGGAAAACAGAATGAAAGTTCTACAAAAAACTAAAAATAGAATTAACATATGATCCAGCAATCCCACTTGTGGGTATATATTCAAAGTAATTGAAATCAGTATGTTGAAGGCATCTCTGCACTGCCATGTTTATTGCAGCATTATTCACAACAGTCAAGATGTGGAAGCAACCCAAGTGTTCATGAGTGGATGAATGGATAAAGAAAATGTGATGTATACATACAATGGAATACTATTCAGTCTTTAAAAAAAAGGAAATTCTGTCATTTTTGGCAATGGGGATGAACCTGGAGGTGTAACTGCTTTTTAAATAGAGTTTCAAGGAATCATCTTTTTTAAAACCTCACCTTTCTCTTTTCTTTATTCCAGGAGAAGCTGATGTCTCAAATTTCTACATCTTTGGGGTTTTGCAGTATAAATTGTGTTGTTCTGAGCTTCCCCATTGCTGGCTTAGGATTTGGCTTTCTCTGGCCTGCTAAACAGGCTAGTACACCTCTTTCTGAAATCCAGCTTTCAGAATACTACTGCTGTTTGCTTCTGTTGTCTTTGTCCTTAGAATTAATGTCTTTAAAAGGAAATGGCTTATATGATAATTTTAATGGAATTTCAGAAAAGAGCAGTGATAAATATGTGTGTTAAATCAATCAGCCATCTTCAGCCACACCTTGCTTTTGTTTTTAAGCAAGGTTTTAGATTTCTTCCATCGCTACGTTCAGGGGCTATAACTAGACATAGGGATGGTTGTTTTGTACCCTAACTTGACCAAGGGGTTGAATCAAGATAAAATGATCAAAGTGCATTATTCAAAGTGAGTTGAGATTTTGGGATAAAAGTAGAGGTGAGATAAAATGTGTTGGAATAAAGCTTAGTTGGAGGATCTATTTGATCTAGGCACTCTGTTGTATTTGATTGTCTATCTCATTCCTAATGACAGCATTATAGATACTTGTTCCTGTTTAGAGGTTGAAGAAAGTGTGGTTGTGAATACCTTGTCTTTGTTGTTCATGTAACGTAACTATAGAAATCGGGCATTTATCACATGATGATAATTCTTTAGAAACTTTGTTTCAGAGTCTGTTGAATGCTACATTCCCCTTAGTGGCTGATAACAGTCGCACAAGTGATATCACAATATGATCCATAGCACAGTGTTAAAGGATAATCGAGTCCAATGTTATTATCTCAACCATTTTATAATTTTAAGTATCTCTCCCAGTATATTTAGAACCACAAGATCCTTGTAAATGGATTATTCCCATTTATTTGTTGCATTTATTTGTTTACTAAAGGTTACATTTATCTTTTGTACGATTGCTGTTTTTTCCTCTGTAATATTATTTTACATATTAGTCTTGAACTTATGTCTTTTTAATCCTTAGAACTTTTATTAGGTATGTGACCCAATGATTTGATTTATAAACATGCACATTGATATTTCTAACAATTCATATTTTTATATAAAGTGTATACTCACCTGCCAGAAACAGTGACAAGAGAAATATACATGAAATATTTAAATTCAGGACAACCATTAGGGAAGTTCTTGTGATATATTCCTAATGTATTGTGATTATTAGCATTCCTTAAAATTTCCCTAAAAATTTAACACCCATTCACCAAATAATTCTTACTAATGAAAGGATTATTTACTAGCAAATCACATATAGTTTGACACATCTATATGTTTAAAGGATAAGAAAAAGCAAAATTTGTTTTGCTTTTAATTTAGTTAATTTATTAGTTTTGATGCTGCATTTCATGGAGCCTTAGGTGCTTCCGGGTCCCCATTAGTAAGTGACCAGGAGAGAGGAATGAGTGTGACTCTTAGTTCCCTCTGTCCCCCAGATCTGTTTTTCCCTGAGAATCCCTGACACTAATTGAATTCAATATTTGGTTTTTATGTAAAATTGTATTTGGAAAAAAACCAGATCCTGTTTTTAAGACAGATTTTTAAAATAATGGCATTCTTTGTTTATACATCTAAGACTTTTTTTTTTTCTGAAATACCCAGATAATTGACAGGGAAGTTAATTGGGAGATATGAATTATTTAGATTTTCGGCCAATCTGTGATAATACTCATGGATCTGAAGATTACGATAGAATAGAGAAGCCCAGCTCTTTGCAGATAGCAGACCTATCCTGAAATATCCAAATGAATTCACAAATTATGAGCTTCTTATCACTGTTTGGCTATCAAGTTATACTGGCTGTATAAAATCTCTTCGAATTAATGAGAATGGTTCTGGCCCCCTCTTCACGCCTAACCTAAGTTTCTCAGCAGTTCCTGGTTAAATATTCTACTCCACAGGGTTTCCTTCATTATTCCCCAGTGACTCTATGCCATACCTTCCAGGTGAAGAATAGCATGCTGTCTTATAGAGTACGATACTAGAACTCTTGGCATGCATCATTTTCACCATGTTCTTTAGAAAGTGTCAGGATTTTTAGTTTTTAGAAGAATATAGATGTAATATTTTGCAGCATACATAAGTTATAATATTCCAAAACATCCCGTAAGACCTTTTATTTATTTCCTTTATTGTGAAGCATGTTCTTTCCTGATAGCTACAGATGAACTGGAGGCCTTTTCTTATCCTGTAATGAAACATTGAATTATACCCATACAGTTTAGCAGAACGAATGCTTACCCACTGGCTGAATAAATCAGGCTGTTCATATTTTCTTTAACACAAAAAGGAAATGATAATTAATGAACTTGAGGATAAGGTTTTAAATGTGTATAGTTATTATAGTATAACAGTGCTGCGGGGGCTACTTGCTGACAAGGGTAAGGGCAATTTTATTTCCTTATAAATAAAATTTAGAATTGAACATCTAAAACAGGAAAAAAAATTAAGAGTTTATTGAGTGTTATGTTTTGGGAGTTATACTAGATACAACAGTATTAAATAATATGCAATAGAATGAGAGACTTATTGTGCAGGTCTTAAATGTTGTAAGCCTATTAAGTCCCTTCCAAATAATAAAGACAAATGCATATCAAGATAGAAATAGGTAGATATGAGTTAGGTTTTCAGAGAGAGAGCTGGGTTGAGATACTGAATTATTCATGACAGAAGTAGAGCTTGAAATATTTGAAAGGTGTACAGCAATAAGAGAAATCAAAGATGGAGAGTATACTTTGGGGCTAGGGATGACATAAAGCAAAATTTGTTATAGGAATGTGTATGGTACATTCTGAGCACAGTGAAGCCTGCTTGATTAGATTAAAGGACATCGAATAGAGAAAAAATATGTTTGCAAAGGAAAGTTGAGATTAAGTTGCAGAGGGATAGGATTCTAAATTAAGAAATGCATGCTTTATTATGGTAGGCAGTTATTAAATTTTTATTTGTTTTGGTTTGATTTGTTTTGGTTGGGCTTGGTGTTATCATGATCATATTAGGTAATATATGCAGTGTTTGGGAACAGCTATCCTGCCTGCAGAGGTGGAGAGTGGCTCTTGAGAGTGTCCATGGGAGATAAGAGGCCATAGAGACCTACTAGTGGACTTTTAGGAAAGTACAGATGGAAGACAATGGAGTCTGAACTACAGAGAAGACAGTGGGAATGAAAAGGAGAAAAACAGATTCAAGGAGAATAACTAAAATAACCTGAAGATGGATTTTTTTTCAACAAGAAGATAGATGGGAGAAGGAACCAAAATATTGCCTTTCTCTTTTCATGAGATGTATTTATCAATTATTCATTGAACTCACATGTCAGCTAAGTTAGGGCTGATCAAATTCATTGACAATATTTTTTGAAGAAAAGCATTTAACAGTGTTTAAAATCTGTCATATATTAGGTTTTGATCATATAATGTTACTCTGTAAATATTTGTCTTCACCTGTTGCTTATTGTATTCACACAGTAGACTATTAGTGCTTTTGATTTAATCATTATGCTATCAAAACTCATAGTATGAAGCATGTTGCAGTTCTGCTGAGGCCTGGGTTTGGGTCTCACATTCCAGGGTCTCTTTGAAGGCTCTGATATCATGGCCTAGTGGACAGGCCAGTATCTGCCTCTTTGGTGGTCATTTTTGGCTCAATATATGGAGCATAATAACTTCCAGGTTGTTATTTTAAAAGTTAAAAAAAAATTATTTCTTTGTGGGAAAAAGGTTGGCCTTATAGAAGATACTCATGTTTACGTTGGGTTTGTTGAATCTTAAGGGGTCATTTAGCTTTCACAGGTATTCTTTAATTGTACCTTTTAAATTGTGTGTTAGAGAAGGATTGTGAGCATTAAATTTCATTAATACCTCAGGATACACCCCTTAAGAAGCTCAAGGATCTTGTCTAAGTGTGATCTGTTACCTGGAGCCTTCCTTTAGGTTGTTCTCTGTCCTATGGCAGCTGTGGTTTTAATTGTCATGCACTTTGTTGACTTACATCGGGTAGTATTTCTATTATTCAACTGTGTTCAAATATTTATTTGGTATCCATTTTATACAAAACACTATTGTAGATACTTTGGAACAGGAAAAAATTGAATAAGTGAGCCACTGACTGTACCTTCAAGGAAATTATACCTTGTAGTGTCCAGAAATATACTATTCTATTCATTATTTCTGATTTGAAATAACTACATTTTGAACATTGTGGTCGTTCAGGTTGTTCATGACATGATAGAGAATAGGGTATTTTGTTGATTAAGATGAATCTGAGTCAGATGAAATTTGATACATTATTATCCAAGAAATAAACTATTACCTACCACTGGAAAACCAATGTGTCTGCCCAATTTCCAATCAGCCTGAAGCCAGTTTCATTTTGCATGGGTGATACAGATGATAGAGGTGGATCATCCAGCAGCTTCATGTATATTCATACTTATCAGATAGGGTCAACGCCTCTTAGTTTGGTTTGAAATCTCACTGGGAAATGTACTTCTTCCTTTGATAGATTTATCAGGTGATATAGTCCAACCATTCCTGAAACAATACATGAAAAAAAATGTTAATAGTTACCTATTAACTATAAATATAACTAAAAATAGTTAATAGTTAATACTGACCTTGAGGTATATATTGTCTGTTTCATAATAACAACAGGCAAAATTGCAAAACACATTATTAAAGGGATGATTTGTGGGTTCATAGATTAAGTATCTGTAAATACCACAGCCCTACATGTGTTTACTAAATACAAGCCATGTAAGGATAACCTTCCTTTGACAGGGAGATGTGACAGGGACTGGGGCTCCAGCAAAGACTTTCCACGTTTTTAATGTCTTTCTGGGTAGCTTTAGGGGCATTTTGGTGGATTAGCAACTGAATATATCATTTCATCCAAAAGTAGGTAGTAAATTAATTCCAGGGGGAAATTTATAGTAGTAATTTTCAGAGAGTAACCAGACAGGTAGGTACTCAAAATTGCAAGATTCAAGGAATCAGAGATGTTTTGATTAGAAAAAGATAGTGAGAGGAGAATAACTGCCTTCAAATATTTAAAGAACTCTTTTGTAAAAGAAAAAAAGGGACGTATTCCGAAACTGTATGTATGACCACAGGGAAATATTTAGGCTCAATAGAAAGCAAAAACTTTAGAATAGCCAGAGCTCTCCAACAAATTCTATCATCTGAAGCACTCTGAGCTGCCTCAAAGGCTAGTGAGTTCTCTCTCACTGGATTGTGTGTTGTGAGCATTTAGCAGGAATGCTGTAACTAGAAATTAAAACATGAGGCTGAACTTTAAGGTTTCTCCTTTCCCTGACATTATCACTTTCATAATTTTCTAGACATGCATCTGTTGGTTGTAGGATGGCCCCATCATCGAGGAAATTCTTCATTCCTTGTATTCTACTTGTCTAGTTTTCTTTGGTCCATTTTATACAAGAAGCTGGTTTGAAAAATGAGAGGGAAGTTTGGGCTTTTAGATGATCAGGCTGGAAATGATAATCAGTTCCATATTGCTTATTCATCAGTTCTTGACGGAAAAATTTTGCAGTTTACCTAGTGTCTGGCTGAGTAGGTCATTTACACAGAAAGAACCTGGCTATGATTTAGCAAAGATGAGGATAGTTCTTCCATATCATAAAAAGTAATCTGGGTTCCTGGCCAGCCGTGGTGGCAAATGCCTGTAATCCCAGCACTTTGAGAGGCTAAGGTGGACAGATCACCTGAGGTTGGAAGTTTGAGACTAGCCTGGCCAACGTGGCAAAACCCCATCTCTACTAAAAATACAAAAATTAGCCGGGTGTGGTGGTGCGCACCTGTAGTCCCAGCTTCTTGGGAGGCTGAGGCATGAGAATCACTTGAACCTGGGAGGCAGAGGTGGAGGTTGCAGTGAGCCAAGATCATGCCATTGCACTGTAGCCTGGGTGACAGAGCGAGACTCTGTCTCAAAGAAAGAAAGAAAGAAAGAAAGAAAGAAAGAAAGAGAGAGAGAGAGAAAGAGAAAGAAAGAAAGAAAGAAAGAAAGAAAGAAAGAAAGAAAGAAAGAAAGAAAGAAAGAAAGAATGAACACGGGTTCTAGCCACCTCCTCCCTCACTTCAGAGGACTCTTTGACATAACCTTTGTAGAGCAACCTTAGGTTCTCTTATATTTGCCTTTGTTCCTGGAGACAGTAAAGGCAACCAGGCCTTGGTGCAACTGGTGGAGAATGAAACTTTTGCGAAATAAGGATTGCATTATGATGCCTGGACGTCCATTTTGGATTTCTGCAATGTACTTTGAATCTGGCTACCCACTATAGACTTCCTGGATGCCCAGATCTTCTGACTGTCAATTAATGATAATGATTCTGGGCAAGTTTTCTCCAAAGGCTAAACTGGAAGTTATATTTTCTGATGTTGCTGCCAGAAAATCAATTCTATTCTATGAAGTCATTCCTAATGTGAGTCCATTCCTCTAGGGAGGTCAACTCTAGTATGATTTCTTTAAGCATCAAATTAATATTTTACTTCTTAAAATGCAAAGTATGTTTCTGTTGAAGGTACAGTTAGGCAGGTCTTTGGAATATCCCTGGCTTGTTAAGAATTTTCTCTGCAGCAAGTATTACTCAACAGTATGAAGCAGATTTTAGAGCTTGCTTTCTGGCAGAGCAATTGGACTTGGAATTTGCCTCTTTATTCAACCTGTATTTGACTTGACTTGTTAACTGTAAAAATAATATATGATTTTTTTTATATCTGGTGATTTTGATTAGACAATTTTTAAATTATGAAATTTCATGGGATAATTTTAATCCATTAAACTCTTCAGTATGCAGAATTTCAATCCATTAAACTCTGCAATATGCATTAATATCCTGCACAATGCAACTGTTCACTGTGTATGTGTTAACTAGTGGTTAAAAGACCTTGTATGTTATTGACTCACCAATAAGTTGTAGTTTTATATCATTTAAATTCATCTTGTCTTTTTAATTATATTTATCTATGAATATCGGATATGTTTTAAAATGCAAAATTTAATTATGAAGAATGGGTTTCTTTTGTTTTTCTTTTTCTCCCCTATACCCACTCCCCTTTACCCCATTATCCCAGCCCTTATTAACCACCATTCTATTCTATGCTTCTGTGACTTTTTTAGATTCCACATATAAGTGAGGTCATGGAGGAGAATGCATTTCTTAATTGATTTGTACCCATGGTCCTCAAAGTGTGATGTGAGGACTAGCACTAGTCTGTAAGCTATTTGTTACTAGTCTTCAACAAGATATGTACAATAATTGTCAGCATTTAGAAACTTTTGTAGTAATTTTGCATTTCCTCAACAATGGCACAGAATTTTACAAAGGTTGATCAGTTCTCAATGGACTGGAAGTTTGTTTTTTTAACTACTTTTCATCCCAGATAGTCTGGGAAGCCTCGTTTCACCTTTCAGTTGGTAGTACCCTAAAAGGGGAGAGAGGCAGACAACCACAAAAATACAAGCAGATGTTTGCAAAGGCAATACAGGCAAGCAAGTTCAGCTTAATGCTATACAAGGCTCCTAATCCAAACATGGGAATCCAGGGATTTGTGGATCCTGGAGAGGTCACCTACTCTCAGAATCTCTCTCTCCTTACCCAGTCTTACTGCCCCAAATCCCCAGCACTAGCTTTTTAGACAAAAACAGTTGCGTATGGAAGGTACTGTTTAAAATGCATGCGGTCAGCAACTGCCCATTGAGCCTCTCTCACACCTTCAGATTCTTTGATGAGGTTGGCTTACAAAGCTCAGGACCGAGGTACATTCTGATCCAATGGATTTCTGTGGGGACGAGCCTCACCCACCTGGGGCTGAGTGGAGCAACTCTTACTGTTGTACACCCAGACTGCAGAACCTGAGCCCTAAAGGCTATGGGGACCTGCCCTTCCTCCCCACACTCTACCTCCAGAGCCCTCCCTTTCTCTGAAAAAACAATGCTTTATTATAGTTATACAGGATGGAAAAGAAGAATGATGAGAGGAAAGAGAAGAAACAGATAAAAGGGAAAGAGGAGCAGGGGAGAAAGCTAACTGTGTGATGGAGAAGAGGGAACCAGTGAACTTGGGATTTGAGAGTATGTGAAATCATAGTTTAAAACCTTTAAGGTTTTGTCTTTTAACTCCGGCCACCTCTCAGCCACCTATGCTGAGATACTTGTGTGTGAGATTCTTTTTTTTTTTTTCTTTTTTTGGTGTTTTCTTAATGCTAGATCAATGAAAATACTGTTTCAGCTTGAATTTATGATGTAAGTGAGCCAGTTATTGAAGTAAGCTTGCTGTGTGTACACCATGAACTACTCAATTTACAATATGAAAATAATTCCCAATATTAAGTGTAAATAAAGTATGATTTACATTTTATGTAACTGCTAGTTTATGAGTACTCAAGACTTTGTACATTTTAACAAGGCCTATTTTTAATTGAATATTGAAAAACTAGATCCTCAAACTTTTCATCACATACATTGAGTTACAAACTTGACAAACCACCCCATCTTCTTCCTTGCATTTTTACCACCACACTTTGTATTTCATGCCGTGGTCATGACAGGCACCTGTTGATACCCAGAAAAAGAACTTTGAATGTGTCTACTGTAATAGTGTGCATTGATCCTGTTGATCCCTGTGATCTTTGAAGTGTGTGTTTCACCAGTCATTAATTTATTTTGTCTGTACGTACGTCATTTTAGGTCAGCTCTCTGTTGTCAATATTTCTAGCATATATATTTGATTAGCTCTAAGTGGAGATTTTTGTTTGTGGATATCTTGGACAATTATAGTTATCATTTCATGCTTTATAGGGTTTTTGTTTTCTGTGTTAACATCACCACTACCACCATAATCACAATGGTATTTATTGAGCAACCTCTGTGTAAATTGGGTAGACATTTTCTCTTAGGTCATAGATTCATGGGTTTAATATAAAAAAGGGGCGGGCAGAGGAAGCTTATATTTATTGGATATTTATTGTGTACCCACCATGTTACGGGCTATCATATTGAACCTTTCTAACAACACTGTTCGGCTAGGATTTGTATCTTCATTTTTTAAATGAGAAAATTGAATCTCACAGAGTTAAGCTACTAGACCTAGTGAAACAAAGAGGCTGAAATTCAAATCTAGATCTTTGGGCTTCTGGTATTCTCTTTTTTTTTTTTTTGAGATGGAGTCTTCCTCTGTCGCCCAGGCTGGAGTACAATGGCAAGATCTCGGCTCACTGCAACCTCTGCGTCCCGGGTTCATGCCATTCTCCTGCCTCAGCCTCCCTAGTAGCCAGGATTACAGGCACCTGCCACCACACCTGACTAATTTTTGTATTTTTAGTAGAGACGGGGTTTCACCATGTTGGCCAGGCTGGTCTCGAACTCCTGACCTCAGGTGATCCACCTGCCTCGGCCTCCCAAAGTGCTGGGATTACAGGCATGAGCCATCGCACCCAGCCCTGGAATTACTATTCTTTACATGGTCTAACCACCTGTATGCTTTTAAGCACACTTAAAATGTTTCTGTGCTTCATTTACCTGCATTAATGCTTTGTGTGGTTTTAGTTTTTTAACATTTTTTGAATAGTTGTGACAGCTTGATCACATCTCCAGATAACATTGCATATGGAGCATTTAAAGATCAGTAATAAATATAAAATTTAAGGAAGTTCCATGAGGTAATAGAAACCATTCCAAAATGAAAACAGAAGAGGTCTATGTTTTAGGTTCAGGTCGGCACTAAGCTGTAACTATAAACTTTGAATATTTTATTTATGTATAAAATGAGAAAGCAGAGATACATAATTTCTAAGGTTGAGCTTTAAAATTATATGCCTATATGGTCTGAAAAACATTCTTGAACTATTTTAATTTTGCCTATCATCCAAATACATTTTAAAAAGAAATTCTATTTTCTCTGACTTTGTGTTTGAATTAAGAAGATGAAAATCAATTTGGCCTGATTACAGAACTTAACTATATTAGGCTGGTGCAAAAGTAACTGTAAAAACAGCAATTACTTTTGCACCAATCTAATAATATCAGCAACAGCCAAACACTAATAGCAATAATAATTTGCCTACTTTTAAAATCATGTGTTATCTTTAACTGTGCAACTCTACAAAATTGTTGAGTGGTTGTTCCCATTTCACAGATAAATAAATTGAGGCTCAAATAAGTCAATATGATTGGGGTCAGAAGAGCTACTACAGGTGGGACTTGAGTTTACACTCAGCTTTCCTTGTATTCTAAGCCCATTGTCCTTACATCATTCCAAAGGCAAGTCCCAGCCCAGAAGTCTTTGAGCATCCCAAGTAGGGAGGGTATGTGGCTTAAGGGACTGGTTGCCTCTTCTGTGATGAAAGCTGTGTCCTTGCTCTGCAGCTCAGGATTAGACACTACCAGATGTGATATACAGAGGGGAACAAGGTGAGCTCTTCCTCATTTCCCCCCAAAAAAGACATGGGACCCTTTGGTGTAATGAAAGAACCTAGCCCAATGGCTTAAATCCTATTTTATGTTACAAATGTAGGTAGCATTACTGAAAAGAGATAGATTTAGAATAAATGCACCAAGGTTTTACTTTCAAAGATAAGTAGAAGTTTGAATGAGTTTGCTAAGAGGAATTTTAGAATGGATGTATAAATAGGGCTCAATAGTTATTTGGATGAGATTGCAGTTGCATAGATCCTTAACAAGTTATACAGTTAAAGTTGGTATATTTTTTTGATGTTTGCCAGAGAGGGGGAGCAGAGTTAGCATTATCTCCTTGACGGACACCCATCTTCCTCCCTAATGAATAATAACAACAATGAAAATAATGACTACATTACTGACAGGCTATTCTCTGCCAGCCGTGGTGTTAGGTGCTTTGCACTTATTACTTCTTTTGATTCTGCTGACAGCCATACTAGGGAAGAACACTATTGTCTTTGTTTTATAGATGAGGGGGCAGAGCCTCCAAAAAATTAAATGCCTTGTCCAAAGTCACATGGAGGCAAAACCACAATTTAGACTGGTCTGCCCAGAGCCCGTATTTCTTCTTTCTCTCTCTCTCTTTTTTTTTTTTTAACTTTTTATTTGGAAATAATTTTAAATTTACAAAAAGTTGCAGAAAAGTACAAAGAACGATATATGCTTTACTCAGATTTGCCTGTTAACATTTTGCCCTATTTTTGACCCCACACTCTCCTGTTACACTGCAGCCTCACAAAGAGAGGCTATCATTTATTTTTAGTGCCCTGGATTTAGTTGATCTCATGATCAGCCCAGTCTGGCTCACCTTGTTCAATGCTCTAGTGAAATTCTACATTTCAAATATCTTTGAAATAGAAGAATTGGTGTCACATTGTAGTTATACGAAGACTATACATGAGATGAATGCATAAATCTAACTGGGGTGGAGAAATGACTACCTTTTACAAATTGTCCCTCTAAAACGTTTTGGGGTTTGCTGATTATTTTCGAAAGAATGTTGACAGAGGCCTGGCAGTAATAAATAATACACCTTGTGTTATTTTTCCTTGCAGAGATTTCCTTTTTGAGTGGCATTTTTTTCCCTTTTTAGGTTTATTTACCCAGTTGTTGAAATCAAAATTAAATGCAAGTCACAGTTCTTTGGACTGTCAAAGGACATGACCAGAAGAGGGCAGACTTGCATGCTGCAACCGTTTCCCGTGTAATTGAGCAATCTGCATGCTGATGTTATAGAATGGCAATGAAGAGAGATTTAATAATAACTAAAATGAAAGGCTTATGCTTATTTGGTACAGGATTTCTAATAAGACATCAGAGTCAAAGAGGCTTAAAAGAACAATGTGCTCTATTTAGTGTATTCTAAATGTGAAGAAAACCATATTCGTTTGATTCTATTTTTTTTTTCTTTCTGAGGCAGTACTCGTTTCCTCAGTATTTCTGAGTTTGTTTTTTTTTATTTTTTTTCTCATGCTGGGATTTTTTTTTTTTCTCTGTAGTCACCCAGAGAATTTTCAGTGGTGAATGCTTTTGAATGCCTTATAAAGGTACAAAGTTTATCTACAGTTTACGGTATTATTTAATTGTCATACCTGTGAAAGGAGGAATGGTGAAAATCCCTTATTTATGCCTCTACTTCCTGAATGTGCCCTGTGGGAACAGAGTTACAGACAACCCGACCCCCTTTTCCTCCTCTTGGCTCTTGCCTGCAACCGGCATCCTCTGGCCCTTCGAGTGCCACCATCTAGTGGCTGTTTCTGGAAACTCCAAGCGTCCTTTTTTTTTTTTCCTAGCATCTTTCAACCCACCTCAGTTGTAGACAGGCTTAATTAAAGTTGTCTAAGGAAGCTTCTTTCTTTTGGATACTGGCATAACCATTTTCCTTACCTTAAGCCATCGTTCCTCACCTTAATCCATCTTGCCTCATTATATTAGAGAAGTTTCACAGTCTTTCCAGGGGTAGAGGTCTAAAATTTATACACTTGGGAGACTCTAGTTAAAAATAATACAAAATCATGAATAAACATTAGATACCAGGATTTAGAGGAGGCCTGTGCAGATGAAGAGTCTTGAAGCTTGAAGTCTCTTAGATTTTTCTCTTATCTCCTCCCCACACTCACCTTTCTTTCGTTTTCTGTCATGTTACATGACCTAAGTAAGCCGCGAAAGAGCCACTTTTCTTATCCTGTTTGCTAAGTATTGATGTGAAGGTAGTTTCCATTGTTTTGTGATGAAATTACACATAGAAAATAATGCCATTGACCTCCAGATGTCTTTTTATGACCTCTTCCTCCCTTCTTATTAAATATTCTTCCCAATGGAAAACAAATATTCATAAAAATTACATAGAGGTTTCTTATTCAATTTCTTGTCATTTCTACTTAATTGTCAACATCATAATAGTATTTGGTAGTGCTTTGCTTTAAACATCAATTTTTGTTTCAAATGTAAGCCAGTTGACTTACATTCTAAGTTAGGGTTTTCTGGCCTGGCTGGAAGAACTAACAGCCACATATAGCACTTTTATAAAGGAAACTACTATCAGTGTTACAAACAACAAATTTAGAAATGAAATTTGAGAAAACAACCTGCTCATAAGATGGGGCCAGTCTACGTGACGTGGAAGACAATCCATCGTTTCACTTAGCATTCTGCATGTAGTGTCTGCAATCTTCAGGCTATGTCTTCACTCATGATTTCTTGACATATCTGCACATACCCCTCATTATTTCATATTTCTCTAAATTTTCTCACTTTTCAAATCATCTGTATTTACAAGGCTAATGGTATATTACTATGCCTTCAAAGGAACATTAGTATCATTTGTCATAATTAGAAGATAACCACAGAAAAAAATACAATGACATGAAAATGAAATTAAATATTAAGAAGATACTGAAGCCGGCCAAGGGCCCTGTTCCCTCTATTAAAAAGGAAGATTAGAACAGGCTGGAGAGGCTTAAAGTAAAAGAAATGAAGACTGTATTCTAAAGCTAATCAGAAGACTGAAAAGACAATTAAAAGAGGACTACATTTCTTTCTAAGTAATTCTGTGGTGCTTAATGTCCCATCCTGGTTCTATTTAAAATAGTCTTTGAGAAACACTGATGAAGAAAGTTTTTGTTTTTACTCTTGTAGACATTCCACATGCCTTTCGAGATTCATTCTATTGACCTTTTAGAGGGTGGGATTAATCATGATGTGTTGAGGCAGACATGTTTTTTAAACTCTATGTTACTCAGATTTGATTGGTATGACACCAACTTCCCATGGCTATTTTAACTGTTAAATTAGAAAACACATGGAAAAAAGCCTAGAACAGTGGTTTTCCCTCAAAAATGGCAGTGCCCTCAAATCTGCTCCCATCTCCCAACCAAGGAGGAGCTGAGAAGTAAGGGAGGAGGGGAGAACCAGCTCACTGTCGCCTATTTCATTGTGTAAAGCAAATGAGCCCTTTGTTTTTATAGATATGTAATAATATGAATAAACATATACATTGTAGAGCTTGATTTGTAGAACAGAATTTGGATCCTCATTATATGATTTTTTCACAGTTTCAGAAAATGGAGTATCAGAAACAGTGATGAAGATGTATTTGGATTGACAGTCTAATTAAAGATATTTCTCAGTGTAACATTTATACATATGAGTAGATTCACAATTTGGAAGATTTTAAGACACTTTCCTGTATGTGTGTGTGTGCTTATGTGTGTTGGAGGGATTTGTAGCTGTCAGAAAATATTATTATCCAACATTTTTAGAGAGTGAACCGAATTGTAAGAACAGCGAGCGATCTGTTCGCATTATGCACTTAAATTATGACTAAAATCACAGGCATAAAATCAGAGTATGCACTTTTTGCATAAAGACAAAGCATTTGTTCTTCAAATGAGATGGAGGTGGCTCCAAAGAGATAGCCATGGCTTTAAATGGCACTTGCCAATTTTTTTTAAAAGTATTATCTAGAACACTTTAGGGCACAATGTGTAGTAATGTAGTTACTACAAGGCTGTTTGATTCATTGCCAAATAGTACTCAGAATTCAGAGATCAGATAAATTAGATTTTAATTGGGTTTTAAAGCTAAGATGAATAGGTAGATAAGGTAGAATTGGTCAAAAACATACTAATGTAATAAAACCTTTGGTTCTCTAAGGCTCTTGCATTAAAGACCAGGCAGCTATCACTGACAGACAATGCCATGGAGTGGTCCTGAAAGATCGATATTAACAGGTGGAGTGTGCACTGGGTTCCAACATAATCATGTTACCTGGAGCCATGGAAAAACAGAGGCCTGACTTGAACTCTCCGTTATATTATAGAATTTTGAACACAAAATGAAATGGAGTTTTACCAGCCTGATAGGACTCTCAAACACAGAGTTTATTATTGTTTTGTTAGCAATTTTAAAAAAAATATTCAAGGCACAGCACCAAGTTGTTTATGTCTGAGTGTGTTGAGTGCCTGATTGTGTAGACATGGGTAGCTGAAGTAGCTTGTAGCATCTGACTCCAAATTGAGACTTGTGACTTTTTAGACTTAACTTTCTGTGTAAGTCTGTTATTTTCCATCCGTCTGTCCATTACCGCAGTATTTACCTGTTTACATTGGAATAAATATATTCAAATGACTGTTATTTTACAATGTTTATAAAATACATACACTGAACTCATTTTGTTTTCTGCAGTCTTAAAATGAGTTTTTTTTCCTTAATATTTAGAGATCTTTTGTTAAAAAAGCTATAGAAATCTTTTGTTACTTTCTCTCCCAAAATGCTGTTTCCTTTGGGAATTTTATTTTTATTTTAGTTGTTTGTTTTCCTTGTTTGTAATATCCTATTTTTTTATTCTACAATTAGCCATTTTGTCAATAAACTCAATTAGAAAACTCTTAGAACTAAAAGTTTAGCAATAAGTCTAGATACATGTAAACATCAATGAATGATCTTACATATTAGCAATAATCAATTAGAAAATATAAAGAAATAAAATTCCTACTCACAGAATTGTGAAACCATGATTTTCTTAAAAACACATGGACCCGGCTGGGCATGGTGACTCATGCCTGTAATCCCAGCACTTTGGGAGGCCGAGGTGGGCAGATCACCTGACGTCGGGAGTTCGAGACCAGCCTGACCAACAGGGAGAAATCCCGTCTCTACTAAAAATACAAAATTAGCTGGGCGTGGTGGCATATGCCTGCAGTCTCAGCTACTTGGGAGGCTGAGGCAGGAGAATTGCTTGAACCTGGGAGGCAGAGGTTGTGGTGAGCCGAGATTGCACCATTCCGTCTCAAACAAAACCAAACCAAACCAAAACCAAAACAAACAAAAACCCACATGGACCCTACTAATTTGCCTAAAATATTTTTAAGAAAAGTCAATATAGAATCTTTTCTTTTTATAAATTAGATAGTGTTAGAATATACTTTGTATTGTTTTAGTATTTAGGAGCAGGAGCTTATAAAATCCAAGAACAAATTTATTTACCAAGAAAATAAAGAAGAAAGTGAAAAGACAAGCTTTTAAAGAAATTTTCTACAGATTTTCTGAAATTTTCTGATGGAAAGGTTTTGTTTTGTTGTGTTTTTAAAGATAATTGCAAAATGCTTATTATACATGTGAAATTGCAGATAAATACCGATTTGATCTTTGGCATTATTTTTTGCTTGGGGAATACTCATTGCTGCTATTATAAATCTTTCACCCCATCCTCACTTCTTCTATCCCTGTGCTTCCTCTGCCTAGCAACCTGAAAAAAGCAAGCCTTCTAGCAGGCAGCAGATGAAGGTTGCCATGAAAACTGTGAATCAGTCAGGACCCAGGCATCCATGTGTGTGGGGAGCTGTCAGCAACCTCTCTTTCTGATGTTGTGCCTTTTTCCTCTGGCACATTTCTGTTGGTGTGCTCAAGGGGTCTGTAGTGCAAATGCAACCTGTGGACCATCATAGCTTAGCCTAGCCTACCTTAAATGTGTTCGGCACACTTACAGTAGCCTATGGGTGGGCAAAATAATCTAATACAGAGCCTATTTTATAACAAAATGTTAAATATCTCATGTAATTTATTGAATATCGCATGAAAAGAGAAACAGAATGGTTGTATGGCTACTCAAAAATCGATTTCTACTGAATGCATATTGCTTTCTCACCATCAAAATGTTGAAAAATTCTAAGTTGAACCATTGTAAGTCGAGGACCATGCATACTGCTTTATCCCAAAAGAGTGATCTTTATAGCATGAATTTCAGAAGCCACAAGAAGCCTACTGAGGGACTGGTAGTCTTGAGCTTCTGCATTTCTAATCAGCTTTGTGGCTGCCAGGTCCAGCTTATGTGGATTCTGCAGATCCCAGCATTGCTCTCGTGTTTGACTTTTATTCCCATGTTCTTTTGCACCATTATTGAAAAATTGACATCCTCAACTTTGCCAGCCTGTTTCTCAGCAATAGCTTTTATTTCCCTATAGCCTATATTTGAATGTTAACCTTTCAATGTGGTCTTATACTCATTTATTTTGACTGGCCTGTCCTTAACTCTACTATTTCAGGACAGATTGCATCAATCTGGACTCTGGCCACTCCCTCTCTTATTCCTGTACTGCTCCAGTTATGCAGAGTGCTCCAGCAGCAACCATTCTGGTGTTCCGGGCCGTTGATTGCATTCTGAGACCTTGTCATGGGACACCTAGAGTGCTACTTGATGATAAACATGATGCATTAATCTCACTAATGGTATTGCCCCACAAGTAGCAGGAATCCCCACTGAGTTAGATTTCTATAGGTGGGCTAGCAGTGAGTGCTGGATGATATCAGTCTTTAAACCACACGATTGTAGAACAAAGACAGAAAACTTATTTTTTCTTTTTTCCTAAAATGGAGTCTCACTCTGCCACCCAGGCTGAAGTGCAGTGACAAGATCTCGGCTCACTGCAACCTCCACCTCCCAAGTTCAAGTGATTCTCCTGTGTCAGCCTCCTAAGTAGCTGGGATTACAGGCATCTACCACCATGCCGGGCTAATTTTTGTATTTGCAGTAGAGGTGGGGTGTCACCATGTTGGCCAGGCTGATCTTAAACTCCTGACCTCAAGTGATCTCCTTCCCTCAGCCTCCCAAAATGCTGGGATTACAGGTGTGAGCCACTGCGCCCAGCTCAGAAAACTATTTTTTAAAGGATCTGTAGAAATTCTTAAAGATCCTACAATCCAAATTCTCATATTGTAATTAATTATAATAATAACAACCATAACATCATGTTGGCATAAGGTCTAAGCATAAGTCGTTTATGGCATAAGCTCCAGGCATAAGTGCTTTCTATCAACTGGCTCATTTAATCATCACCCCAACAGGATGGGGAGAAACCATTATTAATCAAATCTTACAGGTGAGGGCACTGAGCATTAGAGAGGGTCACTATCTTGCCCAGGACCTTGCAGCCAGCAAGTGCCTATGCCAGGAATCAGGTCCATGCAGACTGACTCTAGATGGCTGGACAGACCAGGAAGCCGAGAACCAGGAAGGCAGTGGTTTGCTCAAAGCCACACATCTGGTAGATGGCAGAGATGATCAGGTTACCAGGTCCATGGCTCCCAGACCAGTATATGGCTGCCCATCATGCCTCTCTTGGTGATATTTTAGATTCTGTTTTGATAAGAGGTTGTTCTCAGTCATCATTTGTAGGAGACACGAAGAAAACAAAAGGGAAAACATTATTGTAATAGGTAGCACTGAAAGCAGCAGAAATAAAATATAGCGAGCCCTGAATCCTAAAAGTTTGGCTCTACCAGGCCAGGTACTCTGATGGTAGGAACAGTGTGCCAAATGAGGAGGTCTTGCCAATAATATTCTGATAATGTCTACCATTTATTGTTCTTATACACTAAAGGACAACTTACCCAAGAGGCACAGTTACCAACCCAAGAGGCATACTTGCCATATCCCCAGTAAGTGGTGGAGTTGGGATTAATTAGGACCCCTATCTGTCTGGCAACACATCTCTTTTGTGTTCTACAAAAATTTTCCTGCATCCTATCCTTGCATGCAGGAAAATTATATGAGATGAAATGTAGAAATGAAAAACCCTGCATGGACTGGTCCACTTGACACATTGACAACAAGAAGTTCCATTTATGAATGTTAGTCTTCATTGAATCCTAATTTAAGAGAAGTCAGCTGAGCATGGTGGCTTATGCCTGTAATCCCAGCGCTTTGAGAGGCCGAGGTGGGTGGATCACCTGAGGTCAGAAGTTCAAGACCATTCTGGCCAATGTGTTGAAACCCCATCTCTGCTAAAAATAAAAAAATTAGCTGGGCATTGTGGCACGTGCCTGTAATCCCAGCTACTCGGTAGGCTGAAGCCAGAGAATCGCTTGAACCTGGGAGGTGGAGGTTGCAGTGAGCCGAAATCACGCAATTGTATTCCAGCCTGGGCAACAAAAGCGAGCGGGGGTGGGGCAGGGGGAAGTCATTCAGAACACTTAGTTCATAAAACAACTTTGCAGAAGAGAAAGTTAAAAAGAAAGTGGATTTTCTAGCAAACTCACCCCAGAAGAGGGGAATCGGTTAAGAATTAGATTCAGTTACTATTGGAGACCCAAATACCAAATACTAAAAAGATGAGTGTTTGTATATCATGTAGAAAAAAAAGAAGTCCAGAGACAAACATGGTCCTGGTGACTCTGAGTATCATCAGTATCTAGGTTCCTTCTATGTTTCAGCACTGACATCCATAGTGCTGACTCCATTCTCAAGGTTGTCTCATAGACCTAGGTTCAGACTTCTTATCCCCATTCCAGACAGGAAAAGCAAGAGGACACTTGCCAGCTCAGCACTTGCCTTTTAAAGTTTTCCCAAAGCACCATGTAACTTCCTCTCTGCTCATTGCCAGTTCTTTTCCATAAAGAAAGCTGGAAATATAGAGAGGTGTAGTATTTTTACCTGGGTACATTGTTACCTCCAAAAATATAAAGGCTTTATAAATAAAAGAGTGCTTGAAAATGAACATTGTTTAAGCAAATGATAGCCTTTGCCACAAGGCATGGGAAGATCCTAAACAGTGTCCAAAAATTAACAGTAACCAAAATTGATAATTCTGCCATAATTAATCTATAATATGCTTAAAGATATGCAATAAAATATATAATCATAATGTGTTAGTTCTAGTATAATCCATGTAGATATAATATACTTAAGGATGGGAGATTCTTGAGAATGAGTTCACCCATTAATTAATATGCCAATTTTTCTTCCCTTGTGTCTGTTTCTAAATGAGAATGCTGCAGCCTGAAATTGCCTAAAATAAAAGAAACAAATAACTTACAGGGAAATTAACAAAGGAGGATTCTGAAATAATCTCATTCACAGTCATTATTTATTGAAAGCCTATTACGTGCCATGCATTGGGCTAGGTACTGGGGGATGGGAGGGTGGGAACTAGGCAAGCACAGACTTTAAAACCTGCACAGTCTAATCATTTAATTAAAAAACCTTACCCTAACACCTTGAAACAACCCACTAGATGTAGCCAGTGTTTTTGGATGAAAATGTTTTGTTTCCTTTAAGTTGTAAAAACTAGGAGCTATATACTTTATTAATTCAGTAAACAAGTCATATATGTACCCAACTTTAAAGTGATGACTCAGATATTCAGAAAAAAAGTTTGGACTTCTAGGAGTTTACTCAAACACAATGTCTGTCCTTTCACTTATACCTCAGTGAACTGTCAAATGGTCACATAGGCCACTATGTCACTCCAGTATAATGGGGACTACAAATACTGGGGCATGGTACAGAAATCAGTGACCACAAAGTACAGTGCAGTGTGGAGCGGGGTGGGGGTAGGGACCTGGAAATCTAAGCTTGAAAGTGATTGCAACAAAAGTTTTAGCATAAGGAGATCCATGAGTACATCTTTGAAATATACCAACATCTAAGCACATGAGGAGAATCCTGGAGTAGAAGGGTGAAACACTTCAAATTATATTCATTAATCATAAGAAACTGTCATATTCAATAAGTAGAGAAGGAGAAAAAGGGCTCACACAGTGTCCTCCATACACAATGACAGCATTGTTTTAAACATTTCATTAAGCCTGTTAAGGTTCATTAAAGACAGTTTATGAACACATGTTTCATATAAGTTCCTTGTATTTCATGTATCAACATTTGTTTGCAGGAATATACATTGCCATTCTCAGAAGGGCAAAAATGAGAGTACTTAATGTTTTCATTTACCTTTTCTCATAAATAAGTTTATTGTTTGGTTGTTGTTTTTTGTTTTGTTTTGTTTTGTCTTTTGAGACAGGGTCTCATTCTGTCACCCAGGCTGGAGTGCAGTGGCACCACCTTGGCTCACTGCAGCTTTGACCTGCTGGGTTCAAGCAGTCCTTCCACTTCAGTCTCCCAAGTAGCTGGGATTACAGGCATGCACCACCACACCTGGATAATTTTTTATTTTTGTAGAGACAGGGTCTCGCTATGTTGCCCAGGCTGGTCTTACATTCCTGGGCTCAAGCAATCCTCCCGCCTTGACCTCCCAAAGTGCTGGGGTAACAGGAGTGAGCCACTGTGCTTTGCCGTTATTTGTTTTTTTAAATTATTTGAATCTTAAAGGTAATAATACTCCTTGTATTGGAATATATAAAATTAATTAGGGCAGAAAAAGACTACTATATCTCATCACTCAAACACAACTACTTTTAACATTCGATGTAAATATTTCCATTATTTTTCTATGCAAAGGTTTTAATATTCTTTTCCTACCTAGTTAGCATCCTGTGCGTTCATTGACCAATGTGTTTAATTCTCTCCTTTTTAATAGACATGACCATTTAACTGTCTATTTGAAATCAGCAAAGCACTAGGTTTTTGACTTATTGGTTAAATTATATCCATTTACTTCTGTATCTGCCATATGTCAAATATCATGCTTAGTCCTGGAGATGAATAGTAAAATAAGTCACAAGCCATATCCTCTGAGATTCTAGAGAAATTAATTTATCCAGCAGACATTTAGTTCAGTATCCATTATGTCCTCATAAAGTACGGGGCACCAAGAATCCAATGGTCAAGACGGTCTATTAGGGGAGGCTCCCAAGTGCTTCAGTGTTCATTTTATTGTGTCATGCTTGCTAAGACAGAGCTGCACACACGGTGCTATGGGAGCAGAAAACATGGGGTAACTAAATTAGACCTAGTGAATTAGGGGTGAAATAATTCAAGGAGAAGGTAATAGTTTGGCTAATTTTTGAAGGAGTTACATGAAAAGGTAAGAAAGAATATTCTAGGCAGAAGGAAGTACATGGCAAAAGAAGGAAATTAAAAGATAATACCTCATTAGAGTGGTCAGAGCCCCCTGCATCCATCAAGTCTAATGCTCTCCCCTCCCAGGGGAGAGAACTGAGGCCCAGAGAGGTTAATGTGCTCAACATCAAATAACTAATGAAAGCCAAAATGGGAACTAGAGCCATGTCTCTTGACTCTATCCTATCAGACTGGGAGCTGTTGCCAGGAACAAAGGCTAAATTAAGCCTCCTTATTCCGTTTCATATTTAACACTAAGTGAGAGGAATGATCTATACTTCACAATGATAGAAATATTTGGAGACCCTTTGGCTCACCATGTTAATTACACTGAGAACTGAACTGAGAGTCTATTACTTTAAACCGAACACTGAGTCATTACTTTGCCCCATGAAGGAGATTTTTCAAGTGGTATTTTTCTTAAGGTTGAATATCGAAGTATATATCTAAATGATATAAATAGAAATGTCTGGTGTAGTCCAATATTAAACACAGCAAAATTTCAATTAGCCAAATAAAAATTTCACAGCCCTCCATTATAATTTAATCTTGCTTTTCCTTTCAGAGAGGAAATCATATGAAAGAGGTGTGTTATCAGACAACAAGCTGAAGATATGTCAGGCACTGTGTTCTGAGCCCCCACAGTGGGCTACCTGATATGTTGAAAGCTCTTTGTTACTTTCAGTAAGAGGGGTGCCCATTGGGAGCATATAGTTGAAGTGAATTGACAGAGATTTATTTCAGAAAGTCACTTTCAGGGTCAGCACAATGAGCCAAAGCTTCTGTTGTTCTGCAAAAGCACCAAAAACTGTTCACAGCAATGGCCTTCAGGCGTGGAAGAGACCAGTCTCCAAGAAGGAGACAGACATCGTTATGTTCTGCTGATCCAAAGATAAAGGGACTAATTTAGGTGAAAATAATCAAATATCCAGAATTATACACACTAAAAATTCTGGTGTATTAAGTCTCTGGCATATATAAATTATATTTTCACAGTGGTTATATTATCTCAGGTCTAAAAGTACTGCCTTGTTACACTTTAAATCCTACATAAGAAGAGATAACTTTCAAAATTCTGGGATCATATTTAGTATGTTAAAATAAATTGCAATAATTCAGGAAAACATTTATTATCAATTTCAGTGGAAAATCTGACTCCTTAATGAGCACATTTTTTTCACTAAAGCCCTTTATTCATGTTTATTAGAGAGGTTTCTGTTCTATTAGGATATATAACACATAGATGGGTCAAATATCCTAGTTATGTTTTCATAGATTGTGTGTCCAGTTGGGTCTAGAAGATTTATTTTCTTGAAATTGAGGGTTGGAATGCTTATTTGTTTTCTAAGTTTTTAAAAATAATACCCTACATTGTAATGATGCAAAGTAGTGCTCATATAACAGACAGGATTATAAGGTAATAGCCTTTCTTATAAAGTAGTAGACACAGAAACAAAACCAAAAAATACCTAGGATTTGCATTGCCATTGAACAGATAAACCATTAGATTGGTTTCAAGTGTAAGTTCCTTTTAGTCAAATAAGTTACTACAATAAGCACTTGTCAGATGTTTGCTACTTGTCATGGTATTGTTATTAAAATAAGTATTTTCCATATACTGGGTGCAGGGAGATGAGGGTGTATTAAGGTTTTATAGGATACACCCTCTGTTCCCTGAGTCTGTAGTAATTCAGCACCTAGAAGATGAGTGCACATAGGCCATGTCATGAAGTGGTGTAAGTGCCCCAAAGAAAGGGGCAAGGAGAGGTAAAGAGGACTAAAAGAGTGTTATGAAAGAGGTAATGTTTGCTATGGACTTAAAGAGGCAGATTTGATAAGGCGGTAAAAAATGAAGGCAGCAACTCAGGGGACTGTGTGGCAACAGTGACCACAGATCACCTAGATGACTGAGGTGCCCAGTGTTCCCGTCCCTGCCCTGCAAGAAAGGTCTGGCTAGGTCATGTGGTAATGTCTGCAGTCCCCTCATCACACAGCAGAGTGCCTTATGCACACTAGCAGCTCAATGCATATGTGCTAGGTGAATAAAAGGAAGAGGACTTATAGTTATTTCCATAGCCATTAAGGAGTTGTTTCTTCAACAAGAGAGTGAGATCCCTATGGAAAGCAGTCCTGCCCTGCATTGCATTCATCTTCCCTAGCACAGAGCTGCATACAAAGGATGCTCACAGTACATCCATGGTTGCCGGCTGGTATATCTCAGTGTATCACATCAAATTCACCTAAATCATGAAATTAAAATGTTGGTATTTCTTGCATTGAAGTGTGACTAAGAGGAATACCACGTCATTATGATGGCAGTATAAACTAATTGCTAACAATAGCCTTCATGACTTAGATTCCTTATCTATAAAATGGGAATAATGATAGTACCTACCTCGTAGTTGTGATAATTAAATGGATTAATGACAGTGAAGTGCTGCAAACAGTGCATGGCGCATAGCGTTATGATTTTTGTTTTGTTAAAAGAGAAGATATTGATGTGAGAGAGCTAAGCTCTGACAATTAGTTAGAAGAAAGAGGAGACAATTTATCCAAGAGGACAGTCCATGTCTATTCCAGGAAAATATTAATGACTGTTCAACCTATTAAATTTCACCTGTTGCTGGGTGCGGTGGCTCACGCCTGTAATCTCAGCACTTTGGGAGGCCGAGGCGGGCGGATCACGAGGCCAGGAGATGGACACCATCCTGGCTAACACGGGGAAACCCCGTCTCTATTAAAAATACAAAAAAATAGCCGGGCGTGGTGACGGGTGCCTGTAGTCCCAGCTACTCAGGAGGCTAAGGCAGGAGAATGGCGTGAACCCGGGAGGCGGAGCTTGCAGTGAACTGAGATTGTGCCACTGCACTCCAGCCTGGGCGACAGAGCCAGACTCCGTCTCAAAAATAAATAAATAAATAAATAAAATAAATGGATAAATAAATAAATAAATTTAACCTGTCAGCCTGATAATCCCTATCATATTGTTTATAAATATGAGCCATAGAAGTTGGAGATGTTTATCTGAACAAGAAAGATATTATATAAACTTTCAAATGCTGATGCATTTGAAAGAAACAGTATACACAATTTAATTATCTTTGCTTTGCATTTCAAGTCTCAATAGGATAATCACTTATATTTCATATTGTAAGGAGCAAGTATGTTATGACCCCCAAGGCCTTGTTTAGATTTGATGAAGGAATAACGTGCGTGGGATTATTGCCTCTGTAATTGTGTAAATGTCTTTCATATTTGAAAATACTTCAAATGAAACAGGAATGTTCTAGACTGATTGTTTTATGCAGAAAATGTTAACTTTGTACATATGTTATGTGGAAGACCATTTTAACTTTCAGAACTGGTATTCAGATTTGTTCAGATTTCAAGAAAACGGGGTTCATTTTAAAAATGAGGAGATGCCTGGCGAAGTGGCTCATCCCTATAATCCCAGTACTTTGGGAGGCAAAGGCAGGAGGATCACTTGAGCCCAGGGGTTTGACATCAGCCTGGGCAACATAGCTAGACCTTGCCTCTACAAAGTAAGTAAGTAAATAAATAAATTAGGCCAACATTGTGGTACCTGCCTATAGTCACAGCTATTTGGGAAGCTGAAATAGAAGGATCACTTGGGCCCAGTAGTTCGAGGCTGTAGGGACCCATGATCACACCACTGCCCTCCAGCCTGGGTGAAAGAGTGAAAGCCTGTCTTAAGAAAAAAAAACATGGAGACTAATTAGCTTCTAAAATACTTGATAGTGCTATTTTGAAGTCAGAATGCTAACTTTTCAATTCTTTTCCATATTTTAGTTATTTGAATACCATCAGCCAGATATCTTTAATATATTAACTGTAATTGTTGGAGGATTGATTTTTTTCTGAACGTTTATAGAAATCTTTCCAGAGAGTAGATTCCTCTTTAAGCAATATAGTTATGTGACTGAAAATGTACATGGAAAAGAAAATGTATGCTGCATAGTTACTGGAGTAAAGAAAAATTTAATCTTAGCTAAAATATAAGTTGGCATTACATGTAAGCATTAGCATTATTACTTAAGATCAATACAGATTTTGTGAAAAAAAAAAACCATAAACTAATCCTTGTATTAAGAAAAATGTAGTGACATTAAGAGAGAAAGCATCCTATGTGAGAGAAAAATTGTATTCATTACGAACAAAAAACCACACCTGCAAATATTTGTCCCTTTCTGTAAATTTCATATTGAATCTCAGGAGAATTCAATAGTGTGGTAAATGTAATTTGTAGTTCTTTACAATTATGGCCTAAATAGATGAAGTCTAAAGGGAGTTTTCCTATTTGATTTTCAAATTTGCATCACTTAAAATCCAATCAGGCCAACTGTTCAGATTTTTGTTAGATATGAAATACATGAATGGGTTCAGAGGCTTCGCTGTGTATTGAAAGAACATATCTGACTTTACGGCAGGCCTTACCTAAGGGGTTCAGTCAGCTTGTGGTTCAACCCCATTCCTGTAAAGAATGTTTACTGACTGCTTGATTTGCTAACATATTATACCCTTCGATTTTCAGCAACCAGTGTTTTATAGGCCAGCAGATTGCCTTTGATTTTTGAGAATTTGTGGTAACATATTGAGCTTACCAGATTTATGCAGGAATGTAAAATAAAAATAGTGTAGCAGGCACTCGGGATTTTTGAACACAGAGGGGATTAGCTTTACAGATGGCTGGCACATATAATGGCATTGAGTAATTTAGCCATGTAAGGTAATCTGTTGTTGACAGAATACATTAACATTTACCCACCATACACAGGTGTTTGGGTTGCACTGCGCTTCTGACTCAGAACAAGCAGCATCATTTGTAGAGTCAGTCTAAAAGTTTGAAATCTCTAAAACATGCTTGGGTTTAAGGACTTATTTTAGGGAGATATTCTAAGAGTTTGCCAAAATATACTATATAATTTATTCAGCCCCTCTGTCCTTAAAATCATTATCCTCTGTTGGCTACTTCGTAAAATCCAAATCATCAGAGAATTTTTAAAGGATTCTGATTTAATTAATGGAAATATTCTAGCAAAAGAGCAGAAAACTACATATCTAACTATAATTTCACAAACAATGTAAAGTCTATTATCCATTCTCCTGCAATAATAGTTCTTAATTTAGCCATATATTAGAATAATCTGTGGGACTTACTAAAAAAGTACAGATATCAAAACATATACACAGCCACCCCGCCCAAAGATAAAGTGCTTCAGGTGATTCTAATGTACAGCCAGGGTTAGTAATCTTTTCCCAATAATTAAATTTACCCCTGCATTTAAAATATGTACACATTGCCAGGAGTGGTGACTCACGGCTGTAATGCCAGCACTTTCGGTGGCTGAGGTGGACGGATCACTTGAGGTCAGGATTCGAGACCAGCCTGGCCAGCATGGTGAAACCCCATCTCTACTAAAAATACAAAAATAGCTGGGCATGGTGGTGTGCACTTGTAATCCCAGCTACATGGGAAACGGAGGCAGGAGAATCACTTGAACCTGGGAGGCAGAGGTTGCAGTGAGCCGAGATTGTGCCATAGTACTCTAGCCTGGATGACAGAGTGAGACCCTGTCTCAAAAATTAAAAAATAAGATAAGTTAAAATAAAATAAAATAAAATAAAATAAGTACCCATAAAAGCATCTTTGTTTCTAGGTTTCTCCATTCAAACTATCCTACCCACAACTATCAACTTTCCAAAAGCACTCCTTGAATCGTCTTTCATTTCCCCAGGAACCTCTGATGATCCTGATGCCAATGCTGTCAACTCTAAACTCGGCTTCCTACAGTCCTACAGCTTCTGGATCATTTTCTTTTGACAATTGCATGTGCATTTCTGGGCACTTCCCCAGTTAAGTCTGTACCATGGCTGCTCATTTCATAGGCCATGCTGTTGCAGTCTCTAGGTCTTTGCTCACAGCTGTGCCTTCTCCCTGGAATGCATTCTTTGCTCTTGCTGCCTGCCACCTCCATCCAAATCCAAGTTCTCTCCCTAGGTCTCTAAATCACATTCTTAGGATCCCCACCCAACCCTAGTAAAAGTAAATTTGTATTGTATTTGTGGTCTCTCCAGGCCACCTAACTTAGCACTCCCACTGCTTATTTTTTATAGTCTTCACTGATTGCTTCAGGCATGTCATGTCTTATATTTGTCCTGTTACCTACTACCCACTAGCCTGACCTTCTACCAAGCCACCCCACACCGTGCCAGTCCAAACCCAAATAAACAGGCAAAGCAAAGCAACAACAACAACAACCGAAACTTTGCACAGGGATGGACAGACACTAGATGCTCAATTAATAACTGCTGAAATAATTGTGCTCAAAAAGGGAGGTAAAGATTAATGGTGATGCTTGTAGAAGTCTGTGACTATTTAAAAACCACTGAATTGAACACTTTCAAGGGGTGAATTTCATGTCATATAAATTACATCTCAATAGAGTTGTTATAAAAAATGAGGTAAAAAATTTTATGAAAGACATTTTGAAAATGTGAATTTTACTTTTCTAGCAAAAGAAAAGATATAAAACAATAATACAAGAACGAAATTGAATCCTAGTCTGGGAATATTCTGAGGACTGGCAGTTTTTGTGGTGTTTCTTGTTATGTGAAACTTGAGAACAGGGCTGGCAAACTATGGCCTGGCGCATGTTTTTGTAAATAAAGTTTCATTATGTTGTCTGTGGCTGCTTTCACACTACAAGGGCAGAGTTGAGTAGTGGTGATGGAGACCATCTGCCCTGAAAAGATGAAAGTATTTACTGTCTGGTTCTATGGAGAAACAGTCTGCCTATCCCTACTTTAGAATGTATGCGTGAAGCTATGTTAACTTGTATTATTTATACAGCATACTCATGAGAAGCTAAAATTCTTAACAAAGTCTTTCTGATGCTGACAAGGTTTTTGTGATGTCTCAGGATGTAGCCCTGTGAAACTAACATCCTATGAATGAAGATAATCCCTTTCTTCAGAGTTTTTGTTAATTCAAGCACAGCGATTGACATCGAGGCATGTGGGTCCTTCTGCTGACGTTCAATTCTCACTTCCATCCCCTCTGTCCTTCAGAGCCCTTCTCCAACACCACTCTTCCTAGTGAGTTGACCCTCACTCTCTTCTGGAAGGTAGATTCCCACTTTTTAACCCTTCTTACGTTTGGCACCTCTCCCTGAAGCATTTCTTTCACTGTACCTTGGTTGGAAATTATTTGCATAATTTTCACTCCAAAAACCTGAAATAAATACCGGTCTTTGCACAGTTCCAGACGAGGGAGGCACAGAGATGAATGTGATATGGTATGTACGCCTGAGTTCACACTCCTGTCCTCATGAAGGCAGCCAGCTTTCTTGGACTCCCCCACTTTCCCTCTCCTTTCTGCATTACCTGTAGCCAATTTGTATGACTGTTTGCTTTCTTCTGCATCAACAAGGAAGAACCACACAGGTAGATTGTCAAAATTTCACCCTCGCTCCAGCACTTTTCTAAGTCCACTGGTGAAGTACGACTGACACACAGACAGGCGATTATTGGGTAGGAGTATGGGTCCTGCCATCTTGTGCCTGCTTCTGGATCATGGCTCCTCCAACAACTTTTGTGTGAACTTAACCTCACGTTCTTTATCTGTAAAATGGAAACCCAGTTCTTTGGGTTATCATGTGGATTGAAGGGAATGATATTTGGTAACATTGCTGGATATGTATGAAACTGTCAGAACATGTTACCCATTATTATTTCATTTTTCATTTCTAGCTCAGTGCTTATTCACTAATTTTTAGGTCAGGTAGTTAGAATGAGGGCCAGTATCATAGGTTATGGTTCTCCACTTAGTTTACACTTCCAGAATATTATGAAGTAATAGAATATTGTATCAGTTCATTTTCACACTGCTATCTAGACACTACCTGAAAAGGGCTAATTTATAAAGGAAAGAGGTTTAGTTGACTCACAGTTCTGCATGGCTGAAGAGGCCTCAGGAAACTTACAATCATGGTGGAAGGCCAAGGGGAAGCAAGGCACCTCCTTCACAGGCAGCAGGAGAGAAGTGAGTGAGGACACAGGAAAAACTACCATTTATAAAACCATCAGATCACGTGAGAATTCACTCACTATCATGAGAACAGCATGGGGGAAACCACCCCAAAAATCCAGTGATTTTGCTACCTCAACACGTGGGGATTACAATTCGAGATGAGAGTTGGGTGGGGACACAGAGACAAACCATATCAAATACGTAGCAATTTATAATTGGTCCATAAAAGGGGTATGACTTACTTCATTGTCATGATTAAAAAATAAATTCAGCTCTTCTACTCTGGACTGCAGATCTCAAATCCAGTCTTCTCTTGTTTCACTCCTTGTCTCTTTCTCTTTCATTTCTCTGTGTTACAGATGTTGCTGTCATATAAATGTCTTCCTATTTGTAAAGCCATTGACCTCACCTGATTGTTACGTATAATTTTTGGCTGCACAAATTACCTAAACCCTTCCAAGAGCATAATTAGACTCAGCAAACTGTTTATCTTTGTGTGTTTTTCACTGTAAGGTTCAAGCAGCAATACAAATGGAACAAAAAGAATCTGTGAGTCAACTACACTGTGCACACTGGTCCCATGAATTCTAAGTCATATGAGTCTAAGACTAAAATCTGTGGTGATCATGCAGAGATGCAAAGTATATGCCAGGTTTTCAAGGATCTTATTTTGATTAGACCTGTGGGTTTTTTTCTTTTCAATATCGTTGTTATTCAGAGAACATAAATGAGTTATGAGGTAGACAAAGGCATGAATACTTGTGATATATTTTACCTAAAATCTGCTGTTTCAGAGTTGGTTGGGAGCAGTACATACCAACTTCAGAAGAAATACCCTTCTCTTTGAACAAAATGAAAATTAAAATGATGCCCTTTTGTTCCTAGGAATGCTGCCTCAAACTTAACATTAGTTGTAATTTCTTGGACATCATTTCAAACCAAACCAGAGGTTACCCTCAGTCTGACTGCACCAGTTTAAAGCACATATTTTCATATTTGACATGTTTTATTATGGCAGAATCTGAAAGTATGGAGCAGTATGACGTATTAAATATCTGCAGCACCATATGTTTAGATCTCTTCATCTTGATAAATGTCCCACTCCCCAATTCTGCTACCTCCCTTTTATTGTGATTCAAGATCTCTCTTCCCTTCATGTGGTTTAATAGATTAAATTTTAGAAGCCAGAAAAAAATTAAAACAATGAAGGGGAGTTTCGTGTTATGCTTTTGTAGTGCTCTGAGAGGGATCTAAAAAGAAAGGGGGAGGATGACTTTATTTCTTTAAGTCTGATGTGCTTCATGATACCCGTGTCCTCATTCCACAGGTCAGAGTGTAGAGAAGACCACGGTAACAGGGGCAGTTGAAATGCAGCTATCTGACCCTCACCTGCTTGGTCAGGATTTCAGTTGTTTGCAGTTTGTCTGCAAACAGTTCTGGAGTTCCCCAGGTGACATCAGAGAGTCTCGCTCTGTCACTCAGGCTGCAATGCAATGGTGCAACCACAGCCTTGACCTTCCAGGCTTAAGTGAACCACAGGCACATGCTACCATGCCCAGCTAATTTTTTTTTGATTTTTTGTAGAGACAGAAGTCTGCCTATATTTCCCAGGCTTGTTTGGAACTCCTGGGCTTAAGCGATCCTTCTGCCTTGGCCTCCCAAAGTGCTGGGATTACAGGTGTGAGCCACCACACTCGGCCCCCAGGGGACCTATGGGTTCACACACAAGGCTGCTCCCATGGACATCACCTGGCCTCTGCTAGGAGCCGATGAGTATACACCTGCCAGTCACTGGTGAAAGTGGAGGTCTGAGGACAATGCTTACATACCAGGTTTCTGATAAGAAGTAAAAGAGGCCACCTCTGTCCTCCTCAGTTCACCAGAATAACAGGATGTGTGCAATTCCTGTTTATGCTTAAACTGCTGCATAGATTTAGGCTAATGACTGAATACAAAAACCAGGCATAGTAGTTTCAACCCAAGAAGCTGTGGAGCCTCAGGCTATAATAAGTAGCCAGAGAGAGGTTGAATGGGAACCTCCCTGTTGCCTCCACTCCTGACTCATCCAAAGCAACTCAACTTTTATGTGTTTTACACACTGAGACTCCAGAAAATTTTGCTTAAAATTTTACTCTGCCCTAATCAGTCAATTTCTGCTTGTGTTTTATGATTTGCATTTTAGTCTTATACAAAATACTTTCCTTTTAACAGAATACTTATGAATTTTGCGATTATAAACATGATCTTATAATACCTTAGGACAATATTTACGTTTAAAGAAAACACACCAACAGTATATTGAAAGCTGATGGGAAAATGAACTCTGAGAAGGAAAAGTGCTTTCATACAACTTTTAAGAACCATTCCTTTATCAATATAAAGTATTCCCTTATTTGAAGGTTTGGGCAAAAAAGGCAGGAGAGTTTTATTTCATAATTATTGTCAATTTCTAGGGGTTGAATAATGAACACAAAATTCATTAGCATTAAGCTTTAGCGATGAGAGAGAATTTATCGAACCCATTTTTCTGAACTATCAAAGGTATCTTGAAAGTCTCAAGTCATCCAGTTTCAATGCATACCTCAGAATATTCCCCTGGCCACCTTAGTGGATGGAAGGGCAGGCAAATAAAGATAGCTATTCCAAAGACAGAAAGAGTAATACAATGTCTTATCCAGAGAGTTTACAGAATCTTGAGTAGTTTTCATTTACTATGAATACGTGTGGGTTTTTTTTTTTTTTTTTTTTTTTTTCAGTGTATGAAGCTATTTAAGGCAGTTAGGTTTGAAAGGAAATGAAAAAATAAAGTGGATCTAGTGCAGAATGATGAGTGAGGAAACGGAGAATCAGAGAATTCCATGGAGAAAAGTAACAAAATCTCATCCAAACACTGATTACTAATGTGAATTCCTTTTCAACATCCCCAGATCCTCTTCTGTAACTTCAGTGATAGAGAAGCCCCTGAGAGATAGGCAGTGCACTGTCATGGGAAATGCTTAGCATCTCATGCTTTAAAGGCTCACATTTGAGTTCTGGCCCTACAAGACTCCTTCTAGAGTGAGACCCTGAGAAAATTTTCAGCTTCTCCAAATCCCGATGTCTTCATTTGTAAAATAAACATATAGTGCTGTGCTGGTCATTATGCATCTTGTCCCTCATTCTTTACCCTTATCTCTGTCCTTCTCTTTGCCCTAGGAGGCTTGACCTCTACAGAAAGCATCTTCCATGTCTCTTTGCTTACCAGCATCCTGTTGGGTTGTGTCCATGGAAGGCACCAGCAGGAGATGGAGGAGGGCGCAAGGAGAGAGAACACAGTACTTCTTTACTGGTCTCTGACTGCTCTGGGCTGTGTATTCTGGCTGTATCCTTCCCTGTCTACAGCTGCTTTGGTTTTATGTCAACAGGGTCTTTCCTGGCTCCTGTAAAGTTAGTTCTTTCCCATACCTCTTCAGGGCCAGGAGTAATAAAGTCTTCTCCTTCCTTCCTGCTGTTGCAATCTCTGAGAATCTCTATGTCTCTTGTTCTCTTTGCTCTGACCTCTGTGTCAACCATTCAAAGTGTCTTGAACCACCTGCACTGGATTCTCATTCCTGTCAGGACCCTGTCTCATCCCAGTAACTAGTCTTTCTCAGATTTGTTGAGAAGTTCTAATGCAGTACTATATGAAGGCTTTTTAAGAATTTTACAGCTGTTACTTTTCAACCTTATTGTACCAAACTAGCCATTTCTTTTTCATTGAGCTCTCATACTTATTATCTTAAACTTGCTTGTACATTAATATGATGTCTCCTTTCATATTAGGGATTAAATGTAATCATTGACAGCTCTTCAGATTCTTAAAGACAGTGGCATTTGCACCCAGGCCTTCTGTTCTTTGAGCTAATCAGTCAAAATTACTTCAAATATTATTCACATGACTTGGTTTTAAGTTTTTCCTCCATTGTAGTCATTCTGTTGCGCACATCCCAGTTCCAGATCATTTCCTCTGTAATGTTCAGAACTTGACTCAATATCCCAGATATCATCTCACCAGACAGGAGTTAACTATTTTTTCCTTTTCGTTTGTCTATCAGCCTCTTCTCTGCAGCACTTTTTTCCTTTTTCTTTTTTAACCTTGTACATTAGGCAGAACAGACCCCCCAAAGATGTCCATGCCCTAATATCTATGAATTAGTAACAGAACTTGTGAACCAATGAGTATGTTACAGAAATCTTCCATGGTTAAAGGGACTTTGCAGATGTAATTTAGTTAAGGATCTGGAGATGGAGAGACTGTCCTGGATTGTTCGAGTGGCCCCTAGGTAATCACAAAGGTCCTTAAAGGAGGAGGGAGGCAGAAAAGGAGGTCAGAGTGATGCCATATGAGAGCTCAACTTGCTGTTGCTGGGCTTGAAGATGGAGGAAGGGACCATGAGCCAAGAAATGTTAGAGGCCTCTAAAACCTGGAAAAGGCAAGGAATTAGATTGTTCCCTAAAGCACCCAGAAAGGAATGCCGGTCTCCTAACACCTTGATTTTAGTCCAGTGAGACCCATGTCTTATAGACCTGTGAAAATAAGTCTATAAGATAATACATTTGAGTCGTATTAAGCAACTGAACTTGTGGTAATTTTTTTTAGCACAAGAATAAACAATACACTTTGTATGAAACATTGATCTCATTTTTTTTTCTTTTCATAAGATTGGCCCTATCATTCCAGGTTGTTGAGAATATCTTTACTCATATTTCTATTATTTATTGGATTAAGTGTCTGTTGAGGATTCATTCATTCCTAAATTTGTTCTGCATGGTAACCATGTTACTTATGTAGGTCTTGGCCACAGCTGGATCCTGATAAAAGTCCAAAGGTTTGATATTTGGCATTTCTCTCTAAATTCGCAAGGATGTATTAATCAACACCATTTGTAACCGTATCTTACTCGACTGTAGCTCCGTTTTTTTTTCTTTCTTTCTTTTCTGGAGGCAGGGTCTCAGTCTGTACCCAGGCTGTAGTGTGATCACAGCTCACTGTAGCCCTGCATCCTTAACCTCCTGGGCTCAGGAGATCCTCCCACCTCAGCCTCCTGAGTAACTGGGCCTTTAGCTACTATTTGTCTATATTATCCACCAGACCATCAGGACAGATTTGTTACTTTTTTTTCATGAGAAGCATATTTAGAGAAATTTGCCATCTCCCCTATCTACTACTCTAGTAATTCTATCAAAAATTGATATCAGAGTAGTCTAGTGAGTAATTTAGAACACAGTTGAAAAAACTTTCAAATTAAAATCCCAATTTCATTACTTATGACCATTCTGTAGCCTGATAATCCACACAAAGAAGAACAAGAAACATTGCCAGAATTAATTACTTTTACATCTCCTTTTTCAATAGCTAGAGTGGGTTTGTCTTACGCCACTCTTAATGCCTTGCCTCTATGTGAAAATGCAGGATTCCTGGAAGGCGCAATCCTTTGGGAACTTGCAGAAGCAACTTCATGTATTAGTGGTCATCAAGTAAACAATCAGCTACCTTGCTAATAGTGTCATGAGGGTAACTCCTGAACTGCTGTGCTACTTTGCTTTGGGCATTAGTGGTTTTGTGGCCCCTTCTAAGCCATTTACACAAGTAGGAGCAGTGAGATTTGCTCTTTTCATTGGATCATATTTTCTTCTTGCGCAGAAAGCCTTGTATTTTCTGCTAGGCACTTGGTTGGAATGGGATCCATATCAATTTGTCTCAGCTGCTGAATGGTACTTACTATGTTATATGGTGAGCTATAAAGCTCTGTTCTTAATAAATAGGTGAACTGCTTTTCCATCCCTGTTTCTCATTTAATTTAATTTAATGGAGAATATTCAAATTGGCTACATGATGCTAATTCATGTTTAAAAGTGTCTGAGTTTGGAATTCAAGTCCTTAGAGTATGTCAGGACAAAGAGGTTTATGAGAGAAGGTGTATTTATTGTTGAGATGAGTAGAAGAACTTAATTTTAGTTTTATTTTAATATTTAGCATCTTCATAGCTACTTTTAAAATCCACTAGAGAAAATCTGCTCAGGTCATATTTCTAAGATCCTGACAAAAGAAAAAGCCATTCTCTTGAAGGTTGGGGAAAGATTGTCTTGCAATTCTGCTGACTCAACTGTAAAGTTACAATGAGTACATCTCATACAATTGAGTAGTGGCCAGTAGTAAGGAATTTGGTGTTTGACATGTTTAATATAACTCACATACATTTGCAATTTCAAGGAAACACAATATTGTTTATAGAAGCCCTCTAATTTTCATAAGTTGCTACCTTCATTTGGTACCTACTGATTATCATGTGCTAACTAGGAGAAAACACCTACAAGCAAACAATATTATAGTGCTGCGATTGATTCTGCTTTAATGTTGCTTGTTCAGGTAGCAAAGCCATTAGCTACTTCTTGATAGTTTTTATGAATAGACTTAGCACCTAGTATTGAGCAACCACTGAAGAATGCATCTTCCGTTAAAAGGTTGATTTATTAGTTTATATGTAAAAGAACACTGGAGGTTATAAAGGTAACAAAGACCTTAAACATTACATTGATTTTTTTTTCTCAGAGCTTTTTTTCTTCTTGTTGTATTGCAGGGTAATAAAATTTCACTAGGCCCATTGGATCTATAAAATCTGAAGTACAACCACCAACTGATACAAATGAAATTGTTTGACTGGAGCGATAAGCAAGGACTTGGCTTTGAACTCTGAGCAGTATAAGTCGTTTCTCTGGCCCGTGAGGGTGAATTACAGCCTGCTGTGCATTAAAGGACAGGCATGTATTTGTAGGAGCTCCCAGTTCAGTAATCACTGGGTGATACAGTGACCTTTACATGGCCACTGTAGTTTCACAAAGAGGCTCTTTAGACATGGAAAATCAACACCATGCCTTTTTAATAGAACTTAGATATTTCATTATGCGAATTAAAATTGTGGATGGATATAAGATCTTTGATTTCTGAAATAAAAAGTAGAATAGGAAAATAGGAAGTTTTGTTTGCAAATCTCAGGATGTATTATATTTAAGATAGTGAGCTTTTCTTTCTTTGTGTGAGTTGCAGGCTCCCCATAGTATAATGTGCTGTTCTGTGACAGACTAGAATTTTTTGGGCCTCTACTATGTGCTGGGCACAGACTTAAGTAAATTCTTGGCATGCGAACCATTAGCTCATGTTACCTTTGTCTCCCTGTAGCCCCAGTACTGTCCCTTGCAGCTCCCAGCACTCTATCACTCTATCACCCAGTGCTTGAGGCATGATTCCCTTATTACCAGCCTCATCAGTCAAGTACAATAGAGAGCCAGTGGGAAAGAGCTCTGAAACCTACCCAGCAAAGTGAAGTTCTGATTGCAACGGTGAAGGCTTGAGAGCAGTATGCAAATTAGCGAAAAAGTAGGCGAGGTCTACCTTAAAGCTGGCCCGGCCTGGCGTGGTGGCTCACGCCTGTAATCCCAGCAGTTTGGGAGGCTGAGGCGGGCGGATCACCAGGTCAGGAGATAGAGACCATCCTGGCTAACACGGTGAAACCCCGTCTCTACTAAAAATACAAAAAATTAGCCGGGCGTGGTGGCGGGCGCCTGTAGTCCCAGCTACTCGGGAGGCTGAGGCAAGAGAATGGCGTGAACCCGGGGGGCAGAGCCTGCGGTGAGCCGAGATCGTGCCACTGCACTCCAGCCTGGGTGACAGAGCGAGACTCCGTCTCAAAAAAAAAAAAAAAAAAAAAAGCTGGCTCTGTTGCCATTTTTGTAAATTGATATAGAAGTGATTCAGATGGACCTTTCCCTGGCCAGCTAGCAAAATTTTTAATTCATCCAGATAAGTGACCTGAAGTCTCCAAAGGTATAATTTAAAGGCATCCTTGACTGCTATCACATACCTGGGGGTGGCTAGAGTGGGAAGTAAATTCACAATAACTAGCTCTTCGTCTGTTACTGCCATGACGAGGCAACCTGAAGCCACTGAGGCCTTAAATCAAAGCCATATGCTAGACAAGTAGCCATCTTTCAAAGGTACTGTCTTAGTCTGTTCAGGCTGCTATAACAAAATACCACAATTGGCTGGCAACTGACTTTTATTTCTCACAGATCTGGAGGCTGGGAATTCCAAGATCAAGACACTGGCAGATTTGGAGTCTGGCGATGGCCTGTTCCTCATAGATAGTGCCTTCTAGCTGTGTTCTCACACAATGGAAGGGCAAGATAGCTTTCTGCAGCCTCTTTTAGGAGGGCATCTAATCGTATTATTCATGACCTATTCACCTCCCAAAGGCATGCCTCTTAATACTGTCACACTGGGGATGAGGTTTTAACATATGAATTTTGGAGGGATACGAACATTCAGACCATAGCAGGTGCATTTATCATCTTTTATTTTTTGGAGCCTAAATTCAAATTTGTCTTTCCTGTCACTTTTACCATAACCACAGATTTATTTGTTTTTCATTTTGCTTTAGGTATTATGTGTTGCATATAATATGCCATATTAATCCCCAACACAGTGGAGAACCAACTGTGCTGGAGAGGTTAGGATGGGGGTCAAAGAGGTGCTAAGTTCCGACTGGTAGGTCCCTCTTTTAGTTTGATAGATATGATTGGAGCACATGTTGGTGCACATTGGAGCCAGGTGCAGAAATTTGACTGTTCTTGCAATGAATTAATGTTACACAAAATTGGCCGGGCGCGGTGGCTCACGCCTGTAATCCCAGCACTTTGGGAGGCCGAGGCGGGCGGATCACGAGGTCAGGAGATCGAGACCATCCTGGGTAACATGGTGAAACCCCGTCTCTACTAAAAATATAAAAAATTAACCGGGCGTAGTGGCGGGCGCCTGTAGTCCCAGCTACTTGGGAGGCTGAGGCAGGAGAACGGTGTGAACCCGGGAGGCGGAACTTGCAGTGAGCTGAGATTGCGCCACTGCACTCCAGCCTGGGCGACAGAGCCAGACTCCGTCTCAAAAAAAAAAAAAAAAAAAAAAAAAATGTTACACAAAATTGTGTCTCACATATTGCCATATTGCCTAAAGATTGTGTTCTAAATGAATATCTGATAGGGTCCAATTTACTTTTGCAAATAAAATGCCCTGAAGTCTCACATTACTCCTATGCATATGTGTGTTCGTTTACATTGTATGACTGCCAGTCTTGTGTAAGTGAAGTGGAAACATGTACATAAAGAGCAGATGAGTGTTACACACATTCTCATGTTATGCCAGGATGGTGCTGATGGAAGGCTAAGTCAAGCGCCACAGTCTAGGTAAGTTCTTGCAGCAAAGGTTCCTAAACCAGGGTAGACAAATACGATGTATACATCCAGCAGCATTTCATGCCAGCCATCACTGCTTGATGAGAGCTTTCTTTCTGAAACCACAAAATGCATCTCAACACTGCATTCCAGATAGCCCATGTCAGTCACTCACTGCTGTCATACCAACAGGAATCCAACTGCCTTTTGCCACCCTTACCCTAGAAGATCACTCTAATGGCCACTGGGCAGAGCTGCTTTGCTGCCAGCAGAAATAGACATGAGTTTAATGTGGGCCACAGGGTACACGTCACACCTGCCAGCCCACCCACATTATCCCAGCAAAACAATGGGCTAAGTAATTACTTTGCCACAAAATGTCCGTTTCCCTTGTGATTGAGTCAGTGCTAAATGCATCTTACCTTAGCTGGTAGAAATGACCTAAATGATATAACAAAGCACAGCCAAACCCCTGCCAGGTAGACCTTTGGAAATTTGATTCTCAAGCAAGTAGCGTTTATCTTTCTGACTGATGTCTAGCCATGTTTCTATTTCTGTATCTATCTGGAGCTCTGCCTATCTAATCCTTTGTTATTGCTGGTAATTTCAGGAAGGGGTTGGGGGTGGAAATTGCCTTTGAATGGAGTAAAATTTAACATCAAACCTGTGAAACATACCTTGGGGTGTTCCAGTGGTTATCAGCTCTAAGACCACACATTCTGCAGACAGAGCATGTCCTAGAATACCTGCATGGCCAGTTGATTCGTCTCAGAAATCCCACATCTTGATTTTCCTCTATCTTCTGTTATTGTCTCACTTAAACTAGGTTGATCTTATTGAAGGGGAAGAGGAAATTCACATGTCCTGACCGGTGTCAGAATCTTTACAGTTATTTCATTTAATCCATATAATGCCACTGAGACATGGGCATTATTATCTCATTTTTCACATGAGACAACCAAGGCTAATAGAGTTTAAGGCACTTACTGATGATCTTCACAATATTGCTTAAATTTATGAATGGGAGAGCCAACATTCAAATATGGGTTTGGAAAAAAAAAAGCCAAGCTGTTTATCTAATGAAGGATATTACTTTTCCCCTTTTAGCAACTCATGAGAAAAAGAAGTCTTTATGAAATTTTTCTTTGAAAAATGTCATTAAAAGTTTGTTTTTGTTCCAATAATCCAAACCTTTGTGGGTTCTAGTTTATGAAAAAAAGATGTGCCTTATTCCGTGATTTCCTTCTAAATAATGAATTAGAGAGAGGTAAGGTAATTCTCTGAAGGATGCAGATAGACGAATTACACAAGTTCTGGGTAAATGTGCTGACAATAATGAATAGAATTCCTATGCAACTTGATTTGGTGCAATATTGCCCAGTTCATATGGTGCCAACCCTCATTCTTCCCCACCCCTCCAGCCTCGTTGCTTCTCTTCATTTTACCTGATTCTTTTCAGAAAAGGTGGGAATTAGATGTGTGAAACTTACATGATAACCCAGGGATCCCCTTTTTCCAGTTTCTCTAAGCTAAAATAAGTGACATGGTCTAACTCATCCTATGTGTAGGTGGGATGCCAATATTTCACCTCTACAAACCACATTAAGTGGCAAGGGATACCTGAAATGTAAATAACACTCCATTAAAGTATAACTTTTAAGAAATTGGCAGAATCAAATCCCTGTGCTTGAATGGCATTTCGAAGCACTGTTAATTCCAAGAATTTTTCTCTCTGTTCAAGTCACTCCGAGGAGTCATTTTCATTTGCCTGTCTGTTCAGGATTTTATGGCATGTAAGTGACAAGCACTCCCTGTAACACATCGTGGGAGGGCACCCGCTAAAAGAGAGCTCAAACTGAATGACATTGGATGTGAAATGCAACCTTTTTCTGCCAGGCTGTGTGATATTTAGCATGCCTTGACATATGCTAAGCTACAAAATTTTAAAGCACAGATCCCTTGGGAATGTTACATGGAATATGTGGGTCAGAATTCTCTCGTGATTAGTTAAAATGTCTAAAACATTTTTCACAATTTCAAATGAATTTTTTCTTGAGCTCTACCATAAAAATTTGACATATTGAACATGACTTTACAGACTTTAGTCTCTAAGTAAATGGCTTCACACTATTGGAAGAATCAATTATGGTGGATCTTTCTAATGCATACTGTCTATAAAAACAAGCCAGGCTCGGTGGTTCACACCTGTAATCCCAGCACTTTTGGAGGCCAAGGGGGGCGGATCACTTGAGGTCAGGAGTTTAAGACCAGCCTGGTCAACATAGAGAAACGCTGTCTCTACTACAAATACAAAAATTAGCCAGGTGTGGTGTCGCATGCCTGTAATCCCAGATACTTGGGAGGCTGAGGCATGAGAATCACTTGACGCTAGGAGGCAGAGGTTGCAGTGAGACAAGATGGCACCACTGCCACTGTACTCCTGCCTGGGTGATGGAGTGAGACTATGTCAAAAAAAAAAAAAAAAAAAAAAAGAAGAAAAGAAAGAAAAGAAAAGAAAAAGAAAAAGACAAAGAAGGAAAGAAACTGACAAGTTTTAATAATCAAGATATTGGTATCTTGAAACATCTAAAAATAAAATAATTACTGGTGATAGGTGAGGGGAATACATACGTATATTTTTTGCTTGCCCACAAAATTCTGGGTATGTTACTATTTGCTGTCCTTCATATCCAAAAGAGATGCTCGTAACCCATTCATTTTTCTATGGTGAGTTTTTTTAATATCATTTATTGAAGTTTGTGGCCATATTCAAACAGGCAGGTATTTTATTTCCTCTATTAGATAAGGTATTTATTTATGTTGCTAGCACTTGATGGTTATGTTCTCCTTGCTTCCGTCTTATATATATATATGTGTGACTAGAATCTTTTTTGGGGGACAGGGTCTTGCTTTATCACCCAGGCAGGAGTGCAGTGGCACAGTCATGGCTCACTGCAGCCTTGAACCATGGGGCTCAAGCGATCCTCCCACCTCAGCCTCTCAAGTAGCTGGGACCACAGGCCCCCTCCACCACACCAAGCTATTATTTTTATTTTTTGTAGAGATAAAGTCTTTCTATGTTGTTTAGCCTGGTCTCAAATGCTTGGGCTCCATTGATCCTCCCGCCTTGGCTTCTCAAAGTGCTAGGATTACAGGCTTTAGCCTCTGTGCCTGGCCTGTAACTGGGACCTTTACACCTACGTCATTAACCTTAACAGCCCTCTGGGGCAAGAGCATACCTGTGATCATAACAGGAAGGAAAAAAGCTGGGAAGAAAAGAAAGAAGGCAGCCAATGAAGAGATATTCAGAATGATTGTTGTCCTCGCCACTCCATGGAAATTGCTCTTTTCAAAGCATCAGTGACTTCTGTCTTGCCAAATCCAAATGTCGTATCTTTTACGACTTTTAGCAACATTCAAACCAGGTGATTACTATGCCTTTATTGCAACTTTTTTTATTCTATTATTTCCTTCCTTCCTACCTTCCTTCCCTTCCTCCTGAGACACACACCTTCCTGTTTTTTCCCCTAACCATACCAGGCATTTTTTCCAGAACCACTTTCCTGGAGGTTCTTCTGCTCCTGATTCTAAAATTCGCAGTGCCTTGGCTCTTCTCCTTCTAAACACACTCTTTAGCAGGTCCTGTCTATTTGTTTCCAAGGCTGTAAATTCCTCCTGTCCATTCATGACTTCCAAGTTTATAACCCCAGCCCTGACTTCTCTGTGCTCAAGCCTATGCGTGCACACACGCGCACGCACGTGTGTGTGTGTGTGTGTGTGTATGTTACTGCATAGTTGAGCTTTCTAGTGCAATGTCAAACAGGCAGCTCAAACTTTATATGTGTAAACTAGAATCATTGTTTTTTGAATCAAGACTGCTTCCTCTCCAACTGTTCCTACCCCAACCATCCTCATCTCAGTGTGTGCACCGCTGATCATCCAGGCGTCTAGGTCCCAAACTTAGGAGTTGTGCTTGCCTCCTACCTCACATTCAATGCACCTGCAGGTCCTGTAGTCTTCTCCTTCAAAAGGTCTCAATCTCTACAGGCTCACTAGCCCAACAAGTTTCACCTCCTCAACTAATGCAAGGGATTCTAATGTGTCTCTTTGTTTCCTCTCTTGCCTCATGATGACCAATTCTCCAAATAGTAGCTAGGGTGATCTTTTATAAATGCACGTGAAAACATCCCATTTTTCTGTTTGAGCCTTCTCGAATAAAATCCTAATGCCTTACCCTGATGGATCAACAAGATGAGCTAATTTCTCCAACAAACAATCCATAAAACTCAGTGATTTAAACAGATTTACCTTAAAAGTTATACATAGAATTACTGTATAGCCCAGCAAGTCCACTCCTAAGTATATACTCCAAAGAATTGAACATAGTCACTCAAACAAATACAGGTACACACATATTCATCACAGTGTTGTTCACAATAGCCAAATGGTGGAATAACCCAAATGGCTATCAACAGATGATTGGATAAAAAATTGCGGTAATGTTCTCTAGCCATTAAAAAGGAATGAATAACCAATATATACTTCAATGTGGATGAACTCAAGAACATTATGCTATATAAAAGAAGCCAAAGCAAATGGTTATATATTGCATGATTCCCTTTATATAAAATATCCAGAATTGGCAAATCTATAGAGAAAGAACATAGGTTGGTGGTTATCATGGGCTGAGGAAAGGGAGAAATGGGAATTTTAACAGGCCTGGAGTTTCCTTTTGGAGTGATGGCAATGTTTTCACACTAGATAGAAGTGGTGGTTGCACAAAATTGTGAGTGTACTAAATACCACTGAATTGTTTACTTTAAATTGATGAATTTTATGTTAATTTTACTTCAATAAAAAAAAAACAGAGCTCATTTATATCACACCCTCATCTAGAGTAGCTGAAATTCCTGCTCTATGTGTTGGTCATTTTCAGTCTCAGAACCCAGGCTGACAGAGTAGCCACTGTTTAGGGCATTCTTTGTAAAATACAAAATTCATGAGAACAGAAAATTGTTTCATTAAATAGTTTTAAAATAGGCTGAGTGCAGTGGTGGCTATGAACCCAGGAATCAGCTTGGGAACAGTTTTCCTTTTCTCCATATGGAGCAAAACATGCAACCCAGTAGCTGGTAGCAATAGTCTCCGTGGTCCATTCAGGAAATGGCAGAGGAGATTAAGAGGCTGAGAGTTATTCCAGCATTTTGGGAGGCCAAGTCAGGAGGATCAGTTGAGGCCAGGAGTTCGAGACCAGCCTGGGCAATATTGTAAGACCCTCAACTCTGCAAAACCAAACAACACAAAAAACAAAATATAAACAATCCCCCCACACAAAATAAAGATATACAAGGAAAAAATACCTGTTTGACAAAAATTCCATTTCGTATGGTTACTTGATATCTGTATGTTAGTTATTTGTCTTCGCCTTATTTAGAGAGTTGAAGTTCAAGTGTTTACATGGCATGACCCTTCTTTTTTTTTTTACTTTGAATCCCTTCGTTGCTCCAGTGTTATTCCAGATTTCATTACTGATCTTCCAACTACCCCTTTTTGTATTGAGACCATTTGTGTTAAAGAAACTGTTGAACATAATCACATTTTTCGTCTTAATAGCCCTATGAGACAGATACTATGATTATCCTTATTTAATTGGTGGTGAAGTAGGCTCAGGGTAAGCAGTTTGTCTGTGGTCACACCATCTATTAAGAGACATCATTACTTATGGAGTGCAGACTGTTGACTTCAGGGACCAAATCTAATGACTAAATTATGCTGGCTTTCCTTGTGCACTACCAACCAATATTAAATCCAGTTTAAGTGACTAAATTAACAAGAACAACAACAACAAAAAAATTTTAATGTGAACAAGAAGAGCACACATTTATTAGGTAGCTGGCCAGGGATTGGAACTCAATATTTTGGGGGAACAACAAACTAAGCCAACTATTTCTTGTGCCTCTTTTGGAGCCCCGTGCTCTAAAGATGGCTCTTTTGAAATTCAAGGACAGCAAATTATATGCATTTGTTCCTGATTAAGCTAATTCACTAAGCACTTTGCATAAGAACATGGCTAAAGAGAGGACTGTCCTTCCATCCACTGGATTTCAATAACGCGGTTAAAAGAAAGAGGTCAGAAATAAAGAAATTACAGGTTTGTTTCACCTTCCTTTTAAAATCCTTATTACAGACATAGGAATGTTTCCAAATAAATTGAGAGAAGAACAGAAGTAAACTACCTGTATATGAGAACTTAAGGAGACCACATAGAGACAGATAGATACTTTGGTTGAGTCTTTAGCTTATAACTTAAACAGTGGTGGTAGGGGACTCACTGTGCTTTTTTCTGCCTTCTCTGTCTTCCTTTGGTTGCTTTTCCTTTCACTCTTGGCCAGTGATTATTGAAATAAAGCATTTATCTCTGTGTGTGATCAATTAAATCGGAAACACTTTTTGGGTTTTACAATTCTGTTCAAGGTATTGTTTGGCTTTGTGGTTTCTAAGATATATTCCATGCCAAAAGTGTGGTTTTATTGACAAATGAATACATTTAGCTGGAAGAGCAAGACAGCTTTGGAGGAGGTGGAGGAGGTAGAAATAACTTACTAGATGGCACGATTTGAAAGTGACCAAAGCACTCCCACCACCTGTGAAAGCGACTGATATTCTACTGTTACTACATGTGAAAGGTTTAGATCCTTACAGTAAATAGGTGCATACTCCTAGTAGGGGTAAGCATTTATGCCCTCATGAACTAATGCCTTTCTTGGGGCATGGTGAATGAACAGCCTTTGGGAACAGTGTTATAGAGAAAGGGAATTCAGATGGGAATGGGAGGAGCAAGCAATGGTAGGAGGACAGTAATGGAGAGCAAGAGGAAAGGCTCCCCCAAAGTCAACCTGCTTCACCACCAGGCCAACCTCTTGCTAGATCAGGGGCTTATTTCTACTCCACGGGTATGAGGCTGCTTGAAACCTCTTTTCAAAAATGCCTTGGGGAAGAAATTCTAACTATGCTGATTGTGTCAAAGAGCCTGTCTTAATTCTGAAACATAATTCCAAATATTTCTGGCCTTCTAGAATACTGTACCTATTCTAACTTAGTCATGTCAGTCTCAGCCTGTTATTCTCCTCTGCTATACCCTGAATAGACCACGGTGGCCATTGCTACCACCTACGGGGCTGCATGTTTTGCTCCGTATGGAGAAGAGGAAAAGCGTTTCCAAGCTGATTCCTGGATTCACAGCATCTATGTTAAGTATATTAGCACCTTCCATTTGCAACTGGGAGGGTTTCCTCAGGAATTTTATTCTGTCGGGTATTAGATACAATAATAATAGGTGGCAGGCCATACTGGAGAATGGAGGGCACCAGTAAATTACTGTGAGGAAAGCAATTTGACATCCTTTCATCCTTTGATGAAAGCTAAATGTGAAATCTAGGTGTAAACGTCTAAAAAAATTGAAAGTCACACTCAGAGGGGGAGACCTAGGAGTGTGGCGAAATCACTACTCAGAGAGGGAAAAGACTTGAGGTTGGACTGTGATTTGACAACATTATTTCTTTCCAAGATTAATGTGTCTGTGGAACTACTTGGCCTTATTCCTGGGTCCTATCAATTTAGCAAGGACATTTACACAAATGGCTTCTGTAGTCTAGCTGATATTGGGGCCAGAAACACTGGCCCAAGAATTCAGGTTCTTCTGTTTTGAAAGACGTATAATGCTGGGGAGGCGAGACAGCCCCATTTTGGCATCCTTAACTTGTTTCTATCCTTCTACCTAAGGCTGTCTGATAAGGACTGTGAATTTTACCTCACTATGTCTTTGTTCAATGTTTCTTGTAAACTCAAAAGCAAATGTACAGACATAGTCAGCTATTTCCTCCCCTCACCTTCCACTCAAAAATATACTTTCTTTGAACTAATTTATTTTCCCTTCCTCAAGACACGCATATAACATATTATCATCACTATTATCATCATATTTCCTTATATCGTTTATTAATAGTTTCATATATACATCTCATTTCCTGAATTAATGGTGTTTTTCTCTGAGGCGGGTCTTTATCTCCACAGTGCCTCGATAAAGAATATGAACGCTAGCTCTTATGTGGTACCTACTTATCCTAAGGCAGGTGCTATGTTAAGCACTTTGCATGGATGACCTCATTTACTGCTTTCAAACCCTGATACATTTGGTATTTATAATTATCCCCCTTTTCAGAAGTGGGAAATATGGCTTTAACGTATTGTCTTACATCACAAAAATGTGAGAGCAGAGGGATTTGAACTCAGGTTTGGTTGCATGAAGAGCTATGTTGTACTTTTTTCTTAGTAAATATGTGATACTTAATGGTGCCTTAGTGCTTTGGAACACACTTTCTTGAAACGCTGTGGCTTAAAACAGCACCATTTTCTTTTTTTGCTCCTAAGTCTGCCCCTGAGTTTGTAGTTTGGACAAGGCTAAGCAAGGATAGCTCTACTGTGTGTCAGCTGGAGCAACTCTACTGGGCTGGAGGTCCCATCTAAGGGGGTCTTACAAGTTGGTTCTAGTTGCTGGCTCAGTTCTCAGCTGGGGCTGTAAGTTGAAAACCTCATTGCTCCACCACCTAGTGAGTTGGGATTCTTGCAACACAAAGGCAGGAAATGCCAAGGCTTCTTATGGCTTGGGCCCCAAAGTGGCACAGCATCACTTCCAAATCATTCTTTGGTTGCAGCAGATCACGGGGCCAACCAGACTCAGAGAGGGGACCATACAAGAACATGAATACTGGCAGGCACAGTTCATCGTCATGGTTCAAAGTTAAGAGTCTGCCACACAAAAGGAGCAGAACCTTTGTTCATTGTTTTATTATCAGCAAAAAATCTATTAAGTACCCATTTTATTACCATTTATGCAGCGCTACAATAAGGATAGAGAAGAAGATACAGCTTCTACTTGTGCTCTATAATAGTACCTGATACCCCAGAAATTCAAACAGAAACCAAAACAAAGCCAATCAAAATGACAAGCAAGAGTGGTGAGTATAAACATGCTGCACATTGGAAAATTTGGCATTTTCATTCTGGAGATATTTTTAAGAGCAACAACATCCAAAATAGTATTTTATTCTAATTCGTGGTATGTGTGCTCCTTTATTTTAGGCACTTTGACTGGCATGATCTTCACAAGACAGGGAAAAGACACTCAAACACATGCACGTCTTTACGTCTAGGTGCAAATGGAGTAAAAATTAGATATGCTGGAGTTAGGTTACAAGTGGAGTAAGAGCTGCGGGTGTCTGGATTAATGTGGTGGTTTATTCCAAGAGCAGTAATAAAGAGTCATATCACTTTCTATTGCAGCAGGGCATCCATTTAGGGAAGTGGATCTTCAGGTTTTGTTTCCAAAATAGAGCACATATTTTCAGTGCTCAATGAAAGAAACAAGGGAGAGTGGGTGACAGGGTGCTATGGCAGCCCTCGTTATTTATAGTTTGGCAATACTGTTAGTGTTCACCCGGTGGAGAACTGAATCCCATCTAAGCTCGTAATTTTCATATCTTTGGAAAGCTTTTAGCTCCTCTCTGCCTGTTGGCATGGTAACGTGACAAGAGTTATGATGTCAAAACCATATGAACTCATGATTGATCTAAAATTATTTGGGAAACTTTCCCATTTCAAATTTCCATTGAGAGAGAGAAAGAGGCCATGCAGCAACTTCATTCAAAAGAGAAAAAACAATCCGTTTTTTTTTAATTGCCCTGAAATAAATTCTCTATTTTCCTTTCTATGTAATGCTAAAAAGATTACTGTCTTTCTGATGTCTTTGGCATTTTCTTTCAAAATCAGATATTTTAATTTCCCTTTCTCTTGGTTATTTTTTTCCCTATTCTAATCAAAATCAATGGCTGATGTTAGCACGTTTTTCATGCTGCAAGTACAAAGCAGGGTAGGCATGCAGGCTGATGGATGGCCTCTGGGATTCTCAGGTCTTTCCTGAAGCGAAGTTGGCCCTGAGGAAATGTTGAGGGTTGGCAGAGAGGCCGGTACTATCTGTTGGGTACTTGCAAGCTAGAGATATTATTATCACTTCCATGTAGAGGAGAGAAAAACAGAGGGTCACACAGATGAGGTAAGTTGCCTGAAGCCAGAAAATGGTGGAACAGAGAAGATTTATTGGAAAAAAATATTGAAGCCTGTTAACAGGAGGAATAGGTTTTGCCCAGGTGAAAATAAGTAGAAAACATACTCCTAAGGTGTGTCAACCTAAAAAACAAACAGAGCCTCACCAAAATCTGATATTTATTCAGGAATAGGGCATTGCAATGGACAACCTGTGGCATAGTAAACTATGTATGTATTCACAGAGGTAAGGGAAGCCAAAGGATTTTAAGGAAAAACTGAGGAGTGTTACATAATTGTTTTGAGGTAATTATCCTTAGCTACAAGGATCAGTACCAAGGGCGAAACCAGTGTAAGGTTGGACAGGCAGTTGCTGGGCTTGTGTCTTCACAGAAGTACCTGATAGTCCAGAAGTTCAAACAGAAACCAAAACAAAGTATTTGTCAATCAAAGTGACAAGCAAGAGTGGAGTTTCTTTAGTTTTGTTTGTTTGTTTGTTTTGTTTTGTTTTTGAGTAATGTTGCAGTGGCCTTTGTCCAAGGTTGGGGTTTTCAGAGACTTTTGTGATACTTTTTGTTATCAGGCATTCATGTATGAGAGCCTTCCCTTTGTCGCCATCTTCAACTCTTTTTGTCATTTTTTTTAAACACAGATAACTACATTTTGAATCTGAAAACTTTCGCAGGTGTATCACCTTGGGAAACTTAGGAAACTTATTGAGCATGATTTCTTTTAGTCTCAGTTTACCAATCTGTAAAATGGGGATAATAATAGAAGTCTGCTGTAGAGATAATATATGAGAAGTGGAGCTAAAGATAAAGCCCAATGCCCGTCGTGAAGGAGACAAATAAATGCTAATTGCCCTGTAGAAGCAAATGGGTTTATGTGGAATCCTAAAAGGTTAGCGAGAAGGTTCAACACGTTTCTTATTTCAGGCACCATTTTCTGTGTTACTTAAGACATTGGACTTGACCATAAGGCTGGACATTGACGTACTTACTTCTGCTACCAAAATAATTTCCTGTCTCTAACCAAGTCTCAAACTGACCACATTTAAGTAAAGTTCTTCATCTTCAGTCTTCAACATCATCCCTTAGCAGCATTCCTAGTCAAAGAAGGATTTAAAGTTGGAGGAAGTTATGATATTTTTTCTAATATTATTTGATTCACATTCATATATATTTTTAGAGCAGATATAGGTTGAAGGGTCAGGCACTCTTCTAGGCAAAAGCTGAATGAAATGGACAAAATCCCCATTATTGGGGAGCTTAAATTTTGGTGTGGGAGACAGATAATACAAATTATAAACAAATAAAACATGCAATGTTATAAAGTGAAAATGCTAAGACATTAATCAATGAGAAGAAATTAAGTTGGGGAGGAGTCAGACGAAGCGTAGGAGGGGTAAAGACTGAGCTTGAGGTCTTAGATTAGGTAGCTCTGAAAGGTGTCATTGAGGTGACTTTCCATGCAGATACCTGGAGAACAGAGCGTCATACCAAGTAGAGGGGATAACAGGTGCAAAGGCCCTGAGGCCCAGAGTGTTCAGGAACATCAAGAGGCTGGTGAGCTTGGAACACGGTGAATGAGGAGGAGGCTTGTTTTCTCATTTTCTGCCCTAAGAATATCCTTCATGAGGTACGGAGCACTTGGACCAACAATCTGAAATAAATGGATAAGGAGTGACTTGCCTTATTCGTGAAACAAAATGATTTTGAGTTAGAGGCAGACTCTGGGTTCTCTCCATGGTATCATTCCAGTGGAACTTGGTCTTCAGCTGTTCCTCACAGTTGGTTTCATTCAGAGTCATCAAATCATTGTTCACCCTTCATGTATATGAGAGATGTAAGGATTTGGAAAAACAAACTCAGTTTTTCCTACTCTACTGTCACAACACCGTCAACACAAAACACTTCTGAGACCCCAGATGTGTGGGAGTTTCCCCCCACACACTAAGAGATCAATTTTGCAGCAGATTCTTCAGCAGACACCAGCTGGGTGTCCTCTACGTCAATTCGGTTCTGACCTAGAGGTAGTGTCAGATCCTACAGGTTGAGGGCTCAGTCCCATGAGGCTGTCCCTCACTTCAGATGCCATAGCAAGCACAGGTTGTGGCCTGTGCTTCTGACCAACCAGCTATAAATCAGCATTCCCACGACCCTTTCCTCAGGTCCGATTAATTTGCTAAAGTGGCTCATAGAGCTTGGAGACATACCTTACTTACATTTACAGTTTATTATGAAGGATATTACAAAAGATACAGATGAATAACCAGGTGGAAGACATGTGTTAGGGCAAGGTACGGGGAAGGGGAGTGGAGCTCCTATGCCCTCTGTAGGCGCACCACCCTCCAAGGAAGCTACACAAGTTCAAATTATCTGGAAGCTCTTCCAAACTCAGTCCTGTTAGGTTTTACTGGGAACTTCATTATGTAGACATGATTGATTAAACCATTGGCCGTTAGTGAGGCGCCCAACCTTCAGCTTCTATCCCCTACCAGGAAGTTGGGGGTTGGGGCTGAAACTCCCAATCCTCTAATCATGCCTTGGTCTTCTGGTGACCAGCTCCCAAGCTGAATTTATCTAGGGATCCCCAGCCACCTCATTAACATACAATAGACACTCATCACTCTGGAAATTCTAAGGGTTTTAGGAACTACATGTCAGGAAACAGAGAAGAAGATCAAATATGTATTTCACATTCTCACAAGAGGAAAATTTTATAAGCTTTTCTAATCTGTGGGCATGTGTCTGTAATAATTCCATTTAAATATAATTAATGCCTATCTCTGGTATAACAAGGATTTTTGCTTGCCATTCCTCACTAAACTGTGGGGAGAAATTCAGGCCAACTGAACAGGAGACGGATTGTGACTGAATAAGACACCATACCCTGGAGTTGAATTTCAATGGAATGTGATTCACACAACTACCTTCTGCAGAATGCTCCTTCCTTTTTATTGAGATGTAAACGGATTATGTCTCCATTCGAGAGCACTTTTGCTTTCTCTAGATGGCTGCAAAAGTGTCTTCTTCAGGCCTTTCCATCAGTGCAAGTTCAAATATTGCTGTCCCAGTGGATTAAAAGTTCTATTTGTTGATTTGTTTGTTCCATACATTTAAGATTTTGAAAGAATTTTAAGGGCTTTTGTATCAGGCACAGGCATTACGATTACATTTTAACCTCACAGTGACCTGAAAGGTATATTGTCCCATTGCATAGACAATAAAGCTTTGAGAAATTTAATACGTTCTTCCAAAATGTATATAGTACAGAAGAGCCACTGTTTCCTTGGTGAAGGTGTTTGCTTGTAGGTGTAGAGTGTTTGGCCAGTTCCTTCCCCACTTGGGGCACAGCCACGATAATGCAGAGAACAGCAATCATACTTGCCCTCTTAAAGAAAAAGGGAAAGCCTCATATTTCTGCAGTGCATTTAGGCACATCATGGCTTCCTGCCTTTCAGTGATCAAATTGTTTCTTAAATATGAGACTTGTTCTCAGAGTTATACAATGAATCCTATGCTAATCCACTGTAGAACTGCCATTTTGTTCTTTCCTCCCTGTGGTTTAGACTTTCTGATTCACACAGAGCTTGAAACTTAAATGTTCTACATATATTTAAAATAGTGTTTCACAGAAATGTATTAATAGGATAGTCTTACTAAATAATTGGGGGTAATTTATCCCTAATTTATGTGAATCAATAAATGCATGAGTGATGTAATTGCAAACGTACACACACACGTGCACATGCATATGCATGCACACACACACACACACACACACACACACACACACTGGTTCTCACTCTTCTTTGATATGAGAGATGTAATTATCATGTAGACCCAGGGGCAGTTTTGCACTCCAAGGGACATGTGGTAAACGTCAAGCATTTTTGGTTCCCAAAACTGGGGCAATGGTGCTACTGGCATGTATGTGTAGAGGCCAAGGAAGCTGCTAAACACCCTGTAGTGTACAGGACAGCCCCCACCACGAGAATGATCCAGCCCAGAAGGTCAACAGCACCTATTTAGACTTGCCTATTTTTAATATTACCACCTTTACTGGAAGCTTGAATTTGGAATCATGCTATCCTAGAAAATATTTCTGTTCTAATATCAAAAATGCTTTAAAAATACAGTTATTACATGCATAGTTTTAAATAGTGCATTATAATACAAACATACTAACACTAATTGGGGAAAAATGTAGATTTTTCTCTGTTGGAAACCTAAAATATAACGCTTTTTAAAAAATCTTAAAAATACTTGTTTTCCTAGATTTCTCCTCCCTCCCCCTCTTTTTCTTTATTTTTTCTTTCATTTTGTGAGCTTTCAGACTCAATAAGCCTTGCCAGTCTGTGATGTGTAAAATTATCTTTCTCTGGCCAGAGGGAATTATATCCTTCTCAGCCTCAATTCAACTCATCTGTCAGCCTTTACTGAGTACCTGTTGGGTGCTCAAGCTTGGGTGGTGAGTACAGTGGAAAGAAGGGAGTAATGCAGGGACTCTCCAGCTGAAATACTAGTACAGAGCAGCAGCGGGTGGTGACTCAGGCCTCAAACTGCCAAATGCAAAATCTACTTTGATTCCCACTTCCACATGAACAGGCCTTCACTGAAGTTCGCATAGGGTAAGGTTTTACCATTGAGATGCATATTGTTTTTTTCTTATGGAAGAGAAGGATAGTTTTAACTTAGGGAATTCAGTTGCATTCATTTCATAATAATGATACTAAGACATTCGGGCCATACATTTTGACCGTATATTTGTCTTGCACGGATTACTTGGGTCAAAGTTAGGGAGAAGGAGCTCTGCCACAGTTATTCATCAGGAGAGCCCTGGCTTTCGACATCGGCCACCCTTCCCATTTCCTTTGTTTGGGATGTGTGTTCCATCAAGAATTTAAGCCTTGTTCATCTGTCATCTCTGGCAGTTAGAAGTTTGCATCTAACCTGTGCTGTGAGAACTAAATTGTTCTCTGGCCACGGGTACCATATAATAATGACTATCATCAAGGGACACTACTCCCCCTTCCCCACCAATAGTTCTGAAGATCAAGTCATGTAAAGCGTTAGTCACCAGTTGCCTTCATCTTTTAGTCCAGAATCAATAGACAATCCATTGTTACCAGTCTAGAAGCCTTAAGTAGGATGCTAGGGGAGAAAAGAGTTTGATTCATATCTGTCCATTTGCTTCCCAGTCTACACAGTTGCTCATAAGTGCTGTAAGAGCCACCAACTACTGATGAGGAGCAGTTGGAAACACGCCTCTAGGCTTTTCCTAGAGCAAAATAGTATTAATTCTGGGGTCACTAATTCTTCATCTTTTCATGGTGCTTCATAATCTTCCATTAACAATAAGAGCTAACAGTGAAACAGGAACAATTTTAAATAGTTTGTGTATTATCTCATTTATACCCTGCCAGCAATGCTCTATTTTATCATGCCCTCTTGACATAAAGAAAACTGAGTCTCAAAGAGGTTAAGTCATTTGCTCAATGTCAAGACTTTTGTAAATGGCCAAGTTCATCAGATTTTAATTCAAGGAGTCTGGCTCTAGAACCTGCTCACCTGTTGATTATTCAGTGATACATCCCTGAGGGAATCACACTCTTGGATGAAAGCAGTGTGATTTTCTGATAGGCCGGACACAGTGGCTCAAGCCTGTAATCCCCGAGACTCCAGAGGCTAAGGTGGGAGGATCACATCAGTCCAGGATTTTGACCAGCCTGGGCAGCATAGTGAGACTTCATTTCCAAAAAAATTAAAAAACTATCCAGGTGCAGTGGTGCCTGCCTGTAGTCCCAGCTACTCATGCGGCTGAGGTGAGAGGGTTGCTTGAGCCCAGGAGTTTGAGGTTAGAGTGAACTATGATCATGCCACTGTACTCCAGCCTGGGTGACAAAGCAAGACCCTATCTCTAAAAAAGGAAAACCCTGATAACATGAGTGTGGGCCTGTGGAGTATGAGATTTAGAACATCATTTCGGTGTCCCAGCACAGAACCCAACATTCTTGATTGGTTGGTTGCTTTACATATTGGGGAAAATTAGCTGCAAGTTTCAAACCTAAAATGTTTAGCTCCCCTAGTCCCTAGAAAATAAAATACCAGAATTGGATGGGGCTTTGAAATTATTTAATTTTGTTTGTTAATTTATTTATACCTAGCTAATTACAGAAAGGATTTGAAGTGGTTTGTGATAAAACTACAGTACGACAAGACAAAAAGAAAGTGAGAAAATCCAGGAATGGGAAAATAAGTATTTAAAAAAAAAATACTAAGATAAAGCCAGAGATATCAGGCTTTAAGGCCCTGCACACTTACAAGTATCAGACCGCATATTTAAATATCAATTCCTAGCAACTAATGCAGAGAAAGGAGCTTGGCTAGATGTTGACTTATATAAAGCAAAACCTTTTACCTTTTACGCAGTAGGAACTTAATTGTTCATGGTACTGAGACATTGAAGCAGACATGAAATATAACCTGAGACTTTGTGTTCTCATCTATAACTGGAGATGTTGCATCCGATGACCTCTAAGTGCTTCTCCATCTCTAAGTATCTAAGACTCATGCCTTATTCAAACTTAATGAACACCTTCCAGTTTTTAAAGGGAAAATTATCTGTGTTTTCTTAGATTTGCATTTCTTTTTCTCATCCTAATTTCTTTTTCTTCTAGACCCAGTAACTCTTGTTGTTCTATGATTAAGTAAACTATGCAGGAGAAAAGCATCCTGGAGAATCACAAAGAGGATTTGCACTACATTGGTCCTGAAATGACATTGTCATTTTTAAATGCAAGTTTAAAAATGCAAGTTTTTAACTTGCTCATATGAGTAAATGCATATACTCATATTTCATAGGGACGATTTGTCACATGACATCATCTAATTCTTTTGAAGGCTCAGAAAAGAAACAGGGCTATGACATTGATTAGTACTGGTAATATCAACCTCATTGGTTTTAATATTTTTAACTCCAAAGCCCTCTAATTGCAAAAATTAGGCTCTTAGTGATGCATTTCCTCTGAAATTATAGCAGTTATTACTGAAATTTCTAATTGTTTTTATTGATTCTACAATTACATTTTGAAACCTCATTTGTAATATTTATATGGATATTTATAAACCTCATTATAATTATGTAAACATATTTAAAATCGTTTTTAAGATTTTTTAAAAGTAAAATATAATGTTAAGAGCAAAGGGCTATAGTGTGAATTTGTCTTACACGCATCATATGCATGTTTTGCTAATTTGGATAGATTTCAAGTTTTTCACACTGCTTGTTTTAGAAAAATAAGCAATTAGAAATTAATTTAGAAATAAAAGCTGCATGATCATCATTTTGTAGTCACACTTTAGTAAATAAGTAATTAACTGAAATATTTAAGTTGCAATATTACTTATTCATTTTGCTCATCGTTTACAAATCAACAAAGAAACAATTCTTTCTTTCTTTTTTTTTTAACAGTCAAACATTCTGTGCTGTCTTCCTCGATATATTCTGAATGGGCTCACTTGTTTTCACTAGGCTTTGCTTGGTATTAGAATTTGTGGTTGATGCGGCTCATTTATCAGCCACGTATGGAGAGATTCTGAAAGATGTTTTGTCATTTTCCACTGTCAAAATGATACATTCGCTTCTGTCCTGGTTTCTTTGAAAGAGCTTGAGTTGCACTTATTTTGCAGGGTAAAGCATGGAAATAAATGATACAAAACTAAGTAAACAGAGGGGAAAAAACAGGACTCAGAAAACCAAAAAATAGGGGGCTTCATTTTTAAGCACGCATTTTTAGACTAAGGGGAGATAAAATAAAATGTCCATAGCTACATTTTTTTAGGATTGATCCGGTTACCTACTTGCATCCTGACTATTACAGTGAGTCTTCAATTCTTGTGGATACAGATATGAAAAGAGAAGTAACTTTCCCAAGTTATGGTGGGAGAATAGTTTATTTGATCTTTTAGTTTTCCCTGCTTTGTGTTTTCTGGGTGTAATTTTTCAGCTATTTTATTTGTTCACTTACCATGAAAATAGGAAAGAACTATGATGTGACACTGACACCTGTAACTCGCTAACAGAGTCTGCTTATTACAGACTCCTAACTCTAACATGTATTCCAGAAGACAGTTGGAAAACACGGCCACAGTACACAATAGACTTGCTTTGTAATTAAAGTCATTCTTATGGACCCTAGGAAAATCAGTTATTATCATAATGTAAAGCAATTTTATCGAGCAAAAGCTTACTTTTTCAGAAAAGAAAATGTCCAGTCAAACTTGCCCATTATTTATTTCGTAAATTTTTTATGTTCAGATTTTTAAGTGTAAATACCTAACTAATGTATGTCCTTTCTGGAGAAATGAAATAGGAAAAAAAAGTATAAATCCTGGCAAACTTTGATTTAAACCTGGATCCGTAACCCAGAATTAGCCTTTCTTGATTAAACGACTTTGAGTTTCAGTTTCCTCATTAGGATAAATAAAGATAATAGAATATGAACTTCAAAAGATTGTTGTAAGGATTATATATAAAAACAGCCAAGTTCTTGGTTCATGGTAGTGTTTTGTTTTTGTTTTTGTTTTTATTTTGAGACAGGGTCTTGCTCTGTTATCCAGGCTGGAGTGCAGTGGCATGATCACAGTTCACTGCAGCCGCAAACTCACTGGCTCAAGAGATTCTCCCACCTCAGCCTCCAGAGTACCTGAGACCACAGGCATGTGCCACTATATATATATATATATATATATATATATATATATATATATATATATATGTATGTATATGTACACACACACATAACATATATATAATATATATAACATATATAACATATATAAAACATATATAACATATATAACACACATATAAAACATATATAACCTATATAACCTATATAACATATATATAACATATATAACATATATAACATATATAACATATAACACATATATAACACATATATAACATATATATAACAGAATCTGCTTATTACAGACTCCTAACTACACACACACACACACACACACACACACATGCACGCACACACACACATATATATATTTTGTAGAAATGGGGTCTCTCCATGTTGCCCAGTCTTCATGGTAGGTTTCTGATGTTTCTGTTAATTGCTCTTTGCTTCCTATTAGCATATCCTTTCCTACTCAGTGTAAAATGACAACTATGTGCTATGCCGGTGGCACCCCCTGGAGGCCTGTGACAGTATTTTGGTCTGTCGTCCTCAGTGCTTGCGTTTTTTTCTCTGGGAAATTTTGCTTTCACCTATTGATCTCCATTTTTGTGCTTTTACAGACATACAATTAGTTGAGTCAACATCATACTGTTTTTACTTATTGATACATATGTAAACTTTTTAAAAACTCACTTTCCTCTATCTCTCTTTCAAATTTGACTGATGGATTAAAGGAATAACTCTCTCTCTCTTGACCACAGATTATTTCATTTATGAGGAACCAAGCTATTTTGATGTCTGTGAATGAACTTAAAAGAATGGTTCTCAGCCTGGGTCTCTCTATCAAATAATTGATGGCCACTGGTTTTGGAATTAAATTGGAGAAAATAGAGAAATCCTGCCCCCAAATTACACAACCCTGGAAAGCAACTATATAACCCCTCAAGGTCCAGTCAACAGTTTTATATATATATGTGTATATATATATATATTTTGTATATCACATCTATATTAATACATATATGTTTTATATATTCATATACCTATATTAATATACAACATATCCATATTAATATAATAATAAATTTTTATAGTTTAACATTATATACATTTTTATACATATAAAATTCAACACTTGTGGGATGAAGAAGACAAAGTCCCTGCTTGCGTGAAACTTATATCCAAATGGAGGAGACACACAATAAATACATAGAAAAATAAATAATAAACATTTTTATAAACACTGTGAAGAAACTGACCCAGTGCGACAGTACAGATGCTGACTAGGATAGGGAGGGTCTCCTTTAGATACTCATGGTGCGTGCTTCTCTAAGAGAACTTGGTAATTAGAAGGATGTAGACATTTAAAACTCACTTGGAAATGTGTTGCAGACTAATGCAACAGAAACCATTAAGGCCCAGTTAAGAACAAGCTTGGAGTCTTCAAAGAATAGAGGCCAGTGCGTCTTGTGTCAAATGAACAGGTAGGAGGAGAGTGCTGTAACTGATAAGAACCTCGGAATGAATCCTGTGTCTCTCTTGTATTTCCTTAAATTCTCTGTTTTTAAGAAAACTTGAAAATAAAAGATTTTCTAATCTTAAAATTGTGTTTGATTTGCTTAATTACTAGTACTGCAAAGCCATTGCTTCTTACTGTTTTTATGTCATTTCTCTTTGGGTTTAAATGAATGTTGAAGGGCTAGCCTGGGAACTGACTCACGTTTATACCATGCTCCTGAGAGAAAATATAATCCAAATTGCACTGAAAACTTTGGAACATAGTTCTTTTTCAGATAGGGACAACCTATACTGGAGTGATTAAAAAAAATAAAAGCAGGTCCTCATTTATCATAAAGCCTCATTACTCCAAAACCTCGGTTTCTACTCAAGCTGTGCCGAAGATTACCTTTGTCCTATTATGAAGACTTGCTACACAATTCCCCATAATAATTGATTTAGAATTGGCATGTTCAATTTAATTCTGGGTTTGCAGAAACTTCAACACATTAATGCAGATGGATTTTGTTAATTGCCACGGAATTTTCATGTGTTCATAAAAGTAGTGCTGGCAACCAGGGCCTCTGTTTGGAAACCCTCTTCAGAAAAATGCCTAAGAAAGGATTTTTTTCCCCACTGTCTCCACATTGAGCAAGTTAGTGTTGTTCTGAGAAGAGAGAAAAGAGTTAGTTATTGATGGGGGCATTGATCCAAGTCCTTCTTCTCACTTCAATATTAAAAGATAAAAGGGCTGATTGTGCTCATTTATCATGCTGGTCTCTGTTTTACCTTAAACCCTGATTTTCCACATTTTTCTTTACAAGGCATCCTTTTCATCTCCTACATCCTGTCAAATTTACAAGTTACCTTTGTGCTGATCTATACTTAATTAATTTAAGAGACATCTTTGCCAAAATGTACTTTAGGAAATGCAACCGGGTTGAGAATGATGCCTTAGTTTGTAGAACTTCCAAGTGAAGTGTGGCTATGAGTCAGTGTGCTGAGGGCAGAGGGGCACTGTACAGAGGAGTGAACCACAGAGTGAGACTCACAGAGGCATCAGAAATGCCCAGCCCTGCCATTATTGCTCCCTGACCCATCCTTCTGCCTCCTACCTCCTTTCCCTTCACTATATCCTCTGATCAGCAGCACTGTGACCTATCTAATATACTCACTGTGTCAGGTCATAATCCCCTGCTTAAAAATCCTAGGAGGTTTCCCATCACCTATAGTAAGGATTGGCAAACAATAGCCACAGGCCAAATTGCCTGTTTTTCTCAATAAAGTTTTATTGGAACACAGCCATGCCCATTTGTTTACATATTGTCTATGGCTGCTCTTGGCCTACAAAGGCAGAGCTGAGAGGTTGAGAAGCAGAGACTGTCCAAAAATGTTTACCTTCTGGCTCTTAACAGAAAATGTTTACTGACCCCCAGCCTGCATGATTGGGTTCAAACCCAAAGCACAGCACTTCCCAAGATGCTTCCAGCCTGCCCTGCAGGCTGATCTGTAGCCAACTCCTCCACTGCATCCTCCACTCTGACCCCCCGTAGATAACTCATTATTCCTATACAGTGCTGCACACTCCATGCCTTTACACTCACTGTTCAGAATTCTTTCGATGGCACTGCCTCAACCCCAGGGGCTCTGAACCACCTTCCTTTACACTGATGCCTCACCAGCTTCCCCTGTAGGTGAATTCTGTCACAGCCTTTCAGCATTGCTCAGGGTACATCCCTACAGTCATTAGGTGCCTTTTCCTTATGTGTGCAAACTGCCTCTTCAGTGAGAGTGGCAGCCTCTGAGTGTTTTGCATGCTTTCCTCAGAGTCCAGTCTAGACCTAAACACACAGTACGTGCTCAATAAGTAGGTGTTTAATGGACAGACAATAAGTAAGGTGGCCATCCTGCCTATAAACTAAACAAAGGACATGATGGGGTAAAGCAAATGTTGTCACATTTTCACATTAATCGATGCATTAATGTTGCTCATTAAGCAAACTAATCTACTGTATATGTTAACGTCAATGGAAACAGACAGCACTAGAAACAGAAGCTGCAAGCAGCAGGCCCAGCAGCAGGGAAGTCTGAGCATGGCCTTGCCTGCCTAGAGTGTGCCAGCAGCCAGCATCCAACCTCCTGGGTGTCTTGTAGCAGACCTGGAGCCAGGCAAGTGGGAACAACTGCCAGATATCATACCAGGGCAAGTGCAAATAGATGCCTGAGTCCCAGGTCTCCATCATAAAGCAAATATCTGTCCTTATTCCCTCTAGGGGACCACTTGCCCACACCCCAGGCAACAACAGGAATAGACATTTGCTTTCCGAATGTGCCTGCCCCAGAGGCCAGCCTCTGTTTTAATATGTATTCTTGGAAGTACATGGGATAGGTGAGTTTGCTTTGAAGGGCATATTTTGACTCTATGAGGGACAAATCCTTTTGCCAAAATTTTAACAACTAACTTTAATTTACCACGGGAGATGTTGGTAAAAATTGTCAAGACCTCTTTAAGTTTTCAGCAAATGCCAATAGCAGCTTGGACATGATTGCTGCTAAGATGCCTTTAATGAGCTGAATAGTGGAATGATTGCCTTTGCTTCTTCCTTTGAAAACAGACATTCCCCAGTAGCTGCTGAACATCCCCAAGGATGTTCTTTGAGGATATTCCTCTTTACTTTGTAACCATCACTTGCCCATCCCTACTGCAAACTCTTGGCCCTACCTACGGCACCCTGTGTGACATAGCAATTGCTTTTTCTTTGGTCCTCTGGAGAACTGTTGGTGGGACCACTGATAGTCTTATCAGTGAATTCCCTAAGCTGTAATAGTCTCAACAAAGGATCCATTCTGCAGCATTATATAATGCTGCACTTTTCGTTGTTCTGCTCTCGTGTGACCCTAAATGTTGCTTCTGCAGGAAGTTTTATGCAGGTGGAGGGGCTAACTTACCACTTACACACTTCCAAAATCACTGCCATCATCTTCTCCCTGCCTAGGCCTCATGACATTTCTGCTCACCAAAAGCATACACTACTATTCCGTTCACCTTTTCCTCCATGACATTGTTGAGGAAGGTTGAGTGGAAATAAAGAAGATGGAGATTCTAGGAAGATGAGGTTAGATGGATAAGATGGGGTAGGAGTCCCAGAGTTCCAACATGAAGAGTAGCCCAAACTGCTTCTCAAAGAAGCTACTTCCAGGGCCTCTGTTTACATGTTGTCTTTAAGAAGTAATTTAATCCAGAATGTAACAGACATCTTGATCTGCCCTGAGTTTACAAAGATCAGTGAACATAAAAAGGAAACACAAAGTTGGATCTTGCTGCCTCAAGGTGGAAGTGTCTGGGGGTTGATTGGGCCTGTGGATGCTTTTCTTGACTGGCAGCCCCGGGCCCAGAGTGCTGTGTGGTGTTTGGTGTCTTGTGGAACCACTTTTTTTCCCCACTGGAAGCTGTCTCTCTTCCAAAATTCAAGTCCACAATTCTCCAGGAAGGTCAAGCCCAGCACTGGCCCCTCACCCCAGCCAGGGCGTCAGCCTGTGTCCTCCATCTTTTTTGTCAGGGTGAGCCTTTATCATGGAGTAAAATGCTCTGAAATCTGCAGGGTCTGTGTGTGAGGATCACACTTCCCGTGTTCCTCCATATCTTCCTTTATCTCCAGCTTGCTCACTGTCCTGATTTTCTAGCATCTCATTGAAGCAGCTTGATGTGACAGACATTTTGGAGGTTTTGAATTCAGAAAGAACTGGGTTCAAGTCCCACCTGTGCCTCCTAACGAGCTAGGTGACCTTGGGCAAGTTAATCTTCGAGAGTCTCAGTTTATTTCACCTTTGAAAGGGAAAGTTAGTGATATTTAGCTCATAACATGGCTGTGAGGAATGAAAACTACTTTGACACATACTGGGACTTTAGTAAATGGAAGGTATAAGTTGCAGGCATGTAGAATTTCACTAATTTCCTCAATTTAAGACAATAAATGATAGAAATGAATAAACTTTATATGTCCTTCTCCCTATTCATGACTGTAGAGTTGTTATGTGGCACTTGTTTTATGAAGCATTCTCTCTGACATTGTAAAAAATAATACATCTACCACAACCATGTCTAAATGGCTAAAAGCTATATGCACCCACTTAAAAGCACTTTGAGATAAGTACTGTTAAGTGGAAAATGCCCAGAATACAGTGACACCAGTAATTCTTACGTTGTTTTCAATGTTAGTTCATATTCAGATTAAACAAATAATTTCTGCCTGCCTAAAATATATCACGGTCTGTTAGATAGAGCCTACAGTTACCCTGTTCAGGTCTCAATAAATCTGTGTGGTTTAAGGGAAGTTGGGACAGACTTTCTAAATGGAGTCCATTAGTTCATGATTCTTGAGAGTTGACTGAATGGCAGACTTCCCTGGTTTTGTTTAGTAGCTTCTGCCTGTATTACCCCCAAGAATTGGGTTATGGACAGGACACAATGGGAATTTCATTTTGTGGAGGTTAAGTGTACAGAATATGGCATCAAATCATGTAGGTTGCAATCCTGGCTGCTCCATATACCAGCTACGCAGTTTCCTCATTTTTAAGATAGGATTACTCTTGGTACTTCTGTCATAGGGCACAGGTAAGAGCTTAGACTATCGCCACCATCAGCACTATCATCGTGGAGGCCAGGTGCCTCTATGATGTGTCTATTTGAATATTTAGCACTTGTCCTCAAACCCACTGACCAAGAGGGCATGTTAAAATGGCCACATCAGAAAAAAGAAATGGTAGAGTTAGTGTTCTTTGTGTTGCTCTTCTATATGAAGTGTATGTGTATGTGTGTGTGTGTGTGTGTGTGTGTGTGTGTGTGTATTAGCTTCTATGTGAGGAGCCACACTAAATGCTAGGCACTGTGCTAAGAACTCCACATCTATATTTTTATTTAACCTCAAGTAATTCTGTGAGAATTCTGGATACTTGCAAGAGCTTATTTTACAACCAAAGAAACTAAGGCTCATTGAAGAAAGTAACTTCCCACAGTTGCCAGAGTTGGAATTCTAAGGTTCATGCATTTAGTGGATTTGTTAGAAGCTATATGTAATTGGCCTGCTTATCTCTGCAACTCTAAGGAATGAAAAATCAGTTCATGAGCCCAGGATAAAGTGATATGTACAAGAAGGTTTCTTTCGATCAAATGTTGCATATCTGAGGCTCATGAATGAAGATGAGAAAATAAAACCCTAAGTATACATTTTAGAAAAAGTCTACTGTAATTTGTATTGTGTTGAATGATAAAAGTTCTTTTACTGTATAGCTTTTGTTCAGGATTTAATTACAGGAATACTTTAGCCTCTAACTGTGGATCATTGTTTGGTTAATGTCTGATGGATTGACATTTTTCCAGTATGTTGGATAAAACGGAAACCTCGAGAATTGCATAGTCCTTTAGGCAAAAGAAGACAGGATGCTAGAGGTTTTTGTGATACTTATGAATTAAAATATGCACTGATGGTGGAGTATTCCTCCAAGAAACCCTTAACAAGTAACGGTTTCATAATTCAAATATAACCCAAAATACAAACATTTCAAAGGAAACAAAAATGTTGGGTCTATTCCCAATGCATGTTTCTAAGTCTCTTAGCCTGCTCTCGGCTTTGAGATAGAAGCACTTCTTCCTCTTCCATGGAAACCACTACAAATTGGAGTATTAGGCTGGGCGCAGTGGCTCACGCCTGTAATCCCAGCACTTTGGCAGGCTGTAGTGGGTGGATCACTTGAGCCTAGAAGTTCAAAACCAGCCTGAGCAACATGGTGAAAATCCCGTCTATACAAAAACAAACAAACAAACAAAAAAATTATCTGGACATGATGGCATGCACCTGTGTAGTCCCAGTTACTTGGGAGGCTGAGGCAGGAAGATCATTGAGCCCAGGAGGTCAAGGCTGCAGTGTACCATGATCACACCACTGCACTCCAGCCTGGTCTGGGCAACAGAGTGAGACCCTGCCTCAAATAAACAACAACAACAACAACAGAATTGGAGTATTAGTGACTAAGATATGCATGCATCTGACAATCTTTGATTGACTCTCTAGGCCTGGCTTCCTTATAAATTTCTTTGTTTCTTTTAGTTTTCTATGGAAACTGGATCAGATCAAATCTCTCTCCTGAGATCCAAAGGGGTCTACAGGGTGTGTCAGTGACAGGGTGACATTTCACCAGACTTCTTGGTAATCCAGTAGCTGAATAAGTTGGATTGAACTAGATATCTATCTGCCTTTGCTGAAATATAAATGAAGGCAAGGAAATTCGGAGTTTGGTCTTCCGATTCATACCCCTAGCAGCTGATGTAATATTTGGACTTGGATCTCAAATTCATGAGGATAGACCCTAAGAATAAGATTCTTCTAGCTGTGGGAAGAAACAAAGAGTGATTAGAGGCTGATGTGTCCCTGAGAGAGGCTCCATGCCCTTCTTGCACACAGGCTGAGGATTAGGGATAGGACAACAAGGGGATGGCAGGTAGATTTAGAAAGATGTGTGCCTCGCTCTAGGGAGAACTCAGGAAGCAGCGCAACCCCAGGGAACAATGACTGCAGAATCCGTCCTGAAGGTGAGCTGAGGCAGCCCCTTAGAACTCCCTGTGTCCATAAATTGCAGCAGAATAGAATGATTTTTGTGCACCTGAGAGTAGGATAGAGGGGAAGAAAGGTCCCAGATAACCTCACCAGGTTTTCTGTGGCCCTACTGATACCAGGAAGAGTACAGTGATCACAGATATTAGAGAAAGTGGATGAAGGGAGTCGCACTGATACACGGTGGCTAAGAAAACTAACTTTGGAGTCAGACAATAGATGCTCAAAATCCCACTCCTCCACTTACTAGCTGTGTGATGTTTGGCAAATAAACCTGTCTATGCTTCAGTTTCTTCTTTGTAAAATAGGTATAAATAATAGTAAAGCATTTAGAATAGAGCCTGCCATAAAATAAAAGCTTTATAAGCATTTGCTATTATTGTTACTATTACATTTTATGAAAAGGAGAAAAAGTACATTTCTCATGCACCTGTATTTGAAGATGGAGACTAGGGATATTGGTCTAAAATTCTCTTTTTTTGTTGTGTCTCTGCCAGGCTTTGGTATCAGGATGATGCTGGCCTCATAAAATGAGTTAGGGAGGATTCCCTCTTTTTCTGTTGATTGGAATAGTTTCAGAAGGAATGGTACCAGCTCCTCCTTGTACCTCTGGTAGAGTTTGGCTGTGAGTCCGTCTGGTCCTGGACTTTTTTTGGTTGGTAAGCTATTATTATCTCAATTTCAGAGCCTGTTATTGGTCTATTCAGAGATTCAGCTGCTTCCTGGTTTAGTCTTGGGAGGGTGTATGTGTCCAGGAGTTTATCCATTTCTTCTAGACTTTCTAGTTTATTTGCGTATAGGTGTTGATAGTATTCTCTGATGGTAGTTTGTATTTTTGTGGGATCGGTCGTGATATCCCCTTTATCATTTTTTATTGTGTCTATTTGATTCTTCTCTCTTTTCTTCTTTATTAGTCTTGCTAGCGGTCTATAAATTTTGCTGATCTTCTCAAAAAACCAGCTCCTGGATTCATTGAAGATGGAGACTAGTACTTAGAGTCTCCTCATTCCCAAACTTGTAGGAAATACAAAGCTACAGTGAATGGAATTGAAGTATTCAGATAAATTTCTGTAGATTTCAATACCACCTCCCCCTTTTTTTTCCATGAGCTTTTCATTTACTACTTCACATAATTTTTTGATACATGAACTATCCTTATAACCTTGCGCAGGTGACTTAATTTCTCTAGATCTCCCCTAGAGAAGAAAATTCCTCATCTGTGAAATGAACAACATACCCAGCTCGCAGAGTTGTTGTGAATTCCAAAACAAATGAATCCATTGAATATGAGATGTACAGTAAACGTAGTGCTCGGCATGCAAGCAGCATTCAACAAACTATAAATGTGTTTGTGTTATTATTGTTTGTACTCATCTTAATTTCTATTCAACCATTTTTACATAACTGTAATGGAAAGACTAAATCTAGAATAAAGTTGCCCATGATCAGTGAGATGCACTGGTGGCCTCCATACTTATTCATCCACTTTGGCTCCAAAATGGCTCCAGCCTCCCGTTTGTTGGAAAATCAACAGCCTGTGACATGTCAGTGTTGAGATGATTTGAGGAGTGCCACAGTCTGCTTGTTGATTACGACTGTATATTTGCCAATTCTTTGTGTAATTAAATCCAGCCAAGGCCTCAGGTATGTTCTTAGCCAGGTCTGATTTATTTAGATGTTTTGTTTTAAAAAGAATGCCAAGGTAAAATTTGTTTTGTTTCTTTTGCACCACAAATGCCTTAAAAATCCAATCTTGGTATCAGTGACGGATATTGATATACTTTGTCAAACAAGAAATATCTGCAGCTGCTAGAAATAAAAATTCAATGATTTTCAGCAGACTTTCCTAAGATAATAATGTAATTTATCTTTCAGAGAATATTAAAGGCAAACCTTGAAGGTGAGGGCAAAAAGCCATTTTGTGCCTCAAATTAGAAGGATAATTTAGAAAGAACCACATTTATATTCATTTGAATTTAACAACCTGGAATGGCAACGTTCACATTAGTGATTATTTCTACCTAAATAATCACAAAAAAAAAGAAAAGAAATGATTATATTTTCTGCTTTGAAAATTAGACATACTTAATATTGCATATGGTGAAATGGAGGCAGTAAAACCCCAAAGAACCAAAATGTGTGAGGAATGATATATTTTGGTTAATAGAGCTTTCCATTTGTTGTATTTAAGCAAGTAATGTTTTTACAGTTGTTGGTAAAAACCTTTTTAAATACTTGCGTATAACTTCCTTGTCTTAGTTTAATAAAATCTGCAAAGGTCACTGTGTGAATAGTAGCTCAGACCTAATGTAAGATCTGGGGAAGGATTGAGGCTGCTATGCTAAGAGCGTTTATATGGGAGTTGTATTTTCCTTGTGAAGGTGGTAGTAGTTGTCGAAATTTTGCTTTATTTGTATAAATGTAATATTTTGCTTTATTTCAAGAAATGCTATGAGTATTGTTGTACTTGTAGCTTCTAAGATTATGGTTTGCTTTTTTCTTAAACTTGTGAGTATAGTAGGCATGTATAAAACTGAACTAATGGAAATTTCCAACTAGATTGAATTCTTGAAGATGTGCTTTATATTCAGAGACATTGAAAAGGGAAAGTAGGACTATAACCAAACACTATCTTCTGGCTCTTCACTCTGTGAGGATCTGGTGACATGTAGAAGTGTCCTGGCTAAATTGTAAAATTGACAAAATTTTGCTTTCATTACTTCTCCCCTTCAAACTCCTCTTTCTGGGTTCTTTGATTCTCCCCATCTACCAAGAACCATCAACAGGTGGCTTTCTTGCAATTTATTTGAGGGGAAGAGCAGGAAAAAAACGACTCAAACTCTTGCATAATGTCACAGAGTGGTTACTTCCTAACTTCTACTTCTGCAGCTTTAGACCCACAGAGGTTTGTTCATTTTATCTATGAAATCTGCTTTTTAAATTAATCCCCTGCTGACAAGAAGCGTACATGAGCATTGTGGTTAAACTGTCTTTAAACCTGCTCTGGAACTCCAACAACTTCCTGCAGCATGGTATGCACTGAAGTCACTTCACTGCTAATTGGCCTGTTCTCTCTCCCTCTCCATTTTTTGGGCTCCCACGTGGGCTTCAAAGTGAGCCACAGCTCTTGGCACATCTTCAGACTTTGTTTGGTCTAAAACCAAGAATGGAAACCTTGCCAGGAGTTTCCAATTTGTTGCCCTCGGGCATCTTAAGATCTCATCAAAGATGCAGTATACAGTCACATGAAGAAGTGGAGTAACAACAAAGGTAGTAAATGATTAAGTGACAAAATGACAAATGTTTCAGGAAACTAGAATAGGAAGGCAGTGGCACTGTTAGGGGAGGGATGCTTGAGCAAGAGTCTACAGATCAGGTAGTGTGGAGTGAAGAGGGAGAAGAGATGAGAAGGGTGTTCCAGTTACTGGGGCAGACAGAGCAAAGGAGGGTCTGAGAGTAGAAATGCTCAGGAATTGGGGAGACAGATGGGCATGGGGAGAATAAAAAGAAGTGGCTCTGGGGAGCCAAGTAGGCCTGGTGTGATGACTCTGCCAGTGCCAAGCTTTTACAGCATGCAGGACTAAGTAAGCAAAAGAGGTTTGGTTTTGTTGGTTTGTTTTGTTTTGTTTTTTGTTTTGTTTTGTTGGTTAGTTTTGGAGACAGCATCTCTCTCTGTCACCCAGGCTGGAATGCAGTGACACTATCACAGCTCACTGCAGCCTCAACCTCCTAGACTGAAACGATACTCCCGCCTTATCCTCTCTCTGGAGTAGCTGAGACCAGAGGTGTGCACCACCACACCTAGCTATTTTGGGGTTTTTTTACTTGTGTTTTAGAGACAGGGGTCTTACTATGTTGCTCAGGCTGGTCTTGAACTCCTGGGCTCAAATGATCCTCTCACCTTGGCCTCCCAAATGCTGGGATTATAGGCATGAGCCACTGCATCCAGCCAAAAGAGTTTATTATGGTTTAAAAGCACCTCATGTTCCTTAAAACTTTGTCTTCTTGAGCCACAGACCCGTCCTGGGAACATTCAATAAATGGCCTTAGTACTAAATGTGGTAAACCACGAGTTGCGACATAGTCAAATAAAACTTCCTGAATTTACCTGCTGTACTTTGTCGCTTGTTTCCTCTTTTCCCCCAGCTCATAGACATTCTTGTACACCCTATCACCTTCAGAGAGTGGCTTTTTGAAAGCGACCTTGTGGTGATTGCTGGCTGCTATGGATGGCTAGCTCACCTTCCAGACAGTCATTGGATCCCCAACATGGTGGCAAGATTACTTAAGGCAGGCACTGCTAGGTTTTCTTCTGTTTCATAGGAAAAAAAAAAATTTGAAGTCTAGGGGAAATGGGGAAAAGAATAAGGATATCGCTAAAATCAGGGAAGAGGAAATTAATTTTTATTTTCAGAAATGAAAAATAGCTTTAATGAAAAATGCAAAAAAAAAGCTTTTGGTACATTTTCTAAATATGTCTTTATTTTTATTTGGCACTCCGCATTTGCTCTTGTGCTTAACATCTGCTCTTTAATAATTTCATGCAATACCTCTTGATGCTTTCAGGAGATATCACCCTGACTTCCGCCCTGATGTTCCTACCCCCACCATGGCCTCAGAGAACCAAGGCTGTACCAGGAGGTGCCCAGTAAATTCAAGCCACTGACTGACAGGAGCCTCCTCATTGATTCTGGTATTAATCCTCTGAAAACATAATTGGAGCAGAGGGATGCAATCAGTAGTATCCATTGGGCACCACAATATGGGGACAGCTGATTCTGTGCATGCCATTAGCTCATTATTACACTAACTACTGCAGTTTTAGAAGATAAACCTCAGAGCCTTAAATGGCATCTGGAGGCTGAGTCAGTTCTCCTTGGCAATGCAATTATCTCAGCTTGTTTCAGTCTGCTGAGAGGTAGGAATAATATTTCACTCAGTGTTCCATTGCATTAAAATGTTTTGATACCTGTTTGAATAACATTGCCTTAATGTTAATAAATCCATAATGGTCACACAGGCAGGGGTGGTGTGTGAATCACCCTGGAAGGGATGTTCATTAATCAGTTACTTGGGGCTTTTTTCTTTATTCATTCCCTCCTAGGGTTTGTACCTGTGAGGAAGCAGCCTACCTTCTTTGCAGCCATCTAGCATCTATATTCTAGAATCATTTTTCCCTATGATGGTCAAATCCAGATTATCTACACAGAAGAATAAAATAACCTGAGTAATCCAAAGTGAGTCATAAGTTTTTAAAAGTCTGGGCCAGGCACAGTGTCTCATGCCTGTAATCCCAGCATTTTAGGAGGCCCAGGAGGGAGGATCACTTGAGCTTAGGAGCTCAAGACCAGCCTGAGCAACATAGTGAGACCCCATTTCTACCAAAAATAGTTTTAAAAATAGCCAGACATGGTGGTGCATCCCTGTGGTCCCAGGCAGTTGGTGGCTGAGGTGGGAGGATCCTTTGAACCCAGGAGGTTGAGGTTGGAGTGAGCTATGATGGATCACACCACTGCACTCCAGCCTGGGCAACCGAGTGAAACCCTTTCTCAAAAATATGCATTGTCCTTTGGAATATGTTCTGTATTCGAACATGGATGTAGCTAATGTTTGATTTTAATTCAAAAAAAAGTGATACAACTATTGGGTGGAGACTCAATTTTTTCAAGAAGCTACCTATTTTTGCTTTATACTTCCCATGCCCAACCCTCTTGGAAACAATTCAAGATTTCTCTTTTGCAGGCTTATTCTGGATTGGACATGAGTAGTAATTTTGGAAGTCCAAAAGACTCTGGGCCTTGAAGTTAAGTAGGAGGTGTTGAGATGTCAGTGAAACACCTAAGATGGTGGGTGATGCAACTGTGAATTACTGTTATGTCTTAATAAACCTTAAAATGTTATTTGACTAAGTCAGAAGCATATGCTATATTGCTAGTTTATTGATGTGTGAGTACCACATAAAATCATTTTTGCAAATGTGTCCTTTAAACATAAGACAGAGCATGTTATTAGACACACGGCATAAACAGCATCCTAGTGAGTTTGTCCTCTATGCAAATTGCTGCTTGATATTTGGCCTCCTCTCTATAAAGAATTGCCTTCCGCACTGACTGAGTGAGAAAATTCAACATAATTCTGATTTGAGATCCATGAGAAGTTTATTATACCTGCCTGGTGTTCTGATTATGAAGCAGAAAAAAGAAGATATGGGTTATCATTGACAGATCCTCAGCTGTCTTTTGAAATGTCAAATCAAATGGACATTTTTGTTTTCAAATTGCTTGACCTTTATCAGAAAGCAGCTCTGGACAGAAGATGATCCTTTTTTGAGTCACTGTAGAGCACTTGAGCACTTATACAAAGGAGAGATTTTATTCACTTAGCCAGAATTGAGCCCCTTTGGAAAAGCCTTGAGGAAAACTATTGTGATCAACTTTCACTATTCTTTTTACAAATACCTGTGTGGCACTACAATGCAGTGTGGATCAGGCCCTGGAACGTGGTGATTACAGACATGCTGCAGAGAACTTGTCACACTGGGGAGCGATAGGAAACCTGCTCAGAAACATCCAAGGCAGGCTAAGATGGCTGCCATGGGGAAGACACTGGCCATATAGGCTGCATGAACTCAGTTGGGGGAGAGTCGTGATCAGTTGGCTTGCTCAGAGATGACTAAGCAGAAAAGGTGGTGTGGAACTGTGCCCTAGCGGATGGGAAAGAAGGGCAGACATGGTAGGGGCCAGAGTAAGAACCAGGTCAAAATCCGCCCAGCAAATTTTACCCCCTCTCTTCTTCACCTCTCCTTTATAACACTGTCCAATTGGTCAACAACTCTTCCTTTATAAGTCTCTTGAAAGGCACCAAAACCCCCTTTTGGGTGCATCTCTGCTAACACCCTGGTCTAAGACCACACTGCCTCCTAAACAGAAAGCTGAAAAATCAATCCTAGTTGTTTTTCTAGCTGCACTATTTAGTATGGTGCCTAATAATCTTCCTCAAAACACCTTTTCTACTATGTTTATTTCTAGAAGGAAGGAAGGAAGGAGAAAAAAAGAGAGGGAGGGAGGGAAGGAAGGAAAAGAAAAGGAAGGAAAAGAAAAAAGAAAAGAAGAAAAAGAAAAAGAAGGGAAAGGAAAGGAAAGAGGAAAGAGGAAAAAGGAGAAAAGAGAAAGAAAAGTGAAGCCAGACCAAACCAAACAAACCCTGCAGGATTTTTCTGTTTCTGTGGGGTCTGGCATAAACTCTTGAAGCTGACATGCCCTCCAGTGCCCCAGCAGTGGTTCACTCCTCTTTAATTTCTTATGCTTTCTTGTCACAGATTTCTTTTCCCCCAACTTTGTGTGTTCTCAATTTCCCTCTCTGCGTATACAACTCTTTCATCCTCACTAAAACACAGCAAAGACTTCCAGAAGAATCTACACAGAAGCCACTGCTTCTCAGAACTCTTCTCAAGTTTGCTGGACTCTCCTCTTCTGTGCTTATAAATCGGCCACTGTTAGTGTGACTTCATTTTGTCTTCTAAACCGCGTTGCACCTCCTTGGCCATGGAGAATTAAGGCGAACCTTAATCCAATGACTAATTCATGGCTAGAACTAAGTTAGCCACCTGCCTGGTAGATTATGGTGTCCAACATAGAGAACTGAGCCAAAGAGATAGTGCTTTCCTGCTTAGAAAGAGAAGGCTGCTTAGAATAGACAGCAGTGTGGGTGATAAATAGTTAACCGAGACTTTTGGTGAACACTAAAATCCTAATTAAATATGATTTAATTCTGCTTATAGTGGCAGAAAAGGGATTCTTACAGGTCTTTTGTCTGATTACATCACTTGCTACATTAAGTTCATTAGGAATATTAGGCAATGAATAAAGGCCAAAGGAAATGAACCATTTTTAATGGATGAAGAATAGTATGGAGGCCATTTACTAGCCAAGATGAATAGTAGCAATAAATTGTGGATTCATTTCGTTGAAACTATTTAAATACATGTCTGTTGCCTGTTCTATTCAGAAGCATGGATAGTAGGGAATGAGATTTACAGTGTTATTTGGGACTACTTGTTTTTTGAAATACTGTGGTTCATAATCAGATAATTCTTAAATGATAGACAATGAATAATGTTTTGAGAGCTCAGCCTTCTTATCTAGTTGGGATGAGAAGAATGTTTCATGCATCTTTCTGTTTCATTTAAATAATCAGGTGGTTTCACTCATAAATGGAAGGGTAGCTATTTCAAGCCGGCTACCTTTTAGAAACACACATAAAGCCTTCATTATATGGCAGACTTGGAGCCTGTGTTTCCTGTAGCCAAAGGCTTTTGCAAAGATTTGTGGCTATGAAAGATAAACCTTCCCAAACTTTAAAATTATGCAGTGTTTTCAAAAAGATAGCCATTGCACTTTTGTGGGAATTTTAATTTAATAGAGAAATGAAAGGAAAGCAGTCATATCTTTTCATCATTGCCTAACCCCTTTAAAAGTATATATTAAAATTCATACTATTTCGATATTTATGCCTATGGCCTTCTAAACTTTTTATTTAATCCACTCCCCTCCCCAACCCCCAGGAGAAACCACAGTGCAGACAGCAATTACGAGCCTTCTGGTTTCTTTCACAAAATGGGCTTTTTAAAAACTGCCTTTAAAACACTCTCCATGTAAGGAGTCCTGGTCCACGTCATTTCTGCCTTCTCCATAGGGTACATACTCACTAGGACATTAGGGATTGAAGACAATAGAAGTCTACTGTTCCTGGATGTGTTGTTTCTAGCTTTCAGCTCTAAAAAGCCAAATTGTTTCTAATTCCATATTAAAAAAAAAAAAGACAAAAACATGAAGGACATCTGAGCCTTGGCCTTAGGCCTAGTTTTAGAGATTGAGATCTGGTGGTAGAGGCTGTCTCTATCCCAGCTCACCAGCTCCCCCATAAACCTCCCTTGGAAATCCCTTTCAACCTTATTTCTTCTCCATACCATCCTGGTGCAGCCCTAAGGTGTCTTTACCATTGTCCTGCTGCAAGCCATCTCACTGCCCATCTGACATCTGCAAGCCGCCTTCTTCATTCCATCTAGCCACCATAGTTGTTTCCTTACAAAGCAACTGGTTATCTCTCCTATACTAAAGCCTCAAAGTTGAGTATCCCCCACTGCCCACAGTGGCAGGTGCAAATTCAACATCTTGGAAACATGTTCCTTCCACAGTTGGGCCCTGAGCTTCTGTGGCTGAGAGATAGGCATGGAATGGTACAAGGAGTATAACAGAGAAAATAAAGAAGGAGCCCCACATTTCACAAGCCTAGATTCTGTGCTTGACGCTCTTCTATACATTATTTTATTTATTTAATTCTGTAAACAAACCTGTGCAGGGGGCATTGTTCATCTACTCAGCCTTCCTCTGTCCATTCATCCATCCAACCATTCATCCATTTTTACTCATTTAGTCATTCAACAAATATTTATTGCATCTCCTATGAGCCCAGTACAGCTCAAAATCAAAGCCCGTGCTCTGTTATAGCTTATGTTCTAGTAAGAGAGATGGGCATTAAGCAGTATTAGCATCTGCAATTTCTCATTTAAGTCTTCTATAAGCAGAGAAGAGCCACAGGACACTTTTAGTCACTTACTGACGTGTTCATGGTTGTTTTCAGGAAATTTTAACTCAGCAGAATGTATAGACGAGAAAGAGATGGGAAGAGTTAAGGAAAGAAGACCTGTGGGGAGGAACTGCAGTAATTCAGAGAAGAACTAGTGTGGGTCTGGAGAAGGCCAGGGCAGTGGGAATTATGAGAAAGGGTGAATATTAGTTATTTACAGATGAAGAATCCTTGTTTTTTGGCCACTGATGGGATGTGGAGAGCAAAGTTAAAAGAAACTCAAAAACAACTCCCTGGTTTTAAGTTTAAAGAATTGGGTGTCCGGAGTTCCCTTTAAGAGCATGTTTTGCCGAGTGGTAGAAATGGAAAAAGATGATTTCTGTGCTATCATATTGACTTAAAACATCACATAATTAGAGAGACACGACTATAACATTGCACACTGGTCTATAGCATTGTTTGAGGCATGAAATGAGTATTTGCAGTTTCTGACAATACAAAGAGAACCTTTGACGCAAAGGTGAATTAATTTCTGCTGGGGGAGTGGGAGATGATGAAAAACAAATAAACAAACAAAACAGCCATCACTGCAGAAATCTACAGTTAGTAGAGCTCACCCTTTTAATATTTAGGGACAGCATTTTAAAAAACTCTTTCTCTGCAATTTCTGATAGCTTTTGCCTTGTTTTCATATTGGCCTTCACTGCCAGCCACTTCCCTCAATTAACATCCTCTCCAAATCAATCATTGATATTATACTTCCTGCAAGGGGGTAAAGAGATACAACTTTGCATGTTTCCCAAACCCCCGAGGTCACATGTCCATGGAGAAGTAGTGTACAGTGATGATCTTGAATTCTCCAAGCAAGGAAGAAGTTCTCTCTCTCTGTGCATGTCCTGAGTCAAGAGGGCTTTTGCTGTGCTGTGCTGCATTCCTGCCTAGGGATTTAGGGCAAATTGTTGAAAGAGAACTTAGGCTGAGGTTGAAGAGAAAAGGCCAACAAGCGGGGAAGGGTGAGTGAGCAACTGATTTGGATATCTGCCCATTGAGATTTCAGTATTTGCCCCAAATGGCCTCATTGGGATGTGAGCAGGCTGACCTCCTAGGCTCAGGGTAGATGCTTCCAGCCAGTATGGGTACACCCATTTTTGGAAGAGACCTAAATGAGGATGCTCTAGAAGGCTGTAAGCAAACCACTGCCTTTACTTGTGGCTTGTTCCTTGTTTTGATTTGACTGCTTGATTTCCATTTACACACAACTTTTTTTTGTATATTTGTTTATGTGTGTAAAATATTTAAACTATCAGTAATTAATTGGTGGTTCCTTCTTCCCTGGAGTCTGTGTCACCAGTGGAACTCTGCATTAGTTTTTCGTGCCCATACAATCAGTTAAATGTTCAGTGAAGGTGTCCAAAGTGAAATATTTCTCTAGGGTTATGGCCAAACTCAGAATTGTTTTTCTGTCTTCTCTTCCCCTTATATCATGATATCCAGGCTTATCATTCTATTATTTTCTTTTGAAGTTAGCTATGAATTAACTGTGTGGCCAATGATTTTGTACATTTATCTAAGTGTTAGAGTTTTAAAAAGCATTTTAAAATCTAACTTGATCTCAAAACAAACCTTTGAAGTATAATATGTGTGCATATATGTACCTTCACAATTTATAGGAGAAATGGAGGCTGAACATTTAAGAAATTTTTCTCCTGGGGATTAGTCTAATAATTGGCAGAGATAAGAATAAAGGCCAGGAATGTGTATGTTTAACCAAGGAGTGTTTGCAATCTATTGCAAAGGGAGAGAGAAGAACTAGCTGAGCAATTTGCAGACTGAATTCTTTGGGATCCTGATGTTGAGGAAGGATGCCTTGGAGAAAGAGGAGGCGGCCGGACACAGCCTCCTGTGCCTCACCCCCACTGCTACCAGGACAGTGCTGTCGTCATCTGTCCTACATAAGGTGACTCCCTGTATGATTTCATTTGGAAAACATAAAGTGTGCTATTCTAGCTTTTTGAAAAGTTTAAAAACCATAGCACTGCGTTTTAGAATACTGTTCATTTTTTGCATACCAGAGTTCTGAGTATCAGATTCTGCTATATTAAATAACTCAGAATTTACTCATTTGTGAACATACCTCTCTGTACTTCCAAGTTATCTCGTTACCACACACAGAAATGTAAAAGCTTTAAACAATGTGTTTTTTAAGTGCTTAGTGACAACCCTAAAATATTTCCAAAAGGTTCTATGGCTCAGACAGACTTTGTGATGTTATTCTTTAAGAAATGCAATGGTTGATAATTTGCATTTATGATATTTCCTCATAGGTTCACTTTCTTAGTTAAGGACACACTATCTCACAAGAGTGCTCTTTAAAGAGCAACTTTTTAATGCCTAAGCATTGATTTAGAGTTGGAGCTGGGCTGGTACCACGTGGACCGCTCTTACTCTAAAAGGAAAATTGAGACCACCATGAAAGTGTTTTGATTTTACTAAAGCCATGTCCTCAGGCAAGAGGGACTTGGCTCAGTCAGGTCTGAGAGAAGTACATCAAAATGAGTTTGACCAAGTGGAAAATGGATGCTCTAAATCGTTGTCTACAGTATTTCCCTGACATCTAGATCAAATATGTACATTATTACACTTTGTGAAATCCTGGGAGGTAATTTAACAGAGGTACTTAATTCTGAACCTGAGGTTGTGCAATAAAAAGGAGAGGGAGGGGGCAGGGAAAGGAAGGATGAAAGAATTCTGTAGACTCGGTGGGCTGTAGTGGAGAGAATCCTACACTAGGAACAGGGAAACCTAAGTTCTTGCCCAGTGCTGACACCAACAAGCTCTACTAAATTCACTTAATAGCAGCTGTGCTCCTCCACCCCCTGATCAATCAAGTATATATTCCTGACCATCAGACTCTGCAGAGCTGTGCCTTCCACGCTCATCACTGATATACTTCTGCCTACAGGATAATGTCAGGCCCTGTCAAACCAACATCTAAATCACCTGTTTAGCTTCCTTTCCCTCCCTCCCTTTATTTCCAGCCACACACGAACTAAATGCTCCTCCTGCCTGTGTCATTTTATACACGCTGGGATGCTTATCCCCATGTGGCATGATTTCTCTGGGCTCAGATATTTTCACATCTGTAAGACATTCCCTACCCACTTAGGTTAAGTGGTAAAACGTGTTTTAAAAGCCTTACCTGGTGATTAGTGATGATAGGAGTGGTGGTGCTTCTAGCAGCAGCAGCAGCAGCAGCAGCCTGTGAGATGGGAGAACCATCGTCACCACTGCTGTTGGACACTGTGCCACCAGGACAGGTTTATATTGAAAATTCTGTTATTGAGGTTTCCTCTAACCTCTCACTGATTGGGTTTTTAGGAGGATTCATCTTTACCATTGTATGCATTTCATTTTGCCCCACCTTCTCTTAATTGAGTTATTACTTCTACCTTTCATTGATTCTGTTTTTTATATTAATGCTGAGACTAAACTCTGTCAGGTGTCAAGGCCAAATAGACTTAACTGCCAACAGTATCCCTGGAAGGTAGAACTGATGCCACTCTTGCATACCTCAATGCAAAGCCATAGCAATAATGCAGCTTCCCCTGGCCCATAGGTACCACTGGGCCTACACAATGGGCACTGTGCCTCAGAAATCCAGGACCATATTCGGGACACCATTTTTACTAGCAGAGGGAAAAATGAAGCCATGAGTTTTTTTTCATCTGTCCTCACCTCTTAGTTGTCCACAAGTACGTGGAAGTGGTTAGAATTCCATATGTTAATTGCACATTTAATGAACTCTGCAAGGCCCAGTAAAAGGAGCACTGAATTTGGAATGGGAAGATTTGCAGCTCTGCCCACGCTGGTTGGTCAAGATGTGGTCATCAAATCCTGGTCACTCTAAATCACAGATTTCTTATGAGTAAAACAGAGATAATAATATTGATCCTGGCTTCTGGGGATCACATGAGGGAATCTATATTGATTATTTTTTAACTCCATTCAATAGATCCCTAGGATGCCAGGAAAGTCCCAGGAGGGCAGCTTTAGGAGAACAAGGGAAGGATGAGGATGTAAGGCTTGGGCATCACCCTGTCATCTCCCAGAATCCAACAGCTCCACTGGATTCAGCAATAGGGTAGAAATTTCTATAGTGTAAACTGAGGCACGTTTGCTCTGTGGACTCTTCATAAGTAAGCCAGGCTTCTTTACTAAAACTGGTGAGAAAATAGAGGCTAAAATTTTTTTTTAATCTCTTTGCTGCAAGACTTTTCAGAACCTTTACTATGCTGGAATGCTTGTAGATTTCCAAGAGAAACAATGTACAGTCTCCTTTATATTTATTTGGGCGCAATAACTATTTCTGAGGAGCATTTCATAGGAGTAATATTCCTTGCAGACTTTGTTGCTAGGAAATAAGAGAGCATAATTCAATGCTTAATGTGTGGTATGCATGCTGTAAGTGATAAGAGTATGGCCTAGAGTAAGGTTAGTGGAGAAAGGGACTAGTCCTCAAAGGACCCAGGGAATTTAGAAAGGTGGAGAGCAGAAGAGAAGCCATGAACAAGTCAGAGATCGTTGTTACAAATGTAAATAAGTAAATAATGACATCAGGAGCAACAAATACCTGCTGAACACTCACTATGGGCCAGGCAGATGGGTCAATGCTTTACCTGCATTTTCTAATTTTATCTTCTTGACATAGGGGCTATCATCATCTTTATGTTAGAGAGGAAGAGAAAAGAGGTTGGATAATCTGTTCAGAATAACGCAGCTACTAAGGAGCAGAGGCAGCATTTATTTTATTTTATTTTACATTTATTTATTTATTTATTTATTTATTTATTTATTTATCCATCCATCCGAGATGGAGTCTTGCTGTGTTGCCCAGGCTGGAGTGCAGTGGCACGATCTCAGCTCACTGCAACCTCTGCCTCCTGGGTTCAAGCAATTCTCCTGCTTCAGCCTCCCAAGTAGCTGGGACTATAGGTGCACACCACCATACCTGGCTAATTTTTGTATTTTTAGTAGAGATGGGGTTTCACCATGTTGGCCAGGCTGGTCTTGAGCTCCTTGTAATCTGCTGGCCCCGGCCTCCCAAAGTGCTGGGATTACAGGTGGGAGCCACCGTGCCCAAACAGAGGCAACATTTAACTTTGATTTTCTAACACAGGAAACTCTGCTCTTTATTAAAAGGTCTTGCCCAGGGAGATAGCCAGGTACCCTAATTGGGAGGCTGGAATGGTACTGGTTGGAAGTAACACAGGAAAGACTGAGAAGTGCTGGATTGCAGGAAATCTTGAGAATCTGGCATAGAGCACAGACTCATCATGTTTAGGGCCCTGCATGCAGTTGTGTGCATATAGCTGTGTACTTTTACAACGTAGAAGACATTCTGTGGAGGGGCAGATAGGGGCTACGTTGATCTAGAAGGGGATTCACATATTTAAAATTCACATAAAAATGTCCTAAGGGTTAGGAGTGGCCCTGCTCATGTTGAGCAAGAATGAGGCTTTCAAATCTCTTGTTTACCATCTCCTACCATGAGTTCCTATCACAAAAGTTTATCATGGTGAGCTTAACAGAGACAACTTAAGGGGAAAAAAACTTTTAGAGCACTTACTGGCAACTAACATTCGCTGTTCTTCATTTGTTTCACTCACCTGCTATGGTAGAAATCTTGGTTTTGGCACTTAATGGTATAGTAACCACCAGCCTGGGTCGGCCAAGGAGTGGCATTTGGAAAGAAAATCCTAGAAAGCCTATCACCATAGATCAGCTATGGGGAAGGGCAGAGTTGTTCTACTTATAGATTTTTTAATTATATTAATAGGTCAGCTGCATGCTCAATTTATTTGATCATACTATGCATTTAGAAATAACTCAAACAACTCAAGTTTATCACTATGTTTATTTGTTTTTTTTTTTTAAACAAGCACAGCTAAAGAATGAGGACATTTTCATATCAGTGGTTTTCAAGCTAATTCAGGTGGTGGAACATCTGGAGTGTAATACAATATTGAGATATTTAATTACTTTTTATATTTAACGCCATAAACTAGAGCTACACATAATAGCAAAGCTATGTTTGCTTTGTATGGAGCAATATAAAATTATACTCATGAACATTTATATCCACTAAAGAATAAGTTTCCATAATCCATTGCTATTTAGAAGTTGCTCTGTTGTGTTTCTGTGACTTAACAGAAACCTATTTTGTGAATAAAGTAGGTTTAGACTTGATATAGTAGCTTCCTAATATTTAAGGAAAAACTTATGGACTAAATTATTTTAACAGTATTTAATTGTTTGATTTTGAAGAGACAAATATGTTTTAACATGGAACTTGGGTGTTTCACCTGTACACACTTTTAGAATCATGATTCTAGATATGCATATTTGCAGAAAGTGTATTAAGTCTATCAGTCATAATAATATTTAAAATGATACATTTTGCATATGTCATTTCAGAATCATCATAACATCCCTATGAGAAGTGCAGTAAAAAAAAAAAAAAAGAAAAAACAAAAACTGAAGCACAGAGAGGTCAAATAACTTGTCTAGAACCCTACAGCTCATTTGTAAGAGAGTTGTGCTTCAAGTCACAACCTCGGAGACCACACTCATACAAAACCATGGCACTTATGGAGACCAGGTTTCTCCATGTTGGTCAGGCTGGTCTCGAACTCCTGACCTCAGGGAAGACCACACTCATACAAAAACATGGCACTATTGGATTCAACTCCTTCTGCTTCAGCCCGTGCAAATTTCCACTGCGCTAGGTATCTGATCCCAGAAATGAAACATCTAACAGGAGAGTTTCCAGGATGGGTGTGGATGCTGAGGCTGGGTTAGTGTTCTTCTTGTGGGCACTACCCTATTTACTGGAATGACTAAAAGTCCAGGGCACTTTGGTAAGTTGCTTTGAAATGTCTGTTTCCCATTAATTGCGCTACCTCCTTGCCTTCCTTATATTTTCACTCTGTTCTTATTGGAATCCCCATGCCAACCTGCCTCTTAGCATCACCCAAGAGTTGAGAACTTACCCTCCCCTTCACTTGCCTATGAAATCTTACCGTTCTTGAGTCCTATTTCATCAGCATCATACTGAATTTTTGACAATGCATTTGTGGCTAGTAATGTTTCAATGTTACCCTTTATAAATCTGGTACTTTGTAATTCTCTAAATGTGGATTTTCACATCTATTACCATTTGAAATAGTGGAGCTAGAGCTATTTGGAAGCCTGAATTCATATGTCAGTTCCACATCTCAATTGAGCTTGTTATTTAGCTCTCTAAGCCTCAGTTTGCTTCTCTGTGCAGTGGGGATGGTTACATCTAGCTTACAGGATTACCGAGAAGATTGAAGGATATGATATACATATAGTCTAACATAATCAATTTTCAAAACCGAGAGACTGTGTTAATTGTAAATGAACTCAAGTGTATCCAAGTTTTTCCTTTTCCAATTCCATCAAAACTTTATTACTACTCTAACTTGAAGATATTATAAATATCTACATATTTATCCATGAGAAGAAACAGGATATGAGTTTACATGCTTTACTTTAAATCTGATTAGTAGCAACTACTACTAATTTGGTGTTTTTGGAGAGACTGACTTTCCTGTACTCTCAAAAACATGCCATGTAGACATGTGTTCAGTCTTGCCTCCTCTGCCTGTTTGGTGGGTGGTGCTGAGGGAGAGGAAACAAGACCCCTTTCCCTGCCCAAGCCATTAGGAAGATGCCTTTGAAAATTTTCTGAGCTAAAGCAACCTTCTCTTTCTATTAAAGTCCTTATATCTGTATCAGCTTTCTTTAACAGTTCTCATTAGAGATCAGATTTAGGAGGCTTGGGGAATCCTTTTATTCTATAGCCAGAAGTGAGAGAAGGGGTAAGGGGAGGTGTATTCACTAATGGAGTCCTAGAAGGTCCAGTGCAACAACCCTTTCTCCCAACATTGGAGGAGGTGAGGACAGTGAGAGGACCACTACTCTGCAGGTCAGGCCATGGGTTCAAGTTACACACGTGCTGGGAGATTCTTGCACAATTCCTCAACCTCTCCTCAGTTTCGTACTCTATGAGAGCCTCAGACCCACTTCATTAACTTGTAATGTTCAAAAGAGGGCTGAGAGCAGCCACTTGAAAATGCTTTATGAACTGTAAAATTCTCTAGAACTCTAAGGAATGGTTATGATCATGGGGCTCTATGACCCAGATCTACAGCCTTATGTAAAGTCCCTGCTCCTCTTCTTGCTGTCCCAGGAACAGATGGAAAATCTGAGTCCTTCTGACTTCTTATTTTGACATACTGTGTGGTCTGGAAACAAAGCTTATGTACTTTTGCAGTTACCTCTTTGGAAGAAGTGTGAAGCAGACTAGGCAGTTTAGAAAGCACAGTTGTTATTTATGTTTCCTTATCGCTCCCGCAGTCACCCCACTGTGCTCTTAAGGAGGATTTGGGAGGGAGAACTGAACCCCTGTGGTGAGGAGTAATGAGTTTCCCTAGCTTTTGCATGAACCAGCTCTTTGGAAAGCTAACCTTCTCCCCAGGCACTCACTACTAATTAAGAGGAGGGGTGGCTGCATTGGTAGATATCTACTGAAGCAGTTCTGCGATTCTTTTCATCACTTGCACATCAACTTCTCTTCTTCTTCTTAACTCTCCGTGAGTATTCATGCATGGGAGGAACCGAGGAAACAGTGGACCCAGATTCAAGGAAAGGACAGTGTAGCTGTAGGACTCAGTTTCCCTCCATGTTTAGGTAGAGGGTCTACAGTCAGACTGCCTGGGTTTGTATCCTAGCCCTGCCGCTGTCTGTGTGTTTTTGAGCACGTCACTTATGTTCTTTAATACTCAGCTTTGCCACCTGTAGAATGGAAATGGCACTACCACCCTCAGTGGGGCTGTTTTGGGTACCAGATGAGATAACTTATGTAAACAACAAGATGCTTCGTGTGAAATCACCTCTCAGTAACTGGCCTCTGTGGGTATTTTAATCAGTCCCTTATTTAGCACATGATACTGACTATCAACTTTTGTGCAGAACAAGATGTTAGCATGGAGGAGCTGGCTTACAGAAAATATTTTAGACTTTCCGAGACACTGAAATGCCAGAGGAAGCTGGTTCTGTTTAAAACAAAACAAAGTGAAAGACATACATACAAACTATGGCATTGGAGAAGGCATCTTGGGTGGGATGGAAGTTGTCTTTTACTGTCTGACATGGTGTTAGAATTCAGAGGACAGAATGAAAGGCAGGGAACATCCCATGATCCAAAGCTTACCTGAGTATATGGTACTTTTATAACTGCATATCCTTGCAGGATCTGCAGTAAATCTGATAAACAGAAAAGGAGATCTTGAGCTTCTCCCCACACCTCCAGCTCTGCATCTGGGCCTTCAATGTGATTATTTTACTCTGAGAACTGCAGCCTTCTGTTTTTCTCTCCCCCAACATCATTTTAAAGCATAGCTTTCCAAATGCCATTTCTCTTCTGAAGCCAATATATTTTTTACAGTTGGAGTTAGCTGCAATGTCTTTCACAGCTCGCAAGTCATTGGGAAGATTTGATGTTCATTCTGCTAAAATATTGCTGCCTGAAGACTCAACTGTGAAATGCAGCTGTCTAGTGTGTTTGTACTTCGCAATATTCCCAAAACACACAGGCATGCACATGTGCACACATACATGAAAATATATGCACATTCACACATATACGCTTTTTAAATATATATTTAAAAGTTTTTAAATGAAAGCCTGTTTATTATGGGAGGAGATTCTGCACAATTAAAGGTATCATTCATCCTGAGCAATTTTGAGGATACTAGAAAAAATGTAGACTATACAAAGCTGGTGTGTGTCTGTGTGTGTGTGTGTGTGTGTGTGTCAGAGAGAGAGACAGAGAGAGACAGAGATTAAGACAATACACTCTCATCTAAGATTATTTACAGTCTAACTTCTTAAGCCATGATCTCTACGTTGGATAGTTGGAAACATTTTATAAAAGAGATTATTTATAGAGGACAGACTTGGGAAACAGACCGTCCTAGGTTCAGATGTTGGCTTTGTTACTTTACAAGTTGCATGAACCTGGGCAAATTGATTAGACTCATCAAGGTATACTCCTTCACTGATAAAATTGCCACCTACCTCCAATAACTTTTCTTAGAATTAAATGTGATTAATGTGATTATATAAATAAATGTTCTTTGCACAATGTTTGACAAACATTGAGAAATAATAGCTCCCTACCCCTTCTCATCTTTTATCCGTGAGCAGAGTAATGAAATATTTCTCACCCTTCTCACATATTCCCTCTTACAAAGCCATGGAGTTCCCTAATTTGAGTGTCACTTGCACCTCCCAGGACACAGGTTAGAAGACTGAGACAGAACTCAAGATTACCTTTCAGCAGTCCTCATTAACTATTCTGTAGGCCAATTGTGTTAAGTGATTATTATTATTATTATTTTGAGACAGGGTCTCACTCTGTTGCCCAGGCTGGAGTACAGTGGTGTGATCATGGTTCACTACAGCCTCAAATAATCCACCCACTTCAGCCTCCTGAGTAGCCGGGACTACAGGCACGTGCCACCATGCCTGGATTTTTTTTATTATTTGTAGGAAAGGGGTCTTCCTCTGTTGCCAGGGCTGGTCTTGAACTCCTAGGCTAAAGTGATCCTTGTGTCTTGGCCTTCCAAAGTTCTGGGATTGTAGGTGTGAGCCATGTGCCCAGGAACATTAAGTGATTTTAGCAAGTGTAATAATTCCTAAAGATTTTGAAATTGTCATAGTTGCTCTGGATGGTCTAGTTAGGTTGGTGCAAAAGTAATTGTGGTTTTTGCCATTCACTTTTTTTTTTTCCACAATCACTTTTGCACCAATAAAGCAGTTTTAGAATGAAAATTCTCCACATTTCATTTTCAGCATTGTCTTTTGGAAAAATAGTGGGAATACATTTTTGGAGGAATACATTTTTGCAACTTTTTCCAGAATCTTTGCTCTTGTTCAAAATTCATACAAAAATTGAAGATCTTCGAAATCTCTGTAAAATTGAGGGTCTCCATATATAGATTTTCAAGTGTGGAATCAATGGCATCATTGAGGTAAAGGCTTAAGTGGAATATCACCACTATAATCCTTGCTATGAATTAGATTGCCAGATGAAAAACATGGAATTCACTGCCTGTCACAAGGGACACCTCCCCACTCCAAACAGAAGAAACACACCTCTTACAGACTCATTTTTACACCCCTCAAGAGCAAATAGTCCATGCTTATTATTATTTAAAAAACCTAGAGTCCTTCCAAAATGTAATGCATTATAAAAGCCTTCACATCATGGCTAATATTGAGAAAAGATTATTTATATTTTCAACTCAGAGGCAGAGCTTGGTAAAATGCTATAGTTGTAAAATTTTGTGGCTATGTTATTCTTTTTCAAGCCGAATCTCAGGCAGAATCTACGTATATAGAAATATGACAGAAAATAAAGAGTTGCTCTAGTTGAAGTTGGAGGCTTGGCCCATAACTGTTTGGCCTTTTTCTTGCTGCCTTGGCACATCCTGGCTTTATCCACACCCGAGTCACCACCTCAGAAAGTGAGAGTCACACAGTACATAGTAGAGAACCTACCAGTAGAGTAGAAAGAGATCTAACTTCAAAAAAAGAACATCAACATTCTAGCGCTAGTTCTGCCAGGAACTAGGGAGATGAGTGTCCAGTGAGGGAGTTAGATGAATGATCTCCATGGTCCTCTGTTCTGATGTTTTGTTTTTTCTTGTTGTTGTTTGTTTTGTTTTAAATTATTGGTTTTCATCAAGTCATCATCTTTGTTACCTACATATAAGCAATAAAGTTGTTAAGAGTTCTTTCTCTGTTTTTCCCATATATGCTTTCAACAAATATGGATTTAGGTGTTACGATGTTCCAGTATCTATGTTTTGTGATAACATGTTTTTTTAGAAACACTCATTGGTTTCATTTTAAAGTAGTTGAAAATGTGATCAGCATTATCTTTACCTGTTTTTTGCAGGTGTGCCATGTTTGAATAAGATTAACCATGATGTTGGCAGCAGAGGATGGGGGCACTTCAGTACAACTGAAGCAGTCATACACCACTTCTGATTACTGGGGCGATAACTTGAACACTTAAGCAATTGCTAGAGCAGATGTACGTTTACAGGCCTCTGCTGTTGTAACCACTGCTCTGGATTCCAGTGATTTGAGACCAGTCTCCCTCCCTTTGTAACCTCTCTAAAGGCAGGCAGTGTCTCATTGGTCCCAGGGCTCTCATTGCCTACGACGGTGCCAAGCAGAGAGAAGATACTTTGTCCATGTTTGATAAACACATGAGGGTTCGATGGCTGTAATGAGAGGAAACCCAGCAGTTAGAGTTTCCTATTCAAAAGTTCCTTCCAATTGCCATATGTGTTGTCTTATTGGGAATGCATTCTGTCAAGATAATGGTCCATGAGAGGCTGATGAAGAAAGAGCATAGCAATTCTTGAGGCAAATCTTATAAAGCTGTCTTGTTGCCTCTTGAGAAAAAGGGGGCTACATTTCCTAAGATTCTGAGTCAGGCTGTCCAAAGGTATCTGCCCACCAAAGTACCTTTCTATCCCAGGGTCAGCAAACATTTTCTGTAAAGGACTAGATACAAACATTTTAGGCTTTCTAAGCCATATGGTCTCTGTCACAACTACTCAACTCTCCTGTCATGGCATGAATGCAGCCATAGATAATATGCAAATGAATGAGCATAGCTATGTTTAAATAAAACATTATTTTTGAAGTCAAATGGCAGGCTGGATTTGGCCCGTGGGTTTTAGTTTTTGTCGATTCCTCTTCTAGCTTATAGTCTAGAAGTTTCACAAAGTTCTCTTAAACTCCAATTTAGTCTTTCCTTATCTGCCACTCATGAGAATAGATAAAATAAATGATCACAGGATATTTCTTGGCCTTGTAAGATCAGATATTCTTCCTGTTCCATGCTCTTCTAAAATTTAAAACATTCTCGACGAGGCACAGTGGCTCACGCCTGTAATCCCAGCACACTTTGTGGGAGGCTGGGAGGATCACTTGGGCTCTGGAGTTTGAGACCATTCTGGGCAACATAATGAGACTCTGTCTCTACAAAAAGTTTTTAAAACTTAGCCAGGAATGGTGATGCACGTCTGTAATCCTAGCTACTCAGGAGACTGATGGGAGAGGATCACCTAAGTCCAGGAGACTGAGGCTGCAGTGAGCTATGATCATGCCACTGTACTCTAGCCTGGGTGACAGAGCAAGATCTTGCCTAAAAAAGAAAAAAAAGTCCAAAACAGTCTCAAAGAGGCCTGCAAACCCCTGGTAGTTTACATTCTCAAGGTTATCTCTGTCCTACACATTTCGATCCAGATTTGAGTTTTCACCCTTTTATTATTTCCATAAAGGGACAGTCAAAAGAACTAACCATTACATTTATTCAAAACAGGAATATAACACTCTTTCCTGAGTATTTTAGGGGAGGAGAAAAGAGGAGTTATACTGCAAAACTGCAGCTATCTTTTAAGTGAACATTAAGCATTCCACTTTTTAAATTGTTCTTCAGCTACCTTAAAACTAGCAGGCATTCATTGACTATTTCCCCTACATCACACTGAACTTACACTAACCTGCTTTATCCATACTTCTTCCTCATCTACCCAAATGTAAAACCAAAACCTTTTCTGTGCCTTCTGCAGAACAGTTTTGGTTGCCTTGGCTCTTAGCACATCCATCTAACCCTGTTGTTCTCTTCCACCCACGTAATTTACCCAGTCATTTCACCAGGAAAAATCAGTCTCTCCCTAAGTAGAATCTGCGGGGTGATGGGTCAAGCATGCTCTCCCACATTACGTGTACATGCTATTGGCCAGACACTGTCTTCCAGCATCCTACTTACTTATGAAAGTCAAAGTCTAAAGTGAACAGGTATTTTACTCCTGAGGATTGCCTCTAGAAACGAATTCTCTCTGCTGGCTCCTCCTCCAGTAGCATGTAATTCATGGCTCACAGCCTACCAGGTCTAGGAGGGCTTCTAGGCACTTGTTGAGTGCAGTCTCTTTATTTGCAGGAGGAAAAAATCTGAAGTTCAGTAAGGAGAATTAGATTGCTTAAAACTCAGTTAGGATTTACAATGTAGGACTAGGACCCAAGTCTAAAATTTTCTACCATAGAAGACAGCAATATTTATCAAGTTATATATCTACAAAATTGCTAAGTAGCATTATTATTATTTGTACATATAGTTTATTGCTCATTGACTGGTACTTTCATTGTATCACTGTACTCATTATTTTTATCAAAATTTAATTCTTTTAATAATCATTTTTATAACAGTTTCTGAAATGGGATATTAAATGTAGTATGAGCAGAAGCTGCAGGAGGAAGGGAGCTAGAAAGATGCCTTTCTTCCTGGTGTGGTAAAGGGCATGGTTCCGGAGGGGTGACGACAATGAAAAAAGACAAGAAGTTTCATGAAAAAGTGTTTTATTCTGTGATCTCTTCTGTTTTTTTTTTTTTAAAGTTTTCCTAATCTTTTGAGACATATATTTTCTATAATAAAGCCTTATGCTTATGTAACTCTTGATGTTTTTCAAAGTGCTACCATATATCATATCATTTGATCCTCACCAAAGTTTTTGAACCATAGTGAATACACCAAGCTGTAAGTCACCTTAAAAGACTCCATGCCAACAACCAACCTGCTTTCTTCACTGACACCCAGACTATGCCCTGCACATTCTTTCAAACTTCAGCAATACACAGACACAAAGACACAAGCTGGTGCTCTTTTTCTCTCTCCCTCTCTCACCCTTTTCTTCTTTCATAAATATTTGTCAACAGTCATGAAACAAAGAAATTTGCAGACTTTATCTGACATCAGAATGTGCTTTTCTGAAAATAGATGCACTGAATGAGATAATGACTTTGGAATTACCCTATATGAATCATTAAATTATTCAGCCAATGTGTACATTCTTTTTATGCTCAGAATCTCTTTCCTTTAATCACCTCAAGATGGGGAAGGAGTATAATACTTAGAAGAGGAATCTGGAGATGCCATGATGTGGGGTGGTCAAAATTATCTCTAGGTTTTCTTAGAATATTCCACCATCCTCAGCCAAACTGGACCAAAAAGTTATTTCAATCAGTGATTCCGTTATATGGGGGAGTCTATTTAATTTTTAGAAGCAGTAGTGTAATGGATGGACAGTAATGACATGCTTTCTGGCTGGTTTATAACAAAGAATGCATTTGTTTTCTCATCCTCACATCTTTTACTGCTTGAATTTCCTTCCCTATGTGTTCTAGATGAAGCTTTATTTGGTGCTGCTCTGATAATCACATAATATCCCTTTTCCCCCCTTCTTTTGGCCTGCTTGTGTACCTGTTCTCTCTGTATTTGAAATTAAACCAACCCAATGCTATAATTGAGAGAAAGAGCTTCTGTTTTAATTAGTCTCAGTAATAGATATGACAATAAGCAGGGCTCGTTCACAGCCATTGCATCAAGCAATGGAACCATCAGATCGCTGATCCTAACACCATGAAAGCTGTCACCCTGAAGCGCTCTCTGATGGGGTACTTACTGTCTCCAATTACAGTTGTTTCTCCATTATCCATAGTTGAGGGGGTGAAGTAGAGGAGAAGATGGTGCCTCCATAGAATTTGGTGTGTGCAGAAGGATACGGGACGTGGAATGGGGAGTTGGGATTTGCTTACTAGCTCTCCCCCTCCACCGGCTAGGTGATTTTGGATGTCTTTCTCAATATTCTTATCTATAAATCAGATATGATAATCCACGTGCTGCCTAAACTAGCAGTTTTTGTAAACACTCAAGTACTGCAGGATTTGAAGATTGTTAGGCGTCTCTACTTTGCCATTCAAATTGCTTCCTTTGCTGAGTGGAAATATGTATTCAATTTGGGTTCCATCTAATTTTCATACCCATTTCCTGATAGCATTCAGTGGTCAAAAGGAAATGTAAGGAGGAAAGAGAGATGTAAAGGGAAAGTCTAATCTGCAGACTTGATGATCAGTGTTTACAGAATTCGTATTTGCTTCAAAGGACAGCCGTGACTTTAAGAAAATCCAAGATGGCCCCCCTCAGCAATTTAGAGTCATTTCAGCACTTGGAAGTCTCTGGAATTGCAACCAAACTAGTAATTTCCTCCACCCTTTTAAATATGTATATAAATAAAAAGAGGCTTTATTGGTTAAAAAAGAACATCTGAGCATTTAGTGACCAAGAAAATTTTCTGCAGTGTAGAAGTATATTTTGCATTAAATTTTAAATAAAGCATTCATTTATTCATTATTACCTTTTAAGGGCAACAAGTAAGTGCTACACGCTGGGCTTGGCCCTGAGATAACAGAGCTATTTTGTTAAGCTATGGAGTCTAGTTAGAGAGTCAGCTTTGGAAGGCAGGGCGACAGTGCTGAGCGCTGGGTCAATACGGAGTGCCAGGCTGCTCAGAAGGAAGGAGGGGTGAGTTGTGGGCTTCTTGGCTATGGAGACGAGGAGAATAGGAACATTCTAAGCAAGCCCAGTCAGCCAGTGAGAAAGTGGAACCAGGGCAAAGTGTCAGAGAGTGAGGCCTCTTTAATTAATGACACTTTAAGAAATATTAACTATTTCAGGAAATCAGTCCTGAAAAGAGATTTTGCCTCCTGACCATGAGGAATAAATACAGATTTATTATATTTACAAAGCTGCCTTTTCAAGTGGTTGACTTAGAGGATCAGGGAATCTCTGTCTCTTTGTAGAAATTAACTTCAAATAATAACTAACTCCTTTTATGTATTTACCAGGAACATTTTTGTCTTTTGGTTGGTTTGTTTTTTATTGATTGGTGCTTAATGGAAGGCCCAGTGAGACATTTGTAGCTAAATTTGTTAGGAGCCACTTCCAATTAAAGTTCATTTGTAATGAAGATAAATGATAATCTGAGTTAATAGGAAGACAGTATTCAACATTACCTTAAAAATGATTTACACAGAACAATTTAGGAGCCTTTCTAGTGCATAAATTAAGGTGAATATATGATTAAACCTCAAACTATCAAAGCCTCTCATTTAATTTGATATGCAAGGTGAAATATCATTATAAGGAACAGGATCCTGATTCTATTTGAAAGTAACTTTTTCTAAAAGCCTACAAGGCAAAAACGTTGGGCCAACTGGGAGGGAGCCCAGGGCTTATGCTGAAGTTTTCTGTATTTTGCTGTGCTCTTCTTCCAGCCCCCAAAATGCACAATTCCTTTGCCTAGTGGGTAAGCCCCCTTCTAGAGTGTAAACTTAACTGGGAGTGGGGTGGGATCCTGCCTCTGACCATACTGCAGCCTCAGTATCTAAAATAATACCTGGCACTATTAGGCACTAGTAGGTGTGCAACTAATATTAGTTGTATAAATGAAAGGATGGATGAGTGTGTGAATATAATAAAAGAGTAAAAAAACAAATGGTAGTTCTTCCTGTATATATATATCCTTGTTGATTTACATTGATGTGTACATATAGACATATATACTGATTTACATTGAGATATATATACGTGTGTATATATATGTATATATGTGTATATATGTGTGTATATATATGTATATATGTGTATATATATGTATATATGTAAATTTACCAATGTAAATCAACAAGGGTAGCTTTAAAAAGTACTGATGCCTATGTCCCGCCCCCAGATAATCTTATTTAATTGATCTCGGATTTGGCCCAAGGGTTGGGATTTATAAGTCTTCCCAGGGTTCTAATGTGCAGGTCTAGGTGGAGTCAATGTGGTATCCTTGTCTCGGAAGGCCTGGGGCCTCTATTTCTGTTCAATTTCATTCATAGACATTGACCTACCAATATTTGTGATCTTGATAAGAAATAGCGCTTCTGGTTTAACTTTTTATTCCTCCCTGTCACAGTAAGCCACGAAGTCATTTCACCTACATTGTAAAATAGTGCTACCTACTAGGAGATCTTCCACAAGTCACTTAACTTACTTGAACCTCAGAATTTAGAAAATGGATATAATCTCTTCCTTGCCTACACTACTATGTTTTTGGGAAGTTCAATTAAGATAATAGATGCAAAAAGTTTTAAAACATTATAAAATGTAATATTATAAAATTTAAGCAATTGTTAGTGTTTAGGAAAGCATAAATATGTTCATGATTAATTTGTAATTTTAAGGAGATGGAATTTGAAAATACCTGAGAATGTTATGGAATGTTACAGAATTCGGCTTCATAAATTAAGAAAGATGTCCTAGCTCTGTTAGCTTCTATTCATAATGGATATAACTACTTAAACTCTTTGAACTTCAATTTCAAAGATACCTCCTGTCTCAAAAAGCTGTGAGAATTGGACACATTTCAGAAGAGTGCTATGTGAGCTCTAAAGCATTATATTAAAAAAGCCTGTTACTTTGTTTTTGTTGTTGTTATAATATTTTTATCCCACTCATCGTTTGCTGGAAACGGCTCCCTTTAGATCAGGAAGGTTGATTTTGTGCCTTTCACCACTCGTAATTCAGTGACTTGAAACTGGCCATGGCGGGAGTATTTACACAAAGGAAGTCAGTAAATATTATAAATCAGGACCTTGGCCGGGCACCGTGGCTCATGCCTATAATCCCAGCACTTTGGGAGGCCGAGGCGGGCAGATCACGAGGTTGGGAAATCAAGACCATCCTGGCTAACACAGTGAAACCCTGTCTCTACTAAACAGAAAATACAAAAAATTAGCCGGGCGTGGTGGCACGTGCCTGTAGTCCCAGCTACTCGGGAGGCTGAGGCAGGAGAATCGTTTGAACCCGGGAGACAGAGGTTGCAGTGAGCTAAGATCGTGCCACTGCACTCCAGCCTGGGCGACAGGGCGAGACTCTGTGTAAAAAAAAAAAAAAAAAAAAATTGGGACCTTTTGTTTTTTGGAGATCCAGTTTACCTATATACCATAGCCAATATCTAAAGGTATCTATCATTCTGAAAGCGAAAGAGTAGGTACAATTGTCCCTCATTATCTGTGGGTTTCACATCATGGATTCAATCAACCACAGATTGAAAATGTTCAAATGAAAAAATAAGGATGGTTGTATCTGTGCTGAACATGGACAGACTTATTATCTTGTCATTATTTCCTAAACAATACAGTATAACCACTATTTGCATAGCATTTACCTTGTATTAGGTATTATAAGTGACCTAGAAATTATTTAAAGTATATGGGAGAATACGTGTAGGTTATATGAAAAGACTATGCTATTTTACATAAGGGACTTTTTACCATCTGTGGATTTTGGTATCTGAGTGGGGGTCCTGGAACCAATACCCCATGGATACTGAGGGACTGACTGTACTCAGTAATACTGGGTGATTTGAATAATTTAAGTTGAGGCATGGTTGAAACCAATAACACAGCAATGGTTGAGATTTAGCTTGCAATGGTTGAAATATAGTTTGCAATTCCAAGTATTAGTTTATTAAGGAGAAATTGTATCTACTTCACCCAGACAAAAGCAAACAATGGGCCAAAACCTTCATCTTTTTCTCCTACGTACTCAAGAAACCAGGAAAGCATACAGCATTTGCTAGCCCTAAAATAGAGGATCACCTGACTAGTCAGTTTACTGAAGCTAACCAGTCAATTTGAATTTTTCAAGCCAAAATGTGATTTATTTTCTTTTTAAAGAAAATCTCTTCTGCCCTAAGGAAGCTTTTATTTTCTTGTCAGGCCATTTACTTTTATTTGTGACTGACGGATTGCCATCTTTGTCAACCATCACCCTGATGACAGTTGGACATCTCTTGCCCCTCAGAAACAGCTCCCAAATTCCTAAAGTAGCATCCTTGTCATCAACACAGTGGGAATGGCTTATCTGATGAAGCCCCACTGAATCGAAGACTGTTTCATACTTCTGTTCTCTCTCTCTTGTTCTGATCTAACTAAGTGATATATCTAATTGGATTTAAACACAGGGATTTTATGGAGTAACTATAGTCTCTGTACGAGCAGACATTTAGACCCCTGTAGTTCCCTACGTTTTTATCCTCTAAGGCACTCCTTATTTCCTGTAAATTTAGTTGTTGCAAGTAGATCATTAGGTCATGGGTCACGCACTGTTACAAAAGGAAGTTAAAAAAAGATAGAGGCACTGCTCTCCATGCTAGAAATTAGCCAGGTGCACCATTATGTAAAGAGCTTCAACTAGAGAGCACAGTAATTAAAATAACAATGAAACAATAGCTTATGCAACACTTTGCAAATATGATATTTTCATTTGCGGTATTGTACAAACCAAGCACATCAAGCAGCAATGTTAAGTAATTTGCAAAAGACCAAGGGGAAGTGAATGAGGACACTGGAATGGAGTCTGTTTCATGCTATGCCAATCAAAGGCCTATTGTATACAAGGGGGTGTTGCTGTCTGTGGAGGTATCTGGATGACTTGTATCTCCCAGGATGTTATAGGTTAGCAAAATAAACAGTGTATGATCTAGAAAGGGAAAGGAGAGGTAGAAAAATCTGCTCATTGGCATGGAGTGTTGAAGATAAAGTTCTCATTTTGCAAGTCCCAAAATGATGCTTTTTTTCAGTGCACCCAGAAATGATCAGATGTGAAGGACCAGATCATGATTATCAAGCTCACAGGAGATTTATTTTTAAGTGACTGACAATATAATATTTAAGTAGTTGACAATAAAGTCATGTACACCATTCTAGTTATTAGACTATTCTTCTATACTATGCAGAGAACCCCTTTTCAGGTATTAAGATAAAAATAATCAATTTCTAAATAAAGGGTTTCTTGTGTTCTCGTCTTTTGGTTTCTTTGTATCAGCTTGCTCATTTCTACTCTGAATTTGGCATATCCCACCAATTACTGCATGCACAATTAATCTACTGGCAAAAAAAAATTGGAGAAGAAAGAATTTGGAAAGCATGAACACAAAGTTTTCCTTAGTCTATGAACTTTGTTTTGACTTGCTATTTGACCTGGTATGCTGTGGACCAGCCAAAGTGAGATGACCTCCTCAGTGCCACCCAAGCAAGTCTCACTAAAATCCTCTTCTCTTTGGTTGAAATTTTTGGAATGACCAATCATCTTTTTTTTTTTTTTTTTTTTTTTTTTGAGACAAGTTCTGGCTCTGTCGCCCAGGCTGGAGTGCGGTGGCGTGATCTTGGCTCACTGCATGATCGTGGCTCACTGCAACCTCCACCTCCAGGACTCAAGTGATCCTCCCACCTCAGCCTCCTGAGCAGCTGGGACTACAGGCACATGCCACCATGCCTGGCTAATTTTTGTATTTTTTGTAGAGACAAGGTTTCATCATGTCACCCAGGATGGTCTTAAACTCTTGAGCTCAAGCAATCCTCCCGCCTCAGCCTCCCAAAGTGCTGGGATTACAGGTGTGAGCCACCACGCCCGGACTAATCCTTTATTTTTATCTGTGAATGTATATTCATGATACAGGAGCTTATATGGTGGGACTGGAATCATTTGTTCAATTATCCCTGACTGCATTACCTGCTGATGATTGGTAGGATTGTAAGTGGTGTGCAGAAGAATGCAGTCTTGGGACTCATCAAAGACCACCTTAACAAAGACCACCTCAAAGACCCTCCTCAAAGACCACCACATTCCACACTCTAGGAGCTGCAAATGGAAATGACAGTTTATGGTTACATGGCCTAATAGTATTATTTTATTTTTTTAACTGACAAAAGTTGTATGTATTTATGATATACATCATGATATTTTGATAGATGTGTACATTATGGAATGACTACAGCTAATGAACATATGCATTGCCTCACACACTTATCATTTTTTTTTGTGGTGAGAACATTTAAAATCTACACTCAGCAATTTTCAAGTATACAATACATAGGCCACCGTGTTATATAATACATCTCCTGAACTTACTCCTCCTAATGAAAATTTTGTATTCTTTGAATGGTCACATGGCCTAAATAACTGAATTATATGTGCCATATATCCACAAAAATTATTTACTTTACATTAATGAATTACTTATTAGAATTTGAGGCCATTATACTACAGTTTACAATAGTGAACAAAATATTCCCCACCTTTATTCCCAGTAGAAGACAAACAGTCTGCAATTCTTTCCTTTAGATCTGCCTCCAATATCCTAGATCTTGTGACATTAAAGCTAATCAAATGGCTTGATAAAATGGGAATTTTCAAAGCATAAGTGTAAAGAAACCTGCAGCTATAGTGCTGACAGCACCGGTCATTGAAAATTAATCTTGTGGGTTTATATGACAGCACTGATACTGATAGGTATCTATTCTTTTGCTTAGTCATCGTTTATTTATTGAGCACCTACTAATGGCTGACATGGAGGTGGGCCCTGGAGGTAAAAGGCTGAGTAAAACAGATATGATTCTTTCCTCAGGGATTTTATTGTCAGGTGAGGGAAGTAGCCATTATTCAAATAACCCCACATATACATTTCTAATTCTAGCAAGTATTGTGAAGGAAATTAAAGGGTGATTATTTAAACACAAACAAGGGTGGGAAAGCGTTTGATCTGAGAGCTGAAGGGCAAATGAGAATGAACTATTCAGGGGCCAGGTGTGGTGGTTCACCCTTATAATCCTGGTACTTTGGGAGGCTGAGGCAGGAGGATTGCTGGGGGCAGGAGTTTAGACCAGCTTGGGCAACATAGTGAGACCTTATCTTTACAAAAATAAAGTTAAAAAATAAGAAGGATGAACTAACGGAAGAGACATGGGGGAAGGAGTGGAAGGAAAAAATCCTAGGTAAGGAAACAACATGACAATGTTGTCTTTCTCATGACAGGCTTTCTCAGAAACAAAAGAACAGTGCAACTGGAATACAGTCTGTGAGGAGGAAGGCCTTTCATGTGGAGGCAAGAGAGATTAGTCAAAGTCCAGAGATCACTCGTATGGCAGGCCTTTTGAAAGATTTTGCTCTTTTTCCTAATGACAAAGCCTTGAAGGATTTAGAGGGCCATCATTCAGATCTGGGGTCCGTTGGGAGCTTTACCAAGCCTAAGATCTCCCTCCAATGGAAAGACAACTATGTTGTCTTGCTAATGACCCAGCAACCATCAGATTCCATCTGCTGGTAGCTGTCAAAGGCAATGACAGCTTGTCCATGCTCCAAATAACTATATTATAGAAAATATGGTAAGCGTGGGCATCTTTGGGCAGATGTCATCCAAAACTTTCACTGGATTCTCAAAAGTGGTCCATGACTCAGAAAAAATTACCCTAAACTGGTACTTTCCCAAATGTAATCTAGTTTAGCATTTTTATCTCTAACTTGTTTTTCTTCTTGTTTTTATGTTAAAAAGTCACTGTTTCTAATATTCTGAGTGAGCATTAGTGCGAGCTAATGGCTTTTTAAAGAAAATTGGTGGTGGTTGTTACTAAAGTTGATGGATTTATTGAGCACCTAAAATGTTCTTTTTCTGTTCTACAAAGTGTGTGTATATGTGACTATTATTTCTGCAATTAGTTCCTGATTGAAGTTTCTACTGACCAAGGGGCCAGTGATTATTTCCTTGGACTGTGGATTCAGGCTCTGTTTTTTTTCAGGGATTCCTACAGCAGGCAATCCCTTTCTGTTCTATGAGCTACGAAAGACAGAATGATTAAAGTGGTTCTATTTCCAAAGTACGTAGGACTTTGTGGGGAATTTGTTTTTGCATGTAAAATACTTCCTAATAACATATAATCAGCTACACAGTAACTCTTTATGGTATGGCAACATTTTTGTGCAAATTACTATACTAGGAAATCCAGGGCCCACAATCCACTTCCTTAGAAATGTGTATTGATCTCCTACTATGTGTGCTACATTGGGGATACAAAATTATAAATTATAGTTGCTGCCCCCAGAGGTTTTAAAGTCTATTAAGGTTTGGCCGGACGTGGTGGCTCATGCCTGTAATCCCAGCACTTTGGGAGGCCGAGGCGGGCGGATCACGAGGTCAGGAGATCGAGACCATCCTGGCTAACACGGTGAAACCCCGTCTCTACTAAAAATACAAAAAATTAGCCGGGCGTGGTGGTGGGCGCCTGTAGTCCCAGCTACTCAGGAGGCCGAGGCGGGAGAACGGCGTAAACCCGGGAGGCGGAGCTTGCAGTGAGCCAAGATGGCGCCACTGCACTTCAGCCTGGGCGACAGAGCGAGACTCCGTCTCAGAAAAAAAAAAAAAAAAAAAAGTCTATTAAGGTTTGATGAAATATATTTTACAAATAATGAAAATCAGATGTGTTGATTGCTTTCATAGACATATATAATTTATCTCATTTAATATGTAGTGATTGTGATAGAGAATAGAACAATATGTAAGAGGGAATGCTGCCTCTATGAGTTTTACACACATAAATAAGACTTTTCAATAAAATGTGACGAGTGCTTGGATACAGGACTGCATGTAGAAGGCAGCCTCACTGAGAGTAGAGGATTAGAACAGGCTTATTGGGAAAGATTACACTGCATTGAGTCTTGAGGAGGACAAGCTAGCTAGGTAGAGAAGGAGTAAGGGGGTGTCAGGCAGAGGGCACAGCATGAGCAAAGGCATGAAGGTGAGATGGGATAGTTCCCTTGACCCATCTGCAGGATTCCTGAAGGCTCATTTGCTTAGCCTGCAGCTCTGAACCCCTCATGGGAGGGGAAGCACGCAGGTGAGCGGGTGCAGGTGCCGGGGCAGATGAACACTGGAACTGGCTGGTCACTCCGCTCTGGTGGGAGCAGGCTCTGTGTGGGCCCCGCAGCAGTGTCCAACTGTGTTGCAATGCTCTTTTAGCTCTGCCATCTGGGAAAGAGTGTCTGCGACCCCTGGAGCCCCAGAGGGTGTATGTTACAATCAGTGCTCCTTTAGCATTCGATGTCCATGGACAGCTAAGTGTTGACCAGTTCAGTGGAAGATCAGAGTGACAGCCTTTTATTTTACACTCTGTCACTTGGTACCTGAGTTCTTGTCTGGTGTCCAGGAAGAATTAGGTCATGCAAATGAATTGAAAGATGGTGTATGAGGAAGATTTTGTTGAGCAGTGGAAGTGGGTCTCAGAGGGAAGGGGAGCTGGAAGGGGCAAGGCAGTGGGAAGATAATCTTCCCCTCGAGTTCGACCATCCCCGGCCAAGCTCTTCTCTGAAGTCCTGCCATCAAGCCGTTCCTCTGAAGTCAAGCTGCTTCTCTCCGACATCCAGCTGGTTATTTTCTTCTCTTCTCCTCTGCCACTCCACTTTGCCCTTCTGCCAGTGGAGCTTGGGGTTTTTATGGGTACAGGGTGGGTAGCGGGATGGGCCAGGGTGGTTTTGGAAATGGCAACATTTGGGTGGGAAAACAGAAATGTGAAGTTCTCAGTTAGGGCCATGGGTCCAGGCTTGAGGGTGGAACCCTCGCCAGGGACCCACCCTCTTCTACCCAGCATTCCCCTGCCTCCTGTCGGTATCAGAGGGATGAGAGCACCTGCTAGATGTAAGGAAGCATAGGAAGGAACATAGAGGAAGGAACAGCTATCTCCTCTTCCACTAACGCAAGTTTAATAAAGGTGGCTTTTAGAGCTGTCATCATTAATGAGATGCGAGAAGACATCTCAGGAAAAGGGAGCAGCTCATGCAAAGTCATGAACTAGAGGAAAACAAGGTGTATTTAGGGAAATAAGTTGTTTCCTACTGTATGGTGTGTGCTCAGGGAACATGACAGGAACTGTTGGGAGTCTATGGAGGTGGGTCAGGAGGGCCTGAGTCCAAAATGACCATTCTCAAACACTTAAAATTAAGTCTGTTGGCAAAGATTTCAATATGGGCTTAAGGTAATGGAATATAAGGAAGTAGTGACAGCTTGTGCTCTCAGTTGTTGCAACATGTATGGAGAGGTATAGCTACCAGGAATCACAAAGCAGCACGTACTTGTCCTCCATTCAGTAGCTATTGCACCATCTCCTCCTATATGCTGTGCTATGAGCTGTGAGTTTCTGCTCAAGGTGCTCGAGAAACAGCAACAAGGAAAACAAAAACCTAGTTTTCCTGGAGCTTACATGCAAGTAGGGGCAAAAAGACACAAGCAACATAAGTAAGCATGTGTGCAGTGTGTTATGTGATAAGTATTACATAACAGGGATGTGTGTCACAGCGGGGAAGGGGGAAGAGGGTGAGCTGGGATATGTTTGTAATTCAGATGAGGTTCTTGGGGAAGATCTCACTAAGGAGATGACATTGAGGAAAGACCTGAAGGAGGTGAGGCAGCAAGCCATGAGGAAGAACATTCTAGGCAGAAGGAAGAAAGCAAGTGCAAAGACTTCACCTCGAGGGAGGAGCGTTTGAATGATTTTGCAGAAAAACAGAGAGGCCGGTATGACTGGACAGTCTGAGTAAAGAGAAGAATGAGATGGGATGGATTCAGTTGCAAGTGATTGAAATGAATAACAAGCATTCATCGATCCAAGGATTCAATGACCCTAAGTATTCTTAGGTAGAAAGCAGGGTGACAGGCAGGGTGAAATAAAATCTTCCTCTATTCTGTAGAGCTGTGACTTAACCTTTCAGTCTTGTGAAAATATGTATTTATTGGTACTGCTGGACAGTTTTCCTGCTGGCTGTGGAGAGAGTCTTGGTGAACAGAGAGGCCTGCAGCAAAAGAGTTAAGAGATACTTTCTACTCTAGATGAATCAGACAGAAATGAGTCATTTTTTAAATTACAGAGGTGGACACCACTTTACTTAGCAACTGTCCTTTTGAAAATTAGCTTTAATTTTTTTTATTTCAGTCATAATCACGGAACTATAATTACTGGAAAGGACCTTGTTTGTCATCTAACCCAGCTCTCATTTTATAGTTTCTTAAGAAACTAAGGTATGAAGTGTAGCTGAAATACTATTACAAATAAATCTATTCACTATTTAAAACAGTATTCTCATAAGGAATCTTTTGAAAAATATATATAATCCCTTAAATTTATAGTTTCAAAAATGTTTTAAAATATTTATGAAGTCCCTACTATGTATTTGACACTATTCTGGCATCTGGGAATTCAGCCACAATTAATAAGGTAGATTTCATCCCTACTCAGTCAGCATTTACATTGTGCTGTGAGGTGGGAGTAGGGCTAGGGAGAGCTGGGAGTAGTATGTATAGATGACAAACCAGTATGTTAATATATGGACAAAATAATTTCAGAGAAAGATAAGTGATATAAAGACAATCAAAGCACAGTGATGAATCAGAAGAATTAGAAAGTACCAGAGCTGTGGCCATGCAGTGCCGCTCTGAGAAGGTGAACTTTGAGCAGAGAACAGATCCACCTTCAGGAGTTAGTGGTATGGGAATGGCATGGGGAGGGGACCAGGTTTTCCAGTCAGAGGGTACAGCCAGCACAAAGGCCCGAGCTTGCTGTGTTCAAAGAACAGACAAAAAAACCGCATGGTTGAAATGTAATGGAGGTGTGATATGTAAGATGGGTGTGGAGAGGTGCAAGGTGGCCAGCCCACATGGGGCCTCTTAAAGACTGTGGTTAGACAGGTCTACGAAAATGTCAGAAAGCTTTCAACAGGGAAATGTTGACATCAGGCTTCATTTTTCAGAAGATCTGGCTTCTGTGTGGAGAATGGACTATGTTGGGACAAAAGACGAAGTGAGGAGATTAGATAGATGCCAATTTTACCAGCTCCGGCAAGAGAGGTTGAGGCTTATGCTTGGTTAGCACTGGAAGTGAAGAAGTAGGAGCAGACTGGATTCTTTTCTATCAGATTTGGAGTACCATTAGCCGTATAAATCATTGTGGGGCGGGGAATGCCTGGTGCCGTGGCTCGTGCCTGTAATCCCAGCACTTTGGGAGGCCAAGGTTGGGAGCATTGCATGAGGCCAGGAGTTCCAAACTAGTCTGGGCAACACAGCAAGACCCTGTTTCTACAAAAAAATAAAATTAAAAATTAGGTAGACGTGGTCACATGCACCAGTAGTCCCAGCTACTGGGAAGGCTAAGGCTGGAGGATCTTTTGAGCCCAGGATTTTGAAGCTGCACTGAGCCGTGATCTCACCACGGCACTCCAGCCTGTGCAACACAGTGAGACCCTGTCTCAAAAAAAAAAAAAAAAAAAAAAAAAAAAAGTAAAAGAAATAAAAGAAATACAGATTTATTTAGTAACTTCATGTAAGAGAATATGAGGCTCAGAAGATGAAGTGTGGCTTTTTCGAAACACAAGATAAAACTATTTACTGAAAAGCCTAGACTTCCAAATTGGTTGCTGAAAGGATCCTGGGATGGAATGGCTCCCACTGATGAGAGCTTAAGCATGGCTTTCTGCTTTCCCTCCAGCTCTGGGAAGTTAGTCTTTTTTTCCTCCCTCTTCCATATGACTTGTTGCCAAGTTGTTTGATTATCTCCATGGGTTGCTTTCGCAGCAAAACTAGATGCCAGGTGGAACGCAGTCTCCTCCAGCTCCCTGATTCCTTGTGGCCCTCAAATATAAACCATGAGGATTTTTATTTTTGAGATCATCACTGGGAAAAATCACAACACAAACTTCAAACATGGAGAGCTTTTAGAGCACTGAATTTTTTCTAAGTTTTCATACTCTGGATTCTTTATGAGTATGTCTTATTTTCTTTGGATTCTTTGTCAGATGCAGTTCTGGCTAGGAGAGGCCGAATAATGGCCCCTCAAATATGCCCACATCTTAACAGGTGACACCTGTAATATATTAAATGGCAAGGGTGAATTAAGGTTGCAAATGGAATTATGGTCACTAATCAGCTGACCTTAAAATAAGAAGACTATGCTGCATTATTGGTGTGTGCCCAATGTAATCACAATTGTTCTTTAAATGTGGAAGAGGGAAGCAGAAAAACAGAGTTAGAGAGAGGTGTGAAGAGCTGGCTTCAAAGACAGAGGAAGTGGGCCAAGGGCCAGGGAATGCAGATGGCCTCTAGAAGTGCAAAAGATAAGGAAATAGATTTCTTTGTAAAGTTTCCAAAAGAGAAGTAGCTCTATCAACACCTGGATTTTAGCTTACCTAGACCTGTTTTGGAATTCTGACCTCTGGAACTATAAAATAATAAATTTGTTTTGTTGTAAGCTACCAAATTTTAGGTAATTTGTCATAGCCACAATAGGAGATGAATACATTTGCATTCTGCCATTATTCTCTGAGAAGGGACCTTTGAACTGAGTCCAAACAATTGTTGTTAATGGAAAGGGCTTATCTAGCCTTCCCAATTTATCTTTTTTGAGGTCTATTATAATGGATACTATGACTACTACTGCTACTACGATTACTACTACTGCATTTGAGCATTTACTATGTGTTTGCACTGTTTTAGACACTTAACTGCCCTTGTCATCCTTATTTTACAAAATAGGAAACTAGGACTCTGGCCCAAGGAGTGTGACACCAGCTTTTCAATGAAGACCTTACTTCTTCCTCTGTGAGAGTTTCACTTGCTAGCACCTTGCAGGTGAAAGGGAGGGTGGAAAGGACAACTTGAACTGTATGTTTTCAAGAGTTCACTCACCTCAATTATAAATTTACATCTCTGGAGACCTCACACTGACTCCCATCTCAGAGGTCTCCTAGCTTCACGACAGAAAGAGAACCTTAGGTCATTTCCTGAGAGTTAAGGAAAGTTAATTAACATTTAGGACCAAGGGACCAGTTTAGGTGCACATTTCTTGATGAAGGGCTTACTGAGTTGTAAAAGTTAATAGGAGGTAGAAAGATAGGAAGAGAGAACTTAGGACAGCCTGGGATTTTTTTTTTTTTTTTTTTTTTAACAATTCACAAACTAAGATTTGTTAAGATTCTACTAAGAATCTACTTTGGCTACATCTGCATTATGTGGTAGAGGAGGTGAGATGCCAAGTTTATAAGTGCATCATCATCTATCTCTGCTGTGTTTATAGAATAGTAACACATGTACCGAACATAAAAACACACTAAAGCACACAACAAGTGTTTAAATACAGAGTATTGCCCATTTAGCAAAAATATCCAGACACAAAGTTGAGCAGGCATCGAGCTGGATAATGCTTCCATGATGCAAGCACCCACATTAGTGTGGGCCTTGGACAATGGGAGGGGCATAAAAAAGGAAGCAATTTGGCTAAGACCCCAAGGGGTGCTTGGAGAAATCACCCAGTTTGGGGGAAATAAAATTGGAAAACACAAGCTGAAAACAGCAAGCTCATGCAAACAATAGAGAAAGGCATCTAAGTGGAAAACAGAGACTGAAGGAAAATTAGAATTAATTTAAATGTAATTTGTTTAAGATCTTCAGTTAATCATCTGCATGCTGTTTTTCATCCAAACACAGACACATTTTTGAGATGAGAATTATTGTTAAAAAAAAAAAAAAAGATGTTAAAAGAAAAAAACTGCTAAGTGTCTCTTAGACTGTCCCAGCACTAGCTCCTCTTCCTCCAATTCTTAATGATGAAACTGAAAGTTTGTGGTTAGCATAATGTCTGTATGCAGTCTTTCATCAGCAAAGGAGAACTCAAATTTCTTGATTATCCTGACTTGATTTTCCTTGACACTGAGTAGCAGTGTCAAGCACCTCGACAAGATTTTCAGTAACAACAAGAGCTTCCAGGTAACCAGTGCTTTCTCACCTTGGGAATTCAGGGCATTAGGGTTTTGTTTCGTTGTCCTGAGTCTTCAGAGCTAAGGAGACAAAGCAGGATGTAGAGACTTTTTACCAAGTGTAGTTATATTTGGTCCCCATAATTAAACAATAAACAAAATCAACAAAGAAATCAAAAAAATGAAGATGGCGATCTTTGATTTTATAAAAATAACTTCCAGTATCATAAATTTAAGGTAGAAAACTGAGTAATGGACTGGGAAGAATCATTTATAGGATATGTAACAGACAAGTGATTAATCTCCAGTGCACATAAAGAGCTTCTATAAATCAATAAAAATCTGAAAAATGGACACACAAATGTAAAAGGAAATCCAGAGAAGAAATATAAATGGTCAATAGACATAAAAAAGTGGTCAACTTCAATAATAATGGAGGAAATACAAGCTAAAAATGAAAATAACAAAAATTAAACAAATTTATTCTATCCAGTGATGGAAATGATGTAGAAAAACAGCTAATTTCATGATAGGATCATTAATTATTACAGCTTTCCTGGAAGGCAATAGATAATATGCATAGATATTTTTTAATGTGCATATCTTTTGACCCAATAATCCCATTTCCAGGCATAAATCCCAGAGATATACAGAGGTGCACAATGATGTATATATAACTATATTTATTGGATCTCATTTCTGCCAAAAAAAAGTATATATGATGTACATGTGTATATATCAGTGTAGAAAAGTAGAACCTCAAAAAGTATATAACACGTTAACATTGTTGACCCTAGAGAGGAGAGTGTGTATTAGTCCATTTTCATGCTGCTAATAAAGACATACCTGAAACTTGGTCATTTATACAGGAAAAAAGGTTTAATGGACTTAACAGTTCCACGTGGCTGGGGAGGCCTCCCAAACATGGTGGAAGGCAAGGAGCAGCAAGTCACGTCTTACATTGATGGCAGCAGGCAAAAAGAGAGAGCTTGTGCAGGGAAACTCACCCTTGTAAAAGAATCAAATCTTGTGAGACTTATTTACTATCGTGAGAACAGCAGGAAAAATCTGTACCCATGATTCAGTTACCTCCCAGTGGCTCCCTCTCACAACATGTGGAAATTCAAGATGAGATTTTGTTGGGGACACGGCCAAACTATATCAGGGTGAATATGACAGATAAGGAAAGAAGGGAAATTTTCACCTTTTATTTTATAAATTTCTATGTTGTTTAACTATTTTACAGTGAAAACATATACATGAATTCCTATATAATTCAACATGCATAGCCATGGACATACATTTTAAAATCTGTTTAGGAAAATTGTTTAAATAATTCTAATTGATTTTGGTTACATCTGTCTACAGATAGTGACTAAGCATTCTAGAATAGAAGGGATTAGATAAATATGCAGACAACAACGATTCCACATGTAATTGTGATAATGGAATGTAAAAAAAGACGAAATTTGTTTTAAATGTCGAAAATAATTCTTGAGAAATCTGTTTTGAAGGTGACTGTGTACAACAGCATTTTTCTTCTTCTCCTCTTAGAAATTATACAAACACAAGAAGGAGAAAGAAATTAATGTTAAACCCTTTTCCTTGATACTCCATGAAGTTTATAGCTTTCATAAGAATGTATAAGGAGACCAAGGCTAAGATGGAGCAGAAGCTGCCTGGGAGGAAGAGCGGAGGACATGAGGAGCGTTTTGAAAGGATCCAGTGGCAGCAGGTGTCAGAGAGCATCAGCAAAAATACACGTTCTTCAGGGAAGTCTTTCCCTGATGTGCCAACCTGTTGGCCATAATAAAAGGTTTTACTTGTGGATAATACTGACAATATCCTGCATGAAATATGACTAAACAGAAAGCAGCTGGCAGTTAAGGGAATAATACTGTTGATGAGGTGGGATTTATTGGAGCAATACAAAGGAATTATTGATAAAATTCATCATACTAATAATGTACAAAGGTAAAATTTCTATGATCAATCATCATCACAGACACTGAAGTGAAAATTTGGCAAAATTAAATAATTATTCTTGATTAAACACACACACACACTCAAAATAAGTATGCATGGATACACTACTAATATGACAAAATATTTCAAGCTTGGCCCCAAAGTTAATACTTAAACAATTAGTGCAAAGATCACTGAGTGAAGTAGCAGTATATGATTAATATGCAAAAATCAATTGCTTCTATAAAATAGCTGGTTAGAAGATTTAATGATAGAAAAACATCAATTTAAAATAGCAGTCCACAGAAATTGAAATACTTAAAACTTTTTGTTTTATGTATGGCCTGTATGAAGAAACATTCCACCATTCCTGTAAACCAAAAAGGAAGTCTATCATGGAAAGACATACCACCATGTGCTTGGACAAGATAACGACCGGGCGCAGTGGCTCATGCCTGTAATCCTATCACTTTGGGAGGCTGAGACAGGCGGATCACGAGGTCAAGAGGTCGAGACCATCCTGGCCAGCATGGTGAAACCCCATCTCTACCAAAAATACAAAAATTAACTGGGCATGGTGGTGGGCGCCTGTAGTCCCAGATACTCAGGAGGCTGTGGCAGGAGAATTGCTTGAACCTGGGAGGCAGAGGTTGCAGTGAGCTGAGATCGCACCATTGCACTCCAGCCTGGTGACAGAGCGGACTCCATCTCAAAAAAAAAAAAAAAAAACAAACACACAAAAACCCCCCAAAAAAACAACAACACAAAAACACATTAGCAAAAACATGACAGATTCATAAGTCAATTTCTATATGTAAAATGGTGTCAGTTAAAATACCACCATACTGGGCATGGTGGTTCATACCTGTAATCCCAGCACTTTGGGAGACCATGATGGGGTTTGAGGAAGGTGTCTCTCAAGCCTAGGAATTCAAGACCAGCTTGGGCAACATGGTGGACTCTGTCTCCACAAAAAAAATTAGAAATTAGCCAGGCTTGGTGGCATGCACCTGTAGGCCCAGCTACTCAGGAGGCTGTGAGGTGGGAGGATCAATGAAGCCCAGGAGGTTGAGGCTGCAGTGAGTGACCCGTGATCAGGCCACTGCACACCAGCCTGGATGACAGAGTGAGACTCTGAAAAACAAAAACAAAAACAAAAAACACTCACCAAATTCGTAGAATCAGACACATTAGTTCTGAAGTTTATATGCAAAAATCAGCAAATTAGACAATGAATGAACAAATACCGTATAAGAAGATTAATGAAGTATCTATGGTTAGAAATTGAGAATACACTGCAAGCTTCTATGAATACATGAAGAGATCTCTGGAAAATAATGGACATTCTGGACAGTTGATCTAAATGCATATGGAAATTCAGTGTATGAAAATGTATCATCTTAAAGCAGTGAGGAAAATATAGATCATTCAGTAAAAATTGTAGCAGTCTGCAACAAAAACATAAAATTACTGTTGGATTGTTATCTTGAGCCACACACCAGCATAGATTACAAACAAATCAAAGCTTATAATGTAAAAAAAAAAAAAAAAAAAAGCACTGAAAGAAAACATGGACAAATTCCTTTATGAACTTGAAGTAGAGAGGCGGCTTTTAAATATGACTGAAAATCCATTAATCATTAAAGGAAAGGATAAATCCAACCATATGAAAATAAAAACCTTCTCTACGGGGGAACATGTCAAAAGACCACTGATTGACTGGGAGAAGCTTCTGCAATTCATATAACAGGCCTAATTTTCCGTAAAACATCCCTATAAAAAGAGATTTTGGAAATCATGAAGAAAAAAGATTTTCTACTCAATAGAACTGAAAAAGAATATAAACAAATAATCACTGACAGGGAAGTACAAACAGTTCTTAACCATATGAAAAATGCTGAATTTCATTTTTTTTTCTTTTTTTTTTTTTTTTTGATACGGAGTCTCGCTCTGTCACCCAAGCTGGACTGCAGTGGCATGATCTCGACTCACTGCAACTTCCACCTCCCAGGTTCAAGCGATTCTCCTGCCTCAGCCTCCCAAGTAGCTGGGACTACAGGCAACCACCACCACTCCTGGCTAATTTTTGTATTTTTATTGGAGTTAGGGTTTCACCATTTTGGCCAGGCTGATCTCAAACTCCTGACCTCAGGTGATCCGCCCGCTTCTGCCTCCCACAGTGCTGGGATTACAGGTGTGAGCCACCACGCCCACCCTCAACTTCATTCTTAATAAAATAAATGCAAATTTAAAATACATTGAGATACTGTTAGTTTGGTTTTTCTTTTTCACTTGTCAAATTGGCTGAAATCCACAATTTGATAAAACATTCTGTTGGTGAGAGCGTGAGGAAATGGACATTCTCATAGAATGCAGTGGGGGAGGAAGGGAGCATAAATCTGCACAACTCCTGTAGAAGAAGTCTGTTTAGAAACAACTACAAAAATTACAAAATTTCAAATTCATATACCGCTCTGAGAATACAGAGAAATGCTGTCCTTGGAACTTATCCTTCATATTATGTGAAATAATACGTAAAATTTCATTATGGCATTCTTTTAAAAATAGCAAAAGGTTAGGGAAAAATCCAGTGTCCATCATTAGGGGACTGGTTAAATGAAGTATGGTCCATCCATACAAATGAACATTATGTAATTGAGAAAAAGAATGTGGCCCCTCCCTATGTGTTATTTTGGGTAAATCTCCCAGGGATACGGTTCAGAAACAATTCAACATAAAGAGGAGTGTGTGTAGCAGGTTGACTTTTGTGTTACAAAGGGAAAATAGTAACATATGTTCATACTTGCAGGTTTCTAATCCTGTCTCCACCGCTTACATCTGGGTAAATTTGGGCAAGTTACATGTTGTGTCTGGGCTTCAATGGTATCACCTAGAAACGAAGATAATCACTACCACCTAAAAAAAATTGGGAAGATTAAATGAGAAAAATATTTACAAAGCACTTAGCAAGGTATTTGGTTCACAATTGTTGTAAAAAGGACAGTTACTACTCTAAGGGGCTCTGCCTTCTCTATATAAACTTATAAACTTTAGAAACTAATCTGACAGCCTAGCACCTACTAATATTTATTTGCTATAGTTCACCCAGTGTATTTGTACATTTAAAAATATATATCTCATGAAGTCCCAGAGTGCCTGAGGATTGAAAGGGGACAGCATCACAGCTCTAATGCTAAGAGATACAGACCATTAAGGCTCCATCTGAAATCAAGTATCTTTAAAAAATAAAAAAAAGAAGGAAGTAAAATTCAATTTGTATGAAATTTGATTTGCACAAGTTCTCAGAGAAACAGGAACTGGATAAAGTGAATTTCACCTGTATCGAATCATCAGTCACCTTCAGTACCTAGGAAGACACCAAAACAACATCTGGCAATCAATTTTCCATCTTTCAGTGCAGCCTGAGGAACTGGGTAGCAACCAGCATGGTATTGTAAAGAGAAAACTGTGTGGGCCAATTCAATTTCCTCCTATGACAGAATGACAGGTCACAGAGATAGGAGAAAAGCAATAGATGTAATCTACATGAGCCACAGCAAGTCTTTTGATTCAGTCCCACATGACGGTCTCATCAGGGCTTTCTGAGGATTGGGTCTAAATCAGGGTTTGAGGAACTGGGGCCCCTCCTACCCCCACCAGCGTCACCCAACCCTAGCAGAGTGCTGGATAGAAGCAGTGCGATAATCTACTAGAGACTGGAGCATGTCAGGGACGACAGAGAAGATAGAAGGGATAGAGGGAGGTGAAATTAATGCAGACCCAGAGACAGAGTAAGAAAGAGAGAGTCAGAGACAGAGAGAATGTGTGGAAAGTTTCTAGGATTAGGAGACTGTAAGTATAGGTTAAGACACTCAGACAGGTGCAGTTGCTCACACCTGTTATCCCAGCAATTTGGGAGGCCAAGGTGGGAAGATTGCTTGAGGCCAGGAGTTCCAGACCATCCCTGCAACATAGCAATACCCCATCTCTACAGAAGAAGTAAATAAGTAAATAAAAATTAGCCTGGTGTGGTGGGATGTGCCTGTAGTCCCAGCTACTTGGGAAGCTGAGGTGGGAAGATTGCTTGAGCCCAGAAATTCTAGGTTGCAGTGAGCTATGATAGCACCACTGTACTTTAGCCTGGGCAACAGAGTGAGACCCTGTCTTAGTGAAAAAAATAGGAACAAAAGTAAATAAAAATAGAAACACTCAAGGAGATAAACATGAGCTGGGAGACTATGTTGACAGCAGGGAGCTTCTCATGGGAAGGGAAGATCCTGGTGGGTGGGGAAGCCAAGCACCTCCATGTCACTGAGGATGTAAAGAAAAATGGACAAAAGAGAATACCATTCACAGTCACTCACTCATTCATTGTGTGTGTGTGTTTGTGTGTGTGTGTGTGTGTGTGTGTGAGAGAGAGAGAGAGAGAGAGAGAGAGAGAAGAGGAAGGAGGTGAAATCTCAATTAGGAGTTTTGTGAGAAACTATTGGGTTATGAAGGTGGGAAGAGCGGAGCTCACACTGGGAACTCTGCTTCAGGATCATATAGATATTGGAAAGTTTCGTTGTAGATATTGGTGAAACTTGTCCATTGAATTACTGTAGAACTGGAAAAGGAGGAATGAATGTTACTGTTGAGTCAAAGATACGAATATGAGGACCTAAGCTGGATGGACCAGTTTCTCTTTTGCTAGCTGTCCTAGCTCAGATTCTGGACTTGTTGTAAGAAGATGAAGGGGTGAGGGAATATGGGTCACAAATAGCTTTGACTTCAGTCCAAAGAGCCCTCTAATGTAAAGAAGACTTGGTATTTTCTCATCCCAGGGAAATCATGGCCTTATTTTTAACACAATAAGGTAAATTTTCTCATTAGAAAGTTCTTAATTTGTCATGTCAGTAACCATGTCCTTCTAATTGTGGTGCTGTCAGTTCACTACTGCAAAAAAAATGATCCTCTGTTCTCAACTCGGTCTCAGTTACTGCATCATCGTAATAGTTTGATAATTTTATTACTACTCGAAGGCAAGTGATCCTTCTTTTGTTGACTACTGAGGAGGAAATTGTTAATGACATTAATAGCTTGATAATGTGACACAGAACTCTGGGTAATGCCTAGTCTGTGACTGTGTGGTTTGTCTGGAGAATTGAGTAAGAATGCTGGGAAGAAACAAGAGCATCATGACTTTATGGGATGACTTGATGCCCACCTCCAAGGTTGCTGTGACGATTAAATGAGATAGTGTATATACAAAAATGGGCAATAGCAATGGTTCAATAAATGTTAGCTTTTTATGAAAATCTAAGTTAAACTTGGCTTATTCTCTTCTTTATTGTCATTCATTCTGTAACTAAAAAAAATTAGTTTTCTTATCAAACACTGGGCAGGAAGGATGAACTTGACCACTTCATTCTTGATACCCATGAAGTCAGAATCGGGTAATGAAAATCATTCATTATATCTGATGCCATAAAATAGGCTTAGAATGATGTGTGAAATATAGTAAATGTTCATTAAATATATGTTGTCATTATTATTAGAAAGGGTGGAGAGACCTAATTGGGGGTGATGACATGAATAAACTTGTCCTATGACATTGACTTTTAATTTATACAAGTTGGTTTTGAAAATTGAAAAAAAAAACTGACTCCTGATTCTCTCATGGACTTAAAAATTTCATTTTGCACTCCAGTACGATCTGGCATGGAGGAGATGGACTCTGCCTAGTACTGTCAGCAGCTTTTGGAGAAGGTCGGGATCCTGCTAAGATGAGCACAGCATGTAATGTTTGTCCTTTGGAAGCAAACACTTTGCCTTCATTGCAGTCTTCTTGTCAGAAGGAAGATAGAAATGGGAGATGGGGAGAAGTTTTTATAATTAAAGAAAAAAAAACTTGTTTCATTCTTAGCCTGGGGCTTCCTGGGGCTCTGAGGATTCCAGTATTATTGGAGTATCTGGAGAATCACAGTTCTCTCTAGCTGATCAAAAGTAAAATTAAATGTGAGGCCGGGCGCGGTGACTCACGCCTGTAATCCCAGCACTTTGGGAGGCAGAGTCGGGCAGATCACCTGAGGTCAGGGGTTTGAGACTAGCCTGGGCAACATGGTGAAACCTGGTCTCTACTGAAAATACAAAAATTAGCCAGGCACGGTGGCGGGCACCTGTAATCCCAGCACTTTGGGGAGGGGATCACTTGAGGTCAGGAGTTCGAGACCAGCCTGACCAACATGGTGAAACCCCGTCTCTACTAAAAGTACAAAAGTTAGCCAGGCTTGGTGGAGGGTGCCTTTAATCCCAGCTACTGGGGAGGCTGAGGCACAAGAATTGCTTGAACCCAGGAAGTGGTGGAGGTTGCAGTGAGCTGAGATTGTGCCACTGCACTCCAGCCTGGGTGACACAGTGAGACTCTGTCTCAAAAAATAAAATAATAAAATAAAATAAGATAAAATGTGAATTCTGTATCACTTTATCAACACATGGACCCCAAAGTCTCTGTACTGTAAAGAGATGGCCTCAGGGCTGGGAGGAAAGACTCAGGTAGCTGAGACAGGAAGGCAGTCAGGTTCTAGGGCTGGAGAAGCATCAGCAATAATGGATAATGCAGGGAGTGGAGGTGGGAAAAGGAGTACAAGATGCTTTCTTGGGCATTTTTTGAGGATAGAATTCAAGGGCATGTTTTATATGTGTGTTTCTTTTAAAATTCTTGATGCAAATTACCAACCAGAAAGCCCAGGGTAGATGGAGGGTAGGGAGGATGGAAGGTAATCCATTGCTCAGTAAGTGAGATAGGTAGAGTGCCCCTGCCCCCACCACCACTGTGCCACTATTTTTCTGGAAGCATAAGAGATACCCAGAGCCCTGGGTGACTGGAGCAGCCACAAGGCTGGACACAGGCTAGGCTAGAATGATTTTACTTTGGCTAAAACCAGAATGTCCGGGGAAATGTGGAGCCCACGGGCAGTTACTACCATTTTCTTTTTATCAGTCCGTCTTCTCATGTGGTTTCTTGGGAATATGTTCTCACTCAGAAGAAAAGTGAAATTCCAGTAATGCCCTCTCCTGACTTCTACACTGAGCAAGACATGGGGGTAAAGGCTTTGCCTAAAAGAGCAGGGACCCAGGAGGGATGGCTGACCTACCGCCCATCTTCCGTCTGACTCCAGTGGGGGTGGTTCTAAGATATTGGTCCTAAACGCTGAGACTGCTGCTTTGACATTTACTGGAGTCTCCCAACCCATCTCTTAATCTTCCCTTTGATTTTTATTTCTGTGTTCATTGGCTTCTGTTGCTTCTCTGCCAGGAAGATACAGTTTCCTATGCATTATGATTTGAACTCAAAAAACAGAAGGCTATCAGAAAGACAGAAGTTTCTTTTTATCTGAATTCAGAAAAACATGTTGGCTTGGTCTTAGCTAGATGTGGTCAGAAAAAAAGGTGAATAATTGTTTGGTAATTTCATGGGATTTATCGCAAACTTAAAATAAAAAGTGAGATTCTCTTTAACTTCTGGTTAAATGCTGAATCTTAAAGTACTATATGTTGAAAACTAGATATGAACAATCAAATTAAAAAATAAAACGTAAAAATTATCTAGATATGGAAAGCTTGTTGATCTTTCTACATGTCAAAGCTTTTCAATTTATTTGAAAATTGGACCAAACTCTGGCAGTTTGTACCATTTTGTTGGATCTTTTTGCCAAATTCTAGGCTTCTAACACATCAGTAGATTCCAGACTGTCACACATTATATCATTTTATACTTTATTTATCTGCTGAGTTTAATTTTGTATTATTTATAAGCAATATCACCTCTCCAGAATAATGACTCTTAAATATTATTCAAAGAAGGTTTGTATTTTCCTGAAGTATTTTTTCTGTTTTTTAATCTCCCTCTGAAAAATACTGTGGGCAGACTTGATTGATATTTGACAAATGAGTCAACTAAGGCACAGAGAGGTTCAGTGACTTTCTGAGGGTCACACAGCATGTTTATGGCAGAGACAGAGCTCTCAGATCTAATTGGTTTTTCTTGGTCATGCTGTCATTTGGCGATGCAGTTTTTAAAGGGGCTGTTCCTGTACACTGCATTTTCACCTTCACCATTATTCAAATCAACTCAGTTATTTACATTGTTGGGCCCGGGTTGGTACTTCATCTGTTAAAATAAAAAACAAAAATAAAAATATAAACTGATGGCATAATACTGCATCCCAAAGCCAGCAGTACCATTCCCCACAGGCCAGCAGAGGGTCAGGAATAATTCACTCCCAGGCCTCTGTGAATGGCTCTGTGCTTTTCCCTAGGCTACGAAGATTTTACTGTCTCAATGATTTTGTGTTGGACGATTCAATTAAAGGTCTTAAAATTTAACGTGTATACTTTTGACCTAACAGTTTGATGTTTAGGAATTTACCTTAAGGAAATAATGCAAATAATGAGTAAAAGATATATGTGTCAAAAAATACATTAACAAGTATGTTGATGATAATAAATAATTAGAAATTACTAATGGCACAAGGAATTGGTAGAGTGAATTACAGTCAATCCACACAATGGAATATGGTATAATTCTTTGAAATTGTAATGTAGATTTTGGTTTATCCACAGCTAAAGATCTCCACAATATTTTATAAAATGAAAAAATATATATGTCATTAACAATATAATATATTTATGGTATACCAATATATATTTATGATACGTACTGTGGCTGAGAAAATCATGAGTGATTTAAATTTTCTTCCAAATAAAGTTTTGAACATTTTATTTTTGTAATGTACTTTCATTTTTTTATAATCATAGAGGAAGGTAGGAAAGGAGGCAGAGTAATTTTTATTTTTTTTTTTTTACTTATCGGCTACATGGAATATTTCCAAGTTAAAAGTTTTTATAATGGAAGTGGTATGACAAAGAATATTTGCTATTCTTAACGTGTTTAAGAAATAGGCTATTTAATGGATGCTGTATACACAAGAATCTATTTGCTTTGTGCTGTTCGTTAGACTGGGATGGGGGGTACAGAGGTTGAATAGAAAGCACCCAATATAACTGCTGCATTATGATAATGCAGCTGCTTGTATATAAAGACACTACCTAGCAAAATTTTGAAATGACTTTTCCCCCTGACATGACTAATGCTATTGCTGTTAATTAAGTGACTTGTTTGGAGGAAAAGAATAATTGTGAAATATTTTTCAGTACATTCCTGTCTTCGAAGAGGAATGAGTTCCCATAGTCATAGTATGTATTTATAGAATGGATAATACATAAAACAAATTAGAGGGTAAAACGCTATACTCAAAGCACGATTTTCATCTGTAATAAGACAGTGTCAACCCCCTGGAAGATATTTATAACTGAAGCATTGCTTCTAGACATGCGGATTTAAGAGATTAGCATCAAGGTGGTCCCTGGGACAGATCACAGGTAGCACATAGGCTTAGAGAAAGCCATTTATAGGTTCTCTCATGGGTTCAAAATAACAGCAGTTGATAATCTAGTAGCTAGTGTTTTTTCTGTGTTTTTTTGTTGGTTTTGTTTTGTTTTTTGAAACAGAGCCTTGCTCTATTGCCCAGGCTGGAGTGAAATGGCATGATCTCGGCTCACTGCAACCTTCACCTCCCAGGTTCAAGCAGTTCTCCTGCCTCAGCTTCCCAAGTAGCTAGGATTATAGGCTTGCGCCACCATGCCTGGCTAATTTTTGTATTTTTAGTGGAGACAGCGTTTCACCATGTTGACCAGGCTGGTCTTGAACTCTTGACCTCAAGGGATCCACCTGCCTTGGCCTCCCAAAGTGCTGGGATTACAGGCGTGAGCCACTGCGTTTGACCTAGTTGTTTTTTGTTTTGTTTTGTTCTGTTTTTGTTTGTTTATTTGTTTTTTAACCATTCTTAATGATCTGGTGCGGAATGGAGAATGGCGTCAAGGCTTAAACTAGCTAAATGAATGCTGTTGAGAATCGGGTTTAATAATATTTATATACTTATTTTTATTGACAAAGGAAATTAACTTATCCTAAAGAAACATCGAAGGTGAGAGAGAATTGCACTGAGCCAAGCCTTCCTGGCATCTTTTATCTGGCACCTCTTTTACCTAGAGCATGGATGGCAAATCTTCATCTAAAGGGTTAACTCTAATCAATCAAACAATGTGTCGAGAAGGATCTTGAGGCACTGTCCTGTCTCTGTGGGAAAATGGACCATGGCCGATTCATGATACCTGTCATAGTTAGGTGTGAGAAGAGCAACAATACTCATGTGGTACATTCACCAACTCAGAGCAAAGGAAACTCATTTGGAGGGGTTAGAGGGATTTGTGATATGCTATTATGACTTTTCGATTGTTACAGACTTAAGCTGTTGGCTTTGTTGACCTAATTTCTCTGACTCAAAACCTTGTTTATAAAATCATAGGGAATGTGAAATGCCTTACAGCCTTGGGTAAATTAGGGTCAGTTTGAGACTGGGGTTGAGACTTTGGAGCCTGTAGTTTCTTCTGTGGAAGCCCAAGAGACTCACTCTGCATTCATGTTTTCTTTCTTTCCTTCCCTTCCTTTCCTTTCCTTCCTTTCCTTCCTTTCTTTCCCTTTCTTTCTTTCTTTCTTTCCTTCTTTCTTTCTTTCTTTCTTTCTTTCTTTCTTTCTTTCTTTCTTTCTTTCTTTCTCTCTCTCTCTCTCTCTTTCTTTCTCCTTCCTTCCTTCCTTCCTTCCTTCCTTCCTTCCTTCCTTCCTTCCTTCCTTCCTTCCTTCCTTTCTTTCTTTCTTTCTCTCTCTCTTTTTTTTTTTTTCAGAGTCTTGCTCTGTCACCCAGGCTGGAGTGCAGTCACGCGATCTTGGCTCACTGCAACCTCCACCTCCTGGGTTCAAGCGATTCTCATGCCTCAGCCTCCTGAGTAGCTGGGACTACAGGCACATGCCACCGCGCCCAGCTGATTTTTGTATTTTTAGTAGAGACAGCATTTCACCATGTTGGCCAGACTTTTCTCGAACTCCTGACCTCAAGTGATCCACCTGTCTCGGCCTCCCAAAGTGCTGGGATTACAGGCGTGAGCCACTGCGCCCTGCCCCTGCATTCATGTTTTCATAAGGTGTCCCTCAGATGGGCTCTGAATATAGATCAAACCTACAGTCCTTGCGGGTTGAATGCAGAGCTCTCACAGGCAATGGAGTTGATTTCTCATATTTCTTCACAATACCCTTAGAAGGTTCAGATGGACTCCCCATCTTATTGATAGAGAAATGGAAGCCTAGAGAATTGAATATGATGTCATACAGTCTGTTAATCATACAACTCAGATATAAGCCCATGCCTTTTTCCCACCTCATGTGCTAACACTGGTGGAAGAGAAGGTCAAACAAGTCTTCGCAATGTATCCAGAGAAGTGAGGCTTTATTTTATTATGCGTCTGTCAAAGTCAAAGCACTTTTATTAAGTGCTGGGAAGAATTTTATATACTAATTAGAATGGTGTATGTGAGTGTGTGTGTGTTTGTGCATGTATGCACACTCATGTTGTGCATGTATACACACCCATGTTTGAATGAAAAGGGGTGAGAGGAAACATGTAGCAAATTGTTAGAGCTATTCCCTTGGTGGTAAAAATACTTCAAATGTTCATGCATTAGATATATCCTCATAGGCCTTTTCACAAAGTAACAGGATTTCTGACTCAATTTAAAATCTGTCCAGAGGATATTTATTATTGGTAATTTATAAAATGGATAGTAGAAGACAGGCTGATATATTAGTATACAATTTACAACATTTTAGGGAAAACTATGGTATTTTCTATAGTATAGAAAGATAACATAGCCGCACACCTTTCAAACACTAGGTGCTCAAAAAAGTGTTTTGTTTTTGTTACTTGAACTATAGGTTTTTGCTGTATGATGCAAAGGGTATCACTTTGCAAAAATATTTGCATTTATGAGGATGCAAATGCCACATTTGTAAAAAAAAATTAAATGCTAAATGCATCCAGGATACTGACTCATATATTACCATGGTTTTATAAAGCAAACAGTCATCTAAAATACATGCCATTATGAAAAAAATACAGATGTTAAAAACCTCTATATTGTCTCCTGAGTACCAAATGCAGCTGGTATGGGCTTGAGAACCACAATTAGCAAGCTCTGGGTCTTTCTCTCCCTCTCCTGGGGTGCATTCCCCAACTTCCCTACAGATTGATGTACCCCCACTCTGGACTCTCCTTCAGCTTGGCACATCCTTCATTATGGAACTTACAGCACTGGATAAGAACATTCTCTTACTGCCCCATAAGACTCAGCTCTTTGCATGCACTATGTCTTGGTCATATTTTTTTTTCTTTGGCTCCAGAAAGACAAACATATAAAAAATTTATTCTACATATGTCATCAGTATTTGTCACATGTATGAATGAGATCAGTGATCTTTACTCTATTTCAGGGCCCCAGGAGGCTATGTCATAAACTGATCTAACCTCCAATGGAGGGTTTCTGACTGGGAGATATGGGGTATGGATGCTAACTGCAGTACACTCAAGTTATTGGAAATGTTGAGCTGGGCACCCAAGATGGCTTACTCGGTTGCATGAGGGTTTATTTGGCGGCTGAACGCTCAACCAGGATGTTGAATAATGGGCCTATGGCCTCTCCAGAGTAATGGTCTCAGGGCAGCTGGACTTCAGAAATGGTGGATGGCTTTCCCTAGAATGTCCCAAGGGGGCCAGGCAAAGTTTCATGGCCTTTTATGACCTAGCCTTGGAAGTCATACTGTGCCCCTTCTGTATCTATCTGTGATCTGTCCATTAAAGCAGTCCTAATTGTACCCAAGAGGAGGAGACAGACACCTCATCTATCACTAGGAGGACTCTTTTTAAAAAGTGAGCCATGTTTTAAAACTACCATTGTCTCATCTTCTCAAAATCAGTTATTTCTACTATCTTTTTAAATTTTAGTTGTAATAGTTTATCACTATTTTGTTGGTTTCCCATTTTTTAAGCTTCCCCAAAGTACCACAAGGGGTAACTCTTTTAATATTTTCCTTGACAGATGCGTATTAAGTGTCCACTACATATCACCAGGATTTTGCAAGAATTTTGTCACACTAAATAAATAATTACAGTGAACCGCAAGTTACCATTAAATCATTATCAGTAATCACTATCTAAATCAAGAGTACATTTCCCTACTCCCACATCATAAATTCTTGAGTCTCCTATTATTTTCTTCTCTTGAACTCCTGATGCCATTTTTTTTCTGAATTTGTCCAGAATAGGGTCATGCTTTATAATAGCAGCATAAGAAGCACCATTCATATTTGACTTTGTGTTGTACCATCAGGATCGAGGGCTTAGAAATATATCTGAGTGAAATTTCATGAAAACAGGCCATTGAAAAAAAATGTGCATTGTCAATCTTTGGGAAACAATAGAATAGAAATAAAGATGGCATATTTTTTCAGTTTAATCAACCTCGACAGTCACTATTGTGGCTGCCGAAGCGGGTTTGATTGCCAGTTGTTAAATGAGCCTGCATCCCGAAAAGTGAGAGTAGATCACTCAGCAGAGCATCAGACAGATGATATTTGCTTTAAAGAGAGATTAAACCAGTTCCGCAAAGGCCAGTGTCCCACTGCTTCCCCAAGGCAGCAAGTAGAATCTGCCCTTTCCTCTGCATTCTTATTTCCAAGACTTTTGCAGAATAAAACAAGTTCCATCATCAGTCCCTTGTCCACAAATGTAAAGACAGTGATAACACAAGGAAGATTTGAGAGCAATTGAGGAAGTTGCTGAGAAGTGTGCCATGCCTCTCCTGAACTGGGTTGACCTTGATGCCATCAATTGTTTCTGGAAAATTCTCTGGTCACCAGCCCAAGAGAGGTTAAATGCCCAAAAATGCCTTTATTAACTCACTCAGACTCTGGAGGTATATATGTCTCCATCCACAGGAAAAATAAGTGACGAAGACTCTATTTATAGGCTCTCAGTAGATGAGACCTACTATCTAGTATAATTGAAAAGAGGACAAAGGTAAGTATCCCCCCAAATAGCTCTCTTCCTCCTGCCTGGATCCAGTTTTTCACATTAGAATTACTGATGGCTGAGAGCTGTGGTGTTCAAACTTTTTTTACAGAACTCTATGTTCAAACAATATCTTAATTGGAAACCCATTATAAAAAGCAGCTACTTGTTCTAGCAGAAGATGGAGGAACCATTCAGAACCACTCACCTCCAGGCGATCAGGAGTGCCTCAGCAACCAAGGACTAGGATTTGTCCACCAAAGGACTCGAAGAAGATGCTCTCATTGTTTTGTCAGTTGAGCAATTCAGTAATAGCTGCACTTTACAGGATGTACATTTTCTGCCAGAAACTTTGCCTAATTTTTAGTTCTCATAACCAACATGTACTCTAGGTATTATTAACACCATTTTATAAGGAAGCTGTAGCTCAAGAAAGATTAATAATTTGCCCAGGTTAAGAGGTATAGCACGGATTCAAATCTAGATCAGCTGGATAATTATTTTTGTGGAATGTTATCCTATGCATGTAGGATGTTTAGCAGCTTCCCTGACCTCTACCCTCTAGATGCCAGTGGCACTGCTACCCCCAGTTGCGATACCTGAAAACATCTCCAGACATTGCCAGATGTCCCCTGGGGTAAAATCAGCCCTGGTTGAAAATCTCTGGCCTAGACCTTGTCCAGAGCTGTAGGGATTCATTACCTCTCCTAAATAAAGTAACTTCAGTTCCTTTAGGCAATTTAATTCTGCAGGCTTACACTGTCCAATCCAGTAGTCTCTAGCCACATGTAATTATTTAAATTTAAATCAATTAAAACTACACAAAATTAAAATATTAGTCCATCAGTCACACTTACCACATATCAATCTGTTGTCCGTAGTCCAGAACCTAGAGGCTACCGTATGGGACAGAGCAGAATAGAATATTTCCATTATGACACTAAGTACTATAGGAGAGCACTGATGTAGGCAAAACTCTGCTAACACACAAGTGAATATCTGGTATTTGGAAGTGGGAGATTCATCCCTTATGATTCCTTAGGGGGTTAGGGAAGAAGACAGTCCCTGAAGAACTTGCTGTGCTGACTCTGCTGACAATCAGCAAGCCTCCCCTCCTTGGATATTCTCCAGTGTATGCAGGAAGAGAGCAGCCTACATGGGCTCAGTGTCTGCCCATGACCTTCATGAATGCAGAAAAATTGCAGAGACCCTTTTGAAGGGAAACTACAGACCTGTTAATTTCTTCATAAAGGTCAAAGATAAGCAGATTTGCTACCCACAGGGGAAGGATTCAGGGTAAGGAATCCTGGGTCTGACTAGAATTGGGGAAAATTAGCAAGTAAGAGAGCTTGAAAAGTGGTTGAAAAGAATATAAGAACACACATAGAAGACAATTTCCCAGGTCAAATTTGAAACGTGAGGGACAACAACCAGATGCAGGAGCGTGAGCAATCATGTAGTCCTCACAATTTGTTACAGATATGTGCCTTTCATCTTATCCTACAAATAATAGGGGGTCACTGAAAATTCATGTTTGTGTGTTTTATTGCCCCTATGGCACAAAGACATTTCATTAACAGTAGAGCCCTATGTTATAACCAAAGAGGAGGCCGCTATGGGTCACTTGATGAAAATAATGGTTTAAAGACAGTTGTAAAGAAAATAGGATCACCAGATTTAACAAATTAAACAACAACAACAACAACAACAGAGTATCCAGTTAAATTTTGAATGTCATATAAACAACAAATGATTTTTAGTATAAGTAGATTCCATGCAATGTTTGGAATCTACTTATACTAAAATATTTGCTGTTTATCTGAAAATTAAATTTAATTGAGAGACATGTATATTATTTGGCGGCCTTAAGAGAAAGTGGAAGACTTGCAGAGGAAATGTACATCTTCAGGCAGTGAGAAGGGAGGGGCAGTGATGATAGAAAGGAAAGTGCATTTAATTTAATGAATATAAAGTCTTTAATTGGGATAAGGGAAGTCTGAAGACACAAGAGAAACGTGATTTTTGCTTATTTCCTATCAGAGCTGAGAAAATGAGAGTCAGCATAATTCTCAGGTACACTTGGTTATAACCAAAGCCAGGAAGTTCAGTTCAATGAATGTATTGAGTGACTCTTGTATAGCAAATATATGATGCCATACACTGGAGAACTGAAATTGTGAAGGCAAAATCACTGCCCCAGAGTAACTTGCTATCTTGTGAAGGAATCACACAATGCAAATTGACATTGGGGATAAACTGGCGTATAAGTGAATCTAAAGCTATGCACAATAAATATGCAGGAGGGAACCATTAGTTCTGCTAGGGGTCAGTAGAACTAATGGGAAGTTCTACTGTGTAGGTGAAGGAAAGGAAGACTGTGTAGGTGAAGTGATGCTGAAGCTAGACTTTCAGGAATGCAGGCAAGAGTGCACAGCAAGACTTGTGAAGGAACAGGTGTGATCAGGAACCTGGCCAGTGGTCAGTGATGGTAGGAATCTGGGGTGCAGACAGGTGGGCAGGAAGATTGAAATATGGTTAAAAGACAGGCTGGGGCTGGAACCAAGTCATTAGGGGCTACAGTCTAGGGGCAAAGAGGAGGCATTCGAGCAGGGAAGTAGCAAGATCTAATCTGTAATTTAAAATAGTAACAATAGAACATTAAATGGCAGTATATTTAAAATATTTTGAAATTGTAGGATGAAACTTTGTAGTTAAATATCTTCTTAATATCTCTTTAAAATCATTTCATTTTTGGCCAGTTTATGTGTCATTCATGAGGGGAGCAACAGAGAATAACAGTTAAGACCATGTGCATTGGGTCAGTTGATGCTGGAATTGAATCTTGGCTCTGCGACCCTGAAGTCATCAGTTTAACATTTGACATCAACCGTCATCTGAAAGACGGCAGAACAACAGTCCCCATACCCCATAGGGATGTGTGAGTTTTAAATAATATAACAAACACATAAAATGCCTGACACAGTGCTCAACAAGTAAAAATTATCATACATTTTGATAGAAATAATGAATTCATTTATTTCACATTTTTACCTGGAGCTCATGCACCTAGCTGGCTAATTTAGGACCTCCAACCCCCTTGAACATTGTGAACTCAGCTGTTCATAGGAACCCAGGAACCTCTTCACACATGTTCACATCCAGTTCACTCATGGCCGGTGCTGCCTTTGCCAGGCACCAGGTTTTGTGGCACCATTTCTTCTGGCATCAGAATGTCTGCTGCTCCACTGGGCATGGGAGGCTCCCTGGCTTCTGCTGAGGGCACTTCTGTATTCATGGCCCCCCAGGACTCCTGAAGCTGTACTATTGTCTTTGCTAGTAGTTTTGTTTCTAGTGTGTTCCAGAGTTTAATGAAATTGCTCTTTTTGAATTTTTTTTCCAATTCTGCTCTTTATATAACCCAGACATGTGTCTGTTAGGAGCTTGGCAGAAAAAGAACCAAGCTGTCTCCAGAATTGCCCCTCCCCTCTAAAGACCAACCTGCTGAGGGGTTTTGGCTTGCGGCCTATAGGACTCTCAGTCACCTGCTACCAGGAGCGATGTCTCTCCTGCCGTGCCCTCTCCTTCCTCTTCCCACCACCCCAACACACTAAGATAGAGTAGGGATCATGGATCCAGTATGACTTCCCTTTATAAGCTGATGCTGCCCATTCGAGTTACCTATTGACAAGCCATTTGTCCCTAAATAGCTACATCAGAGTATTACCACACAGGGTGTATGGTGATGTGGGGAGGCCGAGTCACATTTTTAAAACCTAGTTGCACACCTCTCTACCACCCTCCTAAACTATGGAGCCACAACATATTCATTACAGGGTGAGGCTGCACTAAGTCCAAGTATGAGCAGGGCTGCCCTGTATTTGTTTCACTTACTGAGTCAGCGTGTTCCTTCCTTTTTCTTAGAGACTCAACAGACTCGGGGTCTGTGGCTTCCAGCTGACCGGTAAATCACAGACATATGTGGCTAATCATTTTCCCCTTGCAGTGTATTTACAAAGTCAGCGTGCCACATGTCCCTTGCATTGTGCTCCCAGCTACCAGGCTATCTGTGCCATCTGTTGAGATAGCGGGCCCTTGCTTCACAGTGCTGGGTGTATGAGAAGTCAGTACAGATTGGCCAGCAACCTGAGCAAGAGTAAACAGACCCCTGCGGGGAGAGGCCAACAGGTTTCCAAATCATAGTGACCCTGATGAGTACAAGCCATAGACCCAAACCCTAACTGAAGAGAACATTGTTATTTGTTTATTTATTTATTTATTTTTGAGGTGGGGTCTCACCCTGTCACCCAGGCTGCAGTGCAGTGGTACAATCACGGCTCACTGCAGCGTCAACTTCCAGGGATCAAGCAATCCTCCTGCCTCAGCTTCATCCTCTCACCTCAGGCCTTTAGCTGGGATTACAGGCATGTACCACCAAAGCAAACTAATTTTTTTATTTTTTGTTTTTCGTAGCGATGGAGTCTCACTATGTTGCCCAGGCTGTTCTAGAACTCTTGGGCTCAAGCGATTCTCCTGCCTCCTCAGCTTCCCCAAGTGCTAAGATTACAGGCGTGAGCCATGACACCTAGCCGAGACTTCTGTATAGAGAATGTGACCCATTAGTAGTTTTTTATGAGGGCGGTATAATGTTACCATGAAATACTATTCACAATTGTTCTAGAAACAAAGGGATTTTGTAAAGAGTGCCAACTAGCAATGTTTGGGAATCTTATGAGAATATTTAGGATCTCATAGGATTGTCACTGGTAATTATTCCTCTAGTCATGAGAACGTCTCTATTTTGAGGTTAAATGTGTTGTTTCGCAGTTGTTGGATGGAACTCTTACGTCATTCACATAATGGTGCATCCAATTCTTCTTTTCTGAATTCTGTTGTATTGTGTATCATTTCAAAGGAAAAATAATGGTTGGAACATGTTTCCTATGGTTTCTAAACACATGTAGATTCAAGCAAATAATAGCAATATGGACTTAGGTAAATCTTACTCTGCCAGATAGATCATACTTTAAGTGTGAAAGCATATTGTTTATCCTTTAGAAAAGTGAATAATAATTTTTGCTGCAAAGTGGTATACCAGCACATTTGTCTATAAATTTACATTCTTGGATATTAGCAAAATTGCAAGGGAATAACAGGCTGGATCCCAAAATCAATTTGAAAAACAGCAACAATGAAAAATCAGGGCTAGTTTAGATAATGAAGCAGTGAAGGGAGTTGATAGGAAGAAAAGGAACTCTTTTTCCCCCCCACAGAGGCCATTGCTCATGCCATTTTCTTGCCCTGAAGAATTCCTGAGGAAAATGAAAAGACAATGGCTGCATTTCAAGCGAAGCCCAGGCCTGGGTGTGCTGCTCCTCAAGAATAAGATGTGCAGAAAAGTGCCCTTTCCATGGGAGCAATGCCATGTCTCTGATGTCCCCCAGCACAAAGATGCAAAAGTACTCTCGTCATTTTCTTTTTGGTTTATTGAAAATTTCATTTTGTTGCAGTGCCCGTTTCCCCTAAACAAAACTGTGTTCAACTAATTCTATTTCTAAGACAAGTGGGTGTTTTAAGTAGTTGATGTAGCTTCTTGATTTTAAGGACAACACGGATACATCAAGGGTAGAGAAAGGTATTCAATTAGAATGTGACCTTTAACAGCATAGACTCACAAAGTGTTTGACTTGTTTGGGACTTTAAATATGATCTGAAATACTAACATTTTCAAAAAAAGAAACTATGTTGAGAGAGTTGTGGACATTTATCCCAAACTCATTACCTTGTGTATGAAACAACAGTAATAAACTAGATAATAGATACAGCTACATACATTTAGCCATGTGTCCTTCTGTATATCTCAAGTAATTAATGATGATGACAGCTTTCTTCATTAGAACACATGGCTTGCCCAGCCACATGCACATATACAAAAGTGTGTATGATACAGGTATTATGCATCTTAGATGTCATATAGCTACTAATTCAAGCCATATTGCATTCCTATATCAAATAAGGCAACCCACATTTCACTCTGTGATTTGTTGCTGCTGATTTATCAATTTAGTAGATATGAGTTCATTTGCCAGTTGAAATTGCAGATTGCAATGCATGCATTTGAAAACTTTCTATAAAATGAAATTGGTATAGTGTGTTGGTGAAGCTCTTCTTACTTCAAATAGAGTAAAACTTAAGTGTATATTTTTAAACAATTTTCTTAAAACCAGGTACATTTAGTAACTGAAGTAGTGTAACTATGAATTATCATCCGTAGAAGTCTTTGTTGACCTAACTCCTCAGGTGGAGAGGATTTGAAACAGATAGAAGCAGTTTGCATAAAAGAAATGAACAGTTTGCTCTGACCATTTGAGACAAACGTCCTTTCATAAGAATCCAAACTCAAGGAAGCAGCTTCGGAGGTGTCCTTATAAGTACAGATGGGAGAGAGGATCTATATAGCTTTTGGGTGTGCACACCTAATAGAGCTGAACTAAATAATGTCGGGTAGATTTTGACTTTATATCTTTTTCTTTTTTGTCATCATTTCCATTTTTTCCTGCTTCATTTGTTCCTTATGTCTTTGGTGATGCATGAGTAGTATTTTAGGATTATGCCTATCAAAGATTTTTTAAAGTTTTAATTTCAGTATTTTCTTTACTTTGACATACATTCAATTTGTTACCACAGACTTCAGCGGAAGTTAGGACTTGTCTTTATGGCCTATCTTTATACTCGGAAGCAAATTATTCATCACGTACACTTATTCTAGCTTTTCCTGTTTGTGTAAGTGTCCATTTGTCCTTAGTTCCAGCCAACATTTCCAGGGGAGTTTCAAGGTGACTTCTTCCAGTTAGATATGTTCAAAAAGTGGCCCCAAGATGGTTGTGTACATGCATGAAAATGCCGGTAAATAATGGCAACACAACTTTATAGTTGAGCAATCCTCAGTAGTTTACTAAGTAAATATCTCTATCATATGAGATCTGTTATCATTCCCGTTTTACAAATGAGGAAAACTGAGACGTCAAGTAATTTTGTTACGTGGTGTAATTAGGACTTAAGGCCATTTGTCCTTTCTCCAGACTAAGTGACATGGACTATGGACTAATGACGCCTTTCGTTATCATTGTTCTGCCTCTTTCAAACTGTCAACAGTGCAAAGGTGTCACTTCCAAACCTTGTTAAAATGCAGTTTCTGATTCTGTCTCAGGTCTGGGATTATGCACTTCTAGCAAACTCCTAGCCCTTGATGCCTGAAATTCCACACTTACAACCTCCCTGAATGCTGGTCCACTGAACACACATTGAATCATAAGGCTTTTAACAATCTTCTGTTCACACAGTGAGGTAGCATAGCACATTCTCTGGAATTTCATTACATTTTCCAGTCTTTATTTTTTCAGTGTGGTTAACTGTCATTTCTTAGCAAATTTGTATGTAGATATGAAAGCATGCATCTTCATACGTACGTTTTAAATCTTAAGAAATATTTGAATTGTAATCAGTATCAATAAACAGAAATCATTTTGTTTACAAGTATTCATTTTACAGAGTAGCACAACAGGGATAAGTTTAGTTAAGTGAACCATACAGTGGGCAAACAGTGCTCTGCAAAGCTTTGCCCCCCTTGTGGCTGCAAACTAGAGGCATAAAGAAAATAAAAAGTACCTATTCACTCTTTACGTTGTATGCCACTGCTCAGTTTATGAAATCAGATGGGGGTTTGATTGATTCTGAGGGCCCGACCTTGCTGGCTATGTCCTAAGTGGTTGGGCGTTAAGCTTTAAGCCTCTAGGGAGCCATTTACTTAATTGAAATAAAAACAACTCCAGCGGGTTTGTGTTAGCATTTGCTTTAGTCACAATTCTGAGAGACCCTAAACTAGGAGGTCAAAACTATGTAGGAGTGATTCTGAGAGCAGCTTAAGCTCAAGGAGGTTGTTACAGAGTGAATTGTACAGAGAGTGAAAATTCCAGAAACACTGTGACTCCTTAACCCTGCAGCCATGCCGCAATTTGCCTGTTGTACACTCATGCCTTTGGCATTATTTCTTGGCCTGGAGGAACAGGATGGCAAGGTTAATTGCAAAGGTGGAGTGTTGGGTGCCAGGCAGGGGTAGGATGAATATGTGGTTTCTGGAGCACAGCCAAGTCTACTGGTCCCACCTCTCCACCCCTTAGGCATAAGGACTAGTGGGCAGGTTTAATTAATATCGCAAGGAGATGTGGGAACCAGAGAACTTGCTGCCCTAGGAAGGGAGAAAAGGGACTTTGCAAAAGTGGAGGACCTGAGGCTCTGACCCTTAGTCTTCTGTTGCCAGGGTTGAGGTATACTGGTAGCAGAAGAGATTACCTGTTATCTGGCAATAGTGGCTTTTTACTGAAGTACCTGAGGTGAGGTAGGTGGGGTACTGTAAATCTCTCCTAAACATGGCTCACCTGAAATATCTTAGTTTTTAGTTTCCCATCTTAATAGGGTGAAGAGAGTGGAGGGGGTGAGTGGGAAGAATGGTGCTATTTTTATAATATCTAAAATTAAATTAAACTGTACTTTTATAATTTATGACCCTGATTTTTGGTACTTTTGACATTTCTTTTGTTGTTATTTTTCGAGACAAGGTCTCACTCTGTGGTCCAGGCTGGAGTGCAGTGATGGGATCCTAGTTCGAACTGCAACCTCGAACTCTGGACTCAAGGGATCCTTCTGCCCCACCTCTCAAATAGCTGCGACTACAGGCGCACACCACCATGCTCAGCTCACTTCTTTTCATTTTTTTAAGAGATGGGGTCTCACTATGTTGTCCAGGCTGGCCTCGAGCTCCTAGCCCCAAAGGATCATCCCAACTTTGCCTCCCTAAGTACTGGGATTACAGGCACTTTTGACATGTCTGTTCCATCTCTAACAGCTTAAATTCTGTCTACATGGTAATGACTTTGCTTGTGTTGGGAGCATGTACATTTCAACTCTTCAGTTTCTAATCCCTTGCCCTCCCCAGCAATCATACTAGAAGTTGAGAGTAGCTAGCCAGTGGGCCGAATCTTGACTGAAACCACATATTATTGGACCCACGAAGTTGATTATTATTATTATTTTAGTTGCTAAAATTTAAAAATTGAGCACTTTCATATAATAATCCAGATTTCCAATGACTCTTAAAAACTTGGAGACTCCTCTTTCTGGGGCCTGCCTTGCTGTGTAGCTGCCCATAGCTGGGACTGCAGAGCTGCACTCGTCTTTAGGCTGAGAGTACACTCTCCAGTTTGCCAGTCTTAACCACTCATCAGCTTGGTCCTCTGCTCTCACCTGCATTTGAGTTTGTGACCCCTAATGCAGAATAGCTTTTGCAAAAGCTTGAGATCATATAAGTGTTCTGGCATGCCTTCAGTGCAGCTGACTAAGCTCAAGAGAGCTAAGTGCGTCCCAAACTGGCCAAACCCAGGATACGTGCAAAACCATGTTTCTGACTTCTGACTTCAGCCATCTAAGCCAGAGAGTACAGGTGCAGATTTAAGTTATCTGGAAGGGTTTAGTACAGAGATTGTGTTTAGCTGTGGATGGCTGAAAATCTAAAATAATAGTCATTTAAACAACTGGGCAATGCATGTTCAACTGTCATAGAAGTCTGGATGCATGGGTCACAGCTGCTATGAGTCCACAACCATCAGAAATCCACATTTCTGATGAGGATTGTACAGCTTCAAGATGGAGCTTCTCTTCTGTGAGTTGAGATGAATGCTTCGTCTCTAGCCTTCTCTTGCTGGCGGAAAGAGAAAAAGCATGAGAGAGGCATGCCTTCTCCTTCTAAGGAAACCCTGTAGACATTGCATGCATCCCTTTCTGCCTACATCTCATTGGCCAGAACTTAGTCACATGGTGATTACACAATTTCCTTCACACCAACCTAATATTTAGCTGCAAGGAAGGCTAGAAAAGAGTCTTTATTCTGGGTGACCTTGTTTCCAACTAAAGATAAGCAAGGAGACAATGAATATTAGGGTGCTACTGGCAGTCTTTGCATGGACTGTGTCTTGTGGCTGTAAGATTTCCCAGACGTTGCCCATAGTGGGCATTAGGTAAATATGGTAGGGGTAAAGGAAAGATAGGGATCAAGCCTCAGCGATCCTTACACTCAACTCCTGGTTACCATACCATAAACCATATATACTGTCCTCATTCCTTTACATACATCTTTCATTTCATTCTTTATTCCTGTACATTTTGCTTTGCTTTATCGCCCAATGCAAGTGTTTCATCTGTAATTAGCCAAGTGTTTAAATGCTATGCAAGGTACTATGAAAGTATCAAGAGACAGGGGCTCCTTCCCACATGGAAAGGCAAGTGTCTCATCAGAACTCCCACCCACCATGAAGTGCAGTTTCCCAAGCTGATGTGCATGGTTGATCCTGGAACTTCACCAACTCTGGCAATATCTCTGTTAATCTTCATCATAAACTCAGTCTCCACAGTATATTAGGAATCAGTGCTCTCAGCCTAATGGTCTTCTCCTGGCCAATGAGCATAGAAAAGGTTCCTCTTGTGGTTAGTTGTATGAGAATTTGAATTTACATATCTTCACTTTTGGAACGGGTGAAGTTAACTCATTTAAAAAATTAATTCATTCTTTATATTTTTGTCAAAGAATATGTGTAAGGCCTCATTCTGTTTAAATATTAATCAATTTACAAAGGTTTACATAAAGCTTTTTAAAAGTAAATCCATGGGATAAGAAGTATATAAGTTGTTTTTTTTTTTTTTTAAGGAAGACTGAGACATAACTCTGTAGATTCAAGATTAGACCTCCCCCTGCCATACCCAAATAGATACTCTATTCAAACTATTGGGAATATAACTGATTGTTTCCCAACTGGGACAAGATAATGAAATCACTTGTTGTTCAATAAGAATAGCATATAATTTGTCCGGAACTAACCTTCTGAAATACACCATTCCGATGGAACATGTATGCTTTTGGTTCTTCAAATAATATTTTTAGGCCCTAAATGTTAATTAAAAGAGAAAGTCTCAAACCTTCTTGGGAGCAGGTATCTGAGGGTGGTCTTGGGTCTGCAGAGCATCCAGCTCTGATGATGACCCTTGCCCTTTGCATCTGGGCCCAGTACTTCCATCTCTCCTTTTCTCTCTGGCTCCCACTCACAGGCAGTCCTCGGATGCTGTATTAGGGAACACAAGAATTTAAGGGGGACAGGAGGCAGCCTACGTTCTGAGCCCAGCCTTTCTTTTGTCCCTTGATCATTTCAGTCTTTTTGCATATCCCCATGAGCAGGACAAAGGAAAGGACCAAGACTTCAAACTGGACTTGAACTCCTGAGAAAGCTACATCTCTAACAAAAACATTTGGATTTCTTTTGTGTATTTTGGAGAGGGCCATGATACTTTCATGCAACAAGCCACAAAATGGAAACATACGGTATGAGGATCTTGCTATCCTAGCAGATACGCAGATACCCCTCTTGCTTTTAAAGAAATAAAAGGAAACAATACCTTTCATACTAAAAATGAGAACAAAAAAACAACCTAGCTAGGAAAAAAATTAAAACTCCATAGTAGCTCCTAGAGAGACATTTATTCACACATTTATTTTTAAAGAAGAAAAGAATAAGTATGTATAGTGAGTGGCCTCCAGAAGCAGCTGTTTAACTTTCTCCCTGTTTCCCTGCATCTGCAAGCATAACCTTGTTGTATTCAACATCTGCTCTGCAGTTTCTCTTGAGAGCTGTAATAGGATACTGGGTCTTCTTGTCATTCTGTAAGATGAGTTATTTTGAGGGAAGAATACTTAGGGAATTCCATATAAAATACTGGTCTTGCAATACCCATATAGCTTTTTATTTTTAGTTTACAGAGTTTAAAGATCATACGTAGTTTTCATTAATCCCATTTTGCAGAGAGAAAACTGAGGGATAGAAAGTTCTGTCAACTGATCACATGGTAGATAAGGACAGGACTCCTCCTTTTTGATCAAGGGCCTTTTATAAACGTTCTGCTATATTGTTTTGATATTTCCAGTTATTTTCTGAGAGTTTGCCACAAACAGTGACGTGAGAAGGAGAAACTTTTAAAATGATTTTTGTTCTGAAGGAGTCCATAGGCCTGCCAACCCAGCAAAATGTGTTACTTATAGGCGTAAAAGCAATCCTACCTTTTAACTACACACTAAGGACCACCCAGCTGCTTGGCCAGAGAAGTAGGATCTTGGGAGGTGTTTGGGTAGATGTTATTTTAAGTGCCATAGAACCTTAGACTATTACAGCTGGAAGTGAAGATCTTCCAACTCAACTCTTTCATTGCGCAAATGCAACCGCAACCACAGAGGTACAATGAATCCCCCAGACCCCCTGCTAAGCACTACACAAAGCCCAGTCATGGGGTTCCTCCTGATGCTTCCTCAGGCATTTTCTCCTGCATTAAAAAAACACTGATAAATGTGCCAACCAGGAAATGCGTGTCAGCCAAGTTTTCTGATTTTCCTGATTTACATGATATCTGCAAAGGATTTTTAGTTATCCACTAAGCAGCTCCCTAATTGACATAATACCAGTCTTCCTTCTTTTCTTCTGCTTTTTGCTCTTATTCTTTAAAATGTATCAAATTATTGTTAATAACACATTTTAAAAATATCTGCTGAGAATCACAATGACACTGCATTTGTGTAGTTATAAGGTAGACTCTTGGATTTAGGGATACATTCCTGTTAGCCCAGCACATATACACCCGAGGGCTCATGGTTTTTGACCCACACCATATTTCATGGCATGTAGTTCAGTTGCCCCGGCTGGGTTCTCCTATCACAAATTGCAAGACTCTCATACAGGGCAGACTCAGTGAGCTTACCTGTCTTACCTGGCATGACAGGTGAAAAGAGATGCTTACAACACCCTGGGCCTAGAACAGTGTCTGATACTTGTAGCCCAATAGAGTACATATTTGTGAATGAATAAATGCACATTGAAACTCTGCCTTTGCAAGGAATTTGAGTCAACAGCATCTTAGCCTCCTTGACTAAGCCACTAGTATTTTGCTTCCTTCACAACTGACAGCTTTACTGGAGTCTCCCGGATTCTTCAAGCATGTCAAGGAATATTTTAGTCGCTTGGATACTAGCACACTGTTAGGATAGTGGGTCCAGATCACTGATTCCATAATGATTCTGAGAGATTCAAAGCCATTTCTCCCCATCAGCGTGTGAGCCTATCACTAAATAAACTTCCTGGAGTCAAGACAGTGGCGGCACCCACACACCTTGCTTCTCTTCTTGTAACCATGGCAACACACTTGCTCTCTTGCCCGCCCCACTCTGCTCTCCATCACCACAGAGCTGCTGGCTTAATAAAGCCTGACAAACTTAAACAATGGGGATTTCTGGCCTTAAGGCCAAGATCTTTATTAATTCATAGCAGCCGTAACCATTGAGCTGGCCTTGCTTGGCATTCAGGAACAAATTCCCCACCATGATTGATTCCTACCACCTAGTATCAGCTCAGCCCTTCCCTTTCCAAAAATCAATCAGTCAATCAATTGATTCATCTATTAGGGGAAAAGATTAAACTATTTAGGTACTGAATAAAATTTGCTATTTTGTCTCTCTAGACCAGGATTTCTCGATCTCACTGAGTCCAAGAATGAGCATGGGAGAGTCATGCCAAGGATGCTTGGCTTCCAGTCAGAGCACAGTATATATTTGCTTCTGTCTGGTAGCCTCTTGCCCTTGACTTCACTGCATAGTCCCCTCCCATAGGTTCACTGAACTGCTATACCTCTGCAGAAACCACCCTTGTAAGACATCTGGATGAGAGCTGAGTCAAGGCCTGGAGGCTGTCTGCATTAAACTGGGCTCTCACCATAGATGGCTAAAGGCGGACACAGCTGGAGAGGCTCCTGCAAATTGTGGCTGAGGTGGCAGCGGTTCTGGCGGCAACTTTGCCATCTCTAAGCCTCCCAGCCCAGAACCAAAAGATAATGGCATGCCTTGGAGCAGAAGCAGCTGATCTCATTACCCTTCTGGTGCAAACAGGGCAAAACCATTCAATATCTCCTATTTCTTACCATATAAACCCCAAGACCCCATGACCTGGCTCCTCGCGTGCCTACCTCTCCCCAGCATCTCTTATCACTGTGTGATTGTAATCTTCTCCCTCTGCTATGAAGAGTTGTATATTGTTTTCTCTCTTTTTCTCTTTTTATGTGCCTGGACCTTGTTCTTACAGTTCTATTGACCTGGAATGCTCTTTCTTCTTTCCTTCCTTTTCATCCTTCAAAACACACCCTAAATGTCCAACAAGAAGACAGTGGATACATGAATTACTGTGGTTTGCCATCCATTTCTCCCTGTCAGGGCCAAGGCACTCACCCACCAGCTGTCAGGAGTGTTGACCACTGACTGTTCACAGCTGAGGCCCTCTGCTCTTAGAGCCTTGGGTTGAAGGAAGCTGCTTTGCCCAGGGTTATATGAACCCACATCCAGTGGCCAGTTCGTGCAAGGGTACAGAGGCTTGCACAGCTCCAAAGGGCCACCCCAGCTGAGAACTACCCCCTGGAATGGCCTGAAGCCTCCATTTCAACTGCACCACATCCTAAGCTCTCCCTCTGCCCAACCCTGCCTGTCTTGCTTCCTTACAGGCAGCAATCAAAGCGTCCTCCCCAGCATGTAAACCTCTATTTCAGAGTATGTTTCCCAGGTAACCTAAAGACAAGGCAAATCTAGGAAAAAATAATATGTAATCATTAAAATTTTTAATTTATGTGTTAAGAATATTTCATGACATAGAAAAATGCTCAAGTTAATGAAGTAAATACAAAAACAAGAGGCAAAACTGTGCATGCGTTATGTTCCTGATTATATAAGAATATAATGACAAAAAGAATGAGACAAAAAAGGAAAAAACTGTATCTTTTCAGGAAGAACTACTCCTAAAATAGAACACAGATTGTGTATCTCTTTAGAATTTTGTTTCCGTTTTCTGTTTGTTTTAAACATTCTACAATGAGCAACTAACATTATAAGATTTAATTAAGTCATTTAAAAGTAAAAGGGCATAATATTACTAAACGAACCCCCACAACACAAAATACATAAACAAAAGTCTAACTAACTCACCATCAGGGGACAAATGAAAAACTTCAGCTTCCATGGTCATTCTCTGTGCTATGTTCCAATCATATCTGCCCCTGTCCAAGTCCATAAAGTTGAATACTTCCTTTTTTGTTCAAATATATATATATGCATCTATCATTACATTTTACCAAATGGTACTGCAAATATTTAAATTTGTCGCTTATAATACACTGAGAGTTCTATGAGGATAGAAAATCATGTTTTCCATGCCTTGGATGTGGCCTCCACTCTGTAAACACTCAATGTATTTTATAGATGAGTGAATGAGGGAATGCATGAATAAATGAATGAATCAATAAAGTAACATTTAGAGGCTAAAAGCATAAAGAATTTGATGGGCATGGGGGCAAACTACTGAAAGTAAAGCAAAAAAATGTAGAAAGAAGCCTTGAAATCCCAATTAACATTTCCTGATTGCTTCAGAATAGAATGCTGTAAAATGAGAGGCTTTCAGCCTGTCTGCATTTCAGTTCTGTGCAGCTTACAAAGGAACCTGGGAAAAAGCTGACATTGCCACTGTAGCTTTGAGGCTTTCAAGATAAGCATCAGTTTGGGTTCAGAAGAAATGAACAGTGATGAATATTGTCTTCAGCTTCACAATGGTCCTTTTAATTCCTGTCATTCTCAAAAAGAAAAAAATGCCAGTGTTTCTTCTGGAATATTTTCAAATTTCTCCAATTTTAATTTTGGAAAATTGCATTTGAAACTTTCTTGAAGTAGTCTTATTCTCTGCCCTTTCCATCCTCATCTATAATTACTAATAAGTAGTCTCTTTCTTTTATTAAGGTAAAATTCATTTGTGATATAATTCACCACTTTAGCCATTTTAAAATGTACAACTTAGTGTTGCCTTTTTGCCCTGTGTTTGGCTTCTTGAAGTGACAATTTAGCCAGTCTTTTTGCAAAGGCATTAACAGGTTCTATTGAGCTGACATTGCAATAATGCTCCTGGGTAATACATTTACATTTTAATAAGAGCATTGATACCTTAACTCAAAGAACTAACTTAATTCTTTTATTCTCTCTATCATTTTGAGGATATGGGATCAAATTTGTTAGCAATATACATAAGAATCTTTGTAGACTGGCCCTTGCTTTCACCATTTCCTCTTCTATGAAGCACTGCACTGTGATCTTTTTTTTTTTTTTTTTTTTTGAGATGGAGTCTCACTCTGTCGCCCAGGCTGGAGTGCAGTGGCACTATCTCAGCTCACTGCAAGCTCCACCTGCCATGTTCACGCCATTCTCCTGCCTTAGCCTCCCGAGTAGCTGGGACTACAGGCGCCCGCCACCACACCTGGCTAATTTTTTGTATTTTTAGCAGAGATGGGGTTTCACCGTGTTAGCTAGGATGGTCTCGATCTCCTGACCTCGTGATCCACCTGCCTCGGCCTCCCAAAGTGCTGGGATTACAGGCGTGAGCCACCGCGCCCGGCCAAAGCACTGTGGCCCGGCCAAAGCACTGTGATCTTAAGGTATGCTCAAATACTTAAACTTCTTCAAGTAAGCTGCATTCTCTCTTGCCTTTGTATTTTTTTCTTTTTCTGATTGGAAGATGCCTACACATCCTTCCTTAAAACAAAGTCCAGGCATTATGCCTGTGAAATCTTCTCCTCTTCTCCCTTTTGCTCCCCTCCTGCCCTTTCCTCCCTTCCCCTTTTCTTCCTCCTTTCTCTCTCTCTTTCTCTCATTCTCTAGGCAACTTCACATGCCACCAGTTCAATGTTTTCCATATTGCCTTGTAGTTATCAATCCCATTGTTTTCTAATAAGATTGTAAATGCTTTGAGCATAAGGACTGTTTTCCTATCTTCACTGTTCAATGGTCTTGAAATGCAATAGATTCTCAAAAACATTTATGAAATGTAAAAAATAAAAGAAAAAAAGAAGAAGAAGAATCTCACAATGTTTAGAAATCCCTGGCAGACTGGTAAAGGAGAATTTGTTTTTTGTATCGTAGTACCTGTTTAAGCACCCTTCACGTAACTGTCTACAGTTAGGACTATACCTGATTAACAGTATTTGCCTGGAAGGCATCAGAGGAGTAGAAAGCTGGAATGCATACACCCTTGAAACTTTTCTGATACTCCTTAGAGAACATGCAAACTATTAATTAGATACATATCATGACAATGTGTATCTTACAGCATTGATAAACCTGAACATTCATTCCAGCCTGTTTTATTCTTGTTTCTCTTGAGCTTCAACACTGAATTTATATTTGTAACACCTGCTGTTTCCATCCCAGGATAATAGACTATTTAGCATTTTATCATTTCCAAAGTATAAGAATTCACACTCTACCCACCCCTAGTTATTTGATATGGATCTTTTCTGATGGCCCCCTGGGGATCATTCTGTGGTCTAGGCTACACTACCAAGGCTGCAGGCTGTCACACCAGTATATAAACTGAAAATAAAATAAAGAGAAAGATGTTCAGATTATTGAAAACAAAAAGCAATAATGAAAAGTATGGGACTAGATGAGGGAAAAAGAGGAGAGGGAGAGGGAGAAGAAAACAAAACAAAACAAAATTATAGTTGTCTTAGTACTCAAATCTTTGTTGCCCAGTCTTCCATGCAGCCTTCCTCATTCTAAGCTGACATGCTCACTGAAGCCTTCAGTAGAATGTGAGGGCTGGGTTATCCAATATTCATGTGCAGAATAGTCATGTGGTAACTTGTTCAAAATGATGGATTCCTAGCCATGATGCTGATTTCTGACTTAATTTCTCTGAGGAGTATCTCGGGAATTTACCTCTTTGACAAGGCCCCAGATGATTCTGTTAGAGGTGGTCTGATCAGTGAACCACACTTTGAGAAACACTACAGGACCATCTTTTAGCCTGACTGCATTAATTAGTACTTTATGCTCAAACAACAGGCATATATTAGCTCATGTTTTATTGTGGGTTGGCAATTGGAACTGCATTCAGCTGAATGGTCCTTTCACTGGTATTGCCTGAGCTTGCTCTTGAAGCTCCAAGTAGCTGGTGGCTCAGCTGGGGCTGGATGGTTAAAGTTGGCCTAGTCGCATGACTGGTAGGTACCCAGCTGTTGGTCAATGGCACGTCATTTCTCCTCCATGTGGTTTCCACACCAGGGTAGCCTGGACTTCTTTATAGGATGGTCTCAATATTTCCAACAGGAAGAAAAGGCATGCCCCAATGTGCAGGCACTTTCCAAGCCTCTGTTTGTATTATGTTTTCTAATGTCCAATTGACCAAACAAGTCATGTGGCTAAGTATAGAATTGAGGAGAAGAGAAATGAACTGTACCTCTTAATGGAAAGCATGGTAAAGTCACATTGAGAGGAATAGCAGGATTACAGGGCCATCTTTGCCAACAATCTTCCACATCTATTAGATCAGTAAACTATTGTGTCTGATAATGGTTGAAGAACCAGATTTTATGAAGAATTTATACTTTAATATATAAATTAGTGCAAATGCAAGTTTATCCTCCAAGTAAAAACCCTTTTGCTGACTTGTAAATTTCACTCAAAAAGAATTTTTTTTGAGTAAGAGGTCAGTGGACTTATGGCCAGTATGATGGGAATTGTGCATAGTATTGAATAGACCCATGGAAAACTATAGCCCTGTTAATGTTATCTGCCTTGAATTACTTGTCAGAAAAAAAAATTAAGTACTGTGGCTCTGGGGACCTGGGGGGAGATTAAGTAAGGGGGACAGATGAGGATCTTCTGGTTCACTGCTTTTGGCAGAAGTCGATATACCTAGTGGTAAAGGCCATTGTATCTGCCTGTTTAGGTTCCATTCTTGGACTTCTCCATTCTATTTTTTTTTTTTTTGAGATGGAGTCTTGCTCTGTCACCAGGCTGGAGTGCAGTGGCATGATCTCGGCTCACTACAATCTCTGCCTCACGGGTTCATTCTCCTGCCTCAGCCTCCCTAGTAGCTGGGATTACAGGTGCGTGCCACAACACCTAGCTAATTTCTGTATTTTCAGTAGAGACAGGGTTTCACCATGTTGGCCAGGATGGTCTTGATCTCCTGACCTTGTGATCTGCCCGCCTCGGCCTCCCAAAGTGCTGGGATTACAAGCATGAGCCACCGCACCTGGCCCCACTTTTCCATTCTTTAACTGTTTGCCTTCGTTCCATAAATTACCTCATTTCTCCATACCTTACAGTGTTGTTGTAGATTTAAATAAAATTATGCACATTGTAAAAGCTCACAAAGCATCAGCTATCATCATCTTCATTATCATCATTCTAGAAAAAAGTATTGCTAGCATACCATAGCTCTCTTTACCCACCTTAGGAGTGGATAGCTACCTAAAGAATGTACACTCAGAGAAGTCCTTGCTTTCCTCTTTCCAATTCCTGAAATAACTTAAAGATTGACCAACACTTTTTATTTCATGAGAATAGGAGAGAATGACTTTACCCAAACTTGTTCCTGTTATCTACAGGAACTTGGTGACTAGTACTCCCACTACAGTTTAAGGGAAAAGCTACTGTGGTAGCCAGTGTTCAGGATGGGTACCAATGATCCCTGCCTTATGGCATCCAGACTTTTGTTTAAAATTACCCTCACATTGAGTAGAGTTGACTTGTGTAACTCAAAAAGATATTACAGAAATGAAGTGTACAGAAGCATTTTAGTGTGATGTAACCTCATTTGTCTGGTTTTGCTTTTGTTGTCTGTACTTTTGGCACAGCAAACGAAACAAGCAACAGATTGAAGAGACAACCTATGAAATGCGAGGAAATATTTTCAAACCTTAACCTCTTACATTTGACAAGAGGTTAATACCTAAAATATAAAAGAAATTCAAACAATAGCAAAAAAAAAAATCAATAGCACAAAAACAAATAACCCAATTACAAAGTAGGCAAAGGACTTGAATAGACATTTCTGAAAAGAAAACACACAAATGGCCAACAGGTTTATGAAAAAATGTTCAACATCTTTAATCATCAGGGAAATGCAAATAAAAATCATAATGAGCTATCACCTCACACTTTTTAGAATGGCTGTTAATAAAAAATGAAAAATAAGTGTTGATGAGGATTTGGAGAAAAGGGAACCCTTTAACACTGTTGGTGGGAATGAAATTAGTGCAGCCATTATGCAAAGTAGTATGGAGATATGTCAAAAAATTAAAAATCAAACTACCATATGATCCAACAATGCCACTACTAGCTGTATATCCAAAGTAAATGAAATCAGTATGTTGAAAAGATATATGCACTTCCATGTTCATTGCAGCGTTATTCACAATAGCCAAAATATTGAATCAACCTCAGTGTTCATCAGTGAATGGATGGATAAAGAAAACGTGGTGTATATATACACAATAGAACCTATTCAGCCTTTAAAAACAAGGAAATTCTTTCATTTGCAAAAATATAGATGAATCTGGAGAACAGTATGTTAAGTGAAATAAGCCAGGCATAGAAAGAAAATATTGCACGATCTCACTTATATGTGAAATCTAAAAAAATAGAACTCATAGAAGCAGAGAATAGAATGATGATGACCAGGGACTAGGGCAGTGGGGATTGGGAAAGTATTGGTCAAAGGATGCAAAATTTCAGTTATATAGGAGGAATAAGTTCAAGAGATCTAGCATACAACATGGTGACTATAGTTAATGTATTCTTGAAAATTGCTAAGAAAGTAGATTTTAAGTGTTCGCATCACAAAAAAATGAAAAGTATGTGATATAATGCATATGTAAATTAGCTTAATTTAGCCATTCCACAATGTATACATATTTCAAAACATCATGTTTTATATATATTTCAAAACATCATGTTTTATATATATATATTTCAAAACATCATGTTTTGAATATAAACATGTTTTATATATAAACATATATAATTTTATTTGTCAACTGAAAATAATAACACCAAAAATCATATCTGGAAATTATTCTGGTGTGATTTGTTTTATCTTTCTTAAAGTACGTATACAGAATTTCAAATGTGGATTGCCGTAATGTTGTTTAAGGAAAATTATTTTTATCTGCTTATTTCCAACACAATTCCTGATGGATTTCTTCCTCACTGCTATCTTTAACTACACAAATAAATGTCAAGATATTCAAAATTTTACACAAAATGTATAGAAAAGGAGAATAAAAGAAGGGAAGTGTGACTTTGGAGGCTAGGTCATAAAAGACATCGCGGCTTTCTCCCTACTCTTCTGGATCCCTCACTCTGGGGACAGCCAGATGCCATGTTTGAAGGCTACTCAAGCAAAGCTGTGCAGACTTCCATGTGTCTAGATCCTAAGGCCTCTTGTCAACAGCAAGTACAAACCAGCCAACCATGTGAGTGAGCCGTCTTGGAAGTGGATGCTCCAGCTCCAGTCAAGCCTCGAGGTGACTTCAACTGTCACCGACATCTTGACCGCAACCTGATGAGGGACCCCAGGCCACAACTAGTCAGCTGCTCCCTGACTTCTGATCCACAGAAACTATGAGAGATAGTAAACATTTGTTGTTTCTTCAAGCCTCTAAATCGCAGGGTAATTTGACATGCAGTGATAAATAACGAATATGCTTGTTTTGATATGGGGAAGAGGAGAAAGCATAGATGCGCTGGCAGATGGAAGGAGAGAGGCAGGAAAAGGACCCAGCAGGCAGAGGCTGAGGATGCCAAAGAGCAACCTCACAACCTCACACTGTTGCTTATAAGCACAGTACTGGAGGCCAGTGTTTTTGGAAGAGGACCAGCAGAATGGAGTGCACTAAGTGCTTTGAAGTACCTAGAGAGCCTGCAGGGAGTGGCACTAGGTAACAGGGAGGTCATGCTTCTCCTGTTTATCATCTTGGCCATTAACTAGAGCAAAGCTCTTTGTGGGAAACATGCAAATTGCTGAAAATGGAGTTGAATTTCCTTCATCTCTCTTTAACTGGAAATATAATTGCAACTCCTTGCACATTGCATGAATTTTTTTAAATCCTGTCACGCTTTGTTGGCTCACTGCTTTTCATCTTAATGTTTATTAAAACAGCCCAAGTTCCCTTTGATGCTGAAAGCCCAAGTATGTGATTGGAGACCATTGCCAAATTACAATGTATTTTTTACTTGATACTGAGTTTTTTGACTGTTCATTTTTAACTTTTCTCTTAATAACTTGAGAGTTGGAGAGTGAGGGTAGGAAAAAGGAAAAAAGTCAGAAACAGTGACTGGCCAGTTTGAAACCCTTTCCTGGACTCAGGAACCTGATAGTTATTTCCAAAACACCACCACAGACATCTCACATGTTTTCGTATGAGACTCTGTTCTTATACCCCTGACTAGTGGCAGATGGAATGAGCCATGATGCGTGGTCCATGGATGGATGAAAAGATATGTTACATTTTCCTAATGGAATGATCAAGGACCTAACACAGGCACTGCATTAGTCAGGATTCTCCAGAGAAACAACCAATAGGATATGAATAGATATAGAAGAGGAGATTTATTATGACTAACTATTATATAGGAGGCCAAAATGTCCCCTGATAGGCTTAAGAACTAGGAACACAGGGGAAGCCTAAGGCTGGGGGCAACTGAAAAGCATTAGCTCCAATGTCCAAGGGCAGAGAAGATAGATGTCCCAGCTTGAGAAGAGAGAGAGAATTCACCCTTTTTCCACCTTTATGTTCTGTATGGACCCTCAGCATATTGGAAGCTGCCCTAATGCTTGTGCACACTGGTAAAGGTAGTTCTTCTTTACTCAGACTACCGATTCAAATGCTAATCTATTCCGGAACACCGTCACAGAGACAAGTAGGAATAACATTTTGCCAGCTACCTAGGCATCCCTTAACTCAGTTAAGTTGCCATATAAAATTAACCATCACAAATCTACCGCTTGTCAGCATGGTACTCACAAACACTTCTTTTTAAATCATACTTTATCTCTAAATAAAAATAATAGAAATTTATAATTCCATCTAACATGATACAACCATCCGCCATACGATTGAAAATGTACTAATTCCTTCCCCAAAAAAGAAGGTGAAATCTTTGTCTGATCTTTTCTCTTGATACACCATAACTTCAATATTATGATGTGAAATTAACAATGCTTAAATATTTATATAAAGTCAAAACATATTATGTGATAAGGGAATAAGAGAGGAAATAAATTGAAGAGATTTGCTTAATATATGTACGTGTGTGTGTGTGTGTATAAATTCATAACTAATAAGAAAGAAATACTCATGTCAGTGACAGTCCTCCTTTCTGTAAATGGCCATGGCTGGTATTTATAGCTACCTTCTTCTACTATGCATTCTGTTCCCTTTGCCTTCAGCAAGCACCTTAACCTGTCATGCATTTTTATGTGGTAGGTTGACCCAAATCTTTATGCCTGAAGGGTCTGGGCTATTCGTACTTCTGTCTGGAATGTGTTGTAGTCTTCAATTCACTTTAATCACAGGGCATGGTAATACTAAACTAAGAGATCTTCTATATTCCAGACATATTCTTTCTTACCCTGACTGTGGATGAGTGCTACAATTTGCCCTGGTTAGTCTGGATCAATCAGCCCAGCCAACACTGTAACTCCCTTCTCAGTCTATTCACTCATAGGCACATTTAACCCTTTAGAGTAGTGGGTGAGATGATTCTAATTTGATCTAACTAACTTTGCAATAAAGCAGAGATGGGTGCTCCAGTTTTCCTGAAAAGGTAGTTTTGCATTTGAGTCTAATTTACAATAAGCGGGATGATGCCCAGGAAGAAATACTACCTGGATGGTTTCCAAAAATGTTCTATATGAGGGGATTGTGAGTGAGAAGTGTATTAGTTTCCTGTGGCTGCTGTAACACATTATCACAAACTTGGTTGCATAAAGCAACAGAAATTTGTTTTTTCACAGTTTTAGCATCCAGAAGTTCAAATTGGGCCTCACACCTGTAATCCCAGCACTTTGGGAGCTGAGGCGGGAGGATGTCTTGAGCCCAGGAGTTTAACACCAGCCTGAGAAACACAGTGAGACTTTGTCTCTACAAAAAAATAAAAAATAAAACAAAATTAGCTGGGTGTGGTGGTGTGTACTTGTAGTCCAAACTACTTGGGAGGCTCAGGAGGGAGGATCGCTTGAGCCTGGGAGGTCGAGGCTGCAGTGAGCCATGATCACACCACTGCACTGCAGCCTCGGCAAACAGAGTGAGACCCTGTCTCAAAAAAAAAAAAAAGTCTGAAATCAGTTCCATTGGGCCAAAATCAAGGTGTGAGCAGACTCATACTCCCCCTGAAGGCTCTAGGGGGGAATCTCATCTCCTTTCTTCTTCCAGCTGCTGGTGGCTACCTACATTCCTTGGCCATATAACTCCAGTCTCTGCCCATGGTCACATTGCCTTCGCTGTGGTCTCTTTGTGTCAACTGTTTCTCTGCTCTCCTCTTATAAAGATACATGTGTTTATATTTAGGGCCCTACCAAATAATGCAGAATAATCTTCCTATCTCAAGATCCTTAACTTACTTGTGTCTGCACAGACTCTTTTTAAAAATCAGGTAACACTTACAGGCTCCAGGGATTAAGAACTGATAGATTTGAGGGCCATTATTCAGCCTATTACAAAAAGTTTCACATCACTTCATTCCAAAGCCTAAGCCTTGCTCTACTGCACTTCAATATTTTCCTCATTGGTGCTGTATTCTAGTTGTTATTATATCATAGAAAGAAAAAAAGTTTTTGAAAAATTAGAGGACAAACTCATTAAATGGAAGAATTGTAACAAGAAAGAAAGGAGAGATAGTAACAAAGTTTTGCTGAAATATACCTCCTCCCTATTCCGTGCCGTCAATTGTAGCATCCCGCTCTGTTGAATGTCTTCCTTTGAAAGCTTCTCTAAGTTTTTACTTTGAAATGTAGATTTGGTTACCCATTCAGAAATTGCCATCTCACATGTTTAATCAAGACCTTGTCTGTCATTGTTGCCCACTACAAAGTTTTATTTAACCCTGGAGTGAATTTACTGTTCTACTCCTGCTGTGGGCCCCGTGAGGTGGTGTGTGGACCTGAGATGAAAACCACTTGATGTGTGGTTGGAGGGTAATAGACTTCTCTCACCCAGACTGATAAGTCATTACAGGCCCTTACATCCAATAAATCTGAGCTGATTCCCAGCTTGCACTTAGTGTGGCGGAGGGGAGAGAGGACTGAGGGAGGACAGAGTCTTTTCTAAAATGCTGTTCAACGTTGTACAGAGTACTTGGTAACAGATGAGCTCATCGGCAGGGGTTGGAGAATGGTTGTTGAAGTGGTGGCACATTTGGTGGCAAAGGTGGTACCACATGTAATGTCTGCTGCAGACATAACAGAGGAATTCTCGGATTTGGGGAAAACTTGCAAATGAAAATAGTAAAGTTTATCTCCTGCAGAGTTATTGGAAGAGAACAAGAGGGAGGCACTAAGACTCAGATTAAGAGGAGAAAATGTTCCAAATGCTTTGGCAAGGGGATCTTACATATTGGCAGATTTTGACCCTTTTCAGAGTCATGCAATGCTTCTTAAGCTGGAGTCTATAGATAGACACTGAGAGCTCCACAAATTCTCAATTAGAGAAACACTGGCTTTAAAAATAGTGTCAACTCTTAGCCTGATATCTCAATGTCTCCCAAATCTAGCTCCATCTGCCCCTCTTAGTCTACTTTTCTCGCCTCCAGTTTTCCAATTTGGGCTACTCAGCATTCCACAAGACATCTCATATTTGGTACTTTGCACAGATCATATTCCTGCTTTAAAATGTCACCTACCTTTTCTCCTCTTTTCCCTCCCCCACCCCCAGTATGTCCGCTGCCAAAAGTTCCAAGCCCTGCTCTGGTTCTGCCAGTTTCTTGGTGCTCAACTCTCTCTCCTGATTTCTGTAGCACTTAAGCTTGGAAAAGGGCCTTCTGGGGTACCCCACTGCTCCGTATCACTTTTATTTTCTATTTGTTTAATGTTTAAGATTTTGTCTCTGTTTCTCCTGTCACATATTTCTCAAAAACTGCATGCTTACTGTAAATACATAGAGTAACTTCATTTCCATTTTTGGAAGTTGAAAAGCCCTGCCACTAAGACAGGGCTCTGGGGAGCTTGCCCTCCACCCATCCACTATTCCAATACCATTCAAGGTGCAGTGCTGGTCCTGTCCCACCTATTCCAACTAAAACCACATGTCATCAGTGAATTATTGTGGGCAATGCAAAAAGGGAAGGTGGAGCAGAGCAGCGATGGTGAAGAGAGAGAATCTGTAAGAAAATAGGGAGGGTCAAGGGCCACTGAGAAACCTGTGATGGTAGGTAACAGAGAAAGACTTCCAAGCAGGAAAACGAGGGGAAAACGAGGGATGTTCCATTTGATATTATTGTTTACATTGTTGCAAGTAGAACATCCCCCAACTCAGAGTCAAACCTTCTGTTAAGTCAGTATCACACATGTGATGTATGAGTCTATTTTCGTGCAGAAATTAAAGGAAAAAACTGGTTTTCATATTTGAATCAATCAAAGTGAAGCAATTATCGTGAGTAGAAGCCAGAAGCTTTCTACAAAAGTAAAGATGAAATAGTAAGCACTGAAAATATTTGGAGAAATGTGGGTTTGTGGCATAAGGTTGCAGCCAGTCTTCTCTACATCTCATGGGGAAAGGAGATGCCGGGTGGCATTTTAAGGAGTTCAAAGGATTTGGGGACTAATCAAAGAAAAAAATATGACCACAAGGTGGCAGTGGTACACACAGGCTGTGTTAGGCACTTTGACAGGTTTGCAGGCAGAGAGGTTCCTTGCTGTGGAAGTCTGTCCTGAGGGTAAGCGCAGAGGTCCCAGTTCAGAAAGGAAAAAGGGCAGAGATCATCAGAGATTGTGTATCTAGGTGATGTCACTGGGCAGCACAGCAGGGGATCTCTGTGTCTGAGTGCTCAGAAGGGTAGCAGCAGCTTGAGATCTTTACACCCAGAGCTTATGTTATCTGTGGCTACAGGTGTTGGGCACAGATTTGTGAAGTGTGCAAAGCAAGCAAACTCCAATTCACTGAAAATCTGCTTATTTGGGCAATATTTAAGATAATTAGATGTGTAAAAATTTGAGATTGATGCCAGCAGGCTTTTGGGCTAATGGGTCTCAGCCTATGGTGAAGAAACACAGAACCCAAGTGCCAGTGTGCAGGCGCTCTCTGGTTTGTTCATAAAACAAACCTCTCTCTCTCTCTGTCACACACACACACACACACACACACACACACACACACACACTTATAGGATTGGGGTCATATCACATATGTTGTTTTATAACATTTGCAATAATATCTTAATCATTTTTCAATGTCATTACAGATTCTTCTGAAACATTCTTTTTTAATGGCTGCATATTGTTCCATCATGAGCTTCTCTCATGATTAACTAATCCTCTATTTCTGATATTTTCTAACAGATAGTCCAGTATTTCTAATATTGACCTACGGGTATGTAGTGATGGAGTCTGGGGCTTTTTGCTTCCAAACCTGTTTTGGATTCTTGGCTTTACTAAGCAACTGTTTAGCTGGGGAATCACCAAATGATTTTTGAAAATAATGTTAGGAAAAAGACATTTCATTCAAATTCTAAAATATTTAATTATGGCTTGATTTATTTAGTATTTATTTATTTAGCAACATGATGTATGGCCTAAGCTTATAGATTGGTTTTAGTCAAAAAACAACTGTGCTCATCAAATAAGCCCATTATGCAAAGCACACTCCATCATATTGGGTCCCTGAAGAATCCTAGTTTTGAGGTAAAGAACAGACCCCCATCTGGCTACATGTTACCCATCTGCAACAAATCACCGTGACACAAAACATTTAAAGAGGCAGTAGTTGTATTAGGAATGGCATTTCCCCATTTTGAAAGATGTAAGTAAAAACACTGTTTAACATCTGAAGTTCATTTGCAAGAAGAGTAGATGAGCTAGAGAAGGTGGCAGAATGACAGTGTGACTCCCACTTTCTTCATTGTGTGTCTGTATGCGTGTGTGGGGTGAAATAGAGGGCTTATACATGGCAAGATATGCTGCAGGAACAACACCTGATCAAACAACCTGAGTCCTGTACTCTCAATGCAGTTGCAGTGGTGATTCTCAGAGCTCTTCCCCCTCAGTGACCATTTGTGTATTAGACGCTGCTTAAACCTAAGGGGAAATAAGGAGCAAGAGAACAAGATGAGGTTCAAATGGTCTATGCCAGACAACTTACAAAACACATTTCTCTACATAATTCAGTGGAATCACCCCAAATAATACTGCAAATTGTATGTCTCCAATGTTCAGATTAGATTAGGTTACTAAGCCTTACAAATATCTTAGTGACTTTCTCAAGATCCTGGCTGAACCCTATTTGAACTTAGATCTGAAACTTCAAAATCTGTGCTACTTCTAAAAGATTATACAGACAATTTGTCAATTAGGGAAGTCCGTTAAAACTACTGTGTACATGAACATTTGACCTTGATTCGTTTCTATTAGGTCTGTCCATATCCCTTCCCTTACTGTTTTTTTTCTTTTTGTTGTTGTTCTTGTTTCTCCTTTGGTGTTTGCACTTCTATCCCTGTGTGATGGGAAGCCCCTTCATTCTGCCTTTTGTCTGTCCTGGGAAGGTCATCAGATAGGTATTGGAACTTGAAATATTTCAGCTTTTTCTTCTATCATCCATATCAAGATACCTGTATCCCATATTCCTAAGCCATCCATCCTGTACCATCTAAGATGTTAGGGCAAAGTGGCTTTTGATATACACTCTATCTCAGCACAGAACACAGTGGTCAAGAGGAGTTAGCTGTACCTGAATTCTACTCTGGGCTCTCCAACTTACTAGCCATTTCACTCTTGGCAGTTCAATTCTCTCTTAGTGTCTCATTTTCCTCCATTGCAAAATAAGGTGATAATAGCGTCTACCTCCTAGGGCTGTGTAAGGGTTAAATGATGCACTGTGTATAACTTGCTTAGGAAAATGCATAGCACATAGTCATCAAAAAATAACTGTTATAAAAATAATATTTATACATGTATAAATATTATAAAATAATATTTATACATGTATAAATATAAATATTTATACATGTATAAATATAAATATTTATACATGTATAAATATTATAAAAATAATATTTATACATGTATAAATATTATAAAAATAATATTTATACTTGTATAAATATTATAAAAATAATATTTATACTTGTATAAATATTATAAAAATAATATTTATACTTGTATAAATATTATAAAATAATATTTATACATGTATAAATATTATAAAAATAATATTTATAAATTAATTATTTTTATTATATGCTGAAACCACCTGTGTCTTAGGCCATCACTCTAATAGACTTCATTGACTATGAAATGCTTACTCATCACTAGTTACAAGCATGTGTACCGAATGGCTGGAGACAATGAGGAAAGGAGTGCTAGGTAGTTTAAGGACTTTACCTTCTGCCAGCTAAGGACCTACTTTGGAACCATAAGAAATAAATACAACTTTTTTTGCTGTTTTCTTACTGTATCTGGCTCCCTGATAAGAACTTATCAAGCCCTCTTTTCAAAAAGCCTCAATGCCACAAAGTCCTCCCCACCTTCTCAAAAAGGAAATCTACAAGTATTCATTGAAGGCCTCTTCGGTGTTTAGCCTTGTGCCGGGTCTAGGGAATGGAGGTGGGCTTCTAAGATGGCATAGGTTTTGGGTTTCTCAACTTACCTACAGACTTTTTGCATCATTTTTTCCTTTTTTTTTTTTCTTTTTTAGATAGGATCTCACTCTGTTGCTAAGGCTGGAGTACAGTGGTGCAATCACGGTTCACTGTAGTCTTGATTGCCTGGGCTCAAGTGATCCTCCCTGCTCAGCCTCCCTAGTAGCTGGGACCACAGATATGTGCCACCATGCCTGGCTAGTTTTTCTTTCTTTATTTTGTAAAACAGAGATCTCACTATGTTGCCCAGGCTGGTCTCGCATTCCTGGGCTCAAGCGATCCTCCTGCCTTGGCGTCCCAAATTTCTGGGATTACAGGCATGAGCCACTGCACTTGGCTTTTTTTTTTTCCTTAATCATGCTCTTTGTGGAGTTGTCCCTTGCATATCACTTTGCCCCTCTCACTCATTACTTCTGACTTGGGTCCTGTTCATACTGCATCTTGCTAAATAATTTTATAAGCCTTATAACCAAGTAGACATTCTCTCCCTAATGCAAATATATAGCCCCTCTATGTTCTAGAACTCACAACAAGAAAACAGAGTTGCTAAAAGATAAATAGGAGATGCTTTAAAAAGTTAGAGACCCACCAGGAGATTGAGACCATTCTGGCTAACACAGTGAAACCCCGTCTCTACTAAAAAATACAAAAAAAAAAATTAGCGTGGTGGTGGGCACCTGTAGTCCCAGCTACTTGGGAGGCTGAGGTAGGAGAATGGTGTGAACCCAGGAGGTGAAGCTTGCAGTGAGCCAAGATCACGCCACTGTACTCCAGTCTGAGCGACAGAGTGAGACTCTGTCTCAAAACAAACAAACAAACAAAAGTTAGAGACTCACTAACATGACTAAAGTTAAAAAGCTTGATAATGCCAAGTACTGGAGAGGATATGGAACAACTGTAACTCTCATATATTTTTGGCAGAAATATAAAGTGATACAACCTTCTTGGAAAACAGTTTGGCAATTTCTTTGTTAAACATACATTTACCGTAGTACCCAACAATAACACTTTTAAGAAAGTAAATAACACTTTAAGAAAGTAAAATAAAAACTATATATTTAGAATGAATTATACATTAATTGTTGTGGCACCTTTATTCATAATAGCTCCAAACTGGAAACAACCCATGTAACTTCAACAAGTATGAATGGATAAATAAATTATAGTGTATTCACAAGATGAAGTATTAGTCAACAATTTTTAGAAAAACAACAACAACTAGCGGTTAGGCGTGGTGTCCCACACCTTTAATCCCAGCACTTTGGGAGGCCAAGGCAGGAAGACTGCTTGAGCCCAGGAGTTTGAGACCAGCATGGGCAACAAAGTGAGACCCTGTCTCTATTAAAAAAAAAAAAAAACATAAACAAAACAAAGCAAAACAAAACCTACGGATACACATAATTAAACAGATGAAGCTCAACATTTTGCTAAGCTAAACAAGCCAGTCTCAAAAGAATATATACTGTATTATTTTACTTATATAATTTTTTAAAAATATCCAGACTAGTCTGTAGTGACAGAAGGTAGATTAGTACTCACTGGCAGCTGGAAGCGAGAGGAGCACTCGTGAGAGAGGGCACAGGGAGCTTCTTGGAAAGATGGATGTGTTCTATATCCTGGTTGCAGGTGTGGTTATAAAGGCATGTAGACTTTTCAAAACTTAACTGAATGGGTACATAAAATAAGTACATTATATAACTTGCTAAACATAGTAAATTTTTATGTAGTATATATGAAATATATTAAAACAAGACTAGCAATTCAGAAAATAAAAGGTAGGGAAAGATTCCACTTGTCCTACAGTAAAGATATCCAGAAACATGTGAATCTATCCGGTGTTTATTTGACGCATTTAGTTTTGCTCTTAGTCATTTTTTCAACCATTTATTAAACTGACTAGATGCTAAGTCCAGTGTTAGGTGCATAACATACAGAGATCAAAGGTGACTTTGTAACCACAGAACGTTTGCAGTTTTGGCAAGCTGACGAGCTTGAAAATGGTTGCAGAACCATTTTCTGTTGAAAACGCAGAACTTCAACAGGAAGTGCAGGGGACCATGGGTGTGCGGGAGAGGGGCATTTAACTGGGAGGACCAGTGAAGGTTCCTGGAGGAGGTGAAGTTTGATTTGAGTACTAGATAGAGAAGGGGATGTGGATGCTCCAGGAAGAGGAAATAGCTCCTGCAAAGCCATGGTGGGTGTGGTGACCAGCGAGGAGCAGAAAAGTGGACATGGGTCATGTGATTAAGCATTTCAAGAGGATGGTATGTATCCATTCAGCTTTAGAACAGCCCCGCGGGCATCTGTATGGTGTATGGGTTGCAGATGTCGCTATGATCAGAGGCTGGGTAGCAAACCACTAACGTAATCTAGTAGTGGTGGTAAGAATGAAAAAATAGGACATTTGAGGCCTGGCCTCTTCTGGCTCTTTGTGAAATCTAACAAACATCTTCCAGCTCCATCTGGTGCTGCTTTTTTGTTTTGTTTTGTTTTGCTTTGCTTTGTGTGTATTTGTTTGTTTCATTTTGCCAGGGGCATTTGGTGCTCAGCCCTTACCCCCTATGTTTTGTGAAGCATATCTTATTCTCCAGGCATGTCTTATTCTCCCTCCCTTTTATCTTGTCCTGAACACAGGCTAGGGGGATGACATGGTTTCCTTTTAGGTTTTAGAAGAAACAGGAGTCTTATTTGATTCCTCCTTTGAAAGAACTGCTGCCATGGGTGATTTCCTCATTGATGCAAAGAAACTATGCTTTGCCCTACCTTTGAGAGCATTTACAATAGAAAGTCTACTTACTCTTCCAGTGAACTGATATATACTTAGTCTCTGCCCTGTGTCTGGGACGCTGTGAGATGCTGGTGAATTTGCTAGCTGGCGTGATGGATTGTCCCCTTACTTCTCTGCTTTCACTCCCCAACAGATGATTATTGTTCTCCTGTGCAAAGGACTGTGAGGACACTTTGAAATAAAAAGGTAGTTTCTGCCCTCACCTGACATATAATATTAAAGGGAAGACAATATGGCTGCCTGATAAAGCAAAATGGGAAAAGCAATATAAAAGAGGTAGAAGGAGGTAGGTGGAGTGTTACAAGTGAAGAAGAAAGCTCACCCAGGCAGTAGTGACCACATTGGCCTGGCTGCCCCTGCAGAGAAAAGATTTCATAAATACCATGGGAGCTCCTACTAAGCACTGTAATTTCTGTTATGTGCTGGGAATACCAAGAAGAAAGAGAGATAGCCCTGCCTCTAGGAGCTCCAGGACACAGATTAGTCTTATCAAATGAGTCCGGCTGGGCGCAGTGGCTCACGCCCGCAGTCCCAGTACTTTGGAGGCTGAGGCGGGCAGATCACAAGGTCAGGAAATGGAGCCCATCCTGGCTAACACGGTGAAACCCCGTGTCTACTAAAAATACAAAAAAATTAGCCGGGCGTGGTGGCGGGCGCCTGTAGTCACAGCTACTCGGGAGGCTGAGGCAGGAGAATGGCGTGAACCCGGGAGGCGGAGCTTGCAGTGAGCCGGGATTGCGCCACTGCACTCCAGCCTGGCGACAGAGGGAGACTCCGTCTCAAAAATAAAATAAAATAAATAAAATAAAATAAAATAAAATAAAATAAAATAAAATAAAATAAAATAAAATAATAAAATAAAATAAATAAAATAAAATAAAATAGAGGCCAGCCTCTTTAATTTCAGTTATTATTGCTTTATTGCCTAAAGTTTAAGATGATCCATCTGCGTTGTAGAATCAGGATTTGATTAAAATAATGATTTGAGCCTTGCACGTCAATGGGCCTTTAGAAGTTCACTGCTCCAGGTTGGTCTGAAGGTTCAAGTGTGGCGGAGACTGGTTCCCCCAGTGTCCTCCAGGCTGCCTCTTTGAAGTGTGGGGGCATGGCAGCATTGTAAAGTGTGGCTGGTACAAACCAAATAAACCTTAAGTTTAATTTGGAGTGGGAAGAACAGAATCATTAAAACAATCTTGAAAAAGGAAGACAAAGTTGGATACTTACCCTACCTGACTTTAAGACTTACAGTGAAGCTGCCATACTCAAGACACTGTGGTACTGGCGAAAGGAGACACAAATGGATCAATGGAAAAAAATGGAAAGCCAAGAAATAGACCCACACATACATGGTCAAATGATTTCGACAAGGACACCTCGACAATTCGATAGGGAAACAGCCTTGACCTGTACTTTACTAAATGTACAAAAATCAATTCACGGTAGATTGTAGAGCTAAGTGTAACAGCCAGAGCTACAAAGCTAGTAAAAGAAACATGGGAGAATAGCTTTGTGACATTGGGATAGGCAAAGATTTCTTAGGGATAATCCAGAAAGTATGATCCATAAAGTGTGGTTGAGACTTCCCTGTTTAGAGAGAACTGTGTTGCGAGCCTGTGTACACATATTTTATTTGGAGACCTGATTCATTGATTCATCCTGGATCTTTCCTATTTGTAGCACATCAAATTCATATGCACAGTCCCCAGTGACCTTTGTTTTAAAAGCTTTTAAAAGCAAGAACTAAATTTCAACACTGAAGACAAGTCAGACACAAACCTCCATGTATTTTAAAGTCTAGTCTCTAGTATATATCAAGCTGTATTATAATTAAAATCTCCAAAATCAGGACACAGCAGTCTAGTTGTGAAATAAACTGTCAGAAAGAAACCACTCACAGGCGCACACATTCTCCCACTTAAAAAAAAAAAAAAAAAAAAAAAAGAAATGCTTGCCGTGTTGCAGATACATGGGACATACTTTATACGTGTGGAACCAGTTATAGAAATGCCGTTTGAGGAGGGAAGCAAGGAAGCAATAAAAACAGTACATTAATATTTTAAATGTTGGTTAAAAAAAAAAAAAGCGTGGTCGGGTGAGGAGCAAATGCTTAAAGAACTTCCCCTTAATAAAAACAACATTCTTGGTTATGTGACCCACAGCAAATCGGCTTCAGCTGCGTTTTTATTTAGCAATTTGTGTTTGGTGTTTTCGCTTAGAGATGCTCCCCTATTCCATTTTATAGCAGGCTTTACATAAATTTCGAGGAGGATTGGGGTATAAAACTGTCAATTCCCAGCAGCTCATAAACTAATGAATTTAAATTTTAAATGGGGGATTTTAAAACATGGGGGGGCTGTTTTCGTTATCTGATGGTATGTATCTCCAACAATAAGTGGCAATCTATAAACGCTGGGGTGGCTCCCTTCAGAAACATGTGATAAGAAAAGTCTCTGTCTCTCTCTCCCTCCCTCCCTCCCTCCCTCCCTTTCTGTCTCTCACTTTGTTCTTTTCCTGTAAAATCTCAAACTCCAATGAACTTCAGCTTTGCAAAAGACATGATATAAGTTGCTTTAAAAAATTGATTTGGCCTGGAGAAACTTTATTTTCCCTCATAAAGCTCTTTCTTGCTTACCTTTATTGTTTAATTTCACTTTCTTTTTTTCTCTATTTTCCATCCAAGTTACTACTCCGCTAAGACAATCTCTCTCTCTCTCTCTCTTGCTCTCTTTCTCTATTTCTGTGTGTGTCTGTGTTTCTCTCTCTCTCTATCTCCTCTCTCATCTTTGAAAACCAACAACATAGCCAAGTATCCTGTATAGAAGCACTTTTATTAGCTGAGGAAATAATTAATACCAAATCCATATTTGAAGATTGATTATTCTAGATTTTGGGACACTAAAGGATTGCAGCTAGATGCAGGAGACAAAGTATATGAAATTTCTATTTAGCCTTAAGTCTGGTTTTCTTTGAGTGCTGGGTGATTATATTAATATTGTGGTGTTGGAGGACCTAAGTGTAGGAATTAAAGGGTGTCTCTCCAGAGGGTTCCAATATCTGGTTGCTCTGAACGTTTGGTGAAATTTCCATTTCAAACCAAATGGAAATGCTTTTTGAGTCATATTTTGTCATCTGATGCTATTTTTTCTAGTTCAATAACTTTAGAGAATTAATGGGATTTCTTTTTGTTTCAAATAGTTCACTATTTTTGGTGGTTTCGTTTATTTTGGTTTCTTGTTTTCCATTCTTTTAAAAAGTATTCTAAACAGACTGAGGAGGGTCAGTATTGGCTTCTCTGATTTGGTATCCCCAGTACCTAGCAGAATGGGAGCATAACTTATGGTATGTACCTCATAATGTTTTGTTGAATGAACAAATACATGAAACAGTACATTTCACCAAGGAATTTACAATCTAAGAAGAAAATTCAAAAGTTTTGCCAAAAAGATTTTTTGGCATCTATTTGCCTGAAGTCCAGTGCTTTTTACTTACAGGTTCTTGGGTAAACTCCAGGCAGGTGCATTTGGTCGGTGGGTGACTTCTGGATAAATGAGATGGTAATCTATTTGGATTAAGTTTGGGAGAGTTTTAAAATTCAAAATAAGTGGATGTATTTTATTAAAAACTATTTCTATCTCCAAACAGGAAGAAAAAATTGAGCATTAAAGTTATCTTTATTAGATGACCAGAATATGATGTCTCTGTGAGGGTCAAGTTGTTTTCTTTACTTCTTTATATGCTATAGCTTTAAATCACTTTTAAGCAATGGAGTTTCCACTGTGTCACCTGGGAGACAATTGGGTGTTGTAACCAGTATCTTAATTAGATCATTTACAGCACATTTGCATTACAGGGCTGTAATAGACTGTGCCCTGTGATTTCTTGCACTCAAAAGGTAACCTCCCATGCTCCATATTGAATTGTATTACAATTATTATTAGGTTGTCCCTATCTTATAAAAAAGCAGGGGTATAGCTTCTTGTTTCAGGAGGTGTTTTGATTTTTCCATCACTGAAAAAATATAAGGTTTTCAGTTACCTCCCTCCTTCTGTTCTCATGTGGGAAATACCCCTGGAACCTGGACATTCAAGACATGGTTTGCCTTGATTCTCTGGACTCCATTATCATGAATAGACTGGGGCTGTGAAGTCATTGGCAGAATGACATTCAAAGTTTCAATCTGTATCAAACTGTCTCATCTTGCAAATAGCCACTGGGAATTTTAAAACTAGTTTCCTCAGTACTAGTTTTGAAATTCCCAAGCCAGAATGGATCTAGACTGAAACATTTTGTTACGGGAACATTGTTTTAATCTACTAGGTTCTATTAACTGCTTCAGTAGGCTGCTTGGTTGCCACAGTAGCAAGCTGAGAAGAGATCTTCAAGACTCTGGGTCACAGAAGAGAGTTAGAACCATTAAAGTTTCTGTGTTTGCCTGCAGGGGTTAGGACCATGCAGAAGATGGGCATGGGTATTCTACGCATCTCCAGTCAAATTGAACATATTGGCTTAATGTCTAGGGAATAAGGCAATGTCAGAGAAACATGAAAGAAGGAAGCATTCCTGTATTCTCTTCATTTTCAATGAGGATGTTCTTGAAGAGTCATTTTTGAGAACTTTGTCAGAGTCACCAGCCTTGCTGGAATATTCTTACTTCAATATGTGTATAATTCCATGTGGTATTATTTGAGTAAGGAACCTTGCTATTTCTTACTTCCTATATTATACCAGGCTTCTTTACCAAAGTCTACACTGTATTTTTTCATTGTGGGTTAAAGGCAATACATTTATGAATTTTTAATATTCCTGTCAAGATCTTACAAGAAGAAATTACTTTGTGAGGTATGTAGGGATGCTAACAGTAGGTTGGGAAGTGGATCATAATCTCAAAATAGTAAATGCTAGCTCGGTGGCTTTCCCACAGAGAGGTAATGTATCTTGATGAGACAAGAGCATTTGTAGAGGAGGGTTTATTTGCAGCTCTTCACCCACTGCCTTCCTCTGCACCAACCCAATCTCCTGGGCTCCCCTGGAATCACGTTCTCTAAGTACCTCCTTAGGTAGACCTGCATTACCAAGGACAAGTTAAAAGTCTCTTTCTTTGCCCTTAATCTGTTGTTTGTAATGGGATTTAGGAGCAACTCAGAAAGGAGTGACAGGAACTATTGAGAAGTTGACACAGGGAAATAGAAATGAAATCACAGAACAAGAAAGCAGGAAGGCACTCTAGTAATCATCTGGTAGAAATACCACCCAGTGCTGGAACTGTTTCTGTGACATTTCTGATAGATGTCCTCTGTTGGACATTTTCATTGACTCAGAGCACACACAATGCTTCTTACAGGCACTGCATTCTTTTGTTGTGGAGTTCTAATTTTTAACAAAGTCCTTTTTATTTTTATCTTTAATTGACTCCAAATCTCTCTTTTAGGATGTCCAACCCATTGCCCTTGGCTCATTATATATGACAGTACTCTTCTAAGTCCGGGAACACACAATCAGCTCGTATTGAATTTGTCAAAGAAAACTTCGGGAATTATAATAAGTAGTTATTATATTGCTTACTGACTTGATTAATGAAAGCAAATTTCTGGAGAAATCATGCTTTCTACACACCTCCAGGATGGTATAAGACAATCTTGCATGAATACATTAATTAACTACTTAGGGAATTTTCTAACTGATTATGGTTTATTTTACTTACTCTCTGGTTGGCAGTTCCTGAGGCACTTATGTAAATAAGCAAAGGAAATGGTCAGGGGAATTACTTATATTTTGCCTCCGCCTGTGATGTTCTGTGATGTTTTAGGTACAGGAATGAAGATGAAAAAAAATTGTGAAGGCTAGTTTGGCTCCCAAGACATAGCACTGAACTATGACGAACAAAAGGAACATTACAAGGTGGAGTTTTGATAAAAGTGGGATTCCTAGAAGAAGCAGATAGTAGTATGTGACTGTTGTGAAAAACGTTTGAGGGGTAAGTTGAGGTAAAATTGATAGAAGACCTTAAATGGTAGAAGAGGAACTCAGATATCTTTTTATGAGCATGGAAAACACATTCTAGATGTGTCAGTGAGAATAGGCCAAGTTAAGGTGAACCAAAATCTTTCAAATTTCAAAGTTTTGATGCAGCAGATGCCTTCTTAATTCATTTTCCATGACCAATATTGGTTGGTAAGGGCTCTGCTCATCACAGTTGCTCAGTGTAGTCTTATGTCCTCAACTCATGTTCCTGCAATCAGTGGGAGAAGGAAATATGGCCCATAATGCACTTGTCCCCCAGAGCTTCCTCCAGAAAGTGTCAAACATTTCCTCTGTTCACATTGTGTTAGCCAAAGCAGGTCACATTGCCATGCCGAAGTTAAAAGGGCACAAGGACATCAAATCTTAACCATGGTGCAAAAAGAGAACACAAACATTTCCGAATAGTTCTAGTAACTTTCACTTCAGAGCACAAGAGATAAATTATGGGGAAAAAAATAAGGCCAATGGTGGTGCACAGTTATGTATGCACACCTGTATTCCTGAGGCATGTATAATGGTTGAATTCTAAAGGCTGAGTGATTTTGAAAAGGCATAGTTTGTTTAAAATTTTAGAGGGATTTACTAAAGCCATTATTTCATCCTATTTTCTGCATGTTGTCTGTCTCTGGATCTTTTTTTCAAGTTCTCTGGCTTCCCCTATATTGATGAGTTATGTTGGAGTGATATGGAGAAGGGGCTTTAATGACCACTTTTAAGGTTCCCTCTTTGTGTCAGTTGTGCTCAATATTTGTATTAATGACTTGTATTAAGTAGAGAAAAGAGAGAAGGGTGAGGGGAGGTCTGATGCTGACTAAATCTATGTAACGCAAAAGACTGGCTCAGAGAGTTAATACAGCACAAAATTCAAATTGATCTTGATGGGACATGTATGCCTACGGTTAAACTTAGCAAGAAAGTATAGCTCTGTATTTAGATGTTTTGTAAATCACCTATATGTGCAGATATTTGGGAATATCTGACTTGAAATCAGTGATTCTAAATCCTCCTCAGAGCCATCATGTTGTTACAAGTAATAGAAGACAATAAGGTGATTTGGCAATCTAAAAAAACAATACTTTCTTGATTAATGAATTTGACCCAAATGTTGCAGATTCTGGCATTAGTGGGTACTCAAAAACATGTATCAAACAAATGAATAAATGAATTAAAACAAGGACAAGTATTTCCTAGGTTTCCAAACGTAACACACTCATGTTTAAGGGCAGTTAAAGTTCCTTCCTTCTATAGGAGGAACTCAGTTTTGTTCTAAATAACCAAAGGCCACACAGACAACATATTTCTATTTGTGCTGATTTAAAGTGTTGAAAAAAGTGAAATGCACCAAGATAACAAGCAAACTAATGAGATGGTAAACTGGGGTCATTATAAGACCCAATTAATTTGATCCAGAAATTCTTGGTCAGAGACTTGATTGTTTGGACACCTCCTTGTGATATGTGGAATCAAAATTTGGGAAGCAGCAACACAGTGGGCAAAAGGGCTCTGACTTAGGAATCATGGAATTGGGCCTAGGCTTTATCATTTACTCACCTTAGGACCCCGGGCAAGGCATCTACTCCCTGTAACTGAAGTTACTAAATTAGCCCTAGCTAACTTAGGTTATTAAGTTTATCTATAGGCAAAGGCTTGAAATGTGTAGATTGGGGTGAAGCCTGCCCTGCCAACCTCACAGAGCAGTGGTGGGAGCTAAGTGAGATAATGTACAGGAAAGCACTGGGTAAATTGCAAAGCCTTTTACAAAGATAGGAAGCATTATGAAGACATTTTCCAAATGGCCTCAAGAAACTGATTTGGTTGTGCAACATAAACATACCACTGGGAGGCCGCAGTTACCAGAGTCTCTATCAGAGACTTTTCAAAATAAATGCAGTGACTCAAATGTGTTTCCAGATGATGCTTTGAGGATTACTAACAGAGCAGCTATTACAAAGCAGTCAGACCCACCGGCTCATGCATGCCCTAATCCTATTATAAGACAGACCAGATACCACTTATTTTGCTATGTCAACCTTCCTTTGACTGATAGTAACAATTGTTAGGCCTGTTATAAAAGGCAGGCTGAACAGTGGGAAGGCATTTCACAGTGAGTCAGCAATTATAGCCTTGCAAATTCTAATTGTCTACACCTTCAGGGTGTAGACAGTTGTGTCACTTTCTATGTATATCCTGAAATGAGTGAAATAAAACTGAAAACCTAAGTGATATAGGAATACACAGGTACAGAACATCACTGGACAACTCCCATCAAGTTGAATATTATATACTGAGAAAACAGGTAGGAAGGTGATGTGTGCAATATATGTCTGTTTCCATTAAGAAACTGAGGTCCAAGCTAGTTACAAGGAAACGGGTCAAACCAGAAAGTGTAACAGCTTAATCCATAAGCAGGTATGCAGGTCTGTGTAAATACGGGATGGATTTTTCTTGTGAAGTGGGTCTGAGGATTTTTATGTTTCCCTCTATTTCAAAGTAGCCTTCTGGGTATAGGGAAGTTCTCTAGCCTGTGTGGGCTGCTCTCTGGAGTGAGCAGGTTTGGCAACCCTGAGGAAAATGAAAGTTCTCTAAGGTAGCACTTCTCAAATATTAATGTGCATATACATCACCTGGGCATCTTATTAAAATGCAGATTTTATTCAGTACGTCTGGGCTGGGGCCTGATATCTGCATTTGTAACAAGCTCCAAGGTGATGCCCATATGGCTGGTTTACAGCCCCCTCTTGGAGTAGCAAGGGAGCTGTCATAATTCCAGTTCTAGCACAGAGGTGTAAGGCAGACTTGGTTTATTCCTCTCTCTCTCTCTCTTTTTCTCTCCCTAGTCTCACTTTATCACTCTATCTTTGATACAACTGAAAATAGTCCTGAAGTCTTAACAAGAAGGAATATGAATGGGCTGAATCACGTATTAATCACTTCAGCCCTTGCCGACCACCCAGTTCTCAGGGGCAAGGAACTACCAGTTCTGAGACCCTTCTTGTTCATGGAAAGGTGACTGTGCTATTCCAGCAGCACAAGAAACATTGAACCTCAGAAAGTGCCCCTAAGTTCAGAAAAACTCACTATTTAAGATGTAATCATCCTAATATCACTGTTTTGGAGGAGAAATAAAATTCCTGGTTAAGCTAGAGTTGATAAGTATAACCAATAATAATAATACTTGTTGTTTATTCAGGGCTCATTCTCTGCTATGTGTTTTACTGAAATCATCTTATTAAACCCATATATGATTCCTACAAGGCAGACACCATGTAGTTATCTACATTTTATGAGTGAGACGTCTGAGCCTGGAATTAAAGCCCAGCCTCCGAACCTCACTGCTACCCTTCCTGTTGACATGACCAGGCCACCTTTTAGCCTAAGGCTGTCTTGTCCCTTATTGGTTATTTGCATGACTAAATACTATGGGTTTAGCATATGTTTGTGGAATTAGTGGGAGTAGACATATTTATTCAACAAGTCTATAATGTATCTTTAAATATAAGCTATTATATTGGGAATAAATATAATATACTTTCTGTTGTTTGTTTCTTCTTTAAAAAAATATTTGCCTCAAATAGGTACTGTGGTTATTATTTTGGTTTTGTTTTAAATCAAGAAGGATTATATGCACATAGATGCTCAATTGGTATTTGTTCACTTATGGGAGAAAAAGAAAGAAAGAAGGATTGAAAGGTGAAGTTGTTCAGCAAAGCAAGAGTTGTCACTTGGGACACTTTATCTTTAGAAGAAGAAGAACACTCAACATGTTTGAAAGACCCTGAGACTTTGGCTTAAATCGCTGTTAACTGAGACCTACAGCTCTTCTGTTAGTGTTTCTTTCCTGTCAGACAGAGGTTTCTGTGCATATGACGTTCCTACTCCTGCTTGGAAATTTATAATAGACAACAGCAAATTGGAGAGTGTGATCAGTGGAGGGGAAAATAAACCCATTTCACTGTGTTTAGCTCAGTGTTTCCCATCCTGATTACACCAGACAAACATTCATGCGTGGAAGACCTATTATCCTCTCCAGGAGGCCCATGAAAAGTTCTTTGGCGTGTACCACTTTAGAGGAACTACTTCCCCCTCCTTAGCTGGTTTTTCTGAACCTAATTTTCCTGGTGGGGGCTTCCTGTAAATTCTGGATCTCACAGTGTGTGCCAGTTTTTAAAATGGAATCTTCTAGAATTGTGGGAGCAAAAGTGGGAAGGTTGTTGGAAAATGTAGAGCTAGACGCTAAAGACAATCTATATTCTCACTTTCATTGAGGGCTTCTCTGGAAGCCAAAGAAAGGAGTCCCTAATAAAGCAAAGACATAAGTCAAAGGAAAACCAGGGTCTTAGAATCTCGGTTTCTTCTTTAGTGCCCTCCCCTTACAACCTGCGCTCCCTTTTGCATTTTGGGGGTTCTCTGGCCTGTATGCTAAACTTGACCTTGAAAGCTCTCTCTTCCTTCCAACCAATTACGCTCATAGATACTTTTTTTTTTATTTTAACGGTTTCACTTCTTTCACCATAGTGAAATAAAAGAAACAACAAAATGCAAAAAAAATTAGTAAAATTAGATTAAGAAATTTATCTAGCGGTGAGCTTGACCTGTAGTTTCTGACTCAGTTTTGCAGTGAAAGCATCATTTGGCCTCACCCACTGCCTTCACTATGAGTATTGTCAGCAACTTACCACCCCATTCTGCTTTCTCATCAGACCTTGCTTTAGGGAAGATCCAAGGGACTCTTTTCCCAGTGTCCTCATCTTGCCAGCCAGCAGCTACAAACTTTACCAAATGAACAAAGAAATTATTTTGTGTCAAGTGAGAAATGTGGCTCTCTAGGGCCCTCCAAGCTGGAGGACTTTCATTTCCCCAGCTCTCCCCAGTTCTCTGCCTTTGCCAAGAATGATGCCTTCAGGTGTTTTCTGTCACCCAGTCAGGGTGTTAAAATGTTGGGTCTCTATAAAACATTGTTGATCTGCCAGGATGTGGGATGTTCATTCAGGGTGTCCTCAAGAGAGGTCTGTCAAATTATAACTTAGAAGTTAAAGTATAGAGATGGTGGTGACCATAGTAGAGAAAGAAAGGAAGTTTCACTCTCTCTCTCTCTGTGTGTGTGTGTGTGTGTGTGTGTGTGTGTGTGTGTGTGTGTTTGTGTGTATGCATGTGTGTGTCTGTGTGTGCATGCCTACATGTGAGTTTTGCTTGTGGAACACACAGTCTGTGTGCTTGTATGTATGTGTTTGCATATGCTCAATGAGTGCTTGTGCAGGCCCCTGTGGTCAAGAAGACATGACTGAACTAAATAACTAAAGAATAGACAGACAGTCTGCTTCCTGCTACTACAAGCACCATCAAAGGAATACAGTACAGTGAACACAGGGCTGTCCTGGACTGAAAAGTCTGGGAAACACTCCCTTTGGGTGCCTCTGGTAAGAATTTGAAAGTTAGCTGTTGTTCATTTCTTCTTAGCTTCAGAGCATGAGGACGCTTGTGAAATACGTAGCAAGTGGCTCATGGGGCTCTTTCCAAATTGAGTTAGGATGTGTGTTCAGTTCTTGAACCTCATCTTATGCAGTGTGCACTTGTGTGTGAATATGAGCTCAAAATTTCCATAAAAGAAGTTTATATTAGAAAAGGTGGAAGCCTTTTCAGGGATATGCAAAGATGGAATTGACAACACCATGAGGCTGAAAATAGTCATGTCTAGGTTGGATGATTCCCTGCATGAGTATAGTAGAGGTAATCCAAACATCACATAATGAATTGAGCCTGTAAGTCCTTTTCCAAAGCTAAGATTCTAGTTTTTATATGTAGCTCTATCTTTAAGATGCTCTTTCTCATTTTTTTTACATTGGATTTTCTGGAGAAGATGAAGAGAATGTCAGTAATGGTCACGAGAAGAATTATCAGCAGAGAATGTTTTAAAATTGAAAGTACTATATTGCTTTGTTTAAAATGTTTGGTCTATTTCATGTCTTCACAGAGATTTGGAATTGTATTAACATATGAGTGTCAGAGAGGTATAGTCTCATCTAAATTTCAGCATTAGACTCCAAGTAGTTTTAAAGTTTGATTAAACATGCTTATAATAATTAGATTCAAAGCTTTTGGAATTCCAGCAGTTTTTTGAAGGATTCAGCATCTAATGAAGTAAAATAAATTGCAGGGCTCTTGGTCAGTGAATAAGCACTTTTGCAGCTAAGAGCTACAATTTATCAATAGGACTCATTACTATTCGACTTGTTTTCTAGCCTTCTTTGAAGGTTTAAGGGCCATTGTCCACTCACACATCAGGTTTAGTCACAGGCTGTTATGAAAAGACATAATTAGTTTTCCAAGGTCTGCAGGACCAGATTCAGTTTTGGAAAATGAGCTGATATGATGGTTTGTGCCCTGTCTTATCAGTCAAAAATGCTAAGATGTGTAGGACAGAGAAAGGTTGTAAAAACGATTAGAGAATTCTGATGATAGCTGTGGGGATTTGGGCTAGAGCCAGCAGGATACTCTCCGCCTGCAGTCTGGTATAAATCAGGACAAAACTGAACACCTAGGCTAGAGTTAGGACAGAGTCCCGGGGACCAAGTCAGACTGAAGGGGTATTATGCCAATGACATCAGAAGGAAATGCCAGAAGAGCAAGGTGAGCCTCCCTAGCCTCATTTCAGCTGTGAGGTGATGGGATACCAGGAACATTAGAAAAAATGGAGCACGAAATAGTTTCAGGTTTGAGCTTCAAGACAATATTGGACCTATGAAGCCAAATCAATCAGTTGATTTCAAGAAGAAGGACTGGACAAGACAGGAGCATTTCCTAATCAATTTATGCAAAACCTCTGTGAAACAGGATCCTCTGGCCATCCAAACTGTTGTTTTAAGTTAAATTTTTGTTTTAATTTTGATGCTCTTAGACATACCCCATGTTTGTTACCTTTGTTTTCTCTTTTTATTAGCCAAAAAGCTTTCTTGTGCTCAGGAAATGTATCTTATTTACTTTTGTGTCTCTAGCAATCACGACAAATGATCATTATTAATAGATGTGTGTGTAAATTATGGCTCACCTTGCATTTGAACTGCCTCCACGTTTGCTGGGATTCCCTTTTAGTGGAGTTCCTCTAAGCCTTTCTCTCTTGGGTTTCTCCTCTGGAGACAATTAGACAGTGGCCTCCTAGAACAAGGCAGTTCAGCCGTTGTAACTCTGCACAGGTGCAAATAAGTAGTTGTATAGCAAATATTTGTCACAAGAATAAACTTGCATTCCTCATCAGTAGGAGTCAAAGAGATAGCTCCCTTTGTAGTGAATAGCAAGTAAAAACAATGTTCTAAATTCAGTAGAAAAAAACAGGCATACACCCGTCACCTCAGTCCTCTCCTTCCCTGTATCTTGAAGCTTTCCCATGTTCTCAAGCTTTCCCTTGAGAATGCGGTTTAAGAATCTGGGTGGATTTTCTTTAGAGTGATGAAAGGTTTAGGGTAAGAAACTGGCAAGGTGTGTTGACAATTCCTGTTCAGTGACATGAGAAAAGAACTGTTAAGAGCATTGCTTCATTTCAACATATCCTTTTTCAACATAGAAGACTGCCCATCCCACCCTGCTAACCTTTCCAGGAAGACAAGATCATTGCCATGGTTACAAACTGCTTAATCAATAGTCTGGGAAACAGTAGCAGCCACTGCTTACTGGCCTAGCTGCTGCCAAGGTCTCTCATTGAGGAGAATGCATCTTCTTCTTCAGCTCCCATTGCCATGACAGCTTCTATTCCATCCAGAGGTTCCCTTGGATGGGATAAAATAAACTTAGATGATTTGAAAAACAAGCATTAAGGGTTAGATAGCTTATTGTAAAACTCAAATCTTCATTTAATTATACATGCATATTTTATAAACAATTTAAAATGCTAACATGAAGATAAGGATAGAGGCATTTGTTTTAAGTTATTCTTGAAAGAATTGTTTCAATTCTTTTTTTTTAAATTTTATTATTATACTTTAAGTTTTAGGGTACATGTACACAACATGCAGGTTTGTTACATATGAATACATGTGCCATGTTGGTGTGCCGCACCCATTAACTCATCATTTAGCATTAGGTATATCTCCTAGTGCTATCCCCCCTGCTCCCCCAACCCCACAACAGTCCCTGGTGTGTGATGTTCCCCTTCCTGTGTCCATGTGTTCTCATTGTTCAATTCCCACCTGTGAGTGAGAACATGAGGTGTTTGGTTTTTTGTCCTTGCGATAGTTTGCTGAGAATGATGGTTTCCAGCTTCATCCATGTCCCTACAAAGGACATGAACTCATCATTTTTTATGGCTGCATAGTATTCCATGGTGTACATGTGCCACATTTTGTTAATCCAGTCTATCATTGTTGGACATTTGGGTTGGTTCCAAGTCTTTGCTATTGTGAATAGTGCCGCAATAAACATACGTGTGTATGTGTCTTTATAGCAGTATGATTTATAATCCTTTGGGTATATATCCAGTAATGGGATGGCTGGGTCAAATGGTATTTCTAGTTCTAGATCCCTGAGGAATCACCACACTGACTTCCACAATAGTTGAACTAGTTTACAGTCCCACCAACAGAGTAAAAGTGTTCCTATTTCTCCACATCCTCTCCAGCACCTGTTTTTTCCTGACTTTTTAATGATCGCCATTCTAACTGGTGTGAGATGGTATCTCATTGTGGTTTTGATTTGTATTTCCCTGATGGCCAGTGATGATGAGCATTTTTTCATGTGTTTTTTGGCTGCATAAATGTCTTCTTTTGAGAAGTGTCTGTTGATATCCTTCACCCACTTTTTGATGGGGTTGTTTGTTTTTTTCTTGTAAATTTGTTTGAGTTCATTGTAGATTCTGGATATTAGCCCTTTGTCAGATGAGTAGGTTGCAAAAATTTTCTCCCATTCTGTAGGTTGCCTGTTCACTCTGATGGTAGTTTCTTTTGCTGTGCAGAAGCTCTTTAGTTTAATTAGATCCCATTTTTCAATTTTGGCTTTTGTTGCCATTGCTTTTGGTGTTTTAGACATGAAGTCCTTGCCCATGCCTATGTTCTGAATGGTATTGCCTAGGTTTTCTTGTAGGGTTTTTATGGTTTTAAGTCTAACATGTAAGTCTTTAATCCATCTTGAATTAATTTTTGTATAAGGTATAAGGAAGGGATCCAGTTTCAGCTTTCTACATATGGCTAGCCAGTTTTCCCAGCACCATTTATTAAATAGGGAATCCTTTCCCCATTGCTTGTTTTTCTCAGGTTTGTCAAAGATCAGATAGTTGTAGATATGCGGCATTATTTCTGAGGGCTCTGTTCTGTTCCATTGGTCTATCTCTCTGTTTTGGTACCAGTACCATGCTGTTTTGGTTACCGTGGCCTTATAGTATAGTTTAAAGTCAGGTAGCATGATGCCTCCAGCTTTGTTCCTTTGGCTTAGGATTGACTTGGCAATGCGGGCTCTTTTTTGGTTCCATATGAACTTTAAAGTAGTTTTTTCTAATTCTGTGAAGCAAGTCATTGGTAGCTTGATGGGGATGGCATTGAATCTATAAATTACCTTGGGCAGTATGGCCATTTTCACGATATTGATTCTTCCTACCCATGAGCATGGAATGTTCTTCCATTTGTTTGTATCCTCTTTTATTTCATTGAGCAGTGGTTTGTAATTCTCCTTGAAGAGGTCCTTCACATCCCTTGTAAGTTGGATTCCTAGGTATTTTATTCTCTTTGAAGCAATTGTGAATGGGAGTTCACTCATGATTTGGCTCTCTGTTTGTCTGTTTTTGGTGTATAAGAATGCTTGTGATTTTTGCACATTGATTTTGTATCCTGAGACTGCTGAAGTTGCTTATCAACTTAAGGAGATTTTGGGTGAGACAATGGGGTTTTCTAGATATACAATCATGTCATCTGCAAACAGGGACCATTTGACTTCCTCTTTTCCTAATTGAGTGCCCTTTATTTCCTTCTCCTGCCTGATTGCCCTGGCCAGAACTTCCAACACTATGTTGAATAGGAGTGGTGAGAGAGGGCTTCCCTGTCTTGTGCCAGTTTTCAAAGGGAATGCTTCCAGTTATTGTCCATTCAGTATGATATTGGCTGTGGGTTTGTCATAGATAGCTCTTATTATTTTGAGATATGTCCCATCAATACCTAATTTATTGAGAGTTTTTGGCGTGAAGGTTGTTGAATTTTGTCAAAGGCCTTTTCTGCATCTATTGAGATAATCATGTGGTTTTTGTCATTGGTTCTGTTTATATGCTGGATTACGTTTATTGATTTGCATATGTTGAACCAGCCTTGCATCCCAGGGATGAAGCCCACTTGATCATGGTGGATAAGCTTTTTGATGTGCTGCTGGATTCAGTTTGCCAGTATTTTATTGAGGATTTTTGCGTCAATGTTCATCAAGGATATTGGTCTAAAATTCTCTTTTTTTGTTGTGTCTCTGCCAGGCTTTGGTATCAGGATGATGCTGGCCTCATCAAATGAGTTAGGGAGGATTCCCTCTTTTTCTATTGATTGGAATAGTTTCAGAAGGAATGGTACCAGCTCTTCCTTGTACCTCTAGTAGAATTTGGCTGTGAATCCGTCTGGTCCTGGACTTTTTTTGGTTGGTAAGCTATTAATTGTTGCTTCAATTTCAGAGCCTGTTACTGGTCTATTCAGAGATTCAACTTCTTCCTGGTTTAGTCTTGGGAGGGTGTATGTGTCGAGGAATTTATCCATTTCTTCTAGATTTTCTAGTTTATTTGCATAGAGGTGTTTATAGTATTCTCTGATGGTAGTTTGTATTTCTGTGGGATCGGTGGTGATATCCCCTTTATCATTTTTTATTGCGTCAATTTGATTCTTCTCTCTTTTCTTCTTTATTAGTCTTGCTAGCGATCTATTAATTTTGTTGATCTTTTCAAAAAACCAGCTCCTGGATACATTGATTTTTTGAAGGGTTTTTTGTGTCTCTATTTCCTTCAGTTCTGCTCTGATCTTAGTTATTTCTTGCCTTCTGCTAGCTTTTGAATGTGTTTGCTCTTGCTTCTCTAGTTCTTTTAATTGTGATGTTAGGGTGTCAATTTTAGATCTTTCCTGCTTTCTCTTGTGGGCATTTAGTGCTATAAATTTCCCTCTACACACTGCTTTGAATGTGTCCCAGAGATTCTGGTATGTTGTGTCTTTGTTCTCATTGGTTTCAAAGAACATCTTTATTTCTGCCTTCATTTTGTTACATACTCAGTAGTCGTTCAGGAGCAGGTTGTTCAGTTTCCATGTAGTTGAGCGGTTTTGACTGAGTTTCTTAATCCTGAGTTCTAGTTTGATTGCACTGTGGTCTGAGAGAGAGTTTTTTATAATTTCTGTTCTTTTACATTTGCTGAGGAGTGCTTTACTTCCAACTATGTGGTCAATTTTGGAATAGGTGCGGTGTGGTGCTGAAAAGAATATATATTCTGTTGATTTGAAGTGGAGAGTTCTGTAGATGTCTGTATTAGGTCCACTTGGTGCAGAGCTGAGTTCAATTCCTGGATATCCTTGTTAACTTTCTGTCTTGTTGATCTGTCTAATGTTGACAGTGGGGTGTTAAAGTCTCCCATTATTATTGTGTGGGAGTCTAAGTCTCTTTGTAGGTCACTAAGGACTTGCTTTATGAATCTGGGTGCTCTTGTATTGGGTGCATATATATTTAGGATAGTGAGCTCTTCTTGTTTAATTGATCCCTTTACCATTATGTAATGGCCTTCTTTGTCTCTTTTGATGTTTGTTGGTTTAAAGTCTGTTTTATCAGAGACTAGGATTGCAACCCCTGCCTTTTTTTCTTTTCCATTTGCTTGGTTGATTTTCGTCCATCCCTTTATTTTGAGCCTATGTGTGTCTCTGCATGTGAGATGGGTCTCCTGAATACAGCACACTGATGGGTCTTGACTCCTTATCCAATTTGCCAGTCTGTGTCTTTTAATTGGAGCATTTAGCCCATTTACATTTAAGGTTAATATTGTTATGTGTGAATTTGATCCTGTCATTATGATGTCAGCAGGTTATTTTGCTCGTTAGTTGATGCAGTTTCTTCCTAGCCTTGATGGTCTTTACAATTTGGCATGTTTTTGAAGTGGCTGGTACCGGTTGTTCCTTTCCATGTTTAGTGCTTCCTTCATGAGCTCTTTTATGGCAGGCCTGGTGGTGACAAAATCTCTCAGCATTTGCTTGTCTGTGAAGTATTTTATTTCTCCTTCACTTATGAAGCTTAGTTTGCTGGATGTGAAATTCTGGGTTGAAAATTCTTTTCTTTAAGAATGTTGAATGTTGGCCCCCATTCTTTTCTCGCTTGTAGAGTTTCTGCCGAGAGATCAGCTGTTAGTCTGATGGGCTTCCCTTTGTGGGTAACCCGACCTTTCTCTCTGGCTGCCCTTAATATTTTTTCCTTCATTTCAACTTTGGTGAATCTGACAATTATGTGTCTTGGAGTTGCTCTTCTCGAGGAGTATCTTTGTGGCGTTCTCTGTATTTCCTGAATTTGAATGTTGGCCTGCCTTCCTAGATTGGAGAAGTTCTCCTGGATAATATCCCGCAGAGTGTTTTCCAACTTGGTTCCATTCTGTCCGTCACTTTCAGGTACACCAATCAGATGTAGATTTGGTCTTTTCACAGAGTCCCATATTTCTTGGAGTCTTTGTTCATTTCTTTTTATTGTTTTTTCTCTAAACTTCTCTTCTCACTTCATTTCATTCATTTCGTCTTCCATCGCTGATACCCTTTCTTCCAGTTGATCGCATTGCCTACTGAGGCTTATGCATTCGTCACGTAGTTCTCGTGCCATGGTTTTCAGCTCCATCAGGTCCTTTAAGTACTTCTCTGCATTGGTTATTCTAGTTAGCCATGCACCTAATTTTTTTTCAAGGTTTTTAACTTCTTTGCCATTGGTTCGAACTTCCTCCTTTAGCTCGGAGTAGTTCGATCTTCTGAAACCTTCTTCTCTCAACCTGTCAAAGTTAGTCTCCATCCAGCTTTGTTCCATTGCTGGTGAGGAGCTGCATTCCTTTGGAGGAGGAGAGGCACTCTGATTTTTAGAGTTTCCAGTTTTTCTGCTCTGTTTTTTCCTCATCTTTGTGGTTTTATCTACCTTTGGTCTTTGATGATGGTGACGTACAAATGGGTTTTTGGTGTGGATGTCCTTTCTGTTTGTTAGTTTTCCTTCTAACAGTCAGGACCCTCAGCTGCAGGTCTGTTGGAGTTTGCTGGAGGTCCACTCCAGACCCTGTTTGCCTGGGTATCAGCAGCGGTGGCTGCAGAACAGCGGATATTGGTGAACCGCAAATGCTGCTGCCTGATCGTTCCTCTGGAAGTTTTGTCTCAGAGGAGTACCCGGCCATGTGAGGTGTCAGTCCGCCCCCACGGGGGGGTTGCCTCCCAGTTAGGCTACTCGGGGATCAGGGACCCACTTGAGAGGCAGTATCCCCGTTCTCGGATCTCAAGCTGCGTGTTGGGAGAACCACTACTCTCTTCAAAGCTGTCAGACAGGGACATTTAAGTCTGCAGAGGTTACTGCTGCCTTTTGTTTGTCTGTGCCCTGCCCTCAGAGGTGGAGCCTACAGAGGCAGGCAGGCCTCCCCGAGCTGTGGTGGGGTCCACCCAGTTCGAGCTTCCTAGCCGCTTTGTTTACCTACTCAAGCCTCGGAAATGGCAGGCGCCCCTCCCCCAGCCTCGCTGCTGCCTTGCAGTTTGATCTCAGACTGCTGTGCTAGCAATGAGGGAGGCTTCGTGGGCATAGGACCCTCTGAGCCAGGTGCGGGTTATAACCTCCTGGTGTGCCGTTTGTTAAGCCTGTTGGAAAAGCGCAGTATTCGGGTGGAAGTAACCCGATTTTCCAGATGCCATCTGTCACCCCTTTCTTTGACTAGGAAAGGGAATTCCCTGACCCCTTGCACTTCCCAGGTGAGGCAATTCCTCACCCTGCTTCAGCTCACGCACGGTGCATTGCACCCACTGTCCTGCACCCACTGTCCGGCACTCCCCAGTGAGATGAACCCGGTACCTCAGTTGGAAATGCAGAAATCACCCGTCTTCTGCGTGGCTCATGCTGGGAGCTGTAGCCTGGAGCTGTTCGTATTCGGCCATCTTGACTCCACCCCCCGAATTGTTTCAATTCTTATGGTGGTTAAAAAACACAGATTCATTAAGAATAAGTCCTGACTAATTTAGTTAGTTTTCTTTTTCTACCAGTTTTACCATTTACTAGCTGAGTTTTTAGTAGCTTAGTTTTCTGGACCCCAGAAAAAGCTAATGAGATCTTGGGTTGCATTAATAAGTACAAAGTGGGCAGACCAAGGGAGGAGATAGTCCTGTATCTGCTTAGTTACAACCCTGCATGTTGGAATACATTGATAAACTGGCAGATATAGGAAGAAAGTGAGCAAAGTTGTGTAGTGGTCAGAAATCCTCTCTTGCGAGAAACAATTGAAGCAACCAATTTCATTCATCCTGGAGATGAATTTACTTGGGAGAACCATGTTAAATACCTTTGGAGTTTTAAATGACTGGTATGTAGGCAAGGGGCTGAGTATTAATGTAATGTCAGAAGGCTGAAGAAGTTCCAATGTGGTGTGTGGTCACCAAAATGCAGATTGCAGATCAGTTTAGAGAATTTTCAGCAGGTTCATCTAAACTTCGTATTTCTGGTGCCTCCATTATAGGAACAATTGCCAAGTTTGCTTATGTTTTTACTCTTTCCTTCAAAAAAAAAAAAAAACATTTATCAAACTGTGATCTGGAGACAACCTGCTACAGATTCACGGGGTGGAGAGATGGAAGATGGAAGAACCAAGAGAGACAGTAAAAAATCATATTACTGGGCCCGACCCTAGAACTATAGTATCAGAGTCTTTGGGTCTGTGGCCATTGAATCTTTATTTTTTTTGTTGTTGTTGAGATGAAGTCTTGCTCTGTCGCCCAGGCTGGAGTGCCATGGTGCAATCTCAGCTCACTGCAACCTCCACCTCCCAGATTCAAGCAATTCTCCTGCCCCAGCCTCCCAAGTAGCTGGGATTACAGGTGCCTGCCCCTATGCCCAGCTACATTTTTTTTGTATTTTTAGTAGAGATGGGGTTTCACCATGTTGGTCAGGCTGGTCTCGAACTCCTGACCTCAGGTGATCCACCCGCCTTAGCCTCCCAAAGTGCTGGGATTACAGATGTGAGCCACTGCTCCCAACCATGCATCTGAATTTTAAACAGGCTTTACTGATGCTTACTAAAGTTTGCAGACACTATAGGTAATACATCCTGAATTCTGACAAGCAGATCGTTCTTCAAATACTGCTTTCGTTCCTGGTTCAACAATTTACTTGTTAGCTTTCTAAGGTTTAAATTCCTCACCAGTAGTTTTAGTAGCCTTGATAATCTTGTCTGTCTCACTTTTTAAGGTTCTCTCCAGCCACCATCTTGCCTGTCCTTCAAGTCTTGGTATCTTCACAGAACGTCTTCAAGCATTTTCTATTTACTATATTTGTTTTTTTTCACACATTCTGAAATCCTCCTAGTCAATGTCATGAGACTACTCTTGAACTTTGTGAGTTCCACTATCACTTGGGGCATGCAGGTCTTCTCTCTCCAACAGGTAAGAGGGGTCTTTGAAACACCCGGCATAGTGCCCAGCTCAAGGTATTCCAGGTGTTTGGTGCTTAAAGCCACATTTTAGGCTGTTTATGGCAACTCTTCGTCTGAGGCTTGAATCTCTTGTATCAAGTGGTTAATCAAAGTTCAGCACTCTCATCAACATTGGTGGAAACCTTCAACCTTCTGAGCATACATCTTCCACCTCCAGCTTTGGAGAAGTTGGACCTGAGACATTTTTTCATTTTGAGCAAAGATCATTTTTCCCTCTAACTTCCAGTTGTCAGTCTAGGAGTCTGCTAAGTCTTCATAGAACATATTTCATAAATACCTGCTATAAAAACATCCCTTTGTTTCTCATAAGCCTCATTAAACTTACTCTTCTGATGTGTTTATGGGACTTCTGGCTGTTGTAAGTCTGATTAGAAAGGAGAGGATTGTTTGATATGAAATAAAGTATCCAAGTGAAATGTTGTCTTTTTACTTTTTTGAGAAATATCTAGTGGATATTTCAGAGGATTTAAAATAGCTCTTATGTTTCCCTACCCTTAGCATATTAACTACCACAACAAAAAGATTTGGAAAATGTCCATTTTGATGCATTTCCATTTGATAATACATTCACAGTGAACATTCTAAAATGCTTTGTGATTGCCAGATGACAGGCCCACACTGTCAACCTAAGTTCTGTAAGAGCCAAATTGATAACATTGAAACAGTTGACACTGTACATTATGATTTTAATCTGCCAAACCATCTCACACTGACTCCTAAAATTAAAAATAAATATCACACCTATGGCAATTTTCACTTGAGCTGATTCTTTTTTATTATTTTTATCTTCTTCTGAAACTTTCATTCAGAAACCTGAAGTGAATACATTTGTTTAATCAAGTCTATGCGTGATAGCCTAATCCCAATTCTCCTCCTAATAGCGAAAGGAAGAATCATTGAAACAAAATGGTTTGGGCAGTAATTCAGGTGCCATCCTTCATGTACAGAAATGTGTTATCAGCGGGATGCTTGCTTTACATCTGTCCTCTGCAGCAGAGGCGGATCATGGCAAGGCAGCATGGCAGCATATCTCCTCTCTGGCTCCTCCTGTGATCAGTGTGTATTTAAGGGACAGTTAATTGATTAGAGATACACCAGACAATGGAATCTTCTTTGTTCTTGAGTTTCAAGTACATAGATTCCCAAGGGTGTAGAAATATGTTGGTTCACTTCCTCTTCACCAGGTTGGCAAGGGAGGGAGTCTCACCCTAGGGTTCTAGGGGTGACTGAACGTCCTAGACTAGGGAAGTCTGCTCTTGTAGATTCTTATAGGACCATGCAATGTTTCTGCATGTGATGTCTCATAGCTGTTAATTTTAATTTTTTTGTGGTTATTTTATTCATTTCTGGCTCCCCTATCAGCAAACTGGGCACAGGCACCATGTGTGTGTGGCTTTGCTCCCTCTTGAGTTGCAGTCTCTCTGACAGTACCTAGTGCCCGATATAAGGTTAGTAGGCAATGAGTATTTGTTGAATCATTGAAGGCATCCACTCAGTATTACAACTAATGTTTCATTCCAATCTTTCTCATATCTTCCTCTTCCCAGAATTGCTGTCTGATTCACCCTCTGAGTGTGTCTTGACTCATGTTGACAGTAGCCTCCAGAAGGAGAATCCTTCCACCTTGGCCTTGTCCCATATGCTGCTGCCAGACTCATCTTCTCCAAACTGTTTTGATCATATTGCTCTCCAGGACAATCTGGCCAATGCTTCACCCCTACAGGTCCCTGGTGCTTCCCTCGTTCTTTGATTCCTCCTGTAGGCAAGGCCTGCCCTATTTCTCAGCAATCCAACCTGCAATCCACTAAATTTGTTTATTTATTTATTTATGTATTTATTTAGAGACAGAGTCTTCTTGCTCTATTACCCAGGCTGGAGTTCAGTGGCATGATCTCAGCTCACTGCAACCTCTGCCTCCTGGGTTCAAGTGATTTTCCTGCCTCAGCCTCCTGAGTAGTTGGGACTACAGGCATGCACCACACACCCAGCTAATTTTTGTATTTTTAGTAGAGACGGGGTTTCACCATGTTGCTCAGGCTGGTCTTGAACTCCTGACTTCAAGTGATCCGCCAGCCTCAGCCTCCCAATGTGCTGGGATTTCAGATGTGAGCCACTGCACCCTGCCCTAGTCCACTAAATAAATGTAAAAAGCAACTATGTGTCAGGGACGATGGGATAAAAGGGTGATCGTGACGTAGGCCCTTCCACAGACTGGATCATAGTTCAGGACAGTGGGGGGCAGACCTAGAGCAAATACTGCAATGTGACGTGAGTTCTATTCCAGAAGCACTACCAGTGCTGCAAGAGTCCCAGTGAGTGAGGTCGGAGAGCAGCTTCAGTAGCTCCTGCTCATATGTGGGGGCCATCTCTGCACTGTCCCACCCTGGCATTGACCTACAGTCACATATACTGAGTTTCCTGTCCTTGATTTTTAGTACCTCTTTATTAGTCCACTCCAGCCACCATAACAAAGTGCTGCAGACTTGGGGGCTTAAAGAATAAAACTATTTTCTCACAGTTCTGGAGGCTGAAAAGTCCCAGATTGGGGTGTCAGAAAATCTGGTTTCTGGTGACAGCTTTCTTCTGGCCTTTCAAACAGCCATTTTCTTGCTATGTCCTCATATGGACTTTACTTTCTGCATGAGTTCACAGAAATAGAATTCTGGTGTCTCTTAATCGTCTTAGAAGGACACGAGTCCTACTAAGTTAAGGCCCCACCCTAATTACCTCATTTTGCCCGTATTACCTTTTTATAAGCCCTGTCCCTAAATGCAGGCATATTGGAGGTTAGGGCTTCAACATATGAATTCCAAGAGGGGTATAATTTAGTCTATAACAATCCAAGTGTAAGGCACCTGCTATATGAATCAGCTCTGACTGCCTGCAAGTTAGTATCCCCATCTAACCAGATGAGCAGTCCTTGGCTTCTGTGTGTCTACTACCAATTCATAGGTGTTATTTTCATGGTGTGTGCACACACCTGAGTGAGTTCTACACAGTCCCAGTGTTGTCTGTAACCCTAGGCAGCTTAAATAATGTTTTGTTTTGTTTTGTTTTTGATTTTTTGAGACAGAGTCTCACTCTGTTACCCAGGCTGGAGTGCAGTGGCGTGATCTTGGCTCACTGCAATCTCTGCCTCCCGGGTTCAAGTGATTCTCTCGCCTCAGTCTCCTGAGTAGCTGGGATTACAGGCGCCTGCCACCATGGCGGCTAACTTTTGTATTTTTAGTAGAGATTGGGTTTCGCCATGTTGGCCAGGCTGGTCTGAAACTCCTGACCTCAGGTGATCCACCCTCCTTGGCCTCCCAAAGTGCTGGGATTATAGGCATGATCTCTCATAACTGTTAATTATAACAGCTATGTGAAGCACTGTGCCTGGCCTGAATAATGTTTTTAAGCCTCACTTTTCTCACAGTAATACTAGATTGCCAATCTCTCAGGCATGTTGGGGGGATTGCCTTCAATAACATATGCAAAGCGCTAGAATGTGTTCAAACATGTACTTAGCTCCGCTCAAGAGTTGGTTCTCCACTCGAATCCTGCCCTTGCTACTCTTATTTATCAGCTAAGCTTTTGGAGGACAATACTTATGCTTTCTCCTATCCCTCTATCTTTCTAATAAAGACTCCTGTCCCAAAGGCAGATAGATGGAATGCCTGACTGAAGGCAAAGTGGGATGAGAGAGGAGAGAGAACAAATCCAAACAGCAAAAAGGAGCAGCCTACAGGGAAGCCCCTATTGTCCAGAAAATGCTACAGAGAGTCTCTGTTTGGTCTTTGCAGCCAAGAACGCTAAAAAAACTTCTAACCGACAATAAACCATTCCCACTGGCAGAATACAATTTTGTTTGTTGTTACACTAGTCATTCATGAGGAATATCTTTGCTTTGTTCTGGGTCATTTACCTTGAGTTGGAAAGATGCGAAATGAATTAGCCCAGAGGCCAGGAGTGGGGAGATATGATTTGTATTAATATTTTTTGAGATATGATGTTGGTATGCAACCATAATAAGCAGCACATTGAAAAGTTAATTCAGCAGCAGTAATTCTGAGAAGTAATGCAACTTATTTGTCACTAAGGAGGACTGCATAGCCAAGTGATTTCTTTATGCATTTTAAAGTGTTTTTAAACCCTTGGGTAGCTATAGTCAATTTTTAAACATGTTTCCTCATTAATTTTGAATTTGTAAATGTACATTGTACAGGAGTGTTTTAATCATCTGGGGAGGCTGCTTCACAGATGGCTCTTGTGTGACCTAAAATTTCAATGATTGTAATGAATCAGAATGGATGATGGTAAACTTGCTTGGAGATTTGCTGATTGTCAACAGTTTTACAGTTTTGCTACTGTTCTTGAAAGTTTCGTGCTTCTTCAAAATGAAAGGAAAGCAATTGTAATGGGACCGTCAGGACCAGGAGTTGCCTAAATGAAATAATTTCAGTCAGTTCCTTACTATTCTCTGTGGAATTCTTTTCAGTAAAATACACCAACAGAATGATTGATCATGTTGAATCTAACACATGTGTAGAGAGTGAGTCATCGGCTCTCCAGGCCTACACGTGACAGGCCATTTCATGCCTCTCTGTGATACTATATGCAGTCCTAATTAAAATATGAGAAAATCTAACAAGAAATGCTCTAGTGAATTACTTATGCCAATGTTCTCCTTCTGTGGCACCAGAAGTTGAGAATTGCCTAGGCAAAGGGTTTATCAGGTACATAAAGCTTTACCTATCACTGTTAAAGACTTAACTTGGCTGAGTGCAGTAGCTCACACGTATAATCTCAACACTTTGAGAGGCTGTGGCAGAAGGATTGCTTGAGACCAGGAGTTCGAGACCAGCCTGGGCAACATAGTGAGACCCCATCTCTACAAAGAATAACAACAACAGCAACAAAAATAGCCAGGCATGGTTGGCGCATGGCTGTGGTCCCAGCTATTTGGGAGGCTGAGGATCTCTTGAGCCTAGGAGGTGGAGGCTGCAGTGAGCCATGATCGATCATGCCACTGCACTCCACCTTGGGCAACAGAGGGAGATCTTGTCTCAAAAAAAAAAAAGATTGAACTTAAAATGCATCTAGAAACCAGAATTATAATAGACAAATCCATTTATGAGACCCCTAGTTCTGTTTGTTTGTGCTAGAATCATGTGTGTGTTTCACCCCAGGCTTTACCGTGCAATCTGCCTGCAGCACAGTGCAGGCAAAAGAAGATGGTCTGGGACATTAGAGTCACACATGTTCTCACTTACTAGTGTTACCCACACAACAGGTGGGTTCAATCGCTTGGCAGGTAACAGTCCAATGACAATGAAGGAGGATTTAACAAGGGGGTTTTATTACTTGCCACAGGTAAGGAGGATACCGGGGATAGGTCCCAAAGCAATGCCTCCCCTAACAAAGGTGAACACAGGGCTTTTATTGGGCTGGTTAACTGAGTCGTTGTATGTAGAGGTGGCATATAGGCAGCACAGGCACAGCCACTGATCGTGCCTCTACACACGTCAAATGTATAGGAAATGGCAAGTAGGCTTCTCCCTGGGTTTGGAGGTTAGTATGGTAATGAGTGGAGTTTGCCAAAGTTCATCTCCAACTCAGGCATCTCTGGATCCCATCAGTTTGGTTTTTCCTGGGCTGAGCTTCTTCCTAGAGCTTTTTTGAAACAAGAACTCAAGGTGCAACGTTACAAGTGGATACATTTTCACAATAATGCATCTCCAAAACCCAGCAACCCTGGGTTACACTATCTATGTGTATCTGTGCATAAATTAGCCTTTCTGAATTTTGGTTTTTTGGAACAGAGGATGGTTAACTCTGCCAAGTGGAGAGGCTGTGGTGGTGAAGTAGCACGTTTAATCCTGGCACAGAACACACTCCACAAGTAGTAGCTCTTTCCTAGTCTCTTACTATCCTCGTTCTCTGTAAGAGGTGGCCCCCAGACTGCACATTTCAAGGCCTCGTGCATTCCAAGAACCTCCACCTTTAATCTCTATGTTCTCCGATTAACAATTCTTAGGAAATTCTGGAGCCTGCCATTCGCTGGCAGGTGCTTGAAACTCCAGATTCCTAATGCTGCTGAGGCTCTCCAGGAGGGAACTCCAGGAGAGGCGCCTGGCGTAAGATGAGGCCAGGATATTCACTGTCAGGTTATCCCAGGCATTCTAGTAGGAGTCTCAGTACTGAAGTGGGACACACAACGCTTGTCCTTTGGGGGCCCTGGCAGGGAAAAGTTACTTCTCATTCCCTATTTGAGCAGGTACTGGTGTAAAAGCTGTGCTGAGCATGACATTGAGCACCAGCCTAGAAGACTCATCTTCACCTAAATTATGGGTCATTACTGTTCATCTTTTCTGACCATTCATCACTCCCAACAGTGCCCTGTTGATAGAGACAGAAGGCAGAGAAACTCTAGGCAGACAGGGCAGGTCCCTGGTGAAGTCCCACCTTCCAGCCGTAAAGCGTGAAACCCATGGCCCAAAGTGAGAACTTCTATCCCTGTGTGCCCACTCTCTCCTGATTGGTTCTTTCTGAATAATGTCTTTTTTACCAATTGAATGTTGCCTTTTCTCAAACTACCTATGGCTCACCCTGCTCCCCATCCTGTGCCTATAAAGACCGTAGACTCAGTCAGTAGAGAGAGAAACAGCTTGACTCGAGAGAGGGAACTTGATTTCAGGGGGATGGTTGGCCCTAGGAGGAGAGATGGCTCTTGATTTCAGGGGGATGGTTGGCCCTAGGAGGAGAGATGGCTTAACTTCAGAAAAGAGCCAGACAGAGATGGCCGGACATCAGGGAAGATTACCTGCCCATCCTGTCGCCTCTCCTGCTCCCCTCTCTGCTGATAGCCATTTCCATCACTTAATAAAATTCTCTGCCTCACCATCCTTCAAGTGTCTGGGCAACCTCATTCTTCTTGGATGCCGAACAGAGCTCAGGACTCACGGAGTGTGGTGCCCAACAAAGGCTGTCACACTGGCACTTTGCCCTTGCTGGCAGAGGGCCGTCACCCCACCGGATGAGGCAAGGGCCCCACTGAGCTGATAACACACTACTGTCCATGGACGGCAGAGCTAATAGAGCACTGTAACACACCCTCTGGGGTTTTGGGGGTTGCAGACACCCCACCTGGGCACCACCATGGGGCCTGCATGGAGCCTGCTCCTGCTGGAGTCCAAAGCTGCTGGCCGGATTCTGAACTCGCTTGCTCATGTGATCCCTCCCACAAGAGGTTGAGTGGGGCGGGCAGAGTAAGTTGGCACCCCTGTCACAAGTCTGATGAAGGGGTCGAGAAAAACTCCTGCACTGCTTTCACCTAGCGGGCCCAGTGCCTTTCCTGGGCCCTGAGCCAGTCCTGATAGAGAGAAGAAAAAGGACATTTAATAAGGTTTATGCTTCTTGGTTGAATGTGTTACTCTTCCCAGAGAGTTTTCATTTTAATGAGAATCAAGCAGAGTAAAAAACCAAAGGAATGAAACATCTAGTAGTGGAATATCAAATAAGAGGAGCCCAGAGGGGAGCAGCCTTGGGTAGCCTAGGCTTTGGGGCCCTGAGGAAGGTGGTCTCCACTGACCTACCTAAGAAGGCTGTCACATTGGAAACAGTTTTGTTCCTTATGCAGCAAGTATGTAGGTATAGGCTAGTGTTTAAATATCAGGACCCACATTAACCAGAACACCCAGTAAAATCACTATGCTGCCCCCTACCCTATTCCTTTGGCAGATGGTCTCAAGAGAAGTCCACTCTCAGTGACAGCAATGGCAAATAGCTATGCTGCCACCCCTGTCTCCCATGCCTGGCACATGCCACTCCTCCATCCCAGTTGACTTTCCTGCTGAGCCCATGCTCATTCAGGATCCTTCTCAACCCTGTGTCCCAGGCAAATATTATTGTTTCATCAGATTTTACTAATGCGATAAAATCGATCTGCCTTCCTCAGGCTATGATTTGCACATTCTAGATAAAGTAGGCTGCACAATCAATGTTGTCTCCCATTTTGCTGATTTTACTCACTTTAGAGATGGCAAGCAGCTTTCCCAAGGTCATCCGGTGGTTTATGGCAGAAAGACACCTCAAAATGGGATCTGACCTCTTCAAACCCTACACTTGTCTACTCCGTGTAGCTGTTTCCTTGAAATCACAAGTGCTTCTTGCTTTTTTGTTTACACACTTTATGAGATGTTAACACAAAGGTACTGCTCCCAAGGGTGTAGATTTTCACTAAACAAAACACACACCAGTTATTTGCTTAGCAAATGGCATGGGCTTAGGATTCATGTGTGACCCCATAAAAATTAGGAATTATCTGACATACCTCATCACATACTTCCCTTTGAAAAGCTGCCTCCACCGACTGGGACCCTGGTCATTAGAATAAACATACTGGTTTTGATGATGATAAAGTCCAAGTGAGCCCCAGTTTTAGGATTGTTCCATGAACAAAGTGTTTTATTTGCACTGTCAAATTGAAATAAGCTATAAGAACAAACTTATTGGGCTGGGCATGGTGGCTCACGCCTGTAATCCCAGCACTTTGGGAGGCTGAGGCCGGTGGATCACGAGGTTGGGAGACTGAGGCCATCCTGGCCAACATGGTGAAACCCCATGTCTACTAAAATACAAAAAACATTAGCCAGGCATGGTGGAGAGCGCCTGTAGTCCCAGCTACTTGGGAGGCTGAGGCAGGAGAATTGCTTGAACCTGGGAGGTGGAGGTTGCAGTGAGCGGAGATTGCACCACTGCACTCCAGCCTGGGTGACAGAGTGAGACTCTGTCTCAAGAAACAAACAAACAAACAAACAAACAAACAAGAACTTATTGACTCCCAGGATAGCCTCTGTCATACAGAGCCTCTGGTCTCCAGACCAGCACTACATTGTCACTGGGGAGTATACTTTCAAAATATTTGGTATTCTGAATTCTAGGAAATGGCCGAGTACAGCATAATGTTCTCTGCTTCTCAAAAACCTTCTGTTTGGCGTGGAAACACATGCTCTGATCTGTATGTCAAGTTTTTCTGTGTGTGGCTCTTCAATCAAATTACCCAATATGGGACTATTCATGGGGAGCTCTTCTGAGAACTGAGTTGGAACTCAGAGGCTGGCCAACTCCCAGGGCTCTCCTGGCTCCCCACCCACGGTGCTCACTAAATGCTTTTTTTACTTCCTCCACCAGTTCTCGTCATCTTAAAATCTAACTCAAGTCATGGTTGTCTATGTGACTTGTTGACTAGTCTAACCTGTATTAATCCTTTTTTAATCTGAATTAATACAGTGTACATTTTGATAAGAGCTGCTTTTTATGGTTGATTGTGTGCGCACTGCGTTACCGTAGGATCCCATTCACAGTGTTGTCACTGAAAATTTGTATAGTTATCACTACATCATTCCAGCATACAATAGGAGAGTGCCTTGAAGAAGGGGTACTTTGTTAATGCACACGACGGTGCCATATTGAATAGTGAAAGAGCTACCCACCAGTTCCAACTGCCCAGTCAGACCCTGGGAATTATCTTGTTCTTCTCTACAGGGCACACACCTTGAGGTCTAGAGGAAACAATCATTGAGTGGGTATCTATTAGGTTTCCAGAAACTGGGCTGGGCAATATGTTACCTCCCTTCATTCTGTTAATAATTATAAAGTTTGAGAATTGTCTCTTTATTTTAGAGGTTAAAATGTAAGTAATTTTTTCAGTTATGTAGCTGATCATGACAGAGCATTGATTTGAACTCCAATCTTCCTCATTTCAAAGTCCACATTCTTTGCCTCATATCCCATTAGTCCCCAGTATATATGGCACAGGGATCATGCCTCTGTGGATTCTCAATAAATGCTATGAGAATTAATTAGCTAAAGAAGAGTAGCAGAGAGCAGTTCATGGGTCATCAGGGTTTTGTTTATAGCCTGTAGAGTTTAGCTGTCCTTTCCTGTGGTGTAGGTGAGAGAAAAAATACTGAAGTGGACCATGTGGACCCATAGCTACTTGGAGCCTCAGCATCAGGACTTACCATCCAATCTTACATCTTCAGAATTTCCAGGTCTTCCCCTGTGTGGAAGTGGCACCACTGTAGTAGCATGGAAGGTTGATTGGAACTTGGTGGATATTAACTGAAACATCTTAGAAACTCTCTGGAACCCAGAGATGAAACTTTGGTTGAAACTCATTAGAGGAGGATTGTATTAGTCCATTTTCATGCTGCTGATAAAGACATACCCAAGACTAGGTAATTTATAAAGGAAAGAGGTTTAATTGACTCACAGTTCAGCATGGCTGGGGAGGCCTCAGGAAACTTATGATCGTGGTGGAAGGGGAAGCAAACATGTCCTTCTTCACATGGTGGCAGGAAGGAGAAGTGCTGAGCAAATAGGGAAAAGCCCTTTATAAAACCATCAGATCTTGTGAGAACTCACTCATTATCACAAAAACAGGAGCATGGGGGTAACTGCCCCCATGATTCAATTACCTCCCACCGGTTCCCTCCTGCAACATGTGGGAATTATGGGTACTACAATTCAAGATGAGATTTGAGTGGGGACACAGCCAAAACATATCAAGGATACTTTTAAAATCTTCTACATTCTGTTTTATTATTCAGCATCTCACATTTAAAATGTTTAGGCAATATGGTTCTGTGAGCAAGGGTGCCTGCCTGGGGGCTATGACTACATGAGAAATTGGTTTGCTGCAATAAACAGAGGCCTGGATGTGGCAGGAAACTCACATTCCAATGCAAGCCCTGCACATGACCAGCTGTCCTCTCTGGCCAGTCACTTCAGCTCTCCACATTTACTTATATATAGAATGTGGAAAATAATCTCTTCCCTTTACCTATGAAGGGCTTGATGTTGAGGTAAAATATTTCTTTTCTTTTTTGAGACAGGATCTAGCTTCTGTTGCCCAGGCTAGAGTGCAGTGTGGCAAGATTATGGCTCACTGCAGCCTCAAACTCCTGGGCTCAAGCAATCCTCCTGCCTCAGCCTCCCAAGTAGCTGAAACCACAGGCATGCACCACCACGCTAGGCTAATTGTTTTACGTTTTGTAGAGATGGGGTCACAATATGTTGCCCAGACTGATCTCAAGCAACCTTCCTGTCACAGCCTCCCAAAGTACTAGGATTATAGGCATGAGCCACTGTGTTTAGCCTAAAAATATATTTTTACGTAGAGGTGTTTTGAAGTTTGCTAGTGGCAAATGCTTATCACTATATGGCTAATAATAATATTTAGCCATTCATTTTGGATATCCAATAAGTATTATTAAGATCTATCTTTCACAGGTACTGTTCTAGGCACTGATGATACCTAGTTGAAAGAGATGCAAATGGTACCTGTTCTTGAAGAACTTATATTTGAGTGAGGGTAGATACAATATAAAAATTTAGTAAACTGTTTATAACAAGAAATAAATGTACAATATAGTTTCAAATAATAATAAGGATTTAAAGTAAGACAGGGCGATGAGATAAAGTAGGGGTGGGGCCTCATCTGGCTGGCTACCTGTTATTGTACTGCCTTGGGGCAGAGATTTGTTTTTACATTTTTAAATGGCTAACATTTAAAAAATAAAGATCTCTTGATATGTGAAATTATATTAAATTGAAATTTTGATATTCATACTTAAATTTTTGTTAGAACACAAATACTCTCATTCAATGGCAGAATTATTTGCAACAGAGATCATAAAAAATATTTACTATTTATATTACTATTTGACCTTTCATAGAAAAAGATTTACTGATTGCTGTGATGGACTGTGATGGGGATATAATTTGTCTAGGTTGGTCAGAAAAAGGCTTTACAGGTTTCCATCATCACCATTATTATCTTCATCATCATAATTATTATTTTATATCTTCTAGATGAGTAATCTCTGACAAACTATTTAAGCCATCATTGTCACATTCAGAACAGATAAACTTTAAATTCCTGCTTGATTTTGTGACCCTTTGAATGATGTATAGTCAAGTTTCTCTCTGTTAGAAGTTGTTATATTTGTTTAAGTATCCCCAGCAAAATTTTCATCCTTCCCAGCTTCTCTTTGCCACCTACCTGCATTTTTGCGCACCCTATTCTGTTGTCAGATGGTGTGTGCCAACAAATTGTATTAGTCTAAAGAAAACATAATTATGAAGGTAAAACTGATACAAAATAAGGTCATTTGCTGAGCCAAATATAAATTATATTTGGATCACCTGTTGTTTGGGATTTTCTGCCTCAGTACTCCACCCATTAGAGAGCTAATCAGGAGCCAGCTGTGACTGTGACTGGAGCAGTATCTTACCTGTGAGTTGCGTAAAGGCTGGCTGGTGCAATGATTAGCCGATGCCATCTATCAGCCAGTGCTGTGTGGCTGTCATGCCCCAGTGCTGAGGTGTGCTTTACAGAGATCTGGGAGCCTCTTCAGGCATATTTCTGGGGCGAGGAGTGTACCACATTTTACCCAAGAGGAAAGACAAGGAAAGTCAGGGAAATGTAGGAAGTAAATGAATTTAAGTGAAAATCTGGAGATGTAGGCTTTTGGGTTATACATATAATTTGATACTGTGAAACATTCAGTGGATCTTCATGTGGGAATAACTGTACATTTAACTTCTAATGACAGATAACCAGTGGCAAAAAAAGCTATTTTTAAATGCGTTAATCACAATTGTATTGACGTACATTGAGGACAGAGCAGTACAGGCGTACACAAGTTATTTTTATTCAGTAAACAGTTCTTGGTGTGCATATGGATTTGAATTTTCTTTTCTATAAATTGCAGATCTGCCATGAGTCTGTAGTCCATAGATTGGGAGTCATTCTTCCGGATCAGGAATCAGCAAGCTATAGCTAGTGGGCCAAATCTGGCCCACCACCTGTTTTAGTAAATAAAGTTTTATTGGAACACAGCCACGCTCATTTGTTTACTTATTGTTTATGGCTGCTTTTGCACTGTAATGGCAGAGTTGAGTAGTTGTGACAGAAACCATCTGGCATGTAAGCCAAAAAACATGTATTATCTGGCCCTTTACAGAAAAAGTATGGGACCCTTGCATTCAGTTATTGTTTTCTCATGGACAAGAGTGGGTTTTTAAAAAGATATTTAAATCCCCGTGTATCATAAATATGCAAGTACTATCTGGTAAGGTGGAAGAAAATATGATAAAAACATTCATGGGATTCTGGAATATTAATTCTGGATATTGTGTGCATTTCTGGAATAACAAAGCTAAAGAATATTTCATTATTTATACAGGCAATTCCTTTGCCTCTATGGCCACCTATTTATTCAATCTACTTAAAAGAATTTTGTTTTTCAGGGCAAACTCTTCCAGTGTTTATGACCATTTTATTATCTGCATCATGAGGTGTTTCTGGGTGCCCCCTTTCTGATGGGCACTGAGAGAAGATCTCAGAGCTTAATAATTTGAACACAGAGAAAATTCCGTCGTCTAAATAATGTACATTGTTCTTCTATCCTCTGGGTATATCTGTCTCTTCCTCCTCAGTCCTCAGAGAAGATGAAAAATATCTGGTAACTTGTGTTGCTTGAAAACTCAGATATACCCTCTTTTATGCAATAGGAATCGGTTGGGTTCCTGAATGGGAAAACTATTGTGATTTCAGGATATCAAATCCAGAGTTTTATTCAAATACATTAAGAAAAACCCTGGGACATAGGATTTTGTAAAGAAAATATTCATTTTTAAAACATGAAAACACAGGTATCAAATACATAGGTTTTGCTAGATTTTATTTGCAGATGGTAGATTTTCTCTGCTTACTCTAAGCTTTTTACCCAGGATCTGTGTTCCAGCCTCGTGGCCATACCCACTGGCCATATCCTCTGCTCATCTGACACCAAAAGACTTTCCATATTTGGAGTAGAAACAGAAAAAATAAAGAAGCAGCAAATGTTCACATGCAGTGTCCAGTTAGAGGAGCACGCTGGCTTTCTGAGGGAAGAGGGCACTCACATAGAAGTTCAGGAGTTGGATAGAAGCTACATTGCACTGGGCTCCTATCCCCATAATCAGACTTTCCACAGAATTGCATTTTCTAACCTACCTTCTCAAAGGATGGCTGAGATTTTTGGGTAGGGCCAGATACCACTCTGCTGTGACTTCAGCTTGACAAGGTGTCTGAAGATATCCTCACAAACGGCCTGATTTTTGCTCCATGGTTTCCATCAAAGATGTCAGTTCATATCTTCATCTTACTCCAAGAAACCTTGAAGAGGAAATGTGTATCTGAGCTCTGTAGTTGACCAGTGGACTTCCGAGAGCAGACTGACCTCATGAGGTTGGCATTATCAGAAGCTATGTTTACACCTCAGGAAATGGTCTGCTTCTTCCAGAGCAGCCTGCAAAAGTGAAGGCAATAAGCAGCTAATGTAATGAGATCAGCGTTTGAGGTAGTACTGGATGTCTGGGGGCCAGTGATACTTACACACACGATTTGTTAGATAATTCAGCAAGAGCTGAGGCCTGACTGAGGCTTCATGCTTTGTGAGCTGCCAGTTTTAGTACTGTTTCTATTTCCATCAAGGCCTTCCCTTGCTGTGTGGGCCAGCCTTCATTGGCCTAAGAATCATTCATTCATTCACTCTGCAAATGAGTACCTGCATTTGCAAGGTGTGATTCTGTATGCTGTGAGACTATTTTAACAGACATGGTATACACTTATGATAATTGGTTGAGAGAATGGAACCTAACCCTCGAAGAAGACGTTATCTACCTGACACGTGAAGAAATGGAGGTAGACAGTACACTCCATCTTCTGAAGATTGGGCTCTCAAGGAGCTGATAATTTTAAAAAGATCTTTAGGACCATTGTCTTCATTCCCTAAAGGCTGGAATAGAAAATATCAAAATTAATTGTGCCAGTAAAAGCAAGTTGACAATCTTAAAGCATGGTAACGAGAGAGAGAGGGGGAGACGGGGAGAGGCTGTTGCTCATGAATAACGTGGTGTGCACTAAAGATTTGGGACAGAGGGAGGGCATACATATAGCTTGTAGTATGCTGTGTCCTGGGTACGGTGCTATTTCAAGAGTGAACAGTATGTGCAGAGCACAGCCACGTGGAAGGGCAAGGTTCTGGGAATGGAAAATAGTTCTAGATTATTAAGGAGACATGAAAAAAGATGAGGGCAATTATAACAGTTAAGGAAGGAGTTCTGAAACCTGTTGACCAGGGTTTAGGTCCTTGCTTCATTGCTGTGAGATGTATTTGGACAGTTAACCTCTCCGTGCCTTTGTTTCTCTACCCATATGGACTGGAAATAGGATATCAATCAGCCCGAAATGGGGGCTGTCACATATTAAGCTATCGACACATATATTAGACAAATTGTAAAGAATGTCTTATGGTATAGAATCAAGTTTAATAAACTTTTTTTTTTCCCGTAAAGGTCAGGCAGTAAATATTGTGGGCTGTGGTTGTGGGCTACCTATAGTCTCTGTTGCAATTCCTCAGCAATATCATTATAGCACAAAAGCAGCCACAGCCACTACATAAACAAGTGGGTATAGCTGTGTTCCAATAAAACTTAAGTAACAAAAACAGGTTGTGGGATGGATTTGACCTGTGGGCTATAGTTTACCATGTGTTTAGAATATGGACTGTGTTCTGGCTGTTACAGGTTCATGTGTGTTACAGGGTTGGGTGTAGGGGACTCATTCATAGTTTTTACATTAATAGCCCCTAAAAAGCTAAAAAAAAAAAAAAAAAAGAACGACACAATTAGATTTTAGAATTTAGAAAGATAGCACTCTTTTAACAGAGTGGTGCAGTTACCAAAGTGTGCAATTTTCTGTATATGTTTGTGTGCATATGCATATGCGTGGGAATTTGTGTTTGTACATGTGTATGTGTGTGTTAGCATTGGCAGAAATGAGATGAATCTACAAGCTGCTGACATGGTCTAGAGATTATGAGAACTTGGGATAAGATAGGGCATTAGAAATAGAGAAGAGAGCACCCTTGGGTGACAATGTGTTTAGATATTTTAGGATGACAGCCAGGTTTCTACTTTGGTAATTGAGATAACAGCTACTGGAAGAACAGGCTCAGGGAAGATGCTACATTCATGTGAGGAGAGGGTGAGTTTGATCAGCCCATCAGATAAGTTTTCTTGTGGGCATATTGAGTTCAGAAGAGACAAGGTGTGTAGATACAACTGTGGAAAGCACTAATACATGCCTAATCCAATCCCAGAGAAGGGAAAATAGAAGAAAATAGTGTGTGTGTGTGTGTGTGTGTGTGTGTGTGTGTCTATGCAAAGGTATTTAGGCTAACTTATTCATGTGTTAACATAAGGCTAGACATACATGGACACACTTGGAAGTTCTGGGAATTGGGAGAAAGAAGATTTAAAATTTTCTTCTCAAAATACTGCTCAAATTCAAGAGTACCTTTCCACTATGAAGGTGTCAGTTGTCGAGATACTCACAAGCTATTTAATTCCTAATCTGTAAGAGTCTGTAGAAGCTAAAGAAATATCTTTATGTTGGACCTTTAGGCAAGACAGAAGGACCAGTTTTTAGTGAATAAGTGGAGAGAAGAAAATAGAAAACAATGCATATAACACTCAGACTGTAGTTCTTTACTCTAATGGAGGATTTCCATAAAAATCTTTTTATTTGACCTCAAGGGCACATAGTTTACATAAATTCCGTATGTATGTGGATGATCTCACTGACTCACCTACCTAGAGTTTCCCTGGCTTTTTTTGAGTTCTCATTTAGGTTTTTTAAAATTGTATTTTATTCAGCATAGATGGTTCCTGTGTGAGTGTGTGTGTGTGTGTGTGTGTGTGTGTGTGTACAATGTGTCCCCAGCAACTGATTCCAAAAATGACTTGCTGAAATGCACAATTCTGGCTGAGCTGGCACTGATCTTTTGATGTGGGTGGATTTCTGCTGATTTGTGGAAAGCTTCATGCCCCAACCCCCTGTGAAGTCACAGCTGGCTTTTCCAGGCCAGTTGGCTGGAGGTAAGAGTACCATCTGGGGCATTGAAAAGCAGTGAGACTAACTGGTCTACTGGGGGGATTGAATAGGCAATGTGGATCATGCTGGTGGCAGCCTCCAGTGAGTGCACTTCACTCTACCAAAATGTTCAAATAAGACCTCAGCTTACAACACATAGTTTGGGTGTTATATTAGTATTAGTGTTTGACTATTATCTTGCCTCTGACCCTGGAAAGAAGACTGATTGTATTACCATCATTTTATATATATAGTCTAATCGTAACAATAACCTTATGAGGTGACTACTGTTTTTCTTCATCCTTATTTTAGAGACAGGGTGACATACGGGAAGGTTGTTACATAGTCTGTACATGGAAAGAGAGGATACTGGCACAGTTGCTAAGAGCCCAAGTTCTTAACCAAGACAGGCTCCTCCCTCTCTCTCAACAGTTACCTATCACCCAAATGTGGTTTGTTTTTTTATCTGTGTTCCTTGTTTTGAAAAATACATTGTGTTAAAAATTGGTATTCTTTTGATGACCAAATCTCAAATTTAGGACTTTCCTTTTACCTGAACATTTTTTGTAAAACATCTACTCTCTTGAAGTTGTATCAGTCTATTCAAAATAGACGTGGGGCATGAATAGTCATATAGGAAGACCAAAGCCTTCTAGGGCAAGTCGTCATTGGAATGGAGGAAGTCCAGGCTTTCCATTTTCCTTGAAAGAAAGTTTTCCTTTCCAAATAGCTCTTTCCAAACTCTGCCTTTCCAAATAGCAGAAATCAGAAACTTTATGAATCAGCCTTGTATTTATGCTTCCTTAACTTCCATGAAGGCATGATTTGTTTAGTTTAATAAGGCTTTGATTGCAGGTATCAGCACACAAACGTTGACTGAAACTGGGTTTCTTTTGGTAAAATGCAAGCTGTGTGAAATTCATGGAAAATGCAATTACGTTCTAATTTACTCAGTGTCACTGGCTTTAATTAAAGTAGATCATATTTCTATGAAGCCAATTCATGATCCTCTTTAACAAAGGAAGTAGAAAACATAAGGAAATTTGCTATTTTTCCTTTGAATATTAACACAGAGCTGGTTACTTTTTGGCTACTTTTTTGAGAAGTAGCAGGCCACAGGTCGGCATCCCCAGGCAGAAAGGCCTGTAGGGGCCCAGCCGAGGCAGCTTGTCTGCTGCAGAAGAGCCTATCCAGGCCTGATGTGAGTGCACTGGGAAGACATCTCTATTCTTAGCCTTTACTCCGATTCTTCACCACCATCCATCTCACCTATCTCTTCTGTCTTGTATTGTCTACTTCTCAGGGTATATCAAAGGTAAAAACTGAGTTAAATGTGGATGCAATACGCTACCCTCTTTTTAATCAGATTAGAGGTGTTAGGATGGAAGCAATCAAATACTAACCAACCAGAAGCCCGAAAGTGGGCAGAACCACGGTTGTTTTAGCAAAGTCTTCAAAGACCCTGACTTTTTCTAACCTCAGCTCATAGGCTTGATCTTTAGGTTTGGCTTGTCATGGTGGCAAGATGGCTGTTGCGGTTGCAGGCATCTTATAGAGGCCAACAATATTTGATAAGGAGAAGTGTCTTCTGCCATTTATCTATCAGACAGATATCAGATTTCTCAGATTTCCCTGACTCTCTCCCTGACATATTTCATTAGCTAGATTGGGTCACCAGACTATGACATGACAGGAAGAAATGCAGAGGGACAGGGATTGGGGAGACATAGCTGGCAAGTTATTCTTGCAAAGAAAGCACCTATGGGAGGAATATGCAAGGACTAGATAATGGTTGTTGGATAAACCAATATCTGTGTCTGTCATACCACTAATGATGTCCATCATTAGTTTTGATATGTTCATGTAGGTGTGAAACTATTAGGTAAATGAACTTATAAGTCAAGATCAGCCTCATTGACTTTGAAAACATATATGTCAGCTGGCATTTATAAATAAAGGCATAGGAAGTTCATGCAAGATAATTGTATTTACTTCTATCGAGGCTTCCTGAAAACTTTATAGTTTCTGAATCCTCAATGTGAAATGATTCAGAAAAATTTTTAAAATAATTGGAGACAGGTAGTCATCTATAACTACATTTTTATATGCTGTAAGGGGAGGAGAGATTAAAAAGTTTTGGTCATGGGAATACTATGATGACACTTCTTAATGTGATCTCCAGTGGACTATGTAAGACAATGAATTTAAAGTGCAACAATTTATGCTAAACAAGGTTAAAATGTGGCAAAGATGGACTAGGTTTTAATGTGCTATAAGGAAATTAAAAGCCTCTGGCAATCTATAAACAATAGCCTTTGGTTTTGACTGAAGTGCCCATTACCCACAAAAGGTTTGGTCAGTCACTGTGCTGATAACACAATGCGTAATTACTAATAGGCTCTGCATTGCTGAGGAGGAACTTTTTAAATTTTCCTCTCTTTCTTGAACTAGATCGAAGTTCCTCAGTGCTTTTTTTAACAATCATTTTAATTTGTCTGATAGTTTTTACTTCCTTTCACAACTAAATTGACTGATGACAGTCAATAGACTTTCATTCATTAAAAGTAATAGCTTACTATATTTGCTGAGCTAAATATCTGCACATAATTTCCAGTGTAAATTTTGTGAATATATGGGTGCAATTTTACTGTTTTATTTCTGTTTTAAGTATATTACCTTCTGAAGAGTGGTATTTGGATTTTGCTGACATGCCATGGAAAACTCCTTCGGGATACCCTGTGGTCTAACAAGAATCTGGAAAAATAGAAACCGAAGGAAACCGAGTGCTCATTGGATCCTCCTTTTTCCTTTTAGGATGGATGAACTTGAGACTAAGGAAGGATTTTTGTTCCAAGGTTAAGAGTTGCATGGGGATCAGGTGGCTGCCTTTAACTGGCTCTTTCTAATGCCTTCCTTGCTTGGCATAGTGCTGTAGACACGGCAGTCACCCAGTGTTTGCTATTTGGGTGAATGAATTATTTAAGGACATTTGTATTTTCTTTTACTCAGCTGCTAGGAAGTTATGGCAATGGTGTGGGGATCATATTGGCCACAAATCATGATGGCAAGTAGGACAGGATATCAGGGCTCCGGATCATATTTTTCTGAGGTGCTCTTAAGGGCGTATACCTAGACTCATCTATTTAATCTGATTGCAGTTGGTTGGTGGGATGGTTGGTTCAGAGTAGGAACCACTGACATTTGGTTTAATTGCCTTGGAACAGTTATGTCCCATGTGCCTCAATGATGGCCATCTTGGATAAAACTAATAAATAAGTGGAGTGTGTGGTGTAAATCGAATGCTTTCTCTAGATTTTTTCCACATGGTACAACATGGCTAATGAAGGCATCTACTCTCTGGGGCATGTGAAAATCCAAAAGGTATGGCTTTGCGTTTACAAAAAATGCTGATGGAAGCCATTTCCCAATTCTGATTTTGTCTTAAGGCTAGACTGCTTTTAAAGCTACTATTAGCAAATAATTGTCCCTTAAGTGAAAATAGCAGGCTCTCAAAGGCAGACCATTGAATACCACAGAGTCAACAGATTAGATTATAATTTAGATTAGATTTTAGATTTTTACAACGTAGATATAGATTAGAATTTCAGCTCTACCACTTATTAGTTATATCACCTTGAACAAGTCACATATGTTCTCTGTACTTCAATTTATTAATATGTATAATGGGAATAATCATTATTATTACTTTTATCCTCTCCAGCTGGTTTTTGAAGAGTAAAACAATGCATATGAAAGTTTTGAAAACAGTGTGGTATCATGTAAATCTAAGAGATTAGTATTAACGTCTATCAGAACCATGCAGCAATAAAAAATAACAATTATATTGGGAGGCAGTTTTCCATAGTAAGTGCCTTAGAATCATTAAAAGTATTGAAAAGGACCTAAGAAAACCTAAAATGGCAATCTCGTATTGAAGATGAAGGAGCTGATGTTCAGTGGAGTTTCGTGATTCTCCCAGGGTTTGTGGGAAATGGCAAAAGTAAAAATCAGTGCCTTCAACTGTTCATGACATATTCCTTCTTGATCACAAGGTTTCATTAATCAGAGAGAACCTGTAGGGAAGGTGAATGGTGTAATTCCAAAGTAAAATCTAACCCGGATGAATCAACCCCATAGAAGATTACTGAATATCCATTATATGGTAAACCTGGTCCGATGGGAAATAAAAACGCTTGGCTGCTGACCTAGAGGAGCCGTTCATCTGTTTGGAAGATCAGACATGCCCCTTGGAAAGATGAGGGATGACAAGAATGAAGTGTGAACCTCACATGAAGTACTGTTGGGTGGCGAGGCTGTGGGTGTAACAGGGAAATTGCCACAGCCTAGCACTCAGTTTCCTCGGCTTGGTCACAAATGCAGAATCTTGGAAAATGACTTCATTCCCTGGTTTGACTGCTAAGAATCACTCAGGACGCTTGATAAATTCACAGATGGCTCACCTTTTTTTCTGTAAGGAATTACGTGGCTCTGGGTTGGAGCTTGGAATCTCTCTCTTTCTCTCTCTACTTCTCTCTCTCTCTCCCCCGTCCTGTTTCTCCCTATTTCTTTGTCTCTGCCTCTTTCTCTATCTCTCTTCCCTCTCTCTGTTTCCCTCTCTTTCTTTGTCTCTGTCTCTCTCTCAATCTCTCTTCCCTCTCTCTGTTTCCCCCTCTTTCTCTGTCTCTGTCTCTTTCTCTCTCTCCCCCCTTCCTTTTTTGCTCTCTCTCCCAGCCAGCCCCCTTTCTCTCTTTCTCTCTTTGCCCAACATAATTTCTACTTTCAAGCAAGATTAGGAAACACTTCTTTAACTGATATCATCAGACTGAATCTACTTTTTTTCTTGCTGAAAATTGGAGGGTTGAAGTAGACCAGCAGTCATTTTCAAGCTGTTTCCAGAGTTGATCTGTTTTACGTATTGGTTTTCCACATATGCATTACTCTGTGGAAATTGACCCAAGATTTTGATCCATGCTTGGCAGAGGGCTGTGGATACAGTCCACACTCAATAAATGTCTGCTATTTAAGTTAGTGAATTATAGATAATTATGTAGTTATAGTATAGGTATCGCCATAGGTACCTATGCAAAAGTGTGTGTGTGCGCATGTGCATATGTGTGTGAATAGATAATACAGTCCCTGCCGTTGGGTGGCTTACATGACACTGGAGAGTGAAGACATATGCTGTGAGTGGTTGGCAGAGGCAAGGAGAATATTTCTGTTAGTTTCCTGAGCAGACTGCAGAGTCAGCTTATCACCTCCTGGAACCTTCCCTCATCCAGGAAGGCAAAGCCCTGCACTACGCCTACAAAAACCAAAGCAAAACTCATCAGCTTCAAATGGAACCGTCTCACTTCTGCTGTCTCTGAGGGTGATATGGTGTGGGTCCCACCACCTCCTTTCCTCTGGGGATAAGTTCATCCAGTCTCCGGTCATCTTTCACTTGTGAAAAGAACAGGGAGAGGCTTAATTCATGACTGCTGCCTACTTTCTGCTTATTCACTGGCTGATTTCATTAAGCCCTTTAGAAGCCAGTCGTTGGGCTTTGCCTCATTCAGCTCCCAAGCATTTCGTTCTTTTCTTATTTTCTGCAGTTTATGGAGAAACCGGGTCGTCCTTACACCCTTCCTGAAAGAAAACAGCTTAATGAAGCAGACAAGTGCTAAACAATGCAGAAACACATATTACAGGTTTAAGAATGACCAGAATGGGCTGCAGAAGTGATGAAAGGGCAAGGAAGAACATCTTCAGCTTGTCCTTAAAGAGGATGGAGAACATTTGAATTGTTAGTGGTGCAGAAAAAAAAAAAAAAATACTCCAGGCCTGATGTGAAAGAAGGCCTGGAGACATTAATAACACATGGTATTCAACAGGAATTTTCCAGAAACTGGTCTAGGCATCACTGGGCTAAAATATTACTTCTGAAGGTCTGCAGAATGCTAGTGAACAATCGTTTCTCAAATCTGACTTTCCTATTTCTTGTTCAGTATGTATTCCCTTGCCCTGCTTTCCTTCCTATTTTTGTGACAAATGTACTTATAATAGGTCTTAAAAAGGGCTTTGAAGACTGACAGTGAAACAAGCACTTGTGAAATAACCACCCAGAGAAGGCAAAATCTGATTTCACTAGGATGTTACTGGATTCCTCTTCCATTAGATGTTTTCACAGGTCCTATGGCAATATGGGGCTTGTGATGGTGGCTACCTTATCCGTCTCTCTAGTTTAGTAAAGAAATTGTCTGAGGGAAAACAGGGTACAGATTCTTAGGACTGGCCACATTCATTTGCATTTGGGCCCTGACCAAGCCCCCAGCACAGCCCAGCAGGGGCTGTGATCCTCCTGTACACTGTGAGATAGATGCTTTTGAAATAGGCTAGAAAGGCAAGGAAGCAGGGTTGCTGCTGTTCACAAGCTCCCCTCTCTTCTGCCTCTCACATCCATCCCTATAGTTTTGGCTTAGAACCAGCCACACTGTGAGACTAATCCTTAACTTCAGCAGGAAACGTCACTGAGCGAAGTCTTGGTGGCATGTCATGTTCCTTTTTGAGCTTTATGCCCCAGATCTATGTCCAGACACTGTTTCCATATTTACCGATGTCTGCCCTGCATTTCTGATTGAAGTTATGCAGAGTATCTAGGCCCAGGTGCCATCTTTGACTCAGAACCATACCCTTGGGACTGGATTAAGTGCTTACACACCTTGCCTCATTAGATCCTCATCATAATCTAAGATACTTTTTGTCCCCATTTTACCAGTGAAGACATTGAATAACAGAGTCCTTAAAAGAATTTCCCAAATGCATGAATCAAGAAAGTAGCGGTCCGGGGTTCGCAACCAAATATAACTTCATATTCTTTATAAAATATGCTCTCTATTAGAATATATCCTCATTTTTTTCCAAACATAGTTTACTAAATATTTTCTCGTATATAGTACAAAGGTTGAAGTTGTGTGAAGACATTGGTATTTGCTTCCCTACCCAAAGTTCTTGAGAACCAAATTCTGTTGCATCAAAGAGACCTGGTCAAATTGTGAATATTTAAATCCATTACCTAAATGTACAGCGTTGCCATGCATTGCTTTTCCCAGGGGTTGAGCGAGGTTACCCCTCCCCTTCCTCTTCCTCTGAATAAATATGCAATCTTTGAGAGTCCTCAAAGACCCCTGTCAAGCTTTGGACATCAGCAGGAGAGTTTTAGAAACATGTCGAGGTCACTGATAGCTTTGCGGAGGAAGTTGAGCAGGAGAATGAATAGACTTGGAAGGCACACGGAGGAGCTGAGAGTGGAGCAGGGGCCAAGGCAGAGGGGAAGATTTAGCATGGCCTATTCAAGGGACAATCGGTGCTGATTTGCCAGCTTGGAAGAGAACACCAGTACCATTTTAGACATTTAACAAAATGTTTTTGGAAAGAACATCAGTGAACCAGTTTGGATGAGAACCAAATCTAGGTTTTGTCTGAAACGATTGAAGTACAGCAAATCTGGGGCATCAAAATCTTAGAATTTTATATCTGGTGTCATTTGGCCCAAATGACATTTTACAGCAGAGGAAGATGTGTTAAGTGTGAAGTTAGTTACTCTGTGTCATTCGAGGTGACAAGTCTGGGCTCAATCACAGGCTCCGGCTCTCAAGTCCATTGCTGGCTCCACTGCACCGTGGAGCCTTCCCCAAATGGGATCTGAGCAACACTGATGGTGTCCTCAGTCTGGGGACCTACGAAGATTACAGTGACAAGGACTATCTCTGATGCAGAGATTTCAATGGGACTGTAGACAGCTCTTGGATATGGATAGATTAGTTTTACCAGTCATTTGGCCGCCCACATGGATGTCAGTAACTCATGGAGCTGATCATTCCATCTCATGCAAGGAAGGCATCTCTAAGGCACACATGCAACCTCTGCCATCCTGTGCATAGAGCAGATGTCACTATCTAGATACCACAGCCTCCTCCTACTGGTCCCAGGTGGCAAGAGAATGGTTCTCATCAGACTCCTTCATGAAGCTGGCTTTAATCAATTGGAGTTGGCATGTGAGATGAAACCCATTTGCCATTTCTGCTCTAGTGCCTGGTGCTGAAATTAGAGATATCTTTCTAATTTTCTTCAGGCCAATTCTTAATGCTTTGTGGCACCATCCCTAATCTCTGCAGCCTGCTACAATGGAAATTTTTGTGTAAGGCAAAATGATATCCACACACAGGCCAATAATACCCCACATGATAGAAAGCCCAGGGAGGCAAAGGCTATTGTACTTTTCTGCAGAATGGGAATACCGAAGCACCTGGTTCACTTTTGTAAAGAATAAAAGCAATAATGATTGGAAAGTGCTTAGTACTATAACTCGCACTCAGCCATCTATCTCTATAAATGTTAGCTCCTCCCTCTCTTGCCTGATATAAACATTTCCCCATACTCCTATATAGATTTTTGCCCTGTGTAGAGTTGTGCTGTTTCTGCTCCTGCTTCTTTGCCTACATTTTTACCTTTCTTCTGTGTTTTTCCCCTCTTTTTTCTGAAAAGAAAAATGAGGCAAGGTATTATAAAATTTGCAAAACTCAAATCTAAAGCATGGTGTCTGGTTAATAGTGGGAGCTCAGCATCACAAGTGTTAGATTGGGTGGATGGTTATAGACATAGAGGGTTTAAAATGACTGTTTTAAAGCACTGCCATTGCATGACCCCCTCCTCTCCCTAATGATCCTCCCCATAGAGTGAAAGTTAAGGGGAATCCTCAAGGGGAGATCTTCTCTGGCCCATCTTCTGCTTCTCTTTGCTCTAAATCTCTTACCTCCAACTCCTACCATTCTCTCTCTCTCTCTCTCTCTGTCTTGATCCCTCTCCCCTAATCCCTCTCCCAATCCCCTTTATTTCTTCTTAGGTTACTTTCTTCTTTATTCTCTCCTCCATCCATTCTGCTTTGCCCTTTCTTTCCCTCCCTCCCTCCCTCCCTCCCTCCCTCCCTCCCTCCCTCCCTCCCTCCCTTCCTTCCTTCCTTCCTTCCTTCCTTCCTTCCTCACTCCCTCCCTTTCGTCTTTCCTTCCTTCCTCCCCAGCTTCCCTTGTCTACCAACTCATGGCCTACCCTTCTTTTCCCGTTTCCCTCAGGGCTTGATTAAATCATGGCTGTCTGATTTAATCTCAACTACCCTTGTTCTGTTCTTTCTCTTGCCTTCCAGCAGTCACATCTAAACCTGAAGAGAAACTTGGAGAAAGAGAATGGACTGGATGAAGCAGCTAAACAAGCTTAAGAAAACCACATGGGGAGGAGGAGGTGTAGGAATGGGAACTCTGTTCTGTGTTTCCTTCAGCTCTTCTCCTTTAAATACGGCTCTTAGTCACAAGTGTGGGTTGTTGCTATGATTCATCAGTGTTGTTTTCTCAGACAAAAGACAGGAAACATTTTTGGAGAAAACTGAAATGAGGACTAGGTTGCATTCTTTGACAAGGCTGACCTTGCAAGTTAGTCAGGTAAACAGATGTTTGCATTGTGATTAGGGAGCCCTGAACAGAAGTGTCTGTCCCCAAATCAACTTTATAGCCAGTCTTTATCATAATGATTTACTATTTTAGATCAAAAGGTTTTTTTTTGTTTTGTATAGGACCTGCAAACAATAGATTGTTAAATTTTAGCTGCATATATGTTTGTTATTCCCTATACACCTTAGCTTGCTGTCCCTGTAGAGAGAGGAACTCCAGCTATGCCTTTTGGGGCAGAAGAATATGCTATGAAGAATAGATAGGGAAACTGACATGAAAGTGGTTAACACTATGGACTGACTACTAGTTTCATAATGATCAGCCTTTCCCTCCAACCATCTAACATGACAGATGTGGAAATCTGTATGGCCAGGTGTGCATGTAAAAGCTAGGACATAGCCAAGTGTATGGACACGCACAGTTATTTGGAAGAGATTCAACCCAGGTTGTTTAAATATTTGACTCCATACCCTAGCCCCTTCTTCCTGCCCCTGAAGAAGGAGAATAGAAAATGAAGTAGAGATCTGTGACTGCAAATTAGCAGTTAGGATGGTTGTCTTGCTGGAGTGATTTGAAAAGGAGATTGCACCTGAGGGAGACAGAGTCAAGACACTAATGCCAAATGTGTCATTTTGACCATTTACTGAAGTGCAACTCTCTGGAACTCTGGGCTATCAATTAGTGTAGGATTTGCAGGGATCATTAGCCTAAAGAGGGACATTTTTACTTGGAGTACAGGGGGCAGCTATTCTTAGCTCAGTATGATCTCTGTGGGAGAGTTCTTACTGGTCACAAATCTCTAAAGTCATTGATTTCCTAAAATATCAATTATATTCACTGACATGTTTTGCAAACTTTTGGACAGGCGATTGTCATGGCTCACTCTGCTCAGTGGTTTTGATAAAATATGCTGATGAAAGTCATCAGATTCTTCTCGGGGGCAATGATCAAGAAGATAGGTTTTTGGGGAAAAGAAGAAATTTAGGAAGCTACAGGAAAAGCAAATCATGCCTCAGGGTATCAGCCACTGGCAGAAGTTGTGATTGGGTTTGAAATGTTTTTGACAATGCAAAGGCCAGAGCCAGTCAGGCTGTGAAAACCGAAGCCTGGTGCTCTAATGGTGGAAAGGAATTTAACTGCAATTACTCCAAATGTGATTTTGCTCATTTGAGTGATCAGTGTTAGAGAATCCTCAGCTTGGTACTATGAGAGGCACTTAACCTCTAATGGGAGTCAGCACAGCTGAGGGCTTTGGGAGGATTGACACAGCCAGCCTCTGTGAGCTCAGTCTAGTCCCTATCCTCTCTGGGCCACAGCTTTCCAAAGAACAACATCAGAATAATAACATCTGCCCCTCTGCCACGCATGGGTGTTTTCAAAGCAACGTAAGTTAAAAGACGGATAAATAATGGGCCAATGTAAAGCACAGTTTGTATAACTTTAGCCAACTCTAAACACCAGAAATTTACCCAAAAAACAGTGCCAATTAAACCCACAAAGATCAGAAGTCCAAGTAGCAGCGACAATGTGCCAAGTACAAATGGTTTCCTGTTTATATTTTTCTTCTCTATAAGCTCAGGGAGTCCTGAGATTGTGTCTTTTGATATTTTATCTGTTCCATCTATATGACCCCGGAAACGATTCCAAAATTACTGATCCATGGGTAGATCAGTCTTAGACCAGGTTTGGGAGTCGTCACCAGGCCATTTTCAAGTGGAAAAGGAGAATGTCTTAAAGTCCATTCACACACTACCTTAACATTATGCTTTGCTCCTGGATATTGCCTACAAATGGAAATAGATGTGCTAGCCTCTTCTGTAATGCAATCCATGGATGGGGATATAAGACAGCATAAATAACATCATATGATCTACACTTCAAAGAAAGTATGAAGCTTCTTTTAGGTATTGTCAGTTCATGCCAAGATATGATTCTAAGATGGAATTAAATGTACAAGAGATCTTGGGAAACACACCTGTAAATGATGATGGGAGTAGACATGATGTTTGGGAGAGCCTCAGACCATGATGCAAGCCTAACATCTGTGGATGGACAGAAAGAAAGAAGGATTATATAGGAAGGGCCTTGAATTGCAGTCCTGGCTGTCTCAGTCAGGCTGATGGGAAGGCCCTGAACAAAGTCTATTACAGGGGTCCCGCATTAAGCAGGAATTACCACTGTAGCCTCCATGCTCAGTAGCCTCTGTAAATACCATGGCAGCTTCAAAGGAGTAGCGAGTTAAAGCTGTCAGTCAACTGCTCTTCACAGCAGGTTGTCTTGCAGGGAGAGATGAGTAAGACACCTTCATGGTCATCACGGGTGTTACTGATACCTCCTATCCTGCACTTCTCAGCCCTATGTTGGAATCCCTAGACACCTCTAGGGCCAGGTGGCTTTGCTGTATGGCCAGGCTATCTACTGTTGGTTCAGTTACCCAATTAACTCAGCAGTCACCAATATTCTAGGCACCAATCACCACTGTTAGTGAATTTTTGCTACATGTCAGATGCCAAGCTAACTGGTACGCATATAAGATCATCTCATCCTTAACTACAACTCTATAATGGAACTCCTGTGAAAATCCCCATTTGACAGATGAAACTCACAGCATAAATCACTTGTTCTGATCCACATAACTGGTAAGTGATGGAAATTCCTTTGGAACCTGGATCGGCCTGGTCACCTGGCTACTCTACTGTGCTTCTGCCCATCTAGTGCAAGTCTGCAAGTCTCCCAAGTAATCTGGGAGTGCAAGTAACCTCAGAACTATGCTAAGTCCTGGGGATTTTGTGATTATGATGAGAGTCAGAACTGAAATCTAAATAAAAAATTATGATACAGGTCAGTGTGGGAATTGCTCAGAGCACTGAGATAAACTGGAGCTCAGTCTTGCAGGATGAGAGGGGATTACTAACCTGATCAAAAGAAGAAGAGAAATTGAGGCAGACCAAAGTGCATTTGCCAAATCACGGTGGTGCCAAAGAGAACCTATAACCCTTTCACCTGCTCACAATTTTTCCATTCAGTGTTCTAGTCAAGCTCTGCTGTTTTAAGATAAGATCTACTTGCCTGGAAAGCTTATGTTTATTAAAGCAGCCATTTAAAACCATTATGTTACATAGAGATCAGTTACAAGGTGTAGTTCAAGTAATTACTACAAATAATTAAAGCCCTAGAATTTCTGCAGGCTTTACTGTTTCTCTAAATTGGAGCACATTCAAGGTAATTCCCATTATAGAGCAGTCTGTCACGTATTCCAACTATTTTTCATGAGTGGGAGAAAAAGAGATAGAGTTACAACTATTGCTCCAGGAGCTGCAGTTGGGAGTATGTCTCCCACTCTCCTACATGAATATCATCTGCCATTTGTATATCAGTGAGAGAAAATGTTTGAAAATCACTTTAGTAAAAAGATGCAAGTTATGTATACATAAAACATACCTGTCAAAGTAGAGAAAGATTAAACGACAGGGAACACAGTCAACCTGCGATGGTGGTTGTATCTGAATGCGGGAGGTGGCTAGAACCTAGAATGAGAATAGAGAATACTTTAACTCAAAACAGGTATATAAGTAAACAGCAAATCTGCTTTGAAGACTGTGTTTGTTATTTCTTGTACTCTTTTTTTTTTAATTTTCTGATATAAAGTTGCTTTTTAAAATGTTAATGGAAAAAGAAAAAAAAGAATTCATGAAGCCCAGATAAATAGGGGATGGAAATAGAAATGAGGCTTACAACAAGAGTAGGCCAACTCTAAGAAAATATATTAATTCGCCTTGTGATTAAAAAGAATAATACTGAATCTATATATGAGAGAAAATGTCACAGCTATACCAAAAAAAAAAAGAGAAGAATTGATAAAATCCAAAAAAGCATATGGTTTAGTTCATTTTATTGTACCAATGTCAATTTCCTGTTTTTTTGTTTGTTTGTTTGTTTGTTTTGAGACAGAGTCTGTCTCTGTCGCCCAGGTTGGAGTGCAGTGGCGTAATCTCCACTCACTGTAACCTCCACACCCCTGGGTTCAAGCAATTCTCATTCCTCAGCCTCCAGAGTAGCCAGGACTATTGGCGTGCACCACCACACCTGGCTAATTTTTGTATATTTAGTAGACACGAGATTTCACTGTGTTAGCCAGGCTGGTCTCGAACTCCTGGCCTCAAGTGATCTGCCCGCCTTGGCCTCCCAAAGTGCTGGGATTACAGGCATAAGCCACTGTACTATGGTCATGTAAGACATTATCATTGAGGAAAGCTGGGTGGAAACATACACAGAAACTCACTGTACTATTGTAACAACTTATAGGTCTCCTACTATTTCAAAATTAAAAGTTTATAAAATGGTAATGACGGTATAAAATTCTATCTATTTCTAAGAGATTTTTGTTCTTAGAGGGGATTTTTATCATCACTGCACTAGAACCTAGAATGAGGATAGAAAATTTACTAAAGAGCATAGCTCTCTAATAGTGACAAATCAGGTAGGGGGTAGAATCTTCCAAGACAGCCCACAGATTCCATGGCTCTGATTTTTTTCCACCCACCCCAAATTCTAAGCCTCACCATGTGTTCAATTATTAAACTTGTACATACATTCTCTCACATGTTCTTAAATCCTCAAGAGCAGTCCTTCTAACAGGTGTCTTGTGTAGGTTATTAAAAACTATCAGCCGGGCACGGTGGCTCATGCCTGTAATCCCAGCACTTTGGGAGCCTGAGGCAGGTGGATCTCCTGAAGACAGGAGTTCGAGACCAGCCTGGCTAACATGGTGAAACCCCATCTCTACTAAAAATACAAAAATTAGCCAGACGTGGTGGCAGGCGCCTGTAATCCTAGCTACTCGGGAGGCTGAGGCAGGAGAATCACTTGAACCTGGGAGGTGGAGGTTGCAGTGAGCCGAGATCTTGCCATCGTACTCCAGCCTGGGTGACAAGAGTGAAACTCTGTCTCAAAAAACATGTATATATAAATATATCTTGTGCAGTTTAATTTTCTGCTTGGATGATATGCCTGCTATTGTGATGTTTGTGGAAGTGAAGACGTCTTAGCACGTACTGTTAGCTAGAGCACTTTGGAGGAGAAGAGTAGACACATTGCTACTGAAAGCTTCATGCTGCCAGCCTTACATGAGAACCTTGGGCTGTCCTTGCATGCAGGTGGGAGAGAGGGCTGTCTCATAAGCAGGACTTCAAGGAGTCGTAGAGACAAGACTGGTCTCCATCTGTTTCAAAGTTTCTTTCATGCATCTTCCTTCCAGATATGCTCTAGTTAAAATATAAATGTATCACAGGAGAGAGACACATTAATTTCTCTCCATAAAATCCGAGTACGTGTTTATGATATACTATCCAAGTGCAAAGTCTAGAAGCAATATAATTCCCTCCTAGGATGGGTGGTGTAAGGGCTTTATCATTGTTACTACCTTTGAATTGATTATTTATTTCTATTTAAAGTAACAAGTTACTCTTGGCAGCCCAAATACTCAGCAGTGAACTGGAATTGGAGAATGGGGGTGAGAGTCAAGAGCAGAACCCCTATAAATGCAGGCATTGATGTGAGTAAAACTAAAATTAGCAGAATGTTAATAATTGTTGAGGTTGAGTCACAGGTACATGGGGACACATTGTTATTCTCTCTATTTTGTTTATGTATATTTGACATGTTCTATAGAAAAAAATTTAAAAAGAAAAAATAAGTGATTTTGTATTCCAATGTATTGTCAGGAGATTATTAGATGTTATAATAATTTTCAAAAGAAGGTAAAATCATGACTCATATGGATATAAAAATGAACACCTTGTTATGGATTGAACTGTGTGCCCCTAAAAGATATGTTGAAGCCTGAACTCCCAGTACCTGAGAATGTGACCATGTTTGGAAATAGTGTCTTTGCAGGTTTAATCAAGTTAAGATGAGGTCATTAGATGGGACCTAATTTAATATGGCTGATGCCCTTATAAGAAGAGGGAATTTTGGACACAGACATACAAGGAGGACGCCATGTGAAGACACAGTTGGAAAAGCAGGGAAGAGATGGCCTTGTGTATAAGGAGGCAGAGACTGGAGTTATGCTGCCACAAGCCAAGGAACAACTGGGGCTACCTGAGCTGGAAGAGGCGAGGAAGGATTCTCCCCTAGAGGGTTCTGAGGGAGCGTGGACCTGCCAACAACTTGGTTTCAGATTTCTAGTCTCCAGAACTATGCAGTAATAAATTTCTGTTGTTTTAAGCCACCCAGTTTGTGGCACTTTGTTACGTCAGCCCTGTGAAACAAACAAACAAACAAACAAAAAACAAGTTAAATATTTTATTTAACTCATAATATGGAAATAGGTGAGGTGTTACAACCAATTCAAAAAAGAAGTGAAAAATAAGCCCAAATGTATATAGAGTAAAGGAATGTTGAAATGAATGTGCAAATGGAAGCAAAACTAGATTCTCCTACAATGGGACAGAAAAGTCAATTGAACCTCTACTGGACAGAACATAATTTGCATGTGTATAGAAAAAAATTGTGCATTGTTCTCAGTTCACCTACAATTTACAGAGTCGCAAAATAGCTCCTGTTGCATCAGAATCAGATAACCTTGACAGGTGTTCTTTAAACTACGGGTTGTTTTCTACTGAACTACATAATTTTCTCTATATGACTAAGCAAAACAATTTTAAAGCCTTCAATACAAATGCTCATTATAGAAAAAGAAGAAGAAATGAAAAAGAATGAAAAATTAGATTTAAGACAGACTATATGTACTGAATTGTGATAGTTGAGAAAGTTAATCAACTCTGTGACCCCTGTTCCTCATTAGTAATATGGGAATAATACTATTAGTGCCTGTCTATTAGGTCATGGTGAGGGTTAAATGAGATAATGCACTCAGAGTACGTGACAATGACTGGCTCAAGGTGTTCAATAAATAATTGCCATTATTGCTATTATTATTTTACAGATTGTTGGGAAAATTAACCCAGAGAATCAATAGAAGTGTTGTATATTATCAAGTATTCTTCAACTCTAGCTTCACCCAACAATCATTACTAACTTGAATACAGGACTTGTTTTAAGATGAGAGTAGGCTGAAAAGGTTGCAAGCTAGAGTAGGATAGTGTCTGAGAAACACAGAGCAAGAAGGAGGCCTAAGAATGAAGGGAGCAAATAAGAGTAAGAAGAGGGGCATGGAGGGAGGAGGCAGGGATGAGACAAATGGAACCAAGGCCAATTGATGGTTGCTGTGCAACTACGCTAAGTGCTGACCCTCCCCCAAACCCTTTGGTTGGTAAATGATCACCATAATGGATATGCAACCCGCTAATGACCCAGCTTGTAAACCTTCCAGGGGGGTTTGCAGAAAACCCGTTAATAAACTTCAACTTCATCCATGTGACCCTGAGACCCCACTTCTGAGGGCAGACAGAAGAGGAAGTGGGTATTATTCAGATGCACAGGGCAAATGGAATTAAGGCACACTGATGACTGGGTGCCTGCGCCATGCCATTCATGAGGCCAGCTTTGTCTCTTCAGCATCTCACTCAAAAGAGCACTTCTGCCAAAAAGCCACCACCCCTGTTCTGCCTTTCCGGTTGTGCTTCAAAGCCGTTATTGTGTCACTTGCTCTGGGCTTGAAATTGTTCCTTAGATTTCTTCCCCGAAAGAGTTTACAGACATTGTACAAAGAAATTAATTAAGTAGATTTTCCATTTGCACAATTTTAATGAATAAATGATGTTCCTATTTGTTTATCTGCTTTCTAATTATAACACAATTCAAAACATCTTGGTTTTCTGCATTCCGACAATGTTATTGTTATGGTGGTGTTATTGCTGTTCTCTCAGTGCAGGTAATATTATTTTTTTTAGATAGATGCCAGGTGCAGTATTCCATATTTATTAAAATGTGATCTGCATATTTTTCTCTTTTCATGTACTGCTTATCTGTACAAGAGCAGAAAGTTAAATATAATGCTCTGCATTAAAGAGCCTGAAAAGAGTTTCACAGACAGTCTGAGGATTTGTGGTCTGGTGTGGGGATTAGGCTTGGGTGATGCAGTTCAGGGCCAACAGAGAGAGACTTGGGCTAGGGGCCAACCAGCAGGACCTAACTTTACTGCTCCTAGCAGCCAACAGGCCATGAACTCTGGCAGGAAGGCCTGACAAATGGAGTTTTCCCAAGGAGACAGATGTCAGCGGCTCAAAAGCCAGCAGGCCTGAAACTCATGGGGAGCAATCTAGAGACAAAGGAAGGAGGGCTCTGGACAGGAGATACAGCCTCTTCCTTCTTTGTCGTAGAGTTTTGAGGTGGGTAGACCAGAAATCATAAGTGTTTGTTACAGACAGAATTCAGAGGTCTGTAGAGGAATCCTGCCTTACTGAGGTTGGGCAGATGTCCCACGTCTCTTTTCTGCCCTCTCAGGGTGCAGGGAAGCATCATTGTACACTTTTGCCCTTGACTGGAGGAGAGTTGTCTGTAAATCTGTCCTGACCTCAGATAGGCACTTGAGAACCATCCAGTTTAATGACTGATTGTGGGCCCCCTATGATGTGTCATTCACAGAGCTAAGTGCTGGGAAGACAGTCCTGTTCTTCAGGAATTTACAGTCTAGACTCCAGAAACTGCATTGGGAGACCTCTGTAAATATGAGTTGCTTGGCTCCCTGAAAGAGTTATATCCTTGGCCTGCCTTGAGGTCAAATGCTGTGGATACTGCTCACAGTGGCTTGAAATTGCACTCCTTTTCTCCTTGTGCACTCCTTATAACCCCAGGGGTAGGAGGATGGTGGTATAAAACATACTCACTGTCCATGCTTGCTAACCCATGGTAAAAGGCAGTGTGGTATAGAGGAAGGAGGATTTTGAAGTAGAGCGATCTGGAATCCCAAATATTTCCTGCCTTAGTGTGAGATACTAAGTAGGTAAACTTAATCTCCTGGGCTTATGTATCCTACTGTGCACAATGACAACGTGATTCTTGGTTTTTGTATAGTAGTTGCAGCATTTAGATGAGGTAATAGTTGTGAAGTTCCTGAGAAGTGCCTGGACGTTAATAAATGACTGTTCTTGATGCATAATGACTGTTCTTGATGCATAGGCCTGCGGAGGAGGCAAGAGCATTGTATCATTGTCCAGGATCTGGGAAACTTTGCCAAAACCTGGCTCTGTGACTTGGTCAAAGTACTCAACCTCTCAGCCTTAGCATCTGATTTGTAAAATGAGGATTTGGATTAGAAGACCTTTGGCAGGAAGGTCTTGTGATTTATTGATTGCTATAGTCAACCATTGCCAATGCTAAGTTTGTTGGCTTTCTTCTATGAATAGTCAATGTACCCTGCTTGGACTCTTCCTTCTTGTGGTTTCCAAAACTTGACCTCTTTCTTATGCAGTTTCCTCCCAGTGAGCACCCTAGTCATCCTTTATCCTCACAACTATAGTTCTTTTGTGTTGCGTTCTGAGCTTGTGCCTTACTTCTCAGGGATTTTGCTACTGTGGACACTTTCATCTTTTGTATGTTATTTCCTGTTCCTTTCTTTGGTGACTTTCTTTTTGTCTGTACTCTTTGGCCTCTTGCAAAAAGCAGGGCCATTGATCTTTATACCCTTCTTATTTTATTTTCGCTGAGTCTGTTGATTAAATTGTACATTGGCCACATACTATGTTTATTAATGAAGCCACCATTTAAGAGGTAATAAAGTCTAGTGTAATTGGCTTTATTGCCTCTGCCCAACCTCTTTACTGGACAGAAGGTCAGTCAAATGGATAGACACATGTTTATCTCTTTACAATAGCAGCACACAACTGCTGCTGCATGAAGGTGGCCTCTTCATTGCCTCCCTCCGTACAACATGTTTATGTTATCTTTATGTGAAAAGATCTTCTTTCCTGATCAGCCATCAGTGATGTGCTCCAAGCACAGGAAGTGCCTGTGGTACCCAGGAATTGCAACAGCTGTCAGAAATAAAAGATATGTCTCTTGTTCCTGAGAAGTTTATAGTTTACTGAGGGAGACCACACAGCACACAGGGAGTTACATATAATCTGGGCTGTTATCTTATAAGGCAGAATACAGATATTTTGAGAAACCTACCACAGTCCAAGGTGGTAAAGGAGGGTTTATTTCACTCTACACTGAGCCTAATTGAGGGATAGGAGTTTGGGGCTGCTAGGAAGGAAGTTATAGGCAATTGAATTTGGCTCAGTAAAAGGATGAACTATAAAACTGTCAGAGTTGCTCAAAGACATAAGAAGCTGTTTCATGAAGTGGTGAGTTCCCTGTCAAAGGTGGTAATAAAATACCTGATGGGAACATTTTGATAGGAGATACGAACTAACAGTGAATTAGCAAGGCAATTTAAAAAATCTCCTTGAATTCCTGGGAGTCTGAGACTTAAGACTCCCTGGACTAGGGAGGTAATGGGAAAGTTCTTTGAAGAAATGGGACTTTGAGGTCCCGTTAACTAATGAAAGGCTAGTTAAGTGGAAAGCACTGGAAAGGTGCTCTCAGGCAATGGGATAGAATAAGTTAGGAGCTTGGACATTGGCTGATACTCAGACGTAGGACCATGCACATAGGAATCCATGGGATGGGTTTTAGAACAGCTGGATCTCCTGCCTTTTTTTTTTTTCTAAGTTCCTTAGCCATTCAGATAAACTAGGGCATTTCTATTGGGACTTCTGTGTATTTTTGGACACTTGATCATTCCATTGTTGGGATTTTAAACAACAAAGTATTGTGAATAGAGTGTCTTGGGCTGCAGTTTCTCAAACTGTTTTGCTGGGGGACACATGCCCCACCCCAGCATGGCTTCATAAGATGGAAGAATTAGCTGTTAGAGCTACAGGTCATTCTGGTGGCATATGGACAAGTTCAAACTCAGTTTTGTGTCAATTTTACAAAGGAGAAGATTAGGTGTGGAAAATAAAGAAAAATTGATATGGAATTCCACAGAGCATCCTGGAAGTATGACAAACCTTCAATCCTTTGGACTCTATTAAATCCATAAATATCTTGTATAGCAGAAGAGGGAATAAACAATCAATTCACCCCAGTGTCAACAGAGTGGTCTTAGAAAAACCTGGATCTGATATGGCTCCTTTGCTTAAAATCCTTTAGTGTTGCCTGATCACCTCTAATAAGAACATCAACCTTCTTGGGGTGGAAAAAAAGGCAGTTAATGATTGACAGCATCAACTTTACAGTCCCATTGTTTGGGGATAAATGTTGATCTTAGGCTAGTTACATAGCCTATCTATGCCTTGGTTTCTCCATCTGCTAAATGGAGAGTATTGTAATAGCACCTGCCTCATCAAATTGTTATGATGATTACATGTGTTAATATACATTAAGCATGGAGAATAGTGTCTGGCATGCAAATAATATTAGTACTGGGTTTTGTACCCCCTACTCACTGTGAGCTTCTTGAGAACAGGTATCATGTGCTTTTTGTGGGCATCTTCCCAAGTACCCATCACAACACAGGGCTGGCACATGATATGCATGAAGGTTAAGAACACAGGTTGAGCAGCTGGACTGCCTGAGTTCATATTCTGGTTTCATCCTGGGACCATCTGCATGGTACTAACTCTCCTCATTCTTGATTTTTCTCATCTGTAAAAATGAGGTGAATAAATGAGACAATACCAGTAAAGCATTTCATTTAGCACAAAGCCTGACACTAAAATTGTTAGCTAATATTATCCTTAGAGATCAATAAAAATGCTTGCAGAATACATAGTCAACATTCCAATAAAAAATACCAAGATGTGTCCACTTTTTTTGTGCCCCTCTCCCTTTTTTGCTGTCGTAGTGGCCAATCAATTCCCTGTACCTCAATTTCCATGTTGACTATATGGTGATAATTCTACCAAATGTTTACTTCCCAGAAGGACCAAGAAGATGGATGTTCATGTTTTTAAAGTTGCTCTAAGCGACCTATGGAAAATTGCAAGTGAAAAGTATTGTTCTCATCATGATTATTAATTGATTCTCCAACCACTCATCAGTTGGAATATGACTGATCCACAGACTCTGGAGGAAGATTTATCACTTGCCTCCCCAAACCTATGGATGTGCCTTTCATTAAATGCAATTATCTCCCAGCCAATGCACGCGTCTTGAGTCCACCACCTCTTACTCAATGAAATCATTAAACCTCTTTGCAGCAAGGAGCCGTCAAAAGCCACCTGATGAAAAATGACCATGGATTGGTATTTGCTTTTAATTATACAATATCTGCTCTTGGAGAGTTTCAAGGATGTTGCTCTGTTGTCTCTGCTCCCTCTGTTTTTTTCTTTTATTCTTAAATATGGTTTAATACTCCTTTCCATTTCTGTACATCACAACACCAAGATTTTACTGCTTAGGATCTGTCTGTAAAGGCAATGGAGAATGCAAAGGCTACAGTTTTCACCCCCTCTTATGTATGTGTTTGTATGTGTAAGTGTAATACGTATCAGTATATATTGATACACACATCAATACATAATACAATATATATTACCAAAGGGAACACACTGATTAAAGAAACACAAAAATTTAGCATCATTTCCAAACTTAAATAGTAAAAATAAAAACTACAAAAGGAGCTGCACACCCTAAATGTATCATGTGAAACAACAAGCACATTCAAAAATGTAAATTTACATCCAATTTCTCTGGTCTTGTCATATCACATCAGACCCATTTACAATGGCAAAACCCTAAGGTACTGCTGTGAAGAAAGCATGTTTGCTTGCTCTTGGGTGTTCTGCAAACAAATAGCAGAGCCCAAAGCAAAAAAAGCCTGTCCCGGTGAAGTCTCCCACATTGGTGAACACCAAAGAATCAACTCTTCTCACTGGGGGTTGAGACATCAGGTTACACATTGACAGACAGTATTTGGACTTCAGAGTACAGTGTGAGAACTAGAATCTTTACATTTAAGACATATTTCCTTTATTCAAGTGAAACAGGATTATTGGAACAATAGGCAGGTCTGTAACCTGGGAACAAGGAGTTGGTTCAGACCAATAAAGCTACGAGTGACTGAATCAAGTCAGCAAAGAACAACAGTCAGGCACGAAAGTGTTAAAAGTACCCAATTTGAAAACCAAATGCACCCCACTATCCTAGTTAGTGTGGAGGTGATACCAATTGACTTTTAAAACCTTTGGTCCTTCAAAGTCCATTTGGTATACTTTTTATCATTGCTACCACTGGCCACATACTATACACTTTGTTCACTGTCACCACCTCGGGCATGCCATGACCTTGCATGTCAGCTGGGTTCAAGTCTGACTTACAGCCCAGCTGTGAAGCATAAGCTTCAGGGTTTCAGGCCACCTTTTGGATCCAACATGGTCTTAAGTCCATGGTGACAGAAGCTCTGTCCTATCCCTTCCCACCCATCCCTCATTTCTCATGTGAGAGGTGCTTGTACGTCCCACATTTGAAACAGATGCTCCAACCCCACCAGGAGGTCAGGAGTTTATAATTACATGCAGTCATAAATGTCTGTCATTCCTGTGAAAAACCTTGTAGTTCATTTTAATAAATCAAAACATTCACATAATCTCATGCCATCCAACACAAGGAAAACACATCCACCTCCCTTTTAACAGGGATTGACCCAAGCAAAAGAAAATCCTCTTTAAATTTCTTTGCTTCCACTTAAATTGCATGTTTTATTTCTCCCAATCCCAGCAAAAGCAGAGAAACCCCATCATATCCATCCCAAACTGATTGCGAGTAGATTAAGGTTATAGGGACCCTTGTCAGATGCTTGATACAAAGGGCTCCCAAATCCCAGGCACAAATGTGTCTGCAAACAGATGGAAGTTAACAGTGCACCAGCCCAAATGCTTCATGATTCAGTTTGATTTTGCAATGCAGTTTGCATCCTTGAAACTGCCAGTCTGGGCTCCCTCCTTTTTAAAAATGTATTTATTTATTTATTTATTTTACTCAGCCCTCCCTTGTTACTGTTTTAGAATGTAGAATACCAGTGTATGTGCTTCTTCTTAGGACCGCTCCATAGGCAGGAGCCTGCCTCAGGAAGGATGGACATATTTGAGAAGGGTGATGAGTCACTCAGGGATGGCTGTCTAGAGCTCTCCCTTTCTGACATCCTCACCAAGAAAGAAAGCCCTCAAATAAATATTAGTCTTTGTCTCGCGGAGGCCACAATTCAACATGTAACACAGTTTCCTTGAAGGAATTTTTTGAGCCCTCTTATATTAGCTATAAACAGACTTACCAAGCAGAGGATGAGGTTTAACAGCAGTAAGGTTCAAAGGAGGGTGGAAGGCTGAGATAATCCACAAACTGGGGAAAACTTGGGGCATATTGTGAGGGAGGGAGAAACATTAAAGGGAGAAAGAAAACCACCAAAGATAAATATCCACCCCCTCCAACCCTGTGAGCTCTGCCTCTTGCCGGCCTCATCTTACAGAAAGAGCAAGCCCAAGTGAGGTGACTGTAGGTTTGGGGCAGACAACATAAACCACCATGAAGGGCAATTTCTGTAGGCTGAGTTCCACCAGTGAGATGGAGCAGGGATCACTCTTAGGGGTCTGCAAGGCCCAAAGCATGGAAATAAAGGAAAATCTTGAGTTATTTCATGGGAAATTTCAGGCATCTAGCTAGCCCTGAGAAGTAAGTGAGCAACTTGTCAAGCAAGAAGGTAATAGTAGCTTAAAACAGTATCCCAGAAAGAATCATGGGATGTTTGGTTCCCTACAGGAACTAAAGATAGCATTTTTTTTTTTTTTTTGAGACAGGGTCTCACTCTAAAGATAACGTCTTAACATATGTCCCTGAGTTGTTTTTCAGAAATCCAGATCCCCACCAAATGGATCCGCTGGCACATAGACCTCAGATAAAGAGGAACTGAGGACTGAATTCTGACTGCTGTTCTTTGTTCTGAATTTCTTCCTGAGGGGCCTGGAGGTCAGATGTAATATTCTGCTGATCCCAAGCTTTTAGAGAAAGCTTCGCCTCCTAAACCAATTGCAAATTAGAAAAATTTTGGATGCACCTATGTCTTATGAGCCCCTGCCTCAAGATGTCCCACTTTTTTAGGTCAAACCAATGCCTATCCTTCATGTATTTGACTTATGACTTTGCCTGTAATGTCTGCCTCCCCACCTTTAAAAACCCTTACCTGTAAGTCATTGGGAAGTTGGAGTCTTCAGCGTTAGCTGCTCACCTCTTCTTGCTTGGTGCCTTGCCATAAATGCCTCACTTTCTCTCACTGCAGTCCCTATGTCAGTGTTTGGCTTTGCCGCACTGAGTGAGCAGACCCCAGCTTGGTTTGATAACACCAGCAAGAGAGTATTTGAGGATGTCTTGGAAGCCCTAAAATGAGGAGCAACAAGAACTGTTAACAGATGAAAAAAGCAGAAAATGGAGTGAAGGAAAGAAGACGTAATGAAGCTGGCTATCTGGAGATGGAACATTCAGTTTCTCAGTTGCAAGTCTCTGAAATACCCTGTGTGTAGCTGAGATATTTTCCCAAAGTTCCACAATGCATATGAGCAATGAGGCCATACAAGCTTGTCCAACCCACCTTATTTTGTTGTTGTTCTGCTTTGTTTTGTTTGTTTTAGGCTTTCAGCAGCCCAAAGCCATGGTTTTTAGTTTCTGTCTCTAGTGATTAAGTGGAAATGAGAGATGCGAAAGGGGCTTTACTGGCCTAACCAGAAACAGAAACTAAGGACCCATGACTGTATTCTCTCCCTTGGACAACCTTGTATGGAGTAACAAAGGGCCATTGGATCATTCCTCAGGTGCCCCATCAAGATTAACTACCGTTGACAATGCCTCATAATGATAAGTGGAAAAGAGAGATGAAAAGGGGCTTTACTGGCCTAACCAGAAACAGAAACTAAGGACCCATGACTGTATTCTCTCTCTTGGACAACCTTGTATGGAGTAAGGAAGGGCCACGGGATCATCCCTTGTGTGCCCCATTAAGATTAACTACCACTGACAATGCCTTATTCTCCAGCAGCTCAGGTCTTTGATGCTAGGTGCCAGTGCTGAATGGATGTGAAAGTTCTCTGTGCACTTTGACTTACGGCCCAAGTGTCCTTCCTCCAACAGCCTTCCTCAGAACTTTACGCTGATATTTAGTCACAAGCAAGTGAACATTCCTGAAGGACATCAGAATGACTTCTATGTATTTTTTTGTGTTATATTATTTGGGACTGTCAAATCATAATTGAATATATTTATGGAGTATAAGTAATGTTTTGATACATTCATACATTGTGGGATGATCAAATCGAGCTAGTCAATGTATCTGTCACCTCAAATATTCGTCAAATTTTTTGTGAGAACACTTAAAATCCTCTCTTTTAGCTATTTTGAAACAGGCAGTACATTATTACTTATTGTAATCACCATGCTGTGCAGTAGACCACCAGAAGTCATTCGTCCTAACTGAAACTTCACACTCTTTCACCAAAGTCTCCCCTTTACCCACCCATGGACCCTCCCCAAGAATGAACAATTTGGAGTAGAAGATAGATTTCACGATATTACGTAAAATACATTCCTACATTCTCCTTTCAAAAAGAAGCAAGAAATAAAAAAATCAAAAACATCAAAGCTAAAGCAGCCCTAAGTGTAACTTGAAACTGCCTGAAGGAGGGCAGGGGAGGGATCACATAATTGCAGTGAGAAGTTCTGTTTTGCCAAATACTTGAGTGGAAAAATTATTGTTCCAAAGACCCAGTAAGTGTGACAACTTACTTGTCAAAACATTAATTCACATTTTGCTTTGATGGAGAGAATTTAGATTTTAAAATATATCTGCAGGGGTACTTAAAGCAGTCACATCTCATGTTTAGTATAGTTGTCATTAACAATTTCAAAGTTTTGGGGGCTAGAGGTCTTTCCCCCAATTAATGAGACTAAGTCCAAAAGGCTTCTGACCCTCTATGTTCTTTATATTTGATGATGCTGCCTTGTTAGGTTTTTGTCACTTTTGCCCCGTGCAATCTTTTAGCTCTAACACAAGTGTTTCTTACTTATAAAAATAGTAGGAAGCTTGAGGTACGTAGACAAAATGTGACAGTAGTGATATTAGTGCAGCGGGTTACAGTCCTATCCACATAGAAAATGAAAATTTTACGTCCTAAGCAAGAAGTTGGCAGCATGCAACTGTAAGAGGCACCACAGATTCCCCATAGATGCACCTGGTTAAAAGACAGCCTCCTCCTTAACAATACCAGAAGAAAGCTATAGAACTTGTGAGTTTATAAAAATTTAAAAAGATTAGTTAAGATCTGAACCCGTAATATGAAATGAGTTTTATTTAAATTCCTAAAGACAAACAAGTACAAATGTAAGAATACAACAACTTATCAATAAGGCAGTTTCACAGCAGTATATTTCTGAAGCTGCTCACCAGTCACTTCTTCCTAAGTCATCACTGGAACACTTAGAGGACGGTGTTGAGGGTTTTTCCCTGTCAGAGGCCTGAGCTGTCTCTTACTCTTTATTTGTCCTCACTCATTTCAGCTGGTGTCCATTGTTATTTTTCACTTTCGCCCAAGTCACTTCCTATTAATCCAGTTGTATTTGTCTGTCTGTAGTTGATCAACAGAGCTGAGATATTTTGCCTTAACCACACAATCTTCATTAACTGCATTAGTGTTGTTCTTCATTTGTTTCTCATTCATTATTTCTCATCCTGAAAATATTTATGGAATACTTACTCTATGGCAGAGTTTGTTACTCTCATCACAACTGACGTTTGGGGCTGAGTAATTCTTTGTTGTGGAAGATTGTCCTGTGCATTGTGGGATGTGTAGCATCATCCCTCGCCTCTACCCACTAGATGCAAGTAACACCTCTCCCCCCAGCTGTCACAACCGAAAATGCCTCCAGACATTGCCAGATATCCTCTGGAAGGCAAAATCACCCTTGGTTGAGAACCACTGCTCTCTGTCAATCACGGTTCTAGAAGCTATGGATACAGAAATGAAGAAAATCTTGAAACTGTAAATGCATGCAATATAACATGTTGACATAAGAAAATCTCCTTAGTTACTAGCCTATGTGCCCTGTTTGAAATAAATGATCTATATAAAATCCACTGCAGGCTGGGAGGGTATTTATAGACCCACAAGGCTGTAGGTGGCAGCAAAAGGCATTTTCTGGGTTGAATTCTCCCTGGAAGGGTCCTCTTATCTACACTCAAAGCATTTTTCTCCCCAGTCATTCATCCAACAAATATTTATTGAGAGTCCACTGGTTACCAGGCATGTTATGCTTGTTTCCCCTTCTCCCTTTGATTAGCTTTCTCCATGACCTCCAGAACTAGCCACTAGCCACTGTTGGGGGTTTTAAAAGCTATTCATTTGCAGTACCATGCTGCCTCCCCAAAGCATTTCTATTTAACTGCCATGTGCCTACTCCATATGGAATACACAGGAGGTCTGGAAATTCACGATTCAATTAACAGGAATTTAATTAGTGCCTACTCTTTGTGAGGTAGATTAAGAAGAATATGGTATGTGTCCTTCACTTGACCATGAGCCATTCTGGAAGTTGGGACATCTTGTTTCAGAAGCCCTGGGAGCGTTTTCCTAGCAGATCAAAGTCTACCAGAGAGAACTGTTCAGGGTGGTTCCCACAAAGGTTTATAGTATCCATCATCAGCAATCTAATGTGTATATGACTTTACAGAAAAGGTTTCATTTTTCTTTTAAAAATTCTCCATTTGCCGCACACACACTGGTAACTTGGTCATAGTTGCTGGGGTGGATTATAGATGTCTAAAGATGTCTCGTGTAATATTTTTACCACTTCTGCCATTGAGCAGTGGAGTCTATTTCCCCTCTTCTGGAGTCTCCTAGCTTTGACCCATAGAATGTGGCAGGAGTATACTCTGTAACTTCCATGGCCATGCTGTAGGAGATCTGCGGTGGCTGCTTCCAGCCATTTGCAGTACTTTCTCTTGGAATATCATTGCAATGCTGTGAAAACCTCAAGCCATGCAGAGGAGCACTGAGGTGCTCCAATGGACAGCCCTAGCTGTCTCTTCAAACAGCAGGGAGCCTTCACTGGCAGCCATGGAGGTGAGACTATTTTGAATTTTCCAGTTGTTCTGCAGCCCTAGCCAATAACACGTGGAGCATAGATTAGCTGTCCCTGGCGAACTCTGCCAAAATTGCAGAATTGTGAGCAAATACATGATGTTTTTTGTTTTAAGCCACAGTTGTTTCTTGGATTGTTACTCATCAATCGATTCAATAGACAACAAAGACAGTTACTTCTCAAAATTTCTTCCCTCTGAACTCTCTCCAACTTTCTGCTGATTAGGAAGTCCAGTCCCTAATGGCCTAGTTGACTGTCCCTGGCATGGGCTTTCAATTTAGCTTCTCCATCCATTTTTTTCTCTATCCGTGATGAATTGTCTTGCCTTTGGGGAAGAAATAGACCATTCCCCAAAACTTACCCACTTACTCTTTCTTGCTCTTACTTGAGTCTAGATTTGGACCACGAGACTCTCACTTTAACTGGTTAACCAAGAAGATTGATCATTTTCTAGTTATAGATTCAATTTATACTATCGTTTTCTGAAGTAGGAAGTCCCCTCTGGTTTTTTTTTTTTTTTTTTTTTTTTTTTTTTTTGAGACAGAGTCTTCCTCTGTCACCCAGGCTGGACTGCAGTGGCACAATCTCGGCTCACTGCAACCTCTGCCTACCAGGTTCAAGTGATTCTCCTGCCTCAGCCTCCCGAGTAACTGGGATTACAGGTTCCCACCAAAGTAACTGGGATTACAGGTTTCCACCACCACGCCCTGCTAATTTTTGTATTTTGTATTTTATTTATTTATTTATTTATTTATTTATTTATTTATTTATTTATTTTGAGATAGAGACTCCCTCTATCACCCAGGCTGGAGTGCAGTGGTGCAATCTCAGCTCACTGCAATCTCCGCCTCCTGGGTTCAAGCGATTCTCCTGTCTCAGCCTCCCAAGTAGCTGGGATTACAGGCACACACCATCATGCCTGGCTAATTTTTGTATTTTTAGTAGAGATGGGATTTCACTATGTTGGTCAGGCTGGTCTTGAACTCCTGACTTCAGGTGATCCACCGGCCTTGGCTTCCCAAAGTGCTGGGATAACAGGTGTGAGCCACCATGCCCAGCCTAATTTTTGTATTTTTCGTACAGTTGGGGTTTCACCATGTTAGCCAGGCTGGTTTTGAACTCCTGACCTCAAGTGATCCACCAACTCGGCCTCCCAAAGTGCTGGGATTACAGCCTTCTTTTGAATCACAGGGATGTTAATCAGTGTGCAGTAAAGACTGAACATAAAAATGGCGAATGGATATAAATGCTGTTGTTGGGAACTATGGTCCTAGCTGAGGGGCACCAAGATTAGAAGAAAACACTCACCACCCACGATGAACTCCAACAGGACTCCCTGTCAGATTTTCCAACAAAATGCCCCTTGTAAATCACTTTTAGGGGCCTTTGAATCCCTAAATTTCAGCAAAGTCCTGTTGAGATGCTGTATATGCTTTTCTTATATGAAATATTTAATGGTCCATCTCAGCCCCTTGTAGCAGGCTAATGCATTTCCTCTCCTGTTTTATCAGCAGTGTTTTGTGTTAGTCATTTATACCACGGGGTGGACTTCTCAGCCCCTACCTCCCTGCACCCACCCACCCAATCTTGTTATGATGTTCATTTGTCACATGCAGTACTGTGGTTCCTTAGAGAAACACAATTGATATGCCATCAAATTGCTCCTGACAGAGTGGTTTTAAAAGCTTTTAGAGCGGATGTACAGGGGAAAGTTTTGTCTTCACGGAGTCAGTGTGGCTCATCTGTCTTTATTAAATGTCTAACAGTTACACTGAACAAGAATGACATTTTAAATAAGAGTAAGTACTGCTTAACTTTTTAATGTCATTTTTTTAGAGCCAAGGATTTGAATTTTTTTGGTAAATGTACATAGCTCAGTTTATAATATAGGCTTTCATTTTTTTCTCCACTCTTTCCTCCATTGCAAATATCTAAATGTCTCTATTTTCAGTTGAGTTGGTAGAATCTGTCTCTCTTGAGATGTTCGGGGATTTCTTTTTAAAGGCATTGGCAGATTTCTTTCTGTACAGGCTTAAAGTTAGCCAGTCTTGTCTGGATTCAGGGGGTTACAAAAGTAGCATCAGCAGCAAAGACTGCTGAGTACAGGGAAGTTGGGAAACATCATGTGAAAGACAAGGAACTGGATATTTACAAGTCAACAGTCAGGTGGGCAATAGAATCCCAAAGAATACAAAGGCTAAATGATCACTGATCCAGCTGGCATGTTCCAGTCCTTGCAAATAGCTGCCTAAAGGCCTCTAGGCCTGCAGGGGCAAACTGAGGCAGGAGCTCATGTGCACTGTGGGGCAATGCACCCGAGAGAGCAGAGGAGCAGCACCAGAAGCAAAGTATGGGCCTTACCACCAAGGCCACCTGTCCCAGCTGCAGGCCTTTATTTTAAGAGATTTGATTCTGGACGAGCATAGTTTTCCCAAGCTCTTTGCTGAATTTCAGTTTTATTTCTCTGAGGCTTTGAAAGTTTATGAACGTATGCCATATAGAGTGTAGTTTTCCTTAGGTTCCATAAGGAAAACTGTCTTCCTCTTCAAAATAAAACCAAACTCTCCTAGGCTTGGCACTGGAAAGAGCATCTCCGGATGAGAAGAGAAGGTTGAACCACTGGACTCCTCTGTGCCCTAAATCAACTTCAGGCTGCAGATCATCTTCTTTATTGCTGCCTTGTGTGCTCCACTCCTCTGTTCAGTGGATGGAAATCTCTTTCACCTGATGTGTCATTAGCACTGCTGACCAAACTGGAATTTACCAAATTAAAAAAACAAAACTCAGAAAAGCTTCAACCTTCTGACTTATTTTGTTATTTTTTTTTTTTTTTTTTTTTTAAGACAAGTTATTTCTCTATCATCCAGGCTGGAGTGCAGTGGCGTGATTTGATCATAGCTCACTGCAGCTTCAAATGCTTGAGCTTAAGGAATTCTCCTGACTCAACCTCCTGAGTGGCTGTGACTACAGGTGCATGCCAGTGTATCCAGCTAATTTTTAAAAGTGTTTTTTGTAGAGACAGGGTCTTTTACTTTGTTGCGCAGGCTGGTCTTGAACTCCTGGCCTCAAACAATCCTTTCCACTCAGCTTCCCAAAGTTCTGGGATGACTTATAAAATACATGTTTTTGATCCTGTTATGAGAAGTCTGTAGAAACGCTACCTCTAGAAAATGTACTGTTCACACTCCAAGATATTTCTCTATAGATGGACATGTACATACACATGCGCACACACACATCATATCCATTTAACAGGGCTCAGCCCAAATGTCACCTTCTCTGTTCACTACAGCCAATTACAGTTTCTTCTTTCTCTATGTCAGGGCTTTTCTAATAATATGTCCCCAGCCCTTGTAGTGCTCCAGGCATTAGGCCATAGAAATACCCCTTAATATGCACCATTTGTGTAGCATACTTACGTAACTGTAGGCCTAGCAGCATTAACTAAGGAGATTGCCTGTGTAGACACTGAAATTTCCAACTGCTAGTTCCTTTCCAAGTCATGTTGATTAGGTTTCTTAAAGAGGATCTTCAACTCTAGATTCAGGGAATACTCGATTAGAATGGATCACACACACACACACACACACACACACACACACACACACACAGTGTATTCACTTTCTGAAAGTTTATTAGACAATGACCCAAGATGCAAATGTTTAGTTACAATTTTAAGCCACATTCAAGATCTTGTTTAAACACAAAAAACACATGCCTGAAGAATGAAGAGTGAACGCCAAAGCATCCACCCTAGGCCTGTTCATTATCTCCTGCACCTCCACCTGCATCTGTTGGCTTCTTGGGTCTTGTGCTGGTCATCCCCAGGCTCCAGAGGCCCTCTGCACATCTTCTCAGGGTCTGATTAGTATGGTCAAGTGATTTGTTGCCACACTGTGGAAAATCTTTTTCTGAGATGGTCACGCCTGCATTACTGCTGCCACCACTGAGATTGCTGTGGTGGTGCTTTCATTTGGATTTTACAGCTTGGCATTTTGCCATCTGTGAGCCCAGACTCTCTCTCTGTCTGTCTTCTCTACTCATTACCTCCTCTGAGGCTTCTCTTTCTGACTTCACAATTCCATCTCAAACTTTACATCCTCTCAGGGACCCTGACTTTAGCTCCCTGGCCACAGGGTCTCAGTCTCACTGGCCCCATCTCTCTTCTTCAGCCTTGAGGACCTTGCATGCCGCTCACTTGCTACACTTTGGTCTCACATCCTCCCACTCAAAAAGTGATGGAAACTGAGGCTTCTGGGGCAGATCACTGGGGTCAGATTGGGAAAAGCCTGGAATACCACACCAAGGAATTTGCATTCTTTAGGGGATGTAAAGCCTGTTTTTCATGTTTTCAATTCCAAGCTACAACTTTGAGGATTTTTAGATTTTGGAACACATGTGATTTGGAGAAGGGCTTACAGTCTCTCAGGGGACCATTTGGGGAGAAAAACCACACAGTATGATTATTGTATTTAAATAAACACTGGTGTTGGTTCAGAGCACTATTCCCTGTAATTGCCTACTTACAGAAGTATGCAATGCTAGAACAAAAACTTCACCTGTTTTCCCCGTGTGGTTTCTGAAAATGGATATTTACACTGACACAGTACACTTTTTTCAACTTGGAAAAATATATCACCCTTTTATTTTCAGGCAGATCATGGAACCATTTGTTTTTTAATGTGAGGGATGGTCGTGGGCAGGTAAGCTGCTGGATGTGGAAAGGGAACCAGTCTCCCATCACTTTCTCCTCAGGTGAAGTTGAAAGCTCAGCCTGTTGCCCACGAGGTTAGCTGTCTAGAATCCACAGAGGGCCATCCCTGGGCAAAAATGAAGAAGTAGGCAGGGGCATTTCTCTGTAAGCCTACTTTAATCTCCCCATTCTCTTTTATGCCCCACTCTCCAGGCCTCATTGCTGGGCAGTTTCGTCCCAGGCTCTGTGCCTTCAAGCAGCTCAGAAGCCTATGTTTCCTTCCTGTTTGGTCTATTTATATTTCCCCTCCAAGCCAACACACTGCCTTTCCTTCCCTGTGACAGTGATATTCAGATTTTTCCTTCTGTCTTATCTGGATTCAATTTCATACCAAACCAACTAGAAATGGAGTTTAGTTCTCCCAAGTGAATAGGCACAGTTTCTCTTGAGCTACAGTCTAGTGTGGAGTGTAGAGTCCTTTGATGAGGAGTTCTAACACTAATGACAAGCTATTGCTTCTCTTTGAGGCTTGATTTCCATAGCTGTACAATGATTGTGAAATATACAGTAAGAGCCACAAAATAGCCTTTACTCACACAGCACTTTCAGGACTCTAATGGCACCCCACACATTTCTTCCCAGATTGCTCTGAGCATCCCCTAGTGTTTCTAACACATATTTTTAGAAAGCACTTGACTTGGCAGTACAAGATCTCTGCCATTGTCTTATTCCTTCTTGCTCCTTCTCACCGTAAGCCCACATAGCCGTGCCACCAGCATCCATGACAGGCTCCACCACTGTTAGCTGAGCATCACCAAAGTCCTCATGGTTCCTACTGGTCCCGATTTCTGTGTAATGGCTGGCACTACCCAATGTTTCTGGCAAGGGTTGCCATGCCTGATGTCTGGGGTCCAGCTGCTGCTGCCAGTGCTGCCTCTTCTGCTGCCAACCCCACTCTTTTCATCCTCCTGCTGCTTCCACCAACATTTCTGCTGCCATCGCCAAAATTACAGATGCTGCCAGCACTGCAGCTTTGCTTCCCCCCTGCTGTCTTGTTGCTGCATTGCCATGGGCATCAGGCAAGGGTTCAGGGGCCTAGGCCAAATGGCACTGTGGCCACTTGTATGTCTCCCTCCTGGAAAATGCAGGCTATCCAATAAAGGGGAGAGAGGAACAGGGCAGAGCACTATAAAAGGCAGTGAGTGATTGGTAAAGTTAACTGGGATATGTATATATATTTCATCTTTCTAGACTGTGGTTTCATACGATTCAGTTAAGAATACTTGATCCCAATATCCTTTCAACACTTCAGCATCTGTGAGTCTTTTCAGTGGAGACCCAGAACCTCTAAGTGGATGGAATAGGGCAGGTGGTATAGGCTTGTGGCAGATCCCGGAGAAGAACCAATGCCACTTGATGTTTTTTTTTTTTTTATTCCATGGCATTCCCTGTGTGAGACTGTGCATGTGTGCTTATGTGTGCATGTGTGTTCTCTGTATCTGGAGTCACTACTACAAGTTTTTCAGAGCAGGGGTTGGTTCTCATTATAATCACATTAACCTCCAAGCATGCACTCTGATGCCAAGCTGTAGGATTCCATAAATGTTTGATGAGAAGTTTGTTTGTTTTTCATTCAGAACATTTTTTTTATTATTAAAAGCTCCAAATGACTAGGAACAAAGTGCTTAATATTCTCCAGCAACTCCACCCAGTCAGCACATCAAAAGTTACCAAAAAGGGACAAGAGAAATCAAAGAGATGCAAATGAACATAATGTCACCACCTTGCCTTTATTGTACTTAAAAAAAAAAAAAGATTCAGAAAAATTTTCTCACTAACACAAATCTGTTATTCATTAAATATTGGTGATGTGGACAGGGACATGGGACATTTGTATCTGTGCAAGCCACAACTTAGGCCTTAGCTCCTCTCCTGCTAGAGTTCAGAAATCTTTGGACATGATTGTTAAGATTTGGGTAACAATAAACCCAAAATAACTGGATTTACCTTTATTTTCCTGCACCTTCCCTTCAAGAACTTCAGCCTTTTATATTCTTCCCAAATAGCTATAGAAGTCCTCAGAGGATCTAAGTTGTGTTTGTAAAATCAGCCATATTGACAACTACATGGATCTTTGACTTTTTCTTCCTGCTCCCGCAGAACACCGTGGTGAAATTTGCAGCACCATCCGGTGCCAAATTTAGCATCCAGGTCACTGGTGCCACGGAAAGCGTTGCCACTGATGCTTGTGCCGGGAAAGGCACCTCTCCTCTGCTTCAGTGTCCATGCTAAGGGTGCTCATACCCAAGGCTGCAGGTGCCATTGTTTCCCTCTATTAGTGTCTCCAGGGGCTTACTGAAGGGTCTTTTCATCCTGGGAGCAGCCTATGGTCTTGCCCTTTCTCAGTATTTGTCATCCTGCCTTGCCTGAGTGCCATTACTTCAGAGCTAAGAAAGAAGATGCTCAGTGGTTTTAATTAGGTTAAACTAATCCCTCCTGGTATGTTACCCTTCCAGGAAACCTAATGCCTCACACTGACAAAAATGCACCCAGTGGATCTTAAAAAGTAGTAGAGATTATGCCAGGCGTTGGCCTCGTTTGAAAGGAAGGATCTGGCTTTTCCTGGAAATAATAACCGCCTGTTTTCTCTTTGCATCAGATCAGCTCCCTCTTCTTCCTCACTGCTCCTTCTTTTCCTGACCTCCATTCCTATGGATTAGCTAATTAGTACAAGCACCACATAGATGAGGCTTTATAGCAAGGGTAGAAAGAGCAGATGATGTTGGGAGCATGGAGAATGATATAGCTAATTAAAACAACAACAACAATATTCAACAACAACAAAAACCAGCAGCTGCCTCCCTTCTGCTTCTGGAGGGAAAACTTTGAATCATTTTGTGAAGTTGATTGAGATGTACAGAGCATTGGAGGAATGAATAGTAGTATTATTACATTCAAATTACATGGTTCTCCCTGAAATATGAGAGTGAATATAGTGTAATAAGAACACAAATTTTCTTCCTGACTCACCACTTCCAAACTCTGCAACCTTGGACAAGTTACTCACCCTCTCTGGGCTTCAGTTTTCATATCTATCACAAGGAGAAAATACTAGTGTCTGTCCCATAGACTTGTTAGAAAAATGTAAACAAAGAAAGACCTATGTAATAGAATTGTAGCTGATACAACATTAGTACTTTATAAATATTAGCTATGACCTGAAATTTGCCATTATAATTATTATTTAGGCACTGCCACCCACATTTAGTTCTGCAGTTTATGTGGTTTGATTATTTTTCCCTAGAGAAGGCTCATGGCTTTTTGGCTATTAAGCATTTTTTTTCCTGTTGGTATTTTAGAAAGATATAAAATGGCATCTCAGAAGGGCCTCTAGCTATTGGAAAGGTGAATCGCCCGTTGGTTTAATTAGAAGAGATATTTTCAGGTGGTGCCCTGAAAAATGAGATGATGTTTTTTGAAGAGCTACTGCTACCGGGGAGATAGCTTATCACGGTGTGGGTTTCCACAATGCCGGGAGCTAAGTTCCAGGAATAAACCGAGCTAAGAAATATATTCTGAGTATTGAATGTGATTACGAGGGGTAGGGAGCCTGAAAACATGTGACATTAAGGCAATTTTCTTAGGGACAGAAAGTCATACTCTATTAGGTCTTTTGGCCTCATAAAGTGTTCTAGGCCTGTATGGGTATTTTGTGTTTGTCAGGGTGGACAAGATTGTGCTGAGAAACTACCTAATCCCCATCCCAGTGGCTTAATAACACAGAGTTATTTCTCACTCCTAATACCTGCTGAGTAGAAGCAGCTGCAGGGGTGAGTCCTATGTGTCTCCTCCACTTATCAGCCCAGATCTCCAGGCTGGTGGAGCCTCCACCTTTAATAACAGCCATTCTCAAACTTTTTAATTTCCTAAATTCCTTTACATTCTTAAAAAATATATACAAGACATTTGTTCATATGATTTATAACTATAGATATTTACTGTATTATGCACTAAAACTGAGATGTAAAATATTTATTTACTCATTTAAAAGTAAGTATATAGCCAATACATGTTGAGATAAATAACACTTCATGGAAAATGACCACATTTTCCAAAACAAAACAAAAGAACGACTCTGTTTTGCATTTCCTGGTCTCTTTAATGTCTAGCTTATTTAAGGACAGCTGGATTCCCATATCTGCTTCTGCATTTAATCTATTGCCACATGCTTTTTTGCTTGAAGAGAAAACCTAGGCTTTCACAGAAATGTGATTAGAAAAGAAACAATCTCTTGGACCCCTATAATGGTCTTAAGAAAGCTCAGGGGTCCTTGGATCACAGTTTGAGGACTGCTGAAGTAAAACTTTTCCAGTCACTGTGGCTGAAAACAGGAGTGATAGTTCTCCAGCTCTTTAATATCAGAAGGAATGTAAGTCGCTTTTGCTTATAATTTGTTGCGTACAACTCACCACATGATCAAGCCTAACTTCAATTAAGGCTGGGAAATACGGGAAAACAAATGGAGTAATTAATGAGGAACACTGTTTCTGCCACAAAATCATCTACTTCATATCTTGGTAGTCCTTCCTTTCCTTCCCACCTCCCTCCCCAGTTACTTGCTTGCCAGTGACTTCTTCATTTCCTTTCCTTTTCTTCTTTTCTTTTTTAATGCTGACCTGTAGAGTATTGAAATCAAACTCAATGGAAGTTGGTTCAGAAAATGGGATATCAGGGAGAGCTGAGGCAGATTGGCAAGCCTTGAGCTGCCTTTATTGCAACTGTGTGACACCTTCCTCTTGTTCCTTTGTATCTTTTTCATCTACTCTTCTGCTGTAGCTGTGTTCCCTTGGGCTATTTTGACCCTCTCAAAATTAAAATTCTATTGGCATTTTTTCTGTCTGCTCACATTCAAATCCATGGTTTGCCAGACATTGTATTCACATCAACTATTTCCTCAAAGCAGTTCTCAGATGTGAAGTAGAGATGATTCACCTTGGGCTTCTGGAACTTTCAGCATCCATGTCTGCCTGAGGCCTTCTGTTATCCATTGCTCTAGGCCACTATTGCCCAGATATTAGCATGCATATGAATCACCTGGGGCTCTTGTAAATGCAGATTCTGATTCAGTAGGTTGTAGGGTGAGACTGAGATTCTACATTTCTAACAAGCTCCAAGGTGATGTGGATGCTGTTGGTCCTGGATCACATTTTGAGTTATAAGGCTGTAAACCCAACCCCAACATATATATCCTCTGGGGAGCCATTCCTCTTGATGATTTGCCTCTTACTCCAGAAGAGACTTTGGCTAATCTTCCAAATCTAGCCAATCATTTGAAACTCACTGTGAATCCCATCCGCTACACACTTTGTACCACCAACATACTTGAAGATGTTCAAGTCCTCACGTTAGAAATATGATCGTTTTATGGTTTCTAATAATTGCCCAGAACTTGGTATGATGAATCTTCTTTCCTACTTTGCAAGTAGCTCTCTTAAAATTTGCTGAGAGTCTATCATTTTTCAGTTGTATGCATTTACTTACAAATACAAATTTGGATTTCTAAGGTTCACTTTCCTTATAGCTGGTAATCTCTCTTCTGTGCCTGGGCAGGTGCTCCATGTAGCAATCTAGGCTTAGGAGAAAGGAGAAAAAGGTAGGTTGGTTTGGTGCTCACACATCATGTCCCCTTTTAATTCTGGTGCTAGTGGACTAGAGAAATTGAGAAGGAATAGATTAGAGTCTCCTCACTTGACATGGCTGAGCTTCGCTCCTCATTAGCCATGACTGCTCTTCAGCCTCACTATCTGCAGACTCAGCACAGACAGGTGGTGGGTACCACACGCATTGCTGATGAGGGGCACATCTGTGAACAGCTGCCTAGTTGTGGTGATCCCTTTGGCCACATCCTTCAGTTGGCAGAACCATACTTACTTTCTCTTAACCCTCAAACTAGAGTTGTATTAGAAATACAGAGGCCCCCAAATTTACCTTCTCAGACCTTTAAATCCAAGCAACATCTGATGTTTTATCTTATCCAAAATGAAGAACTCAAAAGAAGGGAGAAGGAGAACTGGTACTTCTTGCTCTACCCCTCTCCATGAGACTTTCTGTCCCTATTTCTGGTTTTCTCACTCTGGTGGTATAGGACAGATCAGCTAGTTCACTGGCTAAGATATACACTGCAAAGAGGAATAGAATGTAAACATTCTCTTTTCTTTCCTTGTTGCAAACTTCCTCAATCTTTTCAGGTTATCCTCTTCATCTCAGGGTAGAAAAATATGTTCTTTCATCCTCCATAAGAGGGGATGAATGAGGCAAAAATGCATTTAATAAAGACTACAGTTTCCAAAAATGCTCCTACCTTTCTCACCACTCTGTCATTTATATTGAACAGGAAAGCGGGGGCGTGGTTGGTGTGAGAAAGGGTTCTTTGACAATTCTCAGTAAGCCCAGCAGGAATGGAGCTATCTCATGGGTCCTACGGGACCCTGAACTTCAAGGGGAATTTAGTTCCTTTATTCTCAACACTGGGCCTTTAACATGAGTGCACGACAACTGGAAACATCCCAGTTGACTGCCTGTTAGATGTGTGTATGTGTTGCATCAGATCTGATCATCAGTTGAGTGAAGATTCGTGACCATTTTTTTGTTTATCAAAACCGTATCAAGTGGAACTTGGGCAAATGAATGGTTTCTATTTTTTTTTCTCAGCTGTTCTGGTGCTGTGTACACTGTCAGAATTAGGTCAAGGGAAGGTAGTTATTCTAATTTGCTAACACTTGCTGTGTCTGAGAATGTTTAATGCAACCACAGAGAAAAAACAGACATGTTTAAAAGGTATGGTATGTCTGTGACATGTGCTATCCCTTGACACATTTGTGTCACAGGTGCCGATTCCTGCAGTTTACTGGTGTTCCACACTTCAGTTCTGCAACTGCAAAAGGTGATGAGTAGAGGTTGTGCTTGCCTCAGCTGGGGGCAGCACTCCCCAATCAAAGATCAAGCATACAGACTGGCAGGAAATTTAACAATTCCCTTTCCCATTCATGGAAATTCAAGCTCTTTTGTCATCATATTGTTTTTATTTGTATACTATATAGCTTGCTGAGCCTCTCATGAGATTTTGAATATGAAACTGATCAATTAGGTAAAAAGCAACTTAATTTTTAAAAAACTCAACCTCGTCACCCTGCATCACTTCAGTGTGGTGCTATTGAATGCAAATGTCAGAAATAGCCTCTTCCACCCGATTAATTATGAACCAAAGAGATCATCAGAGAGTAAGGTTGCCCCAAGGTCTGTGTTCCTTCTTGGCCTCTGTCCATCAATCTTCTGGATCAGTGGTCTTCAAGCATTTTGACTCAAACACACCCCCTTAAAGAGTTTTGAAATACCATGTACTGTCTCATACATTTTAACAGAAAAATTTTGAGATAATCATCTATTCACATGCATTTCACATGTCATAAATAATACAAAGAGACCTGTATGCTCTTTCCCTCGTTTCGCACAATGGTATCATCTTGTAAAACTGTAGTACAATATTCCAACCAAGATGTTGTCATTGATACAGTGAGATACAGACTATGTCTATCACTACAAGTATCACTCATGTTGCTCTTCAATAGCAACACCCACTTCTCTGCCAGCCTCATCCCCTCCTTAACCCTTAACAACCACTAGTCTGTTCTCCATTGCTATAGTTTTGTTGTTTTAAGAATGTCATACAGGCCGGGCATGGTGGCTTACGCCTGTAATCCCAATACTTTGGGAGGCTGAAGCAGGCAGATCACGAGGTCAGGAGATCTAGACCATCCTGGCTAACATGGTGAAACCTCCTGTCTCTACTGAAAATACAAAAAATTAGCCAGGCATGGTGGCGGGTGCCTGTAGTCCCAGCTACTTGAGAGGTTAAGGCAGGAGAATGGCGTGAACCTGGAAGGCAGAGCTTGCAGTGAGCCGAGATCGTGCCACTGCACTCTAGCCTGGGTGACAGAGTGAGACTCCGTCTCAAAAAAAAAAAAAAAAGAATGTCATACAAATGGAACCATACAGTCCGTGACATTTGGGGATTGGGATTCCTTACTTATCATTATTCTCTGGAGATTCATGCAGGTTGTTCAGTTGGACCATTCACCCATTGAAGGACATGTGGGTTGTTTCCAGGTTTGGGCTATTATGAGTAAAGCCACGAAAAATATGTGTATCTAGTTTTTGTGTGAACACAAGACTTCATTTCTCTGGGATAAATGCCCAGAAGCACAATTTGCATGTTTAGTTTTTAGTTTTGTTTGTTTATTTTTAAATAAACTTTATTTTTTAGAGCAAAATTTCAGGTTCACAGCAAAATTGAGAAGAAGGTACAGATATGTTCCCTATATCCTCTGCCACCACACGTTGTTTAGTTTTTTAAGAAATTGCCAGATTGCCTTCCAGATTAGCTGTAACATTTTACATTCTCATCACAATGTATGAAGTCATCCTGTTTCTCTGAATTCTCACCAGCATTTGGTGTTTTCACAACTTAAACAAAAATTAGCCATTCTGATAGGTATATAGTGATATCTCAGTGTGGTTTTATTTTGTGTTTTCCTAATGACTAATGATGTTGAATATATTTTCTTGTGCTAACCATATATCTCCTTGCTTGGAATGTCCCTTCATATCTTTTGTCCATTTCTAATTTCTCCTGCCTCAGCCTCCCAAGTAGCTGGGATTACAGGCATGCACCACCAGAGCTAATTTTTGTATTTTTAGTAGAGATGGGATTTCACCATGTTGGTCAGGCTGGTCTCGAACTCCTGACCTCAAGTGATCCACCTGCCTCAGCCTCCCAAAGTGCTGGGATTACAGGTGTGAGCCACTGTGCCTGGCCCGTAACTTCTTTTTTAATCCTCTTAACAGGACCTTTCACAGAGCAAAAGTTTTCAATTTTGAAGTTCAATTTATGTACATTTCCTCTCATAGATTGTGTTTTTGGTGTCAAGTCTAAGAACTCCTTTCCTAGTCCTAGATCCTAAAAATATTTTCCTATTTTTTTCTAAAAGTTTTACATTTTTCCATTTTGCATTTGAGCTGTGATCTATTTTGTGTTAATTTTATGTAAGATGTAAAATGTAGGTCAGGCTTCACTTCTTTACCTATGGAGAACCAATTGCTCTAGCACCATTTGTGTAAAAAGCTACCTCTTCCCCATTTGGTTGATTTTGTACTTTTGTCAAAAATGTGTCCATTTCTGGGTCCTCTGTTCCATTGTACTATGTGTTGATTTTTCCACCAATATGACAGTCTTGATTGCTGTAACTATAAAATAAATCTCAATATTGAGTTAAATAGATTCTTCCCTCTTTAATCTTCTTTTTTAAAATTCGTTTCAGTATCCTAGTTCCTTTGCCTTCTCATATACATTTTAGAATAATGTTATTTATACGTACAAAAGTTTTTCTTGGATTTTGCTAGAAATCGTGTTAACCTGTATATCAATTTGGGTAGAATTGATGTCTTTATTACCTTGAATCTTCCAACCAATGAACACAGTATGTCTCTCAATAGGTTTTTAATTCCTTTTATCATCATTGCATAGTTTTCAGCCAACAAATTCTGTGTATGTTTTATTGGATTTACATCTAAATGTGTTCTTTTTTGAGTGATTGTAAATGATGTTATATTTTTAATTTCCATGTCAGGTGTTTATTACTAGCATAAGAAATAGAATTATGTTTCATGTATATTGTATCTTGCAACCTTGCTGAACTCCCTTATGAGTTCTAGGAGTTTTTGTAGATACCTTAGATTTTTCTAGGTAGACAATCATATCATCTGCAATACATTGTTTTTTTCTTTTTCAATTGCTATGCCTTTTATTTCCTTTTCTTGCCTTATTGAACTGGCTAGAACACTATGTTGAATAAAAGTGGTGAGAATAGACATCCTTGGTTTCCAATCTTATAGGAAAATCATTCAATCTTTCAGCATTAACTATAATGTTGACTATAGTTTTTTTTTTTGGTAGATACATTATATCAGGTTGAAAATGTTCCCCTCTATTCATATTCTTCAGAGAGTTTATTTTTTAATCATGAGTGGTCATTGACTTTTGCCAATTGCTTTTTCTGCATCAATTGATATCATTGTGTGAATTTTCTCCTTTAGCTTTTTTCTTGAGACAGAGTCTCTCTCTCTGTCGCAAAGACTGCAGTGCAGGGATGTGATCTTGGCTCACTGAAACCTCCCCGCCTCCTGGAGTAGCTAGAATTACAGGCGCATGCCACCACACCCAGCTAATTTTTGTACTTTTAGTAGAGACAGGGTTTCACCATGTTGGCCAGGCTAGTCTCAAACTCCTAATTTCAGGTGATTCACCTGCCTCAGCCTCCCAAAGTGCTGGGATTACAGGCGTGAGCCCCCATGCACAGCCCTTAGCTTATCATTATTATTATTATTTTATATTTTCAGTATATTAAAAAGGAACAGTACGAACGCTGTGGTATTAAAAAGGATCCTTATTTTTCAACAAATGAACTTTTATAAACAATTCTGTAATGAAATGAAAACAGTATCTTAATACATTACAAGTTTTTGTTAAACAAGATTTTAAAATTTTAAAATTAGAAAACGTTAAGATTAAATTCTTTCAAAGGTTCAAACAAAAAAAACAACCTGTACAGTCTCCATTACATGTGTCTTTGTACACATTCTGGGCACTTTGAAAATGTTAAAGTTTTTAACGTTTGACTGACAGAAGTAGCACTTAAAGGCTTCATGAATCTTTTTTCCAAAAAAGTATGCTTTCAGTAAAACATTTTACCATTTTATCTAACTGTGCACTGACATTTTTATTCTTCCTGAAAAGGGGATTTATGCTAACACTGTATTTTTCATGTAAAAATATACGTGTAGAGATATTTTAACTTCCTGAGTGACTTATACCTCAAATGTGGTTTCATGAACAATGTCTAAATTTTAGAATGAAACAGTATGTGTAGATCTACACATGTATGTTCAATTAGGGTAAAGCTCAAGAGCATGTCACAGAAATTATACCTAAATTATATAAGAAGATAAGCAATGCCTTTATCCCCAAACTTTACCAATAAGCCTTCTCAAATAGAATGTTAGTAAAGTGAATCACTGAAAAGTTTCATTTTTGAATTAACTAAAATACCAGTAGCCATTTTAGACTGTCAACCTGGATGTTTTCTTGATTCACTAGCAAGAAATTTCTTGCAATACAAAAAGATAACAAATAATTAAAATATCTGCTTTATCATACAACTTCACCCCCTCCTAAAGTGTCTAAAATGATTAGGAATTGTAGCACCATCTTTTGCATAAAACCCTTTCCTCTTCATAAAACCCTGAGGTGAAAGGTTATTAATGTAATAAAACCACAATTCATTTTGTATTAAACTGTAGCTTTAAAAAAATGTATAAAGAAATGTGACAACTTGTAAAGCTGCTCTGTACAGTTTTTCAACAAAATATTTCCATATCAACTTAGTCAAAGGGCCTAAAATGACCCTATAAAAACAATGTGCTTTTAACATGTGTTAGTGTCGAGATGAGCGCCATTTTCCATCTCTGCTACTGTCTCTTCTGTTATCATAGTCATGGCTCCAGCCATCATGATTCCTATCTTCATAGAAGAAATCATCTCTTTCCTCTGTAATGATGGTCAGACCCATGATCAGTGTAACGCTGTTCCCGGCTATAATGTCTATCTGCTAGGTAGGGATGAGAATTCATTCTGACTTTACGCTGTGATGATGGTGTACCTTGGCGCCACTGGGAGCTTGAAGACTGATTAAAACTATGACTGTGTGATTGAACTGATGGTGAAAATCCTGATTGATCCAGAGGTGAAGAAGCAAATTTTCCACCATATGACATTTGTCTCAAAGCACTGTTCATCACTGCTTGTCTCTGAAAATTTTCTGGAGAAGAGAAAGATCTCTGAATTATCTGTGCTGATGAAGTCATGTTATCCCTAGTCCTTTCGTACCTGCTAGGAGTTGTGGAGGTAGGGCTTGAATTTCCAACATGATATTGGGGATATGGCAAACTGACATCTTGCGAGGCATGACTACTTCCTGATCTAAATTGAATTTTGATAGGCCTTCCATAAAGTTTGATTCCATTAAGTAGATTCATTGCATAAGGAACAGATACTTCATGTTTGAAATTCACAAACGCAAACTGCTTTGGTTTACCATCCTTATCTTTTGGAATTTCACCTTTATTACTGGCCCAGCCTGGTGGAAAACCTCGAAAAGGAGCTCCTCGGTCACTTTCATTTCAAGGTTGCCCACAAAGAACTAGCTTATTATTATAGTAGATTATATTGATTGATTTTCCAATATTAAGCCAGCCTTGTATCCTTGATATAAACTCCACTTGGTCATTTTATATATATATAAATGATATATTGCTGGGACAGGAGATTTCTCTTGAGATTTTCTCTTTGATCCATAAATTAAGAAGTGTGTTGTTTAGTTTTCAGGTGTTTGGAGATTTTCTTTTTATCACTCTGCTACTGATTTCAAGTTTGATTTTATTGTGGTCAGAGAACACATTTTGTATGATTTCAATTTTTTTTAATTTGTTGATGCTGGTTTTATGACCCAGGATATGGTATATCTTGGTATAGGTTCTATGGACACTTGAAGAGAATCTGTATTCTGCTATTGCTGGGTGGAATGTTCTACAAGTGTTGGCTATATCCTAATGATTGAGTATTGTATCTTATTGATTGGTACTGTTGAGTTCTTCTATATCTTTGTTTTTCAGTCTAGTTGCTCTAATTGTTGAGAAGAAAGTATTGAAATCTACAGCAATAATTGTAGAGTTGTCTATTCTTTCAGTTCTATCAGTTTTTGCTTCACATATTTTATAACTCTGGTTTTTAATACATACATATTTAGGGTTGCTTTTTTCATTGATTAACACTTTAATATCACCTGTCTCTCTTTGACTCTGATAGTTTTGTTTGCTCTGAATTCTACTTAATCTGATATTAATATAGCCAATTCTGCTTTTTTTCATTAATAATATTTATATTTTCATATATATGTATTTTTTCATCCTTCTGTATGTATGTATTTTTCATCCTTCTACTTATATTATTACTTCTACTTCCTATATTATTATATTTGAAGTGATTTTCTTATAGAGAGCATATAGTTGGATAATGGTTTTGGATCCAGTCTTCTAATATATACGTTTTAATTGGCATATTTAGGTTATTTGCATTTAATGTAATTATTGGTATGCTAAAGCTTAAGTCTGCCATTTTATTTTTTGTTTTCTGTTTGTTTTCTCTGTTTTTACTTTGCTGTTTTCTTTTCCTGTCTTCCTATGTATTACTTGATCATTTTTTCTTTTATGGAATTCTGTTTTACTTATCTATAATATATCTCTTGGCATAGCCTTTTTAATAGTTGACCTAGGCAATACATTCTTTACACATAAATTATATATATTGATATTTTCATATTACCAATTCTAGTGAAGTTTAGAAATATTTATCTGCCTTTATGTCCCTTTATCCTCACTTTATTTATAGTTATTGTCAATATTTTATATGTGTACATTTAGAATCAAACTAGACAGTGTTGTAATTTTATAATTTTTGCTTCAACCATCAAATATAATTTAGAATACTCAGGAGAGAAGGTAGGTATTTTGTATTTTCCTGTATTTTTGCTTACCATATTTTTCTTTTTTCTTTATATTCTAGCCTTCCCCCAACCCCTCCCCCTTTCCTTTCCTTTCTTACCTTTCCTTTCCTTTCTTTCCTTTCCTTTTGTTTAGAGAGCCGTCTTTAGCCCTTCTTTTGGGGGAGGTCTATTGATAACAAAGTCTTACATTTTCTTCAATAGAGCATGTAATGGTTTCCTCCTTAAAGAATATTTTCATTGGATGTAGAATTATGGTTAACAGTTCTTATTTTCAGTCTTGGAAAATATTGTGCCACTTCCTTCTGGTCTCCCTGACTTTTGATAAGAAATCTACTCTTATTTGAACAGCTTTTCCCAACTTTTGGTTTTTTTTTTTTTTTTTTCTAGATAAGACTTGTATTTTTTCTTAATTTTCGGAAGTGTAAAAGTGGTGTGCCTTAATAGGGATTTCTTTCAGGTTACACTGCTTAGGGTTTTCTGAGCTTCTTGAACCTGTAACTTTATATTTCCAGACACATTTTTGAAGTTTTTAGTTCTTATTCCTTTGACTACTTTTCCAGCCACATGCTTTTTCTCTTCTCCTTCAGGACCTCAACTTACAGGAATGTCAGATCTTTTATAGTACCATAGGTCCCTAAGGCTTTGTTAATTAATTTATTTTTTTTTTCAATCTGGTTTCTCTCTGTTGTTCAAAAGATTGGCTAGTTCCTGATTTTTTTCTTTCCTTTTTTTTTTAATTTTCCAGTTCACCAATTCTTTCCTCCATCTCTTCTATTCTGCTATTAAGCTCATCCACTGAAATTTTAATTTTTGTTATTGCATTGTTTTGGTTCTAAAAGTTACATGTAGTTTTTAAAAATATCTTCTACTTCTTTGTTGAAATTATCCATTTCTTTGATAAGGCCTTCTATTTATTGTTTGTTTCAAGTGTGTTAGTAATTGCTCTTTGAAGCATTTTTTTCATACCTGCATTACAAGAAGTGGAAGTCTAGAAGTCTCTGTTGACATGTAAGTGGGGAAAACTCCCATTGCTGCTGGAAAGGATTGGGAGTTCTGGCTTTTCATGTCTCCTGTGCTGACATCTTAGTGGGGATGACCGGATTATCACTGGCTGATGGTAAAGACCTGACTCTTCACAGGCCTCTTCTGATGTCATGTCAACAGAGTAGGATGATGGTATTTCAAGCTCCTCACATAGTCTCCACTAAGACCCCTGGCAAGTTTTCTTATTATGTGGATCACAGTCTTGGCGTTCTACTTGGGCTTCTCTGATACCACCCTGGTGTGAATGTTGGAACATGTCATTACAGCCTCATAAGGGTGGAAGTCTCAGCTCCCCACTTGGCCTTTGCTGGCCTACATGAGGTTGGAGGCACAGTTTTTTTCAATGGTGTTTACCTAAAGTGGCTATTATCTAAAATTTTTCTACATTAACAGGCTTTCCCTTTTATGATCCTTTGGTTAGAGAAAGCAGCTTTGATGTCATGATATTGTGATATATTAAGAAATATATATTTGATCTTTGACCCTAGTTCCTGGCACAGAGCTCCAAAAACCTTTGAAATTTTCTGAGTGGTAGGAGTGAGAGGATCATGTTTTGTTATTCTTAATATGCACATTTTCAACCATACCTGAGTTTAGTTTATGCTAAGGAATGACTCTTAGGGGATGGGGCATATTGTCAAGGAAAGAGTTTTATGATTAAAGGGTTGGAACTTTCACCCCCACTCTACTTTCCCATCTCCAAGACCTTCAGGGAGAGGAGGACTGGAGATTGACTCAGTCAGCAAAGGCCAATGATTTAATCAACCATGCCTAGGCAGTGAAGCTTCCATTAAAACCTAAGGGATGGGGTCAGAGAGCTGCTGGGTTGCTGAACACATGGAGGGGTTGGGAGGATGGTGTGTTTGGAAAGGGCATGGAAGCTCCATGCCACCTCCTAACTCCCATACCTTAGCTTATTCATCTCTTCTATTTGGCTGTTGGCTGTTTCTGAGTTGTATCCTTAGGTCAATGTTTTTCTGCATTCCGTGAGTTATTCTAGCAAATTGTCAAACCTGAGGAAGGTCATGGGAACCCCTGATTTATAGCCAGTTGATCAGATGACAGGTCACAGTCTGGGGCTTGTGATCTGTGTCTGAAGCTGGGAGGGGTGCAGTCTTGTGGGAATGAGCCCTTTACTTGTGGGATTTGTATTAACTCTGGGAAGCTGGTGTCATAGTTGAATTGTGGGACACTCAGTTGGTGTCTGGAGAGCTGGAAAATTGTTTGGTATGGAAAACCCTCACGTTTTCTGTCAGAATTAGGAAGCAGTTTGTTTTTCTTTTAGGTTGGGTCTTTTTTTTTGTCTGTGCCGTCAGCTTCAAGTGTAAGATATTACAGAAAGAAAACCCAGGGGACTCACCACTGTCCTTCTACAGATCCTGTAATCCCTAGCCAGCCTGACTTCTTCTTGCATTTCATTCTTCTTACACTTGTTTTATACATAATGGCCACAGATTTTACTGGTACTTAGCAGGAGGAATAGGAAAAAAAAGTATATATATATATTAGTAATTGCCATTATTGTTAATGGCAAAAATCACACTTACTTTTGCACCAACCTAACGCTGTATCTTCCAAGAAGTCTATCTCACACATTTTGTTTATATTTAAACATTTTAATTAAAGTTCAAATATATTTTTCTTGTTATTAGAAGCTTGACAATATGAAACAGCTCAGAGAGTGAAATAAGAGGAATCATTATAATTGAAATAAATATACAAGGTTATTTTATCAAAAAGTTTTAAACCACATTTTAGAAAATAATATTTAGCTTTATCCCTTTGGTGCTTGGAAGTATGTCTATTCTCAGGGCAATGCAGTAATGATATTTATGTTGGCTAACAGTTATGCAATCTTTGGTAAAATGGGAGGACTTTTGAAAAAAGATACATCATACATTCTTGGGCAATTTGAGAGAGTAAATACAGTGAAAATATGGAATTTGTTTCCCTCATAACTGTCCTTGAATGTGGACCTGAGGGTACCAGTGTTAAAGATCATTGTTCTAACCAAAATTTGCTTAAGCAAAACATCTGCCTAGACCTTTAGCCTAAAAGATAACTACAGTCAGATATTCTTCTCTGGCCATATTCAGAATTTGTCTTGAATGGTTATCAGGAATTAGTTGTAATGCACGGATTTTTTTTCCATCATTTCACTAATGCATTCAGCTTGAGTTTTCCATTCAGCTCTTAGAGGGAAAAATGCCTGAAAATAAAGTAGCTAATACGTGATTGTAACTGGAATTTCCAGTAGAGCCTTAGGAAAGGTGTGCTTTGATAATATTGATAGAGATAAAGCAGGGGCTCTGCGGCTGTTTGTGAGGGAAGCATTTAATCAGCGTGTATTTGTGTGCTCACTTTACTGAAACACTTTTTCCCACTTTTTATTCTTTGCCATAACCAGTCTACCCTGAGGACACAAAATCAGTGCCTTGGGGGAGAAGCAGGGAATGGCTGTACGTTTGTTTATTTCATCTCCTGAATAGGTATCAGAGAGGCACCACCAGGGGAGGGGCATGGCTGGGTGCAGTACCAGAGGAAAGGAGCAGAGGTATTTGTTCTCTGCACTCCCTTTCTTTCCCCCTCCAGCCTCACAGCTCTCAGAAAAGGGAAGTTCAAGGACATGATCCTGGAAGACTCTCTGACCCTAAGTAGAAGTAAGATTTTATCAAAACCACTAGTTTGAAATAGGTGACAGGCATTGAGGTGCAGGGATGTGGGGACAATTTGAAAGAAAGAAAATATCTATAAAAGCCAAATAAAATAATTCCATCCCCCACCTGCCCATAGAAATCACGTATCATTACTCCTGGAGAAATGCTTTGGTGTCAGATGAATGGTACAGTCTTGTCTCAGTGTCTTACCTCTGTCCTGGGCCCCTACCTCCCCTCCTCCTTCTGATCACCTTCCTACTATTCTCACTCTCACCCCTAAGTGATCATCAAAGTTTCACAGACACATACATGGTTAGAGTGGGAGGAGTTGTTTCCAGGCCATAATATCCATTCTTTTATGTAATTAATAGTAGTATCCAATCTTGGTTGCACATTTACATCCCATTGGGCAGCTTTACAAACTTTTTGATACCCAAGGTGCTTTCCATATCAATTAAATCAGATTGTCTATGGGTGGGACCAGGTATATGTATTTTTTTTTCAGGTACACATTTTTTTTTAGACTTTCTTAGGTGATTCGAATGTATAGTAGGGGATGAGAACTTACGAATTAGAACATTTCCAACCCAGTTGATTCCCGCAAACCAAATTTTCTTCTCCCTTTGCAAGAGAAGTATGTGACTCCACAAGACTGACCTTTGATCTTGGCAAGAGGAGCACCTATCCTAAGCCATGCGATTTAGAGGCCCCCACTTTGGCCTCCCCTGGCTGGGCTCTGCTCCGTGAGATAAGGAATCCATGGGCCACGGGGCCTGACCTTGGGAGCCCATGCCTTTATCCTGCACCACACTATGGGTACCAAGGCCTTAAAACTGACTATCCAAATAGCTCCGAGCTGGCTTCCAGGGTTTGTGGGGCCTCTTGCCTGGGGGCAGAAAACAGTGATGCTGTGGATGGATCCCCCAAATGCTGTTATTTGTAGGGAAGATTGTGTGACTCAAGCCTGGACATTGATTTTAACTGGATGTCCATAGTCATGAGCACGAAATTCCTCACCATGGAGCTGGGATCGGAGGGGAGAGGGGGAAGGCCTTGGGATGATAGTGGTGGCTGAGGTCACAGATTAACCACTTAGGTTGGAGAAATCCAATCAGAATCTGGCCTTCCCAGCTTTTACAAAGGTATACGTTATAAAGGTATACGTGTTACAAAAGAAGAATGGAAAATATTTAAGTTTGTTTGCTTGACTTATAACACTTAAATATTTAAGATATGGTATTTCAGTCCCCATATTGACTCTTTGCTGAGCTCTGGAAATGTCAGCATCTGGCCTGTGACCACCCCTGCTCTATCTGTTTCTGTGGCCTAAACTCTGTGGGTAGGAGGTGTTGGCCTGATGGATGCTTCCTACCTTGGCGGCACCTTCCTCTTGTTACCCACAGAGCCCTGAGCAACTGAGATTTCACCTCTGGATTCCTTTCACTAGCTCCGTGTCATTTTGGCTGTGAGCTGCTCCTGCTCTTGCATGGTTGCATATATAGCATTGTAACAGTATACAAAATACATGGGTTTTGGTGCCAGATAGACATGATTTCTAGTCTTAGTTCTGCCACTTGCCACTTGCGTGACTTTAGGTGACATCCTTGACCTTTCTAAACCTTGGCTTCTTTATTATTTATATTTATATTTGTAATCAGAGTTAGCAATACCTACCTGGCATGGTGTTAGAACTAAATGAGGAAACAAGGAAGCATGGAAAAGTGTTGGCACAGTGCCTAGAGGTAGCAAGAACTCAGTAAATAATTGTTTCCGTTTATCAAGTAAGGGCAATTCATTTAAAAACAATAACAATTCTCCTCTACCCCTCTTATTTACATTTTCTGGACTAAATAATTGATATTTTTTGTTTTTCTTTTTATAATGCATTTTCCAACTCTTAGTTCTGCCTGCTTGTCTCTCTCTCTCTCTCTCTATCTCTCTCTCTCTCTCTCTCTCTGTGTGTGTGTGTGTGTTTGTGTGTGTGTGTGGAGTACATCCTTCATATATCAAAGTGACAACTAGCCTACTATCAGGAGGCCAAGCACTTTGAGTTTTTATGAGGAGAAGGCTGTTCATATTTCTTTCTTTGACAGTTTATCTTCTTCTTCACCCAACCGTCACCTGATCTAGGTTTTCTACAGTGAGACCAGTAGAACTGATATGTGGATGGAGCCTGGTCATTTGGCCTGGGTGTACTCAGCCAGTGGCACTCAGTATGTGCTGGTAAACTGAGGCAGGACTGACTCCAGTCTCAAGAGGTTAACCATGACCTATTACAACCTATTGTAGTGTTTCAAAAACAGGACTGTATGCTCCTTGTTCAATACCCTTTCCTGGGTGTACTGGGCCACACATAGTAAGTGCTAAGTTAATGCTTATCCGATGAAATAATATGCAAATGATAAGTTATATAACTGGCCCATTTTATGTTAATTAACAGGCAAGCCACATGTTTATTGGTTGAATATGTAAATTTTTAAAAAGTAAGAATAAATTAAATGAATGAACAAATGAATGAATGGTGAATAAGCATCTGTTGGGTGGGTGAGGTGTTATGCTGGGGTTGCTTTTATATTTAACTGCTCTATACACTGAAAGGGTACAACTTTTCAGTGTATCAGTTTCCCTGTCTATAAAATAGGTCCATAGTATCTGCCTAAACAGGGAAAAATGTTTAATAAAACTAGGTGCTCTAGTTGAGTGCTGGGAATTCTTGGGCATTGCTCTCAATATAAGTTGTTGATTAGCAGAAGACCTGGCTGTGTAAATACTAGCTCTGAAAAAGGAGAGATTTTTTATTATTTAAAATTCTCCTTAGTCATCCAGCATTTGTGTTTGCTTTTTTGCAGGGCTGATATCTGTTTTAACATTTTAGCCTGTGCATATACATGGATGGAATAACATTGGCTCCAAATGAAGACAAGAGCCCATCTCAGTTCAGGCACGATCGTGCTTGATGGAAAAGCATGTCCTTAAGGCTCATGCAATGGCCGGAAGCTGCTGTACAGCCCTGACTAAAAATGAAGGTGCTGATCTTCTGGTTTGTGCATGGGCACAGATACCTTAGTACTGCTAAGTCCCGCCAATCTCAAATAAAGCAGAATGGAGCTGGCAGGCCAAGGCTTAGAATTGGAGATGGACAGCAAGGTTCTATAAAAGTAAACATTGTGGACAGTTTCTTAGACAGTGATTTCTTAGGGTATCTGTTAAGATACTGTAACAAAGAAGCCCCCAAATATGTGACAACCCAAAGGTAACAGCAATCTAGGATGGGGAGGCATCAGTGCTCAAGGCACCTAGGCTAGCGAGTCTCATGCACTTTCCTCCATGCAGCTTCCATTTTTGAGTCTAACAGCTGCTGTTCTTGTTGCTGATTCCCAGGTTGTTGTAATGAAAAAAAGCGATGCCCAGGGAAAGCTCTGCCTTAAGGACATGATGCTGAAATTGCACACATCACGTCAACCCATATTCCATTGTCCCAAACTCAGTCACATGGCCACACCTAGTGGCAGGGGAGCTGGGAAACAAAATCATCAGCTAGGAGGCCATATGCCCTGGTAAAATTCATAAAAGGAAGAAAGAAAAGTAAGGCTAGCAGGAGACAATTTAATATCTCTGCTGTGGGGGATCCATTGCAGAGGACAGATGTGTTCATCTTTACTAAAATGCTTTGTGTATTTTAATAGTTAGAACACTTTGGTTACAAATAATGAGGGAAAGCAAAGAGGAAGTATTATGAGGGTGCATGTAAAGCAGCAAGGGAGAAATCATAGAAAAGGCAAGCCTAGCAGGATCAGACCCCACAAAGATCATGACAGGGAGCGGTTTCCATGTTTATGGCTACTCGGGGACCCCTGCAGTTGGACTTTGTTGATCTGCCACCTCCTGCACTAAAATGATTTGGCTATACCGTCACATGTGTTTTTTCAGCCCAACTAACTGGTTTGTTCTGCTTATTCCTCTTAATTTATGCTTGTATATGAACTGCCTTGAGCTTTACTCTCCCTTTTAGCAATATATAATTTCTCCCTCTATGCCAACCAGAAAATCATTTCATTGTTTTGAGACAGGCTATACAGGTTCTAGGTTACTGGCCAGACTATGGGGTTTGTTCCTTTAACCGATACTGTAGGAAGGACACTGTTCTCTGAAAGGAAGCAGGGGGAGAAGGTATGGTGTCCTCTTTTATATACTCACTCCTCATTCCACTCAAAGTGTGATCTAAAGACCAATAGCATCAGCATCACCTGGGAGTTTGTTAGAAATTCAGAATCTCAGGCTACACCTCAAGCCCACTGTATTAGTTTCCTAGAGCTGCCATAACAGCGTGCCATAAACTGGGTGGCTTAAACAATGGAAATGTATTGTCTCATGGCTCTAGAGGCCAGAAGTCTGAGATCAAGGTGTTAGCTGGGTTGGTTCCATCTATTGTCTCTGAGGGAGAATGTGTTCCTTGCAGCTCTTCTAGTTTCTGGTGGTTAATTGGCAGTCTTTACGTCCCTTGGCTTATAGATGCATCACCCTGATCTCTGCCTTCAAGTTCACATGGTGCACTCCCTGTGTGCAGGTGCCTTCTCACATGCCGTTATTTATCAAAACACTGGCCATATTGGATTAAGGGCCCAGTCTACGCCAGTGTGACTTCATATTAACCTAATCATCTACAATGATGCCATCTTCAAATAAGGTCACATTCTGAAGTCCTGGGGGGTGAGTACTTTAACATATAAATTTGTGGGGAAGGGGTACAATTCAATCCATAAAAACCTCTGAATCAGAACCTGTACTTATATAGGTAATTTGTATGCACATTAAAGTTTGAGAAGCCATGCCTTAACATTCTTCAAAAAATAATGTGCCACCAACACACTTACTACCACCTTTAATGTGTAATGGAAAGCAGCCTAGTCTTGGGTTCTGGATTCTGAACCTACCCTAGCCACGTCACGTTTAGTGCACAGCCATGTGCCAGGCTCATATTCAGCACTCAGTAAACACTTATTGGATGAGTGAAAAAAGTGGGACAAAGTGCTTTCATGTCTAAAATTGGAATAGTTATTTCAAAAGAATATTGTAAGGACTATCAGATTTACCAAATATTTAAAAATGGAAAGCATGACTGTATCAGTCAGAATCCAGTCAGGAGACAGACATGCAATTCATTTGAACAGAGAAATTAGTATCTATTAGAGGAGAGTAATTATAAAGGTATAAAAAGAACTCTAAATAAGACCTTAGAACTTAGGGAGATTATTTAAGGAAGGGACAAATTTTAAATGAAGGGACCTTCTCTCCAAAGCTTGAATTCAGACTTCACTGGAGAAGGTATAGTTTCCTCGCACTGGATGGTAAACACGTTTTATGGGTTGGCCTGTATGCTCCAGGGTATAGGCTGCACAATGCTGGTGAGGGGGATCAGAGGGAAGCAAGGTGCCAGGAACCTGCTGCCTGTCAAGGGAAGGCCTAGGGTGCATGGCGTCTGCATCAGGAGGTCTGCAGTTACATGGATACTGGACTGCAGACAGAGCCCTGAGCTCACCTAGGGAATGTACACAACACTGGATGCCCCTACAGTATACCACTAGTAGCCTGCAATAGGAAGATGTGAAAAGAAGAGCAGTACACCAGAACCGGGAAGAAAAGACTCTTCTTCTCTCCCGCTCCAACACCCTCTACTGACATAATTTAATGTCATGCCTGTTGCAACAAAGAAATGCTAAAGGATCCATTCCACTATTGCACAACAAGTAATTAAGGGCAGACTTTGTAGCTGGGAGGTAATAGATTGATGAGTGGCACATGCACTGTGCCAATATAAAGTCGTTTTCTCAATGCTAATATCAAATATGGCCTCAGAGAATAAGAGAAATAAAAAATGTGGAATTCTTAATGCCTTATCCGATAGATAAGTAGTTAGTTCTCCCTAGCCTTTCTCTAATTCCCATACATACACTGCTTTTTTCCAACTGTGTTGCCTCATAATATGATTTGGAGGGGTGAGATAATATTGAAAATGGAAGTTGTTACTAAACTTGGGAACTGAGCATACCTTGATGATGGTGCTCACCTATGTATACTCTTGTGTTATGATACCCGCAGCACAGCAGTGCCAGGCACTCACCCTGACTCCTAGTTATCTAAGACGTCATCCTCTGGGGCTACCTTCCTTGGGCTGTTTTTCCAAGACTCTGGACCATTTATGCCATAATTGAGCTCATTTACACAATCCTAGGCCATCTCATTCTTGCCCATGGCTTTCATTACTCATGAACACATTCCTCTGACCGGGTTGCTATTCTGAGTTCCTAACGATAGTCTCCTTGAAGCCAATCTTGAAGGTCACAAAGACACCCCAAACTCAACATATTCAAATCAAGCTCATTTATTATCACCACATTCACCCCCAGTCTGTTATTTTTTTCTCTTTCTCAAAGAATGGCAACTTATGTTTATGTTATCTTTCTCTCTTTTCCTTTACCTTCCATATCACTTCCATGTCAGAGTTCCTGGATCTTATCCCCTAAATACCTCTTGATTTTGTTCACATCTCTCTGTCTACATTAGCACCACCCACATGTGTACTACATCACATATGACCTGGACCACCATACAGCCTCCCAACTGATTTATTAGCAACCCCTCTGGCCTTTTTCCTAATATGAATCTAATATCACCCTCACCTTCACTTCTCTCCCACTGCTTCATATTTTTCAATGTTTCTTCATTGCTGTTAGGACAAACACAAAACTCTTGACATGACTTTCAAAGTCCTGCATGGTCTAGCTCTTCTCCACCTCTCAAGACTGACTTCACCTCTGGCCTTCTCTTGATTTCTCTGGATCAGCTACACTGGCTTTTTTCAACCCACTCTTTCGGGATATAGGACCTTTGCGTATGCTCTTCCCTGTGCCTGGAATACTCTTCAGATCCCACCTCAACCATTCCCTGATCACTCTATCCAGCTCAAATGCCCCCATTATCAGCTCCCATTGCACCTTAGGAACTGCTTCTCCCTGATAGCACTTTTCAGAGTCAAATGTTATATTTTTTCATTAATTGTTTGGTCAATGCCTATTTCTAGACTGTAGGATCTACTTTGGCAGGATACGCATTAATAATTCCTCACTATTGTATTCTCAGTGTCTAGCCCAATGCCTTTTATTTAGGCAAAATAAGGAATCTAAATATTGGAATTCATGTGCTAAAATTTCTTGCTGAAATTTACTCTCTCCTTCAACAAATATTTAGTGAGCACCTACATGTGTTTGCTTCTATATTTGGAACTGTGCTTCCAAATAAGATTCCTGCTCTCTCATGTTGTATTAGTTTGGGTTGTCTAGAGGGATAGGACTAATCGGATAAATGTATATATGAAAGGGAGTTTATTAAGGAGTACTGACTCACATGATCACAAGGTGAAGTCCCACGATAGGCTGTCTGCAAGCTGAGGAGCAAGGAATCCAGTCTGAGTCAAACCTCAAAAGTAGGGAAGCCAACAGTTCAGCCTTCAGTCTGTGGCCTAAGGCCCAAGAGCCTCGGCAAGCCACTGGTTTAGTTGTAGGTCTAATAGTTCAAAGGCTGAAGAACTTGGAGTTCAATGTTCGAGGGCAGGAAGCATCCAGCACAGGAGAAAGATGGAGGCCAGAAGACTCAGCCAGTCTTATCCTTCCACATTCCTCTGCCTGCTTTTATCCTAGCTGTGCTGGCAGCTGACTAGATGGTGTCCACCCAGATTGAGGGTGGGTCTGCCTCTCCTAATCCACTGACTCAAATGTTAATCCCCTTTGGCAACACCTTCACAGATACATCCAGGAACAATACTTTGCATCCAATGAAGTTGACAATATTAACCATCACAAGTCCACTCCTTGTCACCTTAAACCCATACACATCTTTTGAAATCATACATAATCTTCAAATAAAGACAATAATAAGGTCATAATTATGCCTAACATAATATAGCTATCCTTTGTACTACCAGAAACTACCAATTCCCAACCCAAATGCTATTAGATAAATTTAACAACACTGAAATGCTGATATGAAGTCAATAAATCTTATGTCACATGACAAAGGAAAAAGAAATAAAATGAAGATATTTTCTTAGTACAAGTGTATACAAGCTGAAACATGTTCATAACAAAATAGAGAGGAAATACGACAATTACCATCTTTGTTTCTGCAACTGGTCACGTGTCATAGCTGGTATTGATGACTACCTTCTTCTACTACCTATTCTGTATTCCTTTTGCCTTCAGCAATCTCCTCAGCAGGTCGTGGTTTTTTTACCTGGTGGAGTGACACAAACCTTCATTCCTGTAGGGTCTATGTCATTTGTAGTCCTGCCTGGATTGGGTTGTTATAGTTTTCCATTGACCTTAATCACAGGGCATGATAATACTAAGAGATGCCCTAAGGGATCTCCTATATTCCATGCATACTCTTCTTTACCTCCACTGTGGAGTAGTAAACTGATTTTATCTTGATAATCTGGGTCAATCACCCCAGCCAACCCTATAACTTCCTTTCTTCCTTTGTTGCCTGTTGACTTAGAGGTAGGGGGAGCCCAAAGTGGCCAAGTGGCAATCTTAACTTCCAGTTTAATAGAATCGTTGTTGTGTCTTCTGGTGATGGTGAGAAATGACGCTTCCATTTCCATCCCTTGATTCCTGGAACCATGAATCCTGGCTATGGGAGAAACAGTACCATATATTGGATGCTGATTCAGATCATACACAGCCTTCTAGAGAACTTTGTCCCAGCCCTGCAAAGTATTGTCACCTAGTTGGCATTGTAATTTGACTTCAAAAGGCCATTTTACCATTCTATCAGTCCAGCTGCTTTAGGGTGATGGGGAACATGGTGAGACCAGTGGGTTTCATGAGCACAAGCCCACTGCTGCACTTCTTTAGCTCTAAAGTGAGTGCCTTGGTCAGAGGCAATGCTATGTGGAATACCATGATGGTGGATAAGGCATTATGTGAGTCCATGGATGGTAGTCTCGGCAGAAGCATTTCATGCAGGATAGGCAAATCCATATCTGGAGTAAGTCGATTCCGGTGAGGACAAATTGCTGCCCTTTCCATGATGGAAGAAGTCTAGTATACTCAACCTGCCACCAAGTAGCTGGTTGATTACCCAAGGAATGTTGCCATATTGAGGGCTCAGTGTTGGTCTCTGCTGCCAGCAAATTGGGCACTCAGTGGTGGTCATAGCCAGGTCAGCCTTGGTGAGTGGAAGTCCGTGTTGCTGAGCCCATGCATAACCTCCATCTCTGTTACCATGGCCACTTTTTTCATGGGCCCACTGGGCAATGACAGGGGTGACTGGGGAAAGAGACTGAGTGGTGCACATAGAACAAGTCATCCTTTCCACTTGATTATTAAAATCCTCCTCTGGCTATGGTCACCCTTTGGTGAACACGCACATGAGATACAAATATCTTCACAGTTTTTGACCACTCAGCGAGGTCCATCTATATACCTCTTCCCCAAATTTCTTTGTCACCAATTTTCCAATAATGCTTTTTCCAAATTCCTGAACATCCAGTCAAACCATTGGCTATAGCCCATGAATGAGTATATAATCACACATCTGTCCATTTCTCCTTCCAAGCAAAGTGCACAACAAGGTGCAATGCTCAAAGTTCTGCCCACTGGGAAGATTTCTCTTCACCACTGTCCTTCAGCAATGCCCTAGAAAGGGGCTGTAGTGCTGCAGCTGTCCACTTTCAGGTGGTGCCTGCATATTGCACAAAGCCTGTGTAAATCAGGCCCTTGTCACCTTTTCCTCTGTCAACTGATCATAGGGAAATATCCATGAGGCCATCAGTGCAGGCTGGGGGAGAGAAGACAAGGTGGCAGGAGTGGGGACCATGGGCATCTGAGCCATTTCCTCATGTAACTTACTTGTGCCCCAAGGACCTGTTCAAGCCTGTTCACGTACATACATATCATTTACATTTGATGATGGAATGGTGCTGTACATTCCCCCACTTTATGGCTAGATGGGTCAGAAAGCACTTGGTTCATGATAGGCAGTTCAGGTCACATGGTGACTTGATGACCTATAGTTGAACGTTCAGTTTCTAACAAAGCCCAGTAACAGGCCAAGAGCTGTCTCTCAAAAAGGAGATTAGTTATCTGCAGAAGATGACAGGGCCTTGTTCCAAAATCCTAGAGGCCTCTGCTGTGATTCACCTATGGGGGCCTGCCAAAGGCTCCAAACTGCATCCCTATTTGCCACTGACACCTCAGACACCATTGGATCTTGATGGGTCACATGGCTCAAGTGGCAGAGCAGCTTGCACAGCAGTGTGGACCTGTTGCAGAGCCTTCTCCTGTTCTGGACCCCACTCAAAACTGGCAGCCTTTCAGGTCACTCGAAAAATGGGCCAGAGTAATACACCCAAATGAGGAATGTGTTGCCTCCAAAATCCAAATAGACCCACTTAGCATTGTGCCTTTTTCTTGGTTGTAGGAGGGGCCAAATGCAGCAACTTATCCTTCTCCTTAGAAGGAATATCTTGATAGGCCCCACAACACTGTACTCCTAGAAATTTTACTGAAGTAGAAGGTCCCTGAATTTTAGTTGGCTTTATTTTCCATCCTCTGGCACACAAATGTCTCAACAATAAGTCCAGTGTATTTGCTACTTCTCACTCACTGGATCCAATCAGCGTAATATCATCAATGTAATGGACCAGTATGATATCTTGTGGAAGGGAAAAGCGATCAAGATCTTTGTGAACAAGATCATGATACAATGCCAGAGAGTTGATGTACCCCTGAGGTAGGACAGAGAAGGTATATTGCTGGTCTTGACAGCTGAAGGCAGATTGCTTCTGGTGGGCCTTATGAAAAGGAATGGCATTTGCCGAATCAGTGGCTGCATACCAGTTACCAAGAGATGTGTTAATTTGCTCAAGCAATGAAACCACATCTGGTACAGCAGATGCAGTTGGAGTCACCACTTGGTTAAACTTATGATAATCCACTGTCATTCTCCAAGATCCATCTGTCTTCTGCACAGGCCAAATAGGAGAGATGAACAGGAATGTGGTGGGAATCACCACCTCCATGTCTTTCAAGTTTTTTTTTGTTTTTTTGTTTTTTTTGAGACGGAGTCTCGCTCTGTCGCCCAGGCTGGAGTGCAGTGGCATGATCTCAGCTCACTGCAGGCTCTGCCTCCCAGGTTCACGCCATTCTCCTGCCTCAGCCTCCCGAATAGCTGGGACTACAGGCACCCGCCACCACACCGGGCTAATTTTTTGTATTTTTAGTAGAGAAGGGATTTCACCGTGTTAGCCAGGATGGTCTAGATCTCCTGACCTCGTGATCCGCCCACGACAGCCTCCCAAAATGCTGGGATTACAGGTGTGAGCCACTGTGCCCGGCCAAGAATCACCACCTTTGCATATTTCAAGTCCTTGATGATGGCACTGATCTCTGCAATCCCTCCAGAGATGCAATATTGTTTTTGATTTACTATCTTTCTAGGTAGAGGCAGCTCTAATGGCTTCCATTTGGCCTTTCCCTCCATACTAGCCGTCATCTTACCAGTCAGGTAGCCAATGTGGGGGTTCTGCCAGCTGTTAAGTATGTCTATGCCAATTATGCATTCTGGCACTGGAGAAGTGACCACAGGATGAGTCTGGGGACTCACTGGACCCACTGTAAGTTGGACCTGAGCTAAAACTTCATTAATTACTTGACAAACATAAGACCCCACTTTAATTGGAGAACTATAATGATGTTTTGTGTCCCTTGGAATCAACATCAGCTCAAAGCCAGGGTCCAGTAGTCCCCGAAAGTTCTGATCATTTCCCTTTCCCCAGTGCACAGTTACCCTGGTAAAAGGCTGGAGATCTCCTTGGGCAAGGATGGGAGAAAGATTAACAGCATAAATTATCAATAGTATAGTGGGGTCTTTCCTCAAGGGGACCCAGTCTCTCCTTCATTCAAGGGGTTCTGGGTTTGTAAACTGGTTCAAGTCTGGAAATTGATTGAGACACCATGATTCTCTATTTTTATAATTCAAATTAGTTTTTTGTTCACTCGACCTGGCAGTTTTCTGCCTATATAAATTAAATAAGTATGCAATAAGCTTGCTGTCAATTTCAGTTCTAGGAACACTGTGATTAATTAGACAATGCCAGAGCTCTACATGAGTCAGACTATTCTGATTGCTGCTTTGCATCTGCTGTCCATTACGGTAACTATGCCCACCTTGCCTTTGACAGTTGAGTGCTGCCATTTGGCCTCTGCCACCTCAGGATCTAACTATTCCTGTTGCATTTAAATTTTGTAGTTGAGTGACTGCGGTTCCTCTTGTAAGATCTGCCATACAGAGAAGAGCAATCACAGAGCCCTTCAAGGATGCAGGTCCTGCTCTCACATATCTATTTTGCAAAGTATTGTTAAAGGGTATATCTTCTGGACCCTCCCAGCTAAGATGAGTAAGTCTAAATTGACTCGTCTATCCCAACATCCCAATCTCCCTAAGCCTTTTGATCCCTTCCTCTACATTAAACCAATGGAGAGCAGGCATTTGCAGCTTGCTCACAGTGGCTTTTGATCTGTATTTCAGCTAACCAAGCAAATAAACGATTAGACCATTTTTTTAACTCTCCAAGCTGCAACATTAAATGCAGAATCCCTGCTTAGTGGACCCAAATCAATAAATTCAGCCTGATCCAACTTTATGTTCCTTCCATCATTATCCCATACCCTTAATATCCATTCCCATGCCTGTTTTCCAGTTTTCTGCTTACATAAATTAGAAAACTCAAGGAGTTATTTTGGAGTGTAGTGCACTTCCTCATGGGTTACACTCTCAACCTCACTTCTAGGGGCTTGCCAGGACTTTAGTTATAGGTCTAGAAGCAAACAGGTTTGGGGTGGGTCCTAAGGAGAATCAGCATTGTCTTGCCTAGCAACTGCCTCAGGGGAGGCCATCACTGTTGTCTCAGGCAGTACAGGATTAATCTCTGACAAAGGTGGAAAGGCTGATGGCAGCATGGGTGGGGAAGGAGATGTTGCCACCACTGGGGGTGGGAAGGCTGTTTCCTCTGGCAGAAGAGACTTTTCAGAATTTAGGAGTTCGGTGCCCACAGCCTCATCAGGGTCCTCCCACACATCCCCATTCCAAGTTGCAGGGTCCCATTCTTTTCCAATCAATGCCCTCACTTTAATAGTAGACACCTATTGAGGCTACCTGTGCACCTTTTTTCAGGTCAGCCACTCACATGTCAAGAGCTTGTGTCTGATTTTCCACAATTTCAGCTCTTTCTCTACAGGAGATAAGACTCAGGGTAATCTTGGAAGATTTGAGGCTCAGTATGTGCTTCTGAAGCTGGGAGCTAGAATCCCCGAGTTCATCATTTTCTTTCATCACTTTGTCTAGTGAACTAGGCAACCAACTTCATTATATTCCTTGGTTCTCCACGTATGGTCAAAGGTATTATGTATAGAGTCACTGTATTCTTTGCCACTCACAAATGGTGAATCAGGAGTATCAAATGAATTTATTTTGCATAACTGTCTAAACAGTTCATGCCAAGGACTATCAGTGTTCTCCATGCTATTAGAAGTAGAGTCCTTAGCATTTTTTGTCTAATCATATTAAGCAGCCAACTCCAGAAGCCCCCAAATCAACTAAAGAACTCCATCCTTAAAATTCTGTTCCTCTAGAACCACTCTTGGTGACAACATCTGTGTTAGTCTGGGTTCTCTAGAGATACAGGACTAATAGGATAAATGTATATATGAAAGGGAGTTTATTAAGGCATATTGGCTCACACAATCACAAGGTAGATTCCCACAGTAGGCCATCTGCAAGCTGAGGAGCAAAGAAGCCAGTACAAGTCACAAAACCTCAAAAGTAGGGAAGCAGACAGTGCAGCCCTTAGTCTGTAACCAAAGCCCAAGAGCCCCTGGTAAACCACTGGTTTAGGTGCAGGTCCAAGTGTCCAAAAGCTGAAGAACTTGGAGTCCAATGTTTGAGGGCAGGAAGCATCCAGCTCAAGAGAAAGATGGAGGCCAGAAGACTCAGTCAGTCTAGTCCTTCCACATTCCTCTGCCTGCTTTTATCCTAGCTGTGCTGGCAGCTAATTAAATGTTGGGTCTGCCTCTCCCAGTCCACTGACTCAAGTATTAATCTCCTTTGGCAATACCCTCACAGACACACTGAGGAACAATACTTTGCCTCCTTCAATCCAATCAAGTTGACACTCAACATTAATCATCACACATACCATGCTCATTCTGATGGGGAAGGACAAAAACAAAACAAAAAACACCCACACATACATGAGAAAAATTGCAGATCACAATAGGCTCAATGAAGAAAATCAAATAGGGTGGTGTGATAGAAAATAAGGATTAGATTGAAAATGGCCTCAGGAGAAGAGTTGGATTGCCCAAGTAGGCCTCTCTGAGGCATTGCATTTGAGCTGGATTTTTATGGCGAAAAAGCCAGCTATGTGCAGTTGAGGACAGAGGTTTCCAGGCAGAAGCAGTAGTGAGTGAAAAAGCCCTACAGTGGTAAGGAGCTATCTGTGTCAGAGAAAATGAGAAAAACTTTAACATGCCATTATTCATAGGGTTAACAAGGGCAAGGCGTTGACCCAAAGGCATGACATCTGAGCACCACTGCATGTGTGATTAGAAGGTGCCTTAGAAAACCAGTTATTCAAAGGGAGAAGGAGCATGATCACTTCGGTTAGGACAGTTTGCTGTGCAGGAGCATTATCATACTGCAAAATGCTTGTCAATACTGTTTACATAGAATACAACCTGAATGGTATTCCTGGTATTATTCCTGGTGTTATTCCTGGAAATTCTGCCTGCTTCCCACCGCTAAATGTCAATAGATCCCCCCAGACACCATTTATCGGAAAATACCAACCTCTCCCTCACCAGCATACACACTTTTCTACATGTCAATCAGGGGTGGTAGTGATCTTGATTAGAATGACTGGAACCTTTTCAGTTTACAGATGTGGAAATGGAGGCCCAGTAAAGGAAAGCAAATAAATGGCACAGCTTGGGTTTTCTTTTCTGACTCAATACCTGGTACTTATTTTACTACAGCACAGCTAGCACCCATATTTTTACCTCCAATCATAGTTGGTTTTGGCAGATGGAAAGCAAGCAAACCAAAACCACAAAAATGCTGTGTAAAAAGAATATTTTCCTAATATTCCTCTTTGATACATTCAGATTTCTATGGATGACATTTTCTTTTAATGGTCTTTATCTGTGTTTTGAGGGAGGGTAAACTTGAAAGCCCGCCTTCTGTTCAATGCTGCCCCAGACAAATAAGTTTGATTTAATGCAATAAACATTCTTCCATTGCTCACTGCAGCCGGATGTTGTTTATAATGTTTCATCTGCCAAAGCACATTGTATATTATCATTCAGATGCAAAATAATTTATGGCTTTAACTCCCTATGCATTTAGATGAGTAAATCACTTGATATTTAGAAGAAATGATTGTTGTTTAATTTTTTGCTTCACTTAACTTTTTAGATATCAATACAACTTTGACTTCATGTTTGTTTTCGATTAACCTCGCGATTAAACGTAAGAAGAAGTGTGTGCTCTTGGGTGTGTGTGTGTGTGTGTGTGTGTGTAAGCATTGTATGGGGCATCTTTGGGGAGATCTTAAATCATAACAAGTCATCAACTTGTGAGCTTGTGCCTTGTTTTTTGAACAACTAAAAGTCATTCTGAACAAATTATGTTGAATGAGATGGATAATAAAATTGGATTTTACCATTGTAGGCTATAATAATAATAATAATAATAACCACAAAACATGTTATCTTTTAAAAGTAATTTAAAAGGAAATTATGCAAAAAAAACCTAACTGATGACAGCATCATAAGAAAAGTGTGAGTTCTTCAGTGTGATACATTTGAAGGAGACAATGCTCATTTGTATTTGTACATTCTGTATATTTATTAGGAAATCAATCTTATTAATTTTAGCATGTCATTGACAGACAGATGCATATTTATTTTTGTTTATACATTTATATATTCATTAAGTGTGATAAAGAAATAATAATAATACTAACATTAAGCTTGTATTATGCACCATCACAGTGCTTAGGGCTTTGATGGCATTCTCATATTGCTTCACAGTGGTAAGAGTATAAATGATGGAATCATAGCTTTATAGTGGCAGAATAGTTTTGATGAATTGAAGCATGTTTGAATCAGGGGCCAACTAGAAGGAACAGTAGTATTGATGAAATATAATTTTAATACTGTGAGTTTCATACCAAGACTTAAACTGGTCTGAAAATGTGTGGTCAAGGAGAGCCATTTTGACCACCTGCTTGAGTGGATAGGATTTAGTGTGCAATGAACTCCCCAATGGATTGGGGTATATCCAGAGTGCTTGAAGAATGTGTGCCTGTCTTTTCTATACTTTAGTTTGTTTTATATACCCTCCTAATAGACAGTGAAAAGACAAACCTTGGCTCAGTCATTTTAATTTAGTAACAATTGAGTTCATTTTGTTTAAAGGCTTATGTAATTTCTTCGCTAATGCAATTTTTAAAATTTCCAATGATTGGCTTTATCTCACATATTTAAAAGATGTGCAAGAAACATCCTATGCTTAAACATCCTATCAGCACATCCTAAAGTCAGTTTCCCATAGCATAGTTCTTCTGTATGCTAGTATATTGGCACTGCTATTTGCTGTGTAATAAATTATCCCAAAACTCAATGGTTTAAAACAACAGGGTTTATTATCTCCTGGTTCTGTGAGTTGTGAATTCAAGTATGGCTTAGCTGCATCTCTCATGTAAGGTGTCTCACAAGGCTGCAAGTCAGCTGGGGCTACAGGAATCTTAAAGCTTCACTCAGAGAAGATCCACTCCAAGTTAATTTGTGTGGTTATTGGCAGGATTTTGTCTCTTACTGGCTGTTGGCCAGAAGTCACCCTCAGTTCCTTGCCAAATGGGCTGCTCTGTAGGTCAGCTCGCAACATGGTATATAGCTTCATCAGACTGAGCGAGTCAGAGGGCAAGAGAGGGAGTAGTAACAAGAGGGAAGTCACTGTCTTTTGTAATGTAATCTCAGAAGTGACACCCCATCACTTTTGCCATTCTGTTGATTAGAAGCTAATTACTAAGTCCAGCCCACACTCAGGAAAAGGAATTGCAAAAAAGCATGAATACCAGGAGGTGGGGATCACTGGGAGACATTTCAGAAACTCTCTGTGGCAGGTAGTAATGTTATGAGGGTTTAATGTTCTAAAAGATTGTGAAATGTCAGGTTTATCACAGGACCTTTCAGAGTCTTGAGCATGCTAACTGCATTGCAAATTGTAAGTGGAAAGGGTCTATGGAATGGAGTGTTTCTCAATCCTGTTTGTTCGGTGAGTCCTTTTTGTTAAAGAGCGGCATGTTAAATGATCCTTTCTCAAAACCTTTGGTGAATGGCTGCCTACCATTTTCACTTGACACAGAAGTTACTGAGAATATGAGAGGTGCATTGCCATTGGCTGCAGAACCTGGGCCAGTGCACTTATCCTGAAGCTGTTAGGTTCTTTGCATCTTATTAGATTGACACATGGTTTATTTATGCCACCATGATCATGATTTCCACTGGGTCATCTCTTACATCAGCTGCTGGCAACATAAGCCATATAAGTAAAAAAGAGTGTAAGAGTTGATGTTGAACACATTTATGAAATGTCTGTGAGCCAATTGTTGTGGAGATTAGCTTCCAGCTGGTGCTCTCCTTTCTCCCTTTGTGGATGGCAAAGCCAGACTGTGGCCAACTCTGCCACTTCTGTCCTTAGTCCAACCCCACCCCACCCCCATCCCTATGGGAATTGGAAAGCCACCAGTATCCATCATTATCTTCTTCACTCTGGAAATAAAGATGTTGGAGCCTTCATACATCACTCTAAAAAACTGTCAACTCCTAGAGACACATTGCCTTATTGATTTTACTTTATTTCTCATGTCTCTCCTTTAAAAATGAACAATAAATTGCAGCAGCTCATGTATAGAAGGACTCCATTGCTATTTAACTTCTTGTTTGGATCTTTAATGGCCCATGTGATTTGTCCTTCTCAGACAGATATCATGGCCTTGATATCACGAACTGTAGCATGCATGTCTGCATGTCCCTCCCCAGTACAGCAGAGTTCAGTGCCCTGGACACTTTTCTAAATAGGCTCTGGGTGTTTGGTGGATTGAGTAGATTGTCACGGCAGGTGGGGCATAAGCATGGTTATTATTAGCTCATAGTTAAATGTCAGAACACATTAACAATGTTTGTTTGTATTTTAGCCTGATAATTATTCTTTTTTCTCATTTCCTGCCACTTGTAAATATTATTTTGCACATTTCCAGTGGGGAGGCCTGGAGAGAAGATTTTGATCGTTCATACCTCTTTGATGCCAAGCCCACTTCTTTATAGTTCTTATGAGTTAAATTAAATCAGGTTTTTTATTGTGTCTACATCTATGTTTATGTATTTTTGTCTCTCTGCACATCCACACTTTTTTCTTATTTATGTCTCCTACAATTTCATGAGATAGTCTTTCAGCAAAACAAAAGTCACCAGGAAGTCTCACTAATCAACTCACCAGAAATCTGCAAAAGAAGGGTTCCTGCTGGAATATTGCCTCAGTACTAATCTATGGGTGGTTGATGCATCTAGAACTTACACTGGATAGCATATTAAACACCTTGGTGAATTATGGTGCTTGCTCCAGCTGCTTTTAAAAAATTATTTATTCATTGATGACTTTTGAAGGTGAGCAGATGTTTCCATTTGCTCATTTTGGTTTATGGCCCATTCTGCAATTGGTATTGTAGTACACACATTTCTATGTAATATATATCTCATATGGTCCAATGCATTAGAAAAAGAGAGAAACTTATAATAAAAACATGGGATCACTGGCAGCAAACAGTATGCCTGGAGCTCGTGGTGACTTCAGCATTATCAGAATGTTGATAGCATTACATCTGTTGTGTCTGAAAAGTGCCAGAAAATGGTGCTAATTTATAACGTAGGAGGAGGGAGGTGAAGAAAGATATGGTGATGAAAAATAGTACACAGTAGAAGATAGTCAACTAAATAGTAATTTGTTAAGTTTTATTCACACTATATAACAAAGTGCTGTCACAGGTTTCTGGTTTGGTTTATAAATCAACTACGTATGTTGCTCATCTATACTTCCCGTGGAAACGGCTATTCTAAATAGGGCCTTTCCTTTTTTACAGAAAACATGTTTGTATTTCTAAGGGTTGTGTGGTTCAGCCCAAGAACGAGGGCAGTAATAGAATAAAGTAAGGCCTTGGGCTACCATTGAACTTTACAAGGCAAAGGGCAGAGAATAGGCAGAAAAACAGAGGGAAATTGGAACCAGCAACATCCGTAGAGGAAGAACAGAGAGAAAGAGGGGCAGATGGTTGGGAATGATAGTGAGAATGATGCTTATAGTTATCACAGATGCCTCTCAATTTTTAAAACCTTGAATGTCTACATCTCTGAGAAATTTAAACACTAAAAAAAAAAAAAATGCTTTTTTCTATCCCTCATTTCCACTCCTTTTATCCTCACCTTACAACCATATGTATCTTTTTTTTCTTCCTAAGATTCCATTGCTAAGGTTGTAGATGTATAGGTTAGACAGAGTATGTTCCCAAGACATCAGAACAAAGTTTACAGGATGTCCTGGTGTAGCCAGAAGGACAGAGAAGTTTGTACCTGCCTGTGTGGAATGTTTACAAGATCCCGAGTAAAGCCAGTGCCCCCAACCTATTGTTTCTCCATTACTGGCTGCTCTTTGAAGACAATATTTTCGAATTTCATCTGTTATTTCAAGGTTTTATCTATGCTAAAATGCATATTGAATATTTGAAGCTGACATCAGTCACATGTATCCTTCTAGTCTAGAGGGAATGTTTTAGGTTGTCTCATGAGACTGAATTTTGATAAGAAAATGTGAATGTGAAGATCCTTGCAAGGGAGAAAAGTTACAAAATAAGAAGATTTTTTAGTTTTTCTTTTTCTTTTTAAGCAAATTCCTCTGCCCATTTTGTGACAGTGTTTTAAGACCAGATGGGAGTGTCCCTGGATCCTTTCAGCTGGTGGCACTGTATGAGTTTTCTATTGCTGCTGTAACAAATTACAACAAACTTAGAGGCTTGAAACAACAAAAATTTATTATCTGATAGTCTGGAGATTAGAAGTCCAATATGGTCTCAATGGACTAAAATAAAGATGTGGACAGGGCTGCATTCCTTCTTGAGCCTCTAGAAAATCCATTTCCTTGCCTTGTACAACTTCTAGAGGCCACCCAATTCCTTGGCTCACAGCCCCTTTCCATCTTCAAAGCCTGTGACAGTAAGACAAGTCCTTCTCATACTGTTGTCTATCCTGTTCACAGCAGCTAGGAAAGGTTCTCCACTATCAAAGACTCATGATTTACATTGGGACCACTTGGATAGTCGAGGTAACCTCCCCGTCTCAAGATCTTTAATTGTGTCTGAAAAGGTCTTTTTGCCATGTAAGGCAACACATTTGCAGGGTCCTGAGATTAGGATGTGGATATCTTTGGGGGAGTGCCTACCATAAGCACTAACTAAAACAAACTCTTTCCAACCTACTGTGTCCTGTGCAGGTGGTCACTTTTTTTTTTTTTTTTTTTTTTTTTTTGAGACAGAGCCTTACTCTGTCACCAGACTGGAGTACAGTGGCATGATCTCAGCTCACTGCAACCTCCCATCTCCAGGTTTAAGCACTTCTCCTGCCTCAGCCTTCCGAGTAGCTGGGATTACAGGCACCTGCCACCTCACCTGGCTAATTTTTTGTATTTTTAGTAGAGACGAGGTTTCACCATGTTGGCCTGGCTGGTCTCAAACTCCTGGCCTCAGGTGATCCACCTGCCTTGGCCTTCCAAAGTGCTGGGATTACAGGCATGAGCCACTGCACCTGGCCTGGTGGTGTTTTTAATAAGCTGCCTCAGTTAACAAGAGTACTGGGCCTGGTCAGAAATTTCTGCCAATGCTGAGTGCTGATTCTCTTCTGATATTAATTGAAGTCAGTGTCTTGTCAGCCTCCACTTCTCAACTCTAGCTGAGCTAGCCACAAGAGAAGTTGGAGTCACATCTTTGATTCCTTCTCCATGCTTACAAAATCTTGTATCCCATTCTTCCCTGCAGCATGGGATCCTGAGACTTTGGCAGCCATCGTCAAAGTTTGCCCTCCACAGGACAGTAGCATTGAGTTCCTAGTAGCCTTCAGGATCACATTGTCTAAGCCTATTATTTTCCTAAGGGAGCAAAGAGGAGCTCAGGGAAGGAAAATAAATTAGCAAAGATGTAGAACCTAGACCTACACAGACTTCCAGGCCCATGCCTGGGCCGCCTATGTGGCGTTGTTCCACCTCACAATACCAGACTAGAGGTGACTAGACAAGGTCCTCAACCAGTTAAAAAAAAAACAAAACAAAAACACACACACACACAATAAAACAAAAAAATATTTCCCCATAAGAAAATGTTCCAGGTAGAAGTGTAATAATGTCAAATATTTAGGAAGCATTTGTACTAACAAGGATAAATCAGAGAGTTTTGTTGTGTGTGTGTTTAATCCTCAGTTAATCAGAAGATGTTAAAATGGGAGCATTCCTTCATGAAAAGCATACACTTAACTAAGACTTTGAGGTCAGAGGAAACATGAATGGGGAAATCCATGAAAAAAAAATCTAATTACTGATGCCTTTAAGGTCTGGTTTTAGAGATTCAATGTGTGCACACATAGAAACTGAATCTCTAAAACTAGACCTTAAAGCCATCAGTATCATGATTAATAGGGGTTAATGAGGTTAACCCCTATTAACCTTAACAGGGAAGGCTTTGGTTCAAAAGCCTGAAGGAGACCCAGAGCCAGCAAATGTGACATGGGGTTTTACTAGGGGCTGATTACAGGGGAGAGAGTCCAGTGGTGGTGGGCTGGAGAGGAAAACCATCTTACCTGCAGAAGTGGTCCAGTGGTGGCAGGCTGGACCAGATAACCGCATCGCTCAGTGGCAGTGGCCTGGGCAGGAAAACTTCAACCACCTGCAAACAGCATGCGGTTTGTATAGCATTTTCAGTTAACACTTTCCCCGTAATGAACTCCACCTGGCAACCTTCATTTACCCCAAAACTCAGGGCCTCAGTCCTCTGTATGGCCCATGTTCCACAGGATGGGCCGGGGGTTCAGATGTTTATTATATATAAGAAACAAATCTCAGGGTTGGCCACTCCCAGAATCTGTAGCTCAAAACACACATTGAGGTGCATCTGCCATACAGGGTTATTCTAAGGGTATGCTGAAATCATTGCTATCAGGTGCATTTACCCTTCTATGTGGCCCCTTGGTTTGACTACTGAGGTCAGTTGCAAAAGGTAATATCCTGGCTTCTATGGTTTCTGGCCTAAATACAGTCCCATATTAAACTCCTGTTTGAGTATTTTGTGAAGTCTCTTCAACTTAGAATGCCATCTCTTATGGTTTCTTAATTTCTAAATTATAGGGATTCCTTTTGCAACAGCAATGTCCATCTCTGAGGCAGCTGGCTGTTCAGTCGTTGCTGTTGATTATTCTTTATCCTATGAGCTGTCCTGGGAGGAGACGAGACAGCTGATTTCCATGATCTGAAGTGCAACTTGTTCCACCGCCTTTAAAATAGGCTGCAGCTGTTCTAGTGTTTTGACCGCTAGGGTCTTATATGTATGGTGACCTTAAACTTCCTCAGTGAAATGTTCTCTATCATAGTCATATTTTACACTATTCAAAAAGTTAAATCAGACAGCATTTTCCTGGACTACTTTGCCAGGAGATGACCACTTTTGTGCTTTCCTTGTCTGAGGAAATTTGCAATTTGCCAATATTTTAAAAGGGAAGACAAAGCCATAAGACAGAATAGTAGGAGATATGAAACTAGCTTAGGGAAAAAAACAAACTTTGGTAAGATTTTACTCACACTTCCTATCAGTATTCCAACAAACCCCAGCATGAATTAAGTCTTCTCTTCCTTATTGGCTGTCTTTATTTACTATCTCTCTTTCTTCCAAGAAGTATTTATTCAGTACTTGCTGTGTGCCAGAAGTGGTACTAAGGACTAGTTAAGATGTAATCCCTGCAAATCCTGTCAGGAGATTGACTTCAATTTAGATGAGCAAGTGAGTCTCACTTCTTCCCATTCAGATGCCCTTTTTCTTCCCTTCTTCACCTTTTTCTTCACTCCTCACTGGTTTCCAACTGGAAATCAAGTAATCTCAGTATATACTCAACTTCAGATGTAGTCTCTTGAGTCATCTTAAAGTTGAGACTGAGAGAGCAAGTGCTGTTTAGAGAAACTTGAAAATATGAAGAGTAACAAAAAACATTATTTGAGAAGTAAAAATGCCTAATATATCTCTGTAGGGAAGAGTGAGTTATTACGTATATATTTCAACACTGCAGTGTAAATGATGGTGACTACATGGATACTGATTAAGGCATTTCATCTACAAACAGTACTTAGTTCAGTTTACTGAAAACAACTCAGAGTTTAGGGTGTGGTTAAAGATAACCAAACATGGACATCTTTTACTTCTCCAGGTTTAGACATAAAGCTAAGACATAAGGAAATCCTGATTAATTGGCTAGTCATGACCCATTCTAGAAAGTAGAATTATTCAGAGCATTAGGACCCAGTGAAAGGTCCTACCATAATTCAAACTGATTAGTGAATTTTCTCTAAAATTATACATTGAAAATATGGGATTTTTCATCTTCAAAAAGAGTTTGAGGTCTGCAGTGGTGAATATTCATGGAATCACAGAATTGCAGACATAACTTTGGAGGAACTCTGATCTAACCATCTCATTTTCACACTGATAAGGAAAATTATTTATTTTATAGATAGGTAGAAGAAATGTTAAACAACTATCAAATGTAATCTAACTACGTACAGGCAAGACTGAAGTTAGAAACTAGGACACCTTTCTTCTAATTCAAAGTTGTTTTCACTCTATCGCAAGCCTTACCTTAGCCAAAACCACCATACGATTGTCTGTAAAGAAGACTCTATTGCCCAGTGGTCATGATGATTTAACTCCTTTCTGTTTTCCTTTCTTCTTGATTTCTTGTCTTCCCTTTTAGTATTTATTCATCTTCTCTCTGATTAATGAGAATAGTAAAATAAATCTTAAAATGGGCTAATCTGTAAAACTTTTCTTTTTTTTTCTTTTTATTTTTTGACAGAGTCTTGCTCTTGTCACCCAGGCTAGAGTGTAAGGGCACAATCTTGGCTCACTGCAACCTCTGCCTCATGGGTTCAAGCGATTCTCCTGCCTCAGCCTCCCGAGTAGCTAGGGTTACGGCACTAGCCACATTTTTTGTATTTTTAGTAGAGATGGGGTTTCGCCACATTGGCCAGGCTGGTCTCGAACTCCTGAACTTGTGATCCACCCGCCTCGGCCTCCCAAAGTGATGGGATTACAGGCGCGAGCCACCGCACCCGTGCACTAATCTGTAAACTTTTCAAAGAATCCAACTCTTTGTTACCCTCAGAAATATAATCTACTCAGTCATGCATCTACTCAGTCCCACCATACTGAGAATGATGAAACTACTATGATGCGTATTTTGGGAGTGTGTATAGTGGTGTGTGTGTGTGAGTGATTGTAAGTGTGTAAGGTGTATACAGGATTGTAGGTCATTGATGATTGAGGAACTTCATATTGAAATTACTGTCCCTCAATTCTCAGTGACTAACCTTCAGCTTTGTTTTGTTTATATGCTTTCATATTCATAAAATGAGCAGATTTTTAAAAACCCTTGACCTTTATCTTATAAACCTTAGTGTTTTTAGTAATAATAGTTCATTGGTAACTATCAACTGAATGTTCATTCATATCAACCAATGAGAAATATTAGTTCTTAATTATTTCTTGTTCCTTTGTCCCTTTCCACTTACATGTACATCAAGTGTTTGGTGTGATTCATGAGACCATGGGCATAGTCTTGGGTTAGTGAAAGGTAAAGTAGGTGTAATAGAAGCAAGCTTGAAATGGCAATCGGTATATTTGGGTTCTGGTCGTGGGAAGTCATTGACGATAAAATGTGTCTTTTATTGAGCACTTGTGTAAGTCAGGCATGTATGCATTCTCACTGACCTGTGAGATTGGAATTATTCCCTTCTCCATTTTACAGATGCAGAAATTGAGGCTGAAAGATAGTAAGTTGCCTTCACAGAACTAATAAGAAAAGAGATGGGATTCATAGATTTTCTGTCTGTAAATCCCAGGCCAGCATCTCTGCTGGGCAGTGCTGCTTTCTTGCTCTGTGTTTTTAGAAAAATCACTTGGCTTTTCTGGGTCTTGGGTTTTCTCATTAATCAATTGGTGGTTTGAGCTCTTATCATGTGTAACATTCCTTAGAGCTCCAGGAATTAGAGAAGGTCATTTTCTTTTCCTCCTCCACCTCTCACCCCTTTGACATTTACTTTTCCCATATCCAGCTGTTAATCATTAAAAATGAAGATGATACTGAAAGTCATGTCTGGCCATGAGGACAGGATCTGAATGTTTTCATTCTGACCTCTAAATCAGTCTGCATATCTTGCCTGTAAAACAAAATCAAAAGGTGTGGTGGGGAGGGACCAGGGACTTTAATTATATTTTTAAACAATGGATTTCCATTAAAATTGTATTATTCTACACCTCTGGAAAATTACATTGTAGATGAGATAAATGCAGCTTGGCATTTAAATTAAGGTTATCTTTAGACTGGTAATCTCATTTGCTGTTTAGCAATTTTAATTCAAGTCAAGGCAGTGTAATTAGTGCCCTCAGCCAATTGCCATTTCTCACCGCTTTGTAGCTGTATTTACTACTGTTAAGACACATTCTATTTGTGTGGAAAGTATAAGTCAACATACTAAATTATTAAAGGTGGCATACATCAGGAAATACTCCCTGCACATGCTGATGCTTCAGATTAGGAGGCTTTAAGCCGTCATGCCAAGAGAGCAGTGATACCGTGGATGGTAAATGCAGGACATCACCATTTTTTAAATACAGAGAAATTAATGTGAGATGTTCTTAGGGCAACTATACTAAGTTTAGCAGTGCTTCAACATGTTTTCAATTTGAGACAAGCTTAGCATAATTTAACTTCAAAATTATATTTTACATGATGTGATAGTTTTTTTTTTTACACTAAGGTATGCAGGTGTGTGGTGGGGGATAGGGAGTGATGTGTGGGTGTATGACTCAATGTCTGTATATATAGTTTCTATTATAGCTTAAAACCAGACCCAGGCAAATATCTCTAGGTAGTAAAAAAAGATTAGGTAATAAGGAGTTCTATTATACCCTTGAGGAGACAGGCGATTTTTTATTTATTTGAGGAAAAATACCCGTGTGTCACTATACATACTTATTAATATTAATTATATAAATTAATTCTATTAATATATTATATATTTGCAATTGATGAATCATGCTATATACATCTGTGTTTTTGTGTGTGTATATACATTTATGTATGTGTGTGTGTGTATGTGTGTATATATATACACACAGGCTTTATTTGACTTTAGATTCCTGCTTTGAAGAACAAGCGATATTCAGAATTCAAATTCAAACATAAATTCAAACCTTTTCTTCCTTCTGCCTAATAATGGCTTTAATGAAAAAAATCTATAATTTAGTTTGCTTCGTGTATTTTAATTTCCTTGAGAACAAGAGCTTTATCTAGTTTTCATTCCTTGCAGCAACTAGCGGACCTTTACTTAAAGACTCTTAGTAAATGTTTGTTGAACTCAATTATGTAAAGGAACAGTTGACTGTTCTTGATGACAGCTTTCTAATGTATGAGTATTCTCTTGGTTTTATAGTCTATATATTGAATTCCGTATGCCTGCCTCTTTTCTGTACTCCAATAGGACTATAAGCATGTTTACAGACAGACAAATCTGTTGCCCATTTGAAGAAAAGTATACCACTCAGAACATTTCTGGAGAAATATTAGCATTGTAAATTTGATTTTCATGCCTGGGGAAAAAAAATCAAACTGCACAGAGAACATATTCATGTGATATTTTGGTTTGTGAATCTTGATTTAACATATTTGAAAGGTAAAATAAACAATTCCATGTGAGCAAGAATAGAACTGTTTATTTTGACAAATCGAGTCCAAGTTTACAATCTTAGTCCTCACTCCAATCTTAATCCTTAGTCCTTCTGATTGACCCTTAATGACTTCTAGAGATAATCGGATTTAATCATCCATCCAAGCCCATGGTGGAAAACCAAAACATCTTTTTTTTTTTTTTTTTTAGAATAGAAGCAATATGATTTAGGACATTAAAAATGCAAAGCAATTCAGAAAGATTCTTGCTTTTGAAAACAAACAAGTAGAAAACCTATGTGTTTTTGCTTCCTGATATTCATGGAATGACATGAAAGACATTGCTCATTATCTTGCTAGCCACTTGATATTGCATATGCCAGATGCAGTGGCTCACACCTGTAATCCCAGAATTTTGGGAGGTGAGGCAGGAGGATCACTTGAGGGCAAGAAATTGAGAAGTAGTGTTGCATTGGGAACCGCAGGTCACAAACCAAACTGTAGAAAAGACAAGGTCCACATCTTTTAATAGCCAGAGCTCTCTATAGTCCTGAGACAGTGGATTTGCATCACTATCAAACAGTAAATGAAAAATACCATTATATTAAAAATAGATAAGTGATATTTTGCTTACGTGGCAGGGTAGTGAAATTATGTCTTTGAATGTGTCATTTTACCTGACCTAACATCTTTTTTTGTAAAATGCATGTAATTATAGATTTTTCTTACTGGGAGACTGTAAAAAACATATACCCAAATTAAGTTAATAAAGCACAACAATCACCCTTTGTTGCTGCCTGGGGACAGCTAGGTCCTAAGGTTGGGTCTCATAGCTTTCATCTGTTAGTTCAGCTCTTCCTAGTGTCTGAGACTGATCCTATTCCTAGTTATAGGATATTAAATGCATTGCCAGCCATCATTTCAGCTTTGGCAAACATGAGCAAACTATGCTATTTCCTGTGACCTTGTGCCCCTACCTCGTAACTTTCAGCGTCCATGTCCTACCTTATCTGTAGTCACAGAAACTTGCATGTCACAACTAAGGCCCTATTTTAATCTCTTGGCACTGCACAGATTTTATAGAAAATGAATTCCTATTTTGCTTTACCCATACCAACTCAGCAGTGGAACTATTGCCAATTTTCAACAACCCTAAATGCCTACTATCTTCTGCTTTGATTTCCCTTTTTATTGGATAATTTTGAGTTTCCTGCTGAAAAGTTTTACCTAGCTGCTGGAATGGCCAATGATTACTTCTTCCTGGACTTCTATGAAGCCGTTCTCTACACTTTGGCCCAAGTCATCACCATCTGTCTCTGAACTACTACAATAATTTTCTGTTCTCTCGTTTGCCAGCCACCCCAATACGAAAGATCACTTTAAAAAGTAAATTGGATCATGCAGCATCTCTGCTCAAAACTACTCCAGTGGCTTTCCAGTGCATTAAACAGTTCTTTAATGTGATTCTTGAAGTCCCTGCTTAATCTTGCCTGTGCCCAATCCTCCAAAGCCATTCTGTCTCTTATTCACTGACTGCTTTTAATCTTCAAACCCGCTGCCCTTTTTCTTTCTGTATATTGCATGCACGTACTATTTTCCATCTCTTGCCTCCTTTCCCCTCTAAGCTCTTAAAGGTAATACCTACCCATCTTTCAGGTCTCTGTGAATATGTTATTTCCTTGGTACACTCTGTTATTTTCCCAATGAGATCTCTATTCAGAGCACTTTTCACAATCTGTAGTCAATTATTTATGTTGTCTTACTTGCTTAATGGCTGCTTAGATAGTAGGATCTGTGAAGGCAGGGCTCAGACTCACATCGTTCACCACTGGATACCCAAATCTTAGCAAATTGATTCACTTGTAGAGTAGGTTGGTTTGTGGACTTCATGTTTAAACTATTAAATGAACAGATTGTCTGCTTGGATTATAATGTATCGCTTCTTTCCCTACTCTACTAAGAATAATTATTGTTTATTGCAGTCACATCTTATGTACCAAGAAATCAGCATGAATTACCTCAAATCCTTACAGTCTCAATATAAGGCAGATGTTATTATTCCCATCTTACAAGAATGGAGATGATAAACATGTAGTGATTTGTGCCAAGTCATAAAACTAGTCATGATGAAGCCAGAATTATGTTCCGAATCTTTTTGACTCCCAAGTCTGTGCTCTCCCACCTCAGAACATTCATTTTCTACTGCCCAAACTTCTCCATCCTCTCTACAGATAACTACTGTAGAGCCATCACCAAGTGCCAACCTGACCCTTGATGTGTGTGTCAGCCTTTCTCGGTCCAGTCAGGCTCACCTTCAGTCTCTCACACTGATGTGGAATTATCTTCATGTAGACAAGTCTCAGTAATTGAGTCATAAGCTAGTATCCATACTTGCTTTTTGTAGCCTAGAGATGTTTGTTTGGTTAGGCAGAGCCCAAGCATTCCCTACTTGAGTGGTAGCTACTACCTAAATTATTTGGTCTAGAGCTTGGGAGAAAATAAGTTCCCAACTTACAATGTGAATAGACTCATGGACATCCCACTTCCCCATGTATCCTACCCACTGAACATTTATGACTGTGGCAATAGTCACTCTGAAATACTAGCAGGGCTCACAATATAAGAAAACATTTAGAAAAGGATTGATGCTTTAGAACCAGAGTTTGGGGTTTTGTATCACCCCTCATGCACATGAAAAAATCTGGGTAAAAACAATAAACTCCAATGGAGGAGGAGCTGGTAGTGAGCCCATGATAGAGTCACCATTGTTAAAATTCAAGTATGACACCAGAGCACCTAAGGACGCCTCAGGAAGTGAGCTCACCAGTTACGTCAGGGGTGTCTTCTGCTCTTACCCTTGTTTGAGGTCTTTGCTCTTTCAGATTTATAGGAACATGGGACTACAGAAAGGAGATTGCTTTCAAAGTGATTAAATTCTGGACAATAATGTCTATGAGAAGATGAAAGAAATTAGTATCAATGCAGTTAAATTAGTGAAAGGAGTGAAAGCTAAGCTCTCATAAAATATAAAGCATTATTATCAAGGGATTGTGTCTTTGTTGGATACATCTAACCTATGCTTAATAAACCATAATATTCACCTCTCTTCAGTTTATGAGATTGCCAGTTAGTCTGATTTTTTAACAGTGTGCTTTTCAACATTCAATGTGTGAGACTGTTTTTAACCAATCAAATTAGAATCAAATTTGCAAGTGAAATGCCACAAGACAGAACAGTATATTCTCTCCTGAAGTTGAAATATGAAACACCATTCATTGCCGAATTTACTAATTTTATGACCCCTATCCCAAAGTGCTTGGAAGAGGATTTATGTTGACTATATTCATGAGGCTTATTGCCCGTGATGTCATTGCTCATTATTGTGTTTACTGATTTATTTCTCATATGCCCAACGTCAGTTTTGTTTTGTTTTGTTTCCTTAAATGAGTGGAACTGTCCTTTAGAATTGCAGTGCATAGGGCTGGGCTTGATGGTTCATGCCTATAATCCCAGCACATTTGGAGGCCAAGGCGGGCATATCACGAGGTCAAGAGTTCAAGACCAACCTAGCCAACATAGTGAAACCCCGTCTCTACTAAAAATAAAAAAATTAGCTGGGTGTGGTGGTGCATGCCTGTAATCTCAGCTACTTGGGAGGCTGAGACAGGAGAATCACTGGGACCCAGGAGGCGGAGGTTGCAGTGAGCTGAGATTGTGCCATTGCACTCCAGCCTGGGAGACAGAGTGAGACTCCATCTCAGAAAAAAAAAAAAAAAAAAAAAAAAAAAAGAACTGCAGTACATAGTTGATAGGAACAGTGCTAAACTCTTTAATTTAGAAAATTCAAGGCAATCACTGCCATATATTTTCAATTGTCTGTTCTAGCTATGTGGTGAGCAACTTGAAGACATGATCCCTGAAATTGAAGAGAGTTAAGACATAGAGGGTTTTAAGGATCTTTAGGATTTTGTGTGCTGTGACACATTCTTTTTAATATGGCAGTATAATCACCATTTCTAAGATCATCTCTGTCTTGAATATTTCAGCCAAAAGAAATGCAAATATTCCTGAGGGTAGTAACCTGTTAATAAGTCAGCTGTCATAAACAGTTTGTCCAGATTAATGCCTGAGCAGGAGTAGCACATGGGAGGTGAGAGCCAGAATGAGGGAAAGGGCAGTACATTTCAAAGGAGAAAGGCAGAGAAAAATATTTGAAGAATGCAAAGTAGCTTGAACCACCTTGCTGACCAATCTTAGGTATCATGGTTACCTCTGTGGAAGCACAAGGTGGGTATTTGTTTAGACTTGATCCTTCCTGGGACAAAGTGCTGGTCAGGATAGTAAAGGGAGATTAAATGTACTTAAATGTGCTTCCAGAAGACAGGTATGTCATCATAAAGAAGAAAGGGCTATTAGCTCCTGACCTACTTAGAAAAAGTGTAACTAAAGTGGAACCAGGAATTGTGTGAGATCTGCCTATGTCCTGTTCTCTCTCTCTCAGGGAGAGCAGAGGGCAGGAGGTTTCACCAGGAGCTCACCTGACTCTCTCCTAGGCACCTATGTTTCTGACTTTCCTTAGATACAACCAGAAAGCTAACACACTTAGATACTTGGAGACATTTGAAACAACTCGACAGCCAGTTCACTATCCTTGGCTACCCAACTGTTTGGGAGAGTAGGAATGCTCCAGAAGAAAATTGAATCGGCACCACTTTCCCATTTTGACCCTTGAGAAAAGAAAGAAAGAAAATCAGCATTTATTGAGTAATTTGCCTTGTGCCAGACAATGTATCATATGTTTTATATATAATATTCCACAGGCAGACTCTGTTATTCCCTTTCTATAGATGAGAAACAGACTCTGAATTGCTTTAGACGACTAGCTTAAAGTTCATGAGGCCCGGAAGGGATGAACCTAGAATATAAACCCAAGCTCTTTAATTTCTAAATCAGTGGCCTTCCTCACTATCATTATGCTGTGTTATGTAATTGATATCTGGAGTTCAGGGAAAATCACCATACTACTTTGTATGAGAATAGTGTGTATATGTATACATTTGTATTTTATATAAACCTATGCATGGACATATTAAAGTGAGTTTGTTTGTTTGTTTGTTTGTTTGTTTGTTTTTGAGATGGAGTCTCACTGTATCACCCAGGCTGGAGTGCAATGGCGTGATCCCGGCTCACTGCAATCTCCACCTCCTGGGTTCAAGCAATTCTCCTGCCTTAGCCTCCTGAGTAGCTGGGATTACAGGCACCTGCCACCACGCCCGGCTAATTTTTGTATTTTTAGTAGAGATGGGGTTTCACCATGTTGGCCAGGATGGTATACATCTCCTAACCTCATGATCCACCCACATCAGCCTCCCAAAGTGCTGGGATTACAGGCATGAGCCACCATGCCTGGCTGTGAGTGAGTGTTTTTGCCAACCTGATAGCCTTGGTTTTTTTTTTTCCTGTACCTTCTCAGTGTCTTGGGATGGGATCCATGATACCTGAGGAAGTAACAAAGATTATACAATCATCCCTAAGTATTCACGGGGAATTGATTCCAGGACCCCTGAATCAATTCCCTGATATAAAATGGCAATCTCAAGTCCCTGATATAAAATGGCATAGTATTTACACATAACCTGCACACATCCTCTCATTTACTTTAACCATCTCTAGATTAATTAAAATACCTAATGCAATGTAAATGCTATGTTAATTGTTATCATACTGAATTGTCTTTTATTTGTATTATTTTTATTATTGTATTGTTATTTTTAATTTGTATATTTTTGACATTTTTAATGCTCAGTTGCTTGAATCCATGGGTGTATAACTCACAGATAAGGAGGCCTGACTACATTCCCAAAGAAGAAAAATGAGGCAAATCAGTCTTTTATTTAAGAATATTTGGGCATGTTTTATCGTATCCACAATATTTCTTTTTCTTTCTTTTTTTTTTTTTTTTTTTTTTTTGAGACAGAGTCTTGCTATGTCACCCAGGCTGGAGTGCAGTGGTGCAAACTCGGCTCACTGCAAGCTCCGCCTCCCAGGTTCATGCCATTCTCCTGCCTCAGCCTCCCGAGTAGCTGGGACTACAGGCGCCTGCCACCATGCCTGGCTAAATTTGTGTATTTTTTTAGTAGAGATGGGGTTTCACCGTGTTAGCTAGGATGGTCTCGATCTCCTGACCTCGTAATCCGCCTGCCTCGGCCTCCCAAAGTGCTGGGATTACAGGCGTGAGCCACCGTGCCCGGCCACAATAATTCTTTTTCTAATCATGGTAAAGTGTTCAGCAAACATGCCAGGTTTCCCAGTGTTTCAACATGCAGGACTAATCTTGTAGTTAATGTATATTCCTTTTCTTCCTGAGCCTTTTAACAGGAGATGTTTTTGCCTAGTTGTTGTTATTTTTCTAATTGCCCAATTTTCTTTTCTCTGTTAAACACTAATTAAAGAATGATCTCAGGACTGCCACCTTTTTGGAGAAAACATTAATCTGCTGCCCTCGCTACATTTTAATGGGCCTAATTTATCCCTATTATCTACTCCCTTCACCACCCCAACTGAGCAAGGAAAACATTCTTATCCCCTGCACCCTTCTCATACTCTACTGCATTTTTGCATTTTATTTTCCCTACTAGCTTCAACTGATGCTGCCTAGCCTTGTTTATGTTTACTTTTCATTATCAGCAGAATATGCATATGACTATAAGTCTTCTCTCCTCCTCCCTCTTTCCCTGCTTGATCTGCTCTGTATTAATTTCTTTTCCTATTACTAAACCTGTATGTACCTGTATCTGTTGATGAATTAATTAATCACCCAGACATAGCTCAGCACCTGTATGAAATAGGCTCCAGGACACTGAAGCATCAATTCTAGTCTCCAGGAACCAGCAGTCTGAAAGGAGAGGCCGACACATAAACAGAAAATTGTAATAAAATGTGGTACAGGCAACCATACAGATTAGAAGAAGATTCAGGAACACACAGAAGGAGCTACCACTCCAGCCTTGGTAGCAGGGAAGGCTTCCCCTATTGGCTGTCATTTGGAATGATTGACCATACCATAGGTAGAAAAATGGGTTGAATCCAGAATTCATTTGCATTAATAGCAAACCTTGATAATCAGTGATATTGACTTCCCTTTCATCTCTTTTACACAACTCAGTAATATTTCCATTAAGAAAATATTATAAGGCACTTTGGAATGTCCATATTAAAAATAGTATATTAATTAAAATAGCACAAAGCTCAACTAATAATCAAACCAGCCATAAACTATGGAGCAAAGAACTTTGTTTCCAAGAGATTTAAAAAAAAAAAAGAAAAAGACAAAGCTACCTGTAAGCCCTGAGCTGATTGTATTGGCTTTTAAAGACTTTTTAAAGCCTCTCCTTAAAGCAAATCACACTGTATTAGTCTGTTTTCACACTCATGATAAAGACATACCCAAGACTGGGCAATTTACAAAAGCAAGAGGTTTATGGACTTACAGTTCCACGTGACCGGGGAGGCCTAACAATCATGGCAGAAGGAAAGGAGGAGCAAGGCAGATCTTACATGGATGGCAGCAGACAAAGAGAGCTTGTGCAGAGCAACTCCTGTTTTTAAAACCATGAGCTCTCATGACACCCACTCACTATCATGAGAACAGCATGGGAAGACCCATCCCCATTATTCAATCATCTCCCACCTGGTCCCTCCCATAACACATGGGAATTATGGGAACTACAAGATGAGATTTGGGTGGGGACACAGAGCCAAACTGTGTCATTCTGTCCCTGGCCCCTCTCAAATCTCATATCTTCACATTTCAACACCAACTATGCCTTCCCAACAGCCCTCCAAAGTCTCCACTCATTTCAGTATTAATTCAAAAGTCCACATTCCAAAGTCTCATCCAAGACAAGCAATTCCCTTCTACCTATGAGCCTGTAAAATCAAAAGCAAGTTAGTTACTTCCTAGATACCAAGAGGGTACAGACATTGGGTAAATACACCAATTCCAAATGGGAGAAATTGGCCAAAACAATGGGGCCACAGGCCCCATGCAAGTCTGAAATCCAGCAGGGTAGTTAAATCTTAAAGCTCTAAAATGATCTCTTTTGACTCCATGTCTCACATCCAGGTCATGCTGATGCAAGTGGTAGGTTCCTATAGTCTTTGGCACCTCCACTCCTGTGGCTTTGCAGGATATTGCTTCCCTCCTGGCTGCTTTCACAGGCTGGTTTTGGGTGTCTGCAGCTTTTCCAGGTGCACAGTGCAAGCTGTTGGTGGAGTTACCACTCTGGTTTCTGGAGGATGGTGGCCCTCTTCTCACAGCTCCACTAGGTGGTGCCCCAGTAGGGACTCTGTGTGGGGGCTCCAACTCCACATTTCCCTTCCGCACTGCCTTAGCAGAGGTTCTCTATGAGGGTCCCACCCCTGCAACAAACTTCTGCCTGGGCATCCAGGCATTTTCATACATCCTCTGAAATCTAGGCGGAGGTTCCCAAATCCCAATTCTTGACTTCTGTGCACCTGCAGGCTCAACACCATGTGGAAGCTGCCAAGGCTTGAGGCTTCCACCCTCTGAAGCAACAGCCTGAGCTATACCATGGCCCCTTTTAGTTATGGCTGGAGTGGCTGGGTCACAGGGCACCAAGTCCCTAGACTGCACACAGCAGAGGGACCCTGGGCCCGGACCACAAAATCATTTTTTCCTCCTAAACCTCTGGGCCTGTGATGGGAGGGGCTGCCGCAAAGTTCTCTAACATGCCCTGGAGATATTTTCCCCATTCTCTTAGTGATTAACATTTGGCTCCTCATTACTTATACACATTTCTGAAGCCAGCTTGAATTTCTCCTCAGAAAATGGGATTTTCTTTTCTATTGCGTTGTCAGGCTGCAAACTTCCCAAACGTTTATGCTGTCTTTCCCCTTTAAAACTGAATGCTTAACAGCACCCAAGTCACTTCTTGAATGCTTTGCTGCTTAGAAATTTCTTCTGCCAGATACCCTAAATCATCCCTCTCAAGTTCAAAGTTTCACAAATCTCTAGAGCAGAGGCAAAATGCCACCAGTCTCTTTGCTAAAACATAACAAGTGTCACCTTTGCTCCAGTTCCCAATAAGTTCCTTATCTCCATCTGAGACCACCTCAGTCTGGACCTTATTTTTTATATGCCTATTAGCATTTTTTGTCAAAGACATTCAACAAGTCTCTAGGAAGTTCCAAACTTTCCCACATTTTCCTGTCTTCTTCTGAGCCCTCCAAACTGTTCCAACTTCTGCCTATTACCCAGTTCCAAAGTAGCTTCCATGTTTTTGGGTATCTTTTCAGCAGCGCCCCACTCTACTGGTACCAATTTACTGTATTAGTTCATTTTCATGCTGCTGATAAAGACATACCCAAGACTGGGCAATTTCCAAAAAAAAAAAAAAGATTTATGAACTTACACTTCCACATGGCTGGGAAGGCCTCACAATCATGATGGAAGACAAGGAGGAGCAAGTCACATCTCACATAGATGTCAGCAGGGAAAGAGAGCTTGTGTAGGGCAACTCCAGTTTTTAAAACCATCAGATCTCATGAGACAAATTCACTCTGACAAGAACAGCATGAGAAAGACCTGCCCCCATAATTCAATCATCTCCCACCAGGTCCCTCCCATAACACATGTGAATTATGTGAGCTACAAGATGAGATTTGGGTGGGGACATAGAGCCTTAACCATATCATACACTCAGTTCTGATATTCTTGGCTTTCTGACATCCTGGACAATTAGCAATAACCAAACCTAAAAGGTAGAGAGTTATTTGAAGGATTGTATTTTGATCCCAGGGAAAATGTGACCCCCAACACCTGAATAATGAAAAAGAAAAAAAACCATACACACAGAAACTATGAAACAGTTGAACAAAAAACCTCTTTGAAAACCAACAGATCCAGGGAATAAAAATAACAGCAGATATTTAGCTTTCTCAATAGCTCTCCCTGTTGTCCCTGCATGATAAAGAGCACAATAATTAGTGTTGACACTGACGGTCCAGAGGCAGCAGATAAAGATTTATTTAGATTAAAGGAAATTCATTTCAGAAGGTAAAGAAGATGGATAATTTATGGTGAAAAATTTCCCTGAAAACTGAATTAAATGAAACAATTTTCTTCTTTAGCAGGAATATATTTCAATCAGCAAATGACCACACACATTTAACACTGTGTCATCCTGAGGTTGATATTGGATGCTCATGAGTTTCTTTTTTGTTTGCTTTTGGTGTTAACTTACTGCCTCTCTTGCGGTTTTCCAGATTGCTAAACCTTCTCTATTGAAACTCTTCTGTATGTCTTAAGGTACTCCTCAAATAGAAGGTGACTGCGATTGTTTCAAAAGAGAAAATTGTTTCTCATGTCAGCAGTATTTTATTTCTTTGTAATCCAAGAAAAAAGAGATACTTGTTTAAAAATCCAAAGTTCTGACATCTTGAATATAACAACTGACACTAAAAGTTTTTTAAATTGATTCAGGACAATGCATTTAAAACATATTTATAAAGCACTTTATATAGATCATCAAGTGACTTTAGATATAGCCTTTCACATTACAATGAATTATATTTTGTTCAGCTTTCTTGTCATGGTAATCCATTTCATGTGTTTTCTTTTCACAGCTGCCATAATACTCTGACTCACCATTGCCTTTTTTCCATAATTATCAGCATATTCTCCTTAATCATATGGAAATCTATTATTATTTTTGTCTCACGGCATTACAGAATGTAGACCTGAACTTTTCCGACCATGTCACTACAGATTAAGATGTGGATTCTTTAGAATAGAATGTGTATTTTTAGAACACCATTGTGTTCCCAACCCTTATGTAAACATCACTATCATGTAGACCCCAAGGAATCCTTGATTTCAGGCATAGCCTTGCTGGGGAGAGGTACTCACACACAGTGGGATTAGAACAATTTGAAGCCTATGCATTATTTGGGGCTAAACTGAATATATGACTTGCACATATAGGGAAGATCCTTGTATTTGTAAGATGCTATCACATCACATCCAATGTTCTTTAACAAGACATGATCAATTTTGAAATTCAAGTGTTTAATAAGCTTCTGTGGAGAAGCAACAAAAACACAGTTTTGCATGGTGAAAAGAGAGAAGAGGTATCTACATATAGTGCGGGCAGGGAGAAGCGAGTGCATTCTATGTTCCTGTTCTATCATCTGTGTTACCTGCATCTTGTACTCATTCTGATTCTGGTTGTCCCTCCCTCCCCTACATCTCCCACTCTGAGGTGGTGTTTTGAATGCTCTTGAAAGTCTGTCACATTTGCTTGATATGGTTTTGGCCTGAAAACATTAGAATTGATAAACCAATTTGTTTTTTTATGAATCACTAATAATTTGAGCATGATAGATTTCCTCTAAATGCAGAGCTCATTCTTTCATGGCCATCTGATGTATTAACAGAAGCTGGTCTGGAGAAAGGCTGAGGCTTCCTCCTTAAGCATGTTCCCAGTGCCAACTGATAAGCAATTAGAAAAAGCAGAGCTGGCATCTGAAGGCTCCTGTGTTCTAGGGTGGGCATCTCAATATCTGATTCTCATTCCATCGTATTCATTTCTGGTTGTGTGACTTTGCTTACTTATAGTCTCTGAGGCTACGTTTCTTCCCCTGATAAATGAAGGGTTTTTTGATTTTGCACAGGACTATTCCTGAAATAGCCATGGGAAATGAATGGAGAATAGTTTGTATATATTTTTAAATCCACTGAAATAAATCTGGTCATTTATTCTTTTCTTGAACAAAGATTAATTACAGATGTATTGGACATTATGTCTATAGGAAGGGTAGGAGGTGTGGTACAATAGAAATTCCAGACAGAGAGAAATGGAGATGATGATAGCTATATTGAGCCTAGCAGGGCCATTGGCCTCCTTGCTAGAAAGTTTGAATTTATGCTGAAGGCAAAATAAGGAGATATGATTTTATGTACTTTAAAGATCCAACTAAAACCGCATGGAGACTGGAGTAGAGAGAGAGGTGAAATGGAGGCAGAGAGCATCCTTAAAAATAATCCAGTGAAGAGATGGTGAGTGTCTGAACTAGGGCTTATGGCATTAGGGATGAGGAAGTGTGGAGACAGATGAGGAATAACTAAGGGATAGAGTTGGCATTGCTTGGAACATAATTAATGTGGGAGGTGAGCAACCCTGGGGAAGATGCTAAGTTCAGTCTGGGACAAGTTGAGTTTGAGGGCATGCAGGCAGAGTGAATGGTTTTATATAAGTGTTTGGAGTGTGGGAGAGGGTTTAGGGATATAGCTATAGATCTGGAGTGCAGCAGCACACCATATATAAATAAGGCTCTTTGGGCCACTGAATTGATGAGATTGCCCAAGGAGAGAAAGGAAGATAGCAAAGAATAGAATTCTGGGGAGCAGCAGAACTTAGGGGAGCAACTAAGAAAGGGAGCCAAAAAAGGAAACTGAGAAAGAATAGTCAGGCAGCTGAGAGAAGAACAAGAAGGGTGGAGTCACAGGAAAAAAGAAATTGTCAGCAATAACACATGCAGGGAGATCAGATGAAATAAGAACTGAAATCATCCAGTGGTTTGTGGATCTGGATAAGTAGCTCAGAGAGAAGTCAGATGTGTTTCCAGAAAATGTTTATTGCTTAAGCAAGACCAATCCCTGTGCTAGGGTACTTTGCCAAGGTTTCTAAATTGGCTTTATTTACAGAAGGATTACACCTCTACAAATGCACACAGGTCAATCAATCCACTCCATTCTCAGCCAAGATCATTATGACTTCTTTTCATATGTGCTTTAATTTTCGTTCATTTGTTTGTTTGTTTAGAAATAGGAGTGTTGAAAAATAACCTAGTTGCCAATTTGGTTATGTGCAACTGTTAAATATAGATGGATAAATAGATGGGTGGATAGATAGATAGATAAGACAGATAAATAGTGGCTACCAAAATGTTTGAGGTAGGAGAGCTTCAGCTACTCTCTTACTATACTGCTAACAATTATAAGGAAAGAAATTCTCAACAAAATGTATTGATGGATTCTCAGTTTCCTGTCCTAATAGGTGCTCTGAACAATAGCTTGCATGAAAGGAGCACTTGAGGTAAACCTGCTGCCTTTGGGAGGCAGGATTGTTACCTTATGGGAGTGATCAGGCAGGCAGAAATTCTGCATCTCAGTCTCGGGGCACAGAGCATTTAGGGCTGAGACCTCGCGTACCATCCCTAAGGATCCAGGCCTCAGGCATAGCTATATGATTTGTTCTTCATATAATCGTGGGCAGTATCTCTAAAATATTTTAGCCCATCCACAATGTTGAATATCAGTATTTTCACCCATGAATCATCCGTTGTGTTAATTAACTGGCCAACAATTTCACCAATGAAAAGCCATTTCTAATATTTGTTATGCAAAGCCCCTGATGTTAATTGAAATATACCTAGGAGCATTTACACTGGCCACCTCTACTGTGTGACTTTTATGGGGGAAAACTTGTGACCACCCATGAGGGTGTGAATTCCTGATTAAGGCAATAAACTGCTCCTTCAGTGGGATTTAAAGAAAAGAACACACATAACTCACTCTTTTTTTCTAAGGAGAATTTTAAAGTAAATAGAAAATATCATAGTAAGGAGGTAGGAAGACTGAGACATCATTGTGAAACCACCAACTACATCTTTGTGATGAATGAAAATATCATTTGGAAACAATATCTGTCACACTAAAAACTAGCCTTTCAGAGTATGTTTATTCTTTTTTTTTTTAATTCTTTTTTTTTTTTCTGAGAAGGAGTCTTGCTCTGTTGCCCAGGCTGAACTGCAGCGGCACGATCCTGGCTCACTGCAACCTCCGCCTCCCAGGTTGGAGCGACTCTTCTGCCTCAGCCTCCTGACTACCTGGGATTACAGGTGCACGCCACCACACTCAGCTAATTTTTGCATGTGGGGTTTCACCATGTTGGCCAGGCTGGTCTTGAACTCCTGACCTCAGGTGATCCGCCCGCCTCGGCCTCCCAAAGTGCTGAGAGTACAGGCTTGAGCTACTGTACGCTGCCCAGAGTATTTTTATTGTGCCACAAATTTTTGAAATCCTCTCCATAACCGATGTTCAGATCTCATTCTCTTATGAACATTTTTGTCATAGCCCACTCATTCTCATACACACAGACACACACACACACACACACAGACACACCACACGCACACACATACTAAAAACAGCATGATCATCAAATTGCCTGAAGTGTACCATCATAATATTTCACATCTGTGCTTGTACAAAGAGAAATATTCTGATGCTCTGCTGTACCTGCAAGTTGTTTCAGTCAGTTAAGAGGTTCCTCAGCTAACAACCTGAGTAAGGCTATACATGATTAAGTTAAAGAGCGAAAACCCGAATGCTAGCATAGACCTGTAGTATTTATATATCATTTTTTTGATTACAAAAATATTGGTATGCTTATTACATAACGTTCAAATATTACAGAAAAGCCTAATGTAGAAAATGAATATCTTCAGTAATCCTATTTCCTAAGATAACTGCTGTTAGCTTGGTGTGGTTTATGGAAGAACTTTTCCCTTGCAAGAATAAATATATGTAAATACAATTTTTTCGATAGGATCCTAGTCATATATGTTGTTTTACAATTTTTAAATAATTCACCCTAAACACATCTTCTAATCAGTATGCAGAGATAGTTTTTTAGATAACTTTAGGGTTTCCATTTCCAATGTCAAATTAAAGCCATCCTATTACATACTTTCTGAACACATTGTTTTTCTTTCTTTTTTATTAGACTTTAAGTTCTAGGGTACAAGTGCACAACGTGCAGGTTTGTTACATATGTATACATGTGCCATGTTGTTGTCCTGCACCCATTAACTCGTCATTTATATTAGGTATATCGCCTAATGCTATCCTTCCCCCCTCCCCATACCCCATGACAGGCCCCAGTATGTGATGTTCCCCACCCTATGTCCAAGTGTTCTCATTGTTCAGTTCCCACCTATGAGTGAGAACATGCAGTGTTTGATTTTCTGTCCTTGCGATAGTTTGCTGAGAATGATGGTTTCCAGCTTCATCCATGTCCCTACAAAGGACATGAACTCATCCTTTTTTATGGCTGCGTAGTTTTCCATGGTATATATGTGCCACATTTTCTTAATCCAGTCTATCATTGATGGACATTTGGGTTGGTTCCAAGTCTTTGCTATTGTGAATAGTGCCGCAATAAACACATGTGTGCCTGTGTCTTTATAGCAGCATGATTTATATAATCCTTTGGGTATATACCCAGTAATGGCATGGCTGGGTCAAATGGTATTTCTAGTTCTAGATCGTTGAGGAATCGCCACAGTGTCTTCCACAATGATTGAACTAGTTTACAGTCCCACCAACAGTGTAAAAGTGTTCCTATTTCTCCACATCCTCTCCAGCTCCTGTTGTCTCCTGACTTTTTAATAATCGCCATTCTAACTGGTGTGATATGGTATCTCATTGTGGTTTTGATTTGCATTTCTCTGATGGCCAGTGATGATGAACATTTTTTCATGTGTCTGTTGGCTGCATAAATGTCTTCTTTTGAGAAGTGTCTGTTCATATCCTTTGCCCACTTTTTGATGGGGTTGTTTGATTTTTTCTTGTAAATTTGTTGAAGTTCTTTGTAGATTCTGGATATTAGCCCCTTGTCAGATGGGTAGATTGCAAGAATTTTCTCCCATTGTGTAGGTTGCCTGTTCACTCTAATGATAGTTTCTTTTGCTGTGCAGAAGCTCTTTAGTTTAAATATATCCCATTTGTCTACTTTGGCTTTTGTTGCCATTGCTTTTGGTGTTTTAGTCATGAAGTCCTTGCCCATGCCTATGGCCTGAATGGTATTGCCTAGGTTTTCTTTTAGGCTTTCTATGGTTTTAGGTCTAATATTTAAGTCTTTAATCCATCTTGAGTTAATTTTTGTATAAGGTATAAGAAAGGGATCCAGTTTCAGCTTTCTACATGTGGCTAGCCAGTTTTCCCAGCACCATTTATTAAATAGGGAATCCTTTCCCCATTTCTTGTTTTTGTCAGGTTTGTCAAAGATCAGATGGTTGTAGATGTGTAGTATTATTTATGAGGGCTCTATTCTGTTCCATTGGTCTATATTTCTGTTTTGGTACCAGGACCATGCTATTTTGGTTACTGTAGCCTTGTAGTATAGTTTGAAGTCAGGTAGCATGATGCCTCTAGCTTTGTTCTTTTGGCTGAGGATTGTCTTGGCAATGTGGGCTCTTTTTTGGTTCCATATGAACTTTAAAGTAGTTTTTTTCCAATTCTGTGAAGAAAGTCATTGGTAGCTTGATGGGGATGGCATTGAATCTATAAATTACCTTGAGAAGTATGGCCATTTTCACAATATTGATTCTTCCTACCCATAAGCGTGGAATGTTCTTCCTTTGTTTGTGTCCTCTTTTATTTTGTTGAGCAGTGGTTTGTAGTTCTCCTTGAAGAGGTCCTTCATATCCCTTGTAAGTTGGGTTCCTAAGTATTTTATTCTCTTTGTAGCAATTATGAATGGGAGTTCACTCATGATTTGGCTCTCTGTTTGTCTGTTATTGGTGTATAGCAATGCTAGTGATTTTTGCACATTTATTTTGTTTCCTGAGACTTTGCAGAAGTTGCCTATCAGCTTAAGGAGATTTTGGGCGGAGACAATGGGGTTTTCTAGATATACAATCATGTCATCTACAAACAGGGACAATTTAACTTCCTCTTTTCCTAATTGAATACCCTTTATTTCTTTCTCCTGCCTGATTGCCCTGGCCAGAACTTCCAACATTATGTTGAATAGAAGTGGTGAGAGAGGGCATCCTTGTCTTGTGCCAGTTTTCAAAGGGAATGCTTCAAGTTTTTGCCCATTCAGTATGATATTGGGTGTGGGTTTGTCATAAACAGTTCTTATTATTTTGAGATATGTCCCATCAATACCTAGTTTATTGAGAGTTTTTAGCATGAAGGGCTGTTGAATTTTGTCAAAGGCCTTTTCTGCATCTATTGAGATAATCATGTGGTTTTTGTCTTTGGTTCTGTTTATCTGATGGATTATGTTTATTGATTTGCATATGTTGAACCAGCCTTGCATCCCAGGGATGAAGCCAACTTGATCGTGGTGGATAAACTTTTTGATGTGCTGCCGGATTCGGTTTGCCAGTATTTTATTGAGGATTTTTGCATCAATGTTCATCAGGGATACTAGTCTAAAATTCTCTTTTTTTGTTGTGTCTCTGCCAGGCTTTGGTATCAGGATGATGCTGGCCTCATAGAATGAGTTAGGCAGGATTCCCTCTTTTTCTATTGATTGGAATAGTTTCAGAAGGTACAAGCTCTTCCTTGTACCTCTGGTAGAATTTGGCTGTGAATCCATCTGGTCCTGGAATTTTTTTGGTTGGTAGGCTATTAATTAGTGCCTCAATTTCAGAGCCTGTTATTGGTCTATTCAGGGATTCAACTTCTTCCTGGTTTAGTCATGGGAGGGTGTATGTGTCGAGGAATTTATCCATTTCTTCTAGATTTTCTAGTTTATTTGCACAGAGGTGTTTATAGTATTCTCTGATGGTAGTTTGTATCTCTGTGGGATCAGTGGTGATATCCCCTTTATCATTTTTTATTGTGTCTATTTGATTCTTCTCTCTTTTCTTCTTTATTTGTCTTGCTAGCGGCCCATCAATTTTGTTGATCTTTTCAAAAAACCAGCTACTGGATTCATTGATTTTTTGAAGGGTTTTTTGTGTCTCTATCTCCTTCACTTCTCCTCTGATCTTAGTTATTTCTTGCCTTCTGCTAGTTTTTGAATGTGTTTGCTCTTGCTTCTCTAGTTCTTTTAATTGTGATGTTAGGGTGTCAATTTTAGATCTTTCCTGCTTTCTCTTGTGGGCATTTAGTGCTATAAATTTCCCTCTACACACTGCTTTAAATGTGTCCCAGAGATTCTGGTATGTTGTGTCTTTGTTCTTATTGGTTTCAAAGAACATTTTTATTTCTGCCTTCATTTCATTATGTACCCAGTAGTCATTCAGGAGCACATTGTTCAGTTTCCACGTAGTTGAGCAGTTTTGAGTGAGTTTCTTAATCCTGAGTTCTAATTTGATTGCACTGTGGTCTGAGAGACAGTTTGTTATAATTTCTGTTCTTTTACATTTGCTGAGGAGTGCTTTACTTCCAACTGTGTGGTCAATTTTGGAATAAGTGTGGTGTGGTGCTGAAAAGAATGTATATTCTGCTGATTTGGGGTGGAGAGTTCTATAGATGTCTATTAGGTCTGCTTGGTGCAGAGCTGAGTTCAATTCCTGGGTATCCTTGTTAACTTTCTGTCTTGTTGATCTGTCTAATGTTGACAGTGGGGTGTTAAAGTCTCCCATTATTATTATGTGGGAGTCTAAGTCTCTTTGTTGGTCTCTAAGGACTTGCTTTATGAATCTGGGTGCTCTAGTATTGAGTGCATATATATTTAGGATAGTTAGCTCTTTTTGTTGAATTGATGCCTTTACCATTAAGTAATGGCCTTCTTTGTCTCTTTTGATCTTTGTTGGTTTAAAGTCTGTTTTATCAGAGACTAGGATTGCAACCCCTGCTTGTTTTTGTTTTCCATTTGCTTGCTAGATCTTCCTCCATCCCTTTGTTTTGAGCCTATGTGTCTCTGCACATGAGATGGGTCTCCTGAATACAGCACACTGATGGGTCTTGACTCTTTATCCAGTTTGCTAGTCTGTGTCTTTTACTTGGAGCATTTAGCCCATTTACATTTAAGGTTAATATTGTTATGTGTGAATGTGATCCTGTCATTATGATGTTAGCTGGTTATTTTGCTCATTAGGTGATGCAGTTTCTTCCTAGCATCGATGGTCCTTACAATTTGGCATGTTTTTGCAGTGGCTGGTACCAGTTGTTCCTTCCCATGTTTAGTGCTTCCTTCAGGAGCTCTTATAAGGCAGGCCTGGTGGTGACAAAATCTCTCAGCATTTGCTTGTCTGTAAAGGATTTTATTTCTCCTTCACTTATGAACCTTAGTTTGGCTGGATATGAAATTCTGGGTTGAAAATTCTTTTCTTCAAGAATGTTAAATGTTGGCTACCACTCTCTTCTGGCTTGTAGAGTTTCTGCCGAGAGATCAGCTGTTAGTCTGATGGGCTTCCCTTTGTGGGTAACCCGACCTCTCTCTCTGGCTGTGATGGGCTTCTCTTTGTGGGTAACCCGACCTCTCTCTCTGGCTGCCCTTAATATTTTTTCCTTCATTTCAACTTTGGTGAATCTGACAATTATGTGTCTTGGAGTTGCCCTTCTTGAGGAGTATCTTTGTGGCGTTCTCTGTATTTCCTGAATTTGAATGTTGGCCTGCCTTGCTAGGTTGGGGAAGTTCTCCTGCATAATATCCTGCAGAGTGTTTTCCAACTTGGCTCCATTATCCCCGTCATTTTCAGGTACACCAATCAGACGTAGATTTGGTCTTTTCTTATAGTCCCATATTTCTTGGAGCCTTTGTTCGTTTCTTTTACTCTTTTTTCTCTAAACTTCTCTTCTCGCTTCATTTCATTCATTTAACCTTCAATCACTGATACCCTTTCTTCCACTTGATCAAATCGGCTACTCAAGCTTATGCATTCATCACATAGTTCTCGTGCCATGGTTTTCAGCTCCATCAGGTCATTTAAGGTCTTCTCTGTGCTGTTTATTCTAGTTAGCCATTTGTCTAGTCTTTTTTTCAAGGTTTTTAGCTTCTTTACAATGGGTTAGAACATCCTCCTTTAGTTCGGAGAAGTTTGTTATTACCGATCATCTGAAGCCTTCTTCTCTCAGCTCGTCAAAGTCATTCTTTATCCAGCTTTGTTCTGCTGCTGGTGAGGAGCTGCATTCCTTTGGAGGAGAAGAGCTGCTCTGATTTTTAGAACTTTCAGCTTTTCTGCTCTATCCCTATCTTTGTGGTTTTATTTACCTTTGGTCTTTGATGATGGCGATGTACAGGTGGGGTTTTGGTGTGGATGTCCTTTCTGTTTGTTAGTTTTCCTTCTAACAGTCAGGACCCTCAGCTGCAGGTCTGTTGGAGTTTGCTGGAGGTCGACTCCAGACGCTGTTTGCCTGGGTAACACCAGCTGAGGCTGCAGAACAGCAAATATTGCAGAATGGCAAATGTTGCTGCCTGATCCTTCCTCTGGAAGCTTCGTCTCAGAGGGGCACCTGGCTGTATGAAGTGTCAGTCGGCCCCTACTGGGAGGTGTCTTGCAATTTGGCTACTCAAGGGTCAGGGACCCACTTGAGGAGGCAGTCTGTCCGTTCTCAGATCTCAAACTCTGTGCTGGGAGAACCACTACTCTCTTCAAAGATGTCAGACAGGGACATTTAAGTCTGCAGAAGTTTCTGCTGCCTTTTGTTCATCTATGCCCTGCCCCCAGAGGTGGAGTCTACAGAGGCAGGCAGGCCTCCTTGAGCTGCAGTGGGCTCCACCCAATTCGAGCTTCCTGACCACTTTGTTTTCCTACTCAAGCCTCAGCAATGGCAGACACCCCTCCTCCAGCCTCGCTGCCATCTTGCAGTTCTATCTCAGACTGCTGTGCTAGCAGTGAGCGAGGCTCCATGGGCATGGGACCCTCCGAGCCAGGCATGGGATATAATCTCCTGGTGTGCCATTTGCTAAGACTGTTGGAAAAGCGCAGTATTAGGGTGGGAGTATACCGATTTTCCAGGTACCGTCTGTCACGGCTTCCCTTGGCTAAGAAAGGGAATTCCCCGACCCCTTGTGCTTCCAAGGTGAGGTGATGCCCCGCCCTGCTTCGGCTCACACTGCGTGGGCTACACCCACTGTCCGACAAGCTCCAGTGAGATGAACCTGGTACCTCAATTGGAAATGCAGAAATGACCCATCTTCTGCATCACTCATGCTTGGAACTGGAACTCTGAACAGATTCTTTTCAGCAGGCACAGCAGTTTAATTAATATGGAAAATAACAATAATAATAATAATGTATATTGAATGTTTGTGTCCAACAAAATTCATATGTTGAAACTGTAATCTCATTATTTGGAGGTGACGCCTTTGGGAGTTACTAGGTCGTGAGGGTTGATCCCTCATGAATGAGATCAGTGCCTTTATAAGAAGAAGCCATAGAGCTAGCTATCTCTCTTTTTACCATGTGAGGATACTAGGAGAAGTTGGTAGTCTGCAGCCCAGAAGAGGGCCCTCCCCAGAAGCCAACCAGGCTGGCACTCCAGTCTTGGGCTTCCAGCCTCCAGAACGGTGAGAAACAAATTTCTGTTGTTGACAAGTAATTTGTTATAGTAGCTCTAACTAAGACTAGTAAAAATAATAAAGAAAATATTCACAGACATAATCAGGAAATATTTCTCCGGGGCCTGACTTAGCCTAAGCTATTTCCATTTTTTTTTTTTTTTTGAGATGAATTCTTGCTCTGTCACCCAGGCTGTAGTGCAGTACCACAACCTCGGCTTACTGCATCTTGTGCCTCCCAGATTCAAGCAATTCTCATACCTCAGCCTCCCACGTAGCTGTGACTACAGGCGTACACCACCACAACCAGCTAATTTTTGTACTAGAGACGGAATTTCACCATGTTGGCCAGGCTGGTCTTGATCTCCTGACCTCAAGTGATCTGCCCACCTCGGCCTCCCAAAATGCTGGGATTACAGGCATGAGCCACCGAGCCCAGCCTATTTCTACTTCTTAGAGGCCCCACAAAATGATAATGAACCAGATGAATAGTTTCTATGTAGCTTTTGAAGCAAACACTACAGGGTTGGTTGGCATATATATATTGCTAAGCAGGCAAAGCTTAAATTATGGACTTCAGATGCCCATTTTTACATTGGTTTCTAAACCCATAACTTCATATAACTTCATCCTCTTCATCAGGAACCCAGTGTCTCGGGGTCCAAGGACACCTTAGTGTGAGTGCCAGCTCTGCTACTCAGCAGCTGTGTAATTCTGTGCAAATCATCTAACCTCTCAAAGCCTCAGTTTTGTTACCTTTAAAATGGGCCTAATGCCTTCCCCACAGAGAACCTAAAAATTAAAGATCAGACTCAGGGTCTGACCCATTGAGTGACACTGAAAGCCCATGGCTTTCAAGAAATGTTACTTCCTTACTCCCAAATCCAAACCTGCTCTAAGGGAGTGATAACTGACTCTTAATTGTTGTAGGCACTATATTAGATATTGCTGAGTACACATTTTCACTCTTTCCACTAAACTGTGATTTTCATTTTATAAAAACTGTGTAATGATTTTGTTGTTGTTGATCATTTGTTTTCCCCAAAGTGAAATGCAGAACCCAGGCTAGTAGCAGATAATAGCAGAGCCACTGTGGTTGAAATGGGGAGAGGGGTTCAGGGCTGGACCACTTGATATTCTGCACACCTGAGCCTCCTCTGCAGAGCAGAGCGCTCCCAGAACACAGCTTGAAAACCTCTGCATAGGCCATCATGCTTCACAGGAACTGTTGCAAAAGGATCTCATTTATTAATGAGGCCATATCACAGGTTAATAACTCATTATGATGTATCCTCTCAATATGTTTGCATTTGCCTATTACCTAACTCTGAAGAATGTGTTTCTAAATATGAATATTCCAGCATAACACCAATCAGCTAGAGGTTATTTATTTTTCCCAACTTGGGGATGAGCTGAAAGGGTGGAGCAGTTGAGGTGTTGAGTACTTCTCAATATCTCTGTTTTCACCAACTGTGGAAAACTCTCTCTCTTGACTACCCATAAGTCTGGCTCTACCCAGAGAGAAGTAAACTGCTTTGGGCTTTGGAAGGCAAGAAGAAAATGGCTGTGGGTCTCTGTTTGTGCCCCATCTTATGGGAAGAGGCTGAGGGGGCAGAGATATTTGCTCAATCAACAAGGTGACAGCTCTTACAGTACCTGGAGGTGGGCAGACCTTCAGGACATCCTATGTTAATCCGACAGCAGTTTATGGATTCATGAAAAGACCAGACAAACCTATATTTAAAGGGATTGCCCTTGGGGCAGACATCCGATTATTGACCAATGTATTAAAAGGTGAATAGAAAGGCAGTACAACAAAGTAGTTAAGAGCAAGGGCTCTGGAATCAGAGGAGATTGGAATTCAGCTCTGATATGATTAGCTCTGTCACCTTGAACATATTCCTTACCCTCTATTAGGCTCAGTTCTCTTGACTGTAAAATGAGAGTAGTCATATTGTTTACTCACAGGGTTGTTGTGAGATTTAGAAGACATAATGCATGTAAAGCCCTTAGCCCAGTGCCTGCTACTTAGTAAGGACTCAATAAATATAGCTATTAGTATTCATGTTGGCCTCCTTATGCATTCAACTTTCTCCCCATTTGACAAAGTGAAAATATATTTAAGAGTACTTTGTGTTGTTGAATTGGTGCTACAATTTATTTAATGCTTAGAATTATCTGAGGTATAGGATAATACTTATTATGAGAAATATTTAATCGTATCATTTAGTAATGGATGATTACACACATTAAAACCTCAATTTAATGTTATGTAGAATCACATGCTAAGGATCCACAACCAGAATATAATCACCTGTGTAGACTGTACTTAGGTTACTTGGATATCGTGGCAATTATTAGTGGAAATAGAGAAATCCATTTTCAAGAGCTAAAGAAAGAGAAAGAAAGAAAGAAAAAAAGCCAGGATTGAACCTTGACTGACTTAGGTTGCTAAGACCTTGACTTTTGTCATATTGTAATTTTGAGCACACCATCTTTGCATCCCATCTTTGCATGGCCTTTGCAATGCCATCTTTGATTGCAGTAATTCTGTGCAATAAACTTTGTTCAGTATCCCACTATATTCCCAGGATTCTGCACAGTGAGAGGGGACTTAGCAATATCTATAATTCAACCAAATTATTGAGAAACTATTGGGTTTGAAGCACTGTTATCTATTATTATCTTAATACACAATGTTCCTATAGCATTTAATGATTTTAAAATAATTTCTTTTATATATTTTCACATTTGATTCAACCTCTTTGAATCCCTATGAATTATCTAGGTGAGGATCAAAGTTTCTAATTTCTATCGCTTTTGTTTTAAATATATACTACCTAATTTAAGATCTAGAATACCAGTCTGTGTCCAGACTACTCACCAATCGACCCATTCACCTATCTTCTCTGTAATACCTGTAACACTGCAGAGTTGATGTACATAGTTCTTTACCTTTGCCCATTCTATTTCCTCAGTACCTGCCTTTAGAAAGGGTTTGATTAACAAAAACAAAAATCTATATCTAATAAGAAAAATTAAATATATAACAAAACCTCAATTTTGTGTCCATTATTGATTCATATTTCTAGCCCTCTTGCTTCTTAATTAGCACTCTTTTTGTTAAGTCCCTTTATTTTCTCTCCATTTAACATAAACACATCAAGAGAGGTTTCTCTATGCAACTTTATGTTTAATTACTCTGCATTTTATATCAACTGTTTACATTTTTATGATATAACAGATGTATGTTTATTCCTTCCCTCACAGTACATTAAATTGAAACAAACAAACAAAAAAAACACAAAAACCACAACCAACAAACCAACAAACAAAAATACCCAACTTCCTGTGCAATTGCATCCCTTTAATACCTTACTTTGTTTTGACCACAAAGGATACTGAATGCAGTATACCAAGGATACTGCTGGGGATACTGACTGCAGTTCTTCCTGTAACTGTAAAAGTTCACGATTTAAATGAATTCCTTTGCCCTCTTCTTCTGCCATAGACATACTAATTCATCAGTTCATGCTTGATACTTGGAAAGAAGCTACACAATGCTCCTCTCTCCCCAGTCTCCTGGAGTCAACACTGAATATTTTTGACACACTCAGGACGTCTGCCACATGGGCTCACAAATAATAGAAGACTCATCAGCTTTTATATGGCATCCACGTTTTTTCCTTCTGCCTCAAGGCAATTAATTTAACAGTAAGTTGCCTAGTTTTTGCATTTTTTAAATTTTCAGCTGGGCATGGAGGCTCATGCCTGTAATCCTAGCACTTTGGGAGGCCAAGACTGGAGGACTGCTTGAGCTCAGGAGTTTGAGACCAGCCTGGGCAACATAGCAAGACCTCGGCTCTATTAAAAATAAAATTAAAGAGTTAAGAAAAGATTCCTTCTTTGGGATGGCCTTCATGGTTCTGGGTACTGCTGCATTTGTCATGGATAGTCACACTTTGCAGTGATTTCTTCCATGTTTGCTGCTTCTGTTGGACTTCTTGCTGCTGGTGTAGGAGCCCACCATATGTGTGCTGAAGCTCAGCTTGTACACCCTCTCATCAGAAGTTAGAATTCTTTTCTGCTATTTTAGAGTTATATATTTTCCATCTGAGTATCTAAGCTTTAGGACCTTAAGGGTCTGTTAATAACAATACTTCTTTCTGGTTTTTTGTTTGTTTTTGTTTTGTTTTGTTTTTGTTTTCTGAGACAGAGTCTCACTCTGTTGCCCAGGCTGAATTGCAGTGGCACAATCTCGGCTCACTGCAGCCTCCACCTCCTGAGTTCAAGCGATTCTCCTGCCTCAGCCTCCCAAGTAGCTAGGATTACAGGCACCCGCCAAGCATGCCGGGCTAATTTTGGTGTTTGTAGTAGAGACGGGGTTTTACCATGTTGGCCAGGCTGGTCTCCAACGCCTGACCTCAAGTGATCCACCTCCCTCGGCCTCCCAAAGTGTTGGGATTACAGGCGTGAGCCACCTTGCCCAGCCCTTCCCGTTTTTATTAAAGACTACCAGCTGCATATAATAGGAATCAAGCACATAGGTTCTGATAGCTCATTAAGTGTAGGATTACTGCCCTCTTTCAAGGACTACTACTTTCTTACTGGGACAAATGTTGGCTTAAGTTCTTTCCCCAGATTGGATTTTCTTCTGCAGTAGAGGGGTGTATGGTAGAGAAGGAAGTGATATGGGGACCTCAGGCCAGCTGGCAAGTTGGAAAGAAATCCCATTTCTTACAATACCCCACCCTGCCCAAGTTAGGGGCTTACAATTCTGCTGACCCATGCTGGGGCACCATGTCCCAGGAATGGCTAAGTGAAAGGTGATTTACCAATTCAGCGACTATACTAGAAAATGCAGACTGAGTCTAAATCTCCTTTCATGAGCCACTTATTCCTGATATACTCATTTCCTGGCATTCAGCTTCCTTTCTTCCATTGGTACCTCTTCCCCTTAATTATTGAAAATTTCATGGAAGAAGGGTGGAAATGGATCCGATGCTGCACTACCTTGGTTTGATTTTCCATGTGCTACATGTCTTATAAACTGCCTGAGCAATCAAAAAGATGAAGGAAAGGATGAGGTGGTATTGGACAGCCAAAGAGCTTTCAGATTAATGATCAAAATGTGTGCAAGACAGATCCTTTTGGTAGGATGCTTTTTATAGGTTTTTAATTTCTGAAATTTAATCATGCAGGTTTAATTGCCTCCAGTTGTATGGCTTTAAATTGAAGGAGTTTGGCTTTTTATCTAAATTGCTTCATAATAAAACCACTGCTTTTGAGAATGCTTACCAGTGCTCAGACTCCTGGAAGGCTTTGCCATTCCCCACCACTGCCAAACAGCCAACACTTGACATGTAGAATTATGGAGAGCAAACCAACACATCCCCTTTGCCCAAGCCAAACACAAGGGCATTTGTCAATACACAGTGAGATAGGAGTCAGGATGAAAAGCACTGGTGACAAAAACCAGGCTAGAAAATCAGCCATAGGCCCCATCATCTCATCATCCTGGTCTATATTTTTTAAATTACTTTTCTGCCTCCAGAGTCCCAAATTCTGCTTATACACAAAGCAAGTCTTACTTCCACAATAAATTATTCTCATACTCTACCTGATTTCAAATTATATCTTTATCTTATCACTTATATTTCCTTATACCATGCATAGTTTTGTTAATATTTAAATATTAAATTTGCTGTTTATATTTGCAAATCTTATATAATGCAAAGAGAAAGTCATGACTCAGATCTTCTAGAGACTCAGATCCTAAAGGTTAGGGTGAAGGAATTTAAGGTCCAAAGAAATGCCATAGGTGACTCCTCTGAAATGGTACAACTAGTTAATGGCAAAGACAGAACTAGAATTTTGGTCTTCTAAAGCCCAGGCCCAAGCACTTTTTTCTTCTTCACTCTTGCTGTCACAATACATAAATTAGTTAGCTGGTACACAAACCCTAGGAAGCCAGGTGGGTGTACAAGGATGTACAAGAAAAACTCAAAAGTATTTGTCATCTCATTGTAAATAAAGCTTACGTTCCCTATCAGGCAGTGATAACTTTATGCCTGGATCTCTTTAGCTATAATCTCAAATCCCACCAAAGCACCTTCTTACACAGTTGGATTTGCAAATATGTACAATATAATATGTCAGCATTTTTGTTTTTGTTGTTTAATAAATGTTAAAGTCCTGAAATTTGAAAAAAAGAGAATGAGATTGTGGTTTCTTTTGAGATTTCATCTAAAATGACTGTGGACTTCTCCTAATTTGGGGGTTATATTAGTTTTGCTTGGATAGGATTTGTATTCGGGAAAATCTCAGTAATTGATTGTACTCATGCAGCTCTCCATAATCTGTTTTTTTACATCCTAGGTTTCAGATACCCATCATGACCATATTATTATCTGTTTATTGAGTTTGTAAATTCTATGGGCTGTCCAGTGCACTGGAAAGATCAGGCAAATTGAGTTAAAGTTAGTGTTTCTCAGGATGTAACAGAGGCTTTCTTTGAGTGGTCTTTATTTCTGGAACGTAATGAAGAATACTTGTTTTCCAGGAGGCTTTTGGTCAATAAAGCGATAAACGAAAACATCAGGAAGTCAGGATAGAGGAAGGGAAGAGAGAGGAATTGCTGGTGGCGCAATCTCGGCTCACAGCAACCTCTGCCTCCAGGGTTCAAGTGATTCTCCTGCCTCAGCCTCCCGAGTGGCTGGGATTATAGGCATGAGCCACCATGCCCAGCTAATTTTGTATATTTAGTAGAGATGGGTTTTCTCCATGTTGGTCAGGCTGGTCTCAAACTCCCGACCTCAGGTGATCTGCCTGCCTTGGCCTCCCAAAGTGCTGGGATTACAGGCGTGAGCCACTGCGCCTGGCCCTATTTCTTACATATAAAATTTTCTCAGTCTCCTTAAACAGCCATATCACAGAACACTCAAGAGTTCTGTGTTCTTGTCACAGGACACTCTTTAATCTGTCTGTTGGAAGGAAAGAGTGACCACCACTTAGGATATATCCTAAAAGCAACTTTGCTTTCTACAGAATGAACTAGGCTCCCATCTAGTTTGGAAAATTTGATCCCATTTAAGGCTTTGAATCAATGCTCATGCCTGTGGCTTCAGATGTGACTGATAATCTTAAAAAGAGGTATTATCCCAGCCTCCTTGGTGTTGTAGTTTGCCAGGTCCAAGGTAATCATACTGTTTAGATACCACACTTGAGTATATGCATTACGGGTAGTAAAGCTGACATATAAGGAGTTAAGAAGAAAGAAATCTGCCAGTGCCAGTTCCTAGTGTGCCATTGGCACTCAGTGCTCTTAGATGGCCCCTCGATTGTCCCAGCCAGAGAACCAGCCTTAGCTGCTCACTTCCCATGACTTGTTCTAGCCCTCTTGACACATAAACTCTCTTGTCTTCTGTTCTCATGTCCCTAGAGCTTAGGATCCTGCTCATATCATAAAGAATACAGAAAGAAGGACACTCTCAACTGCCAGCTACCAAGGAGACCCCACACTGCCACTTCTCAATTTATACCAACCACATCATCTTCATTAGCACCCACCCTTACCCTCTTCTCTTTTATAATTAATGAAGCATATGTCTTCTGGCCATAAGCAAGATTCTCTCCACCTAAGTCTTAGAGTCGGGAATGACATTGGCATACTCATGGCTTGTATCTCTTTGCCAGGTTTTCATATCTGGCCTGTCAATTCAGTCAGTCCTCTACAGCTGCATTTATTTTTATTTTTATTTTTATTTTATTTTGAGATGGAGTGTCGCTCTGTCGCCCAAGCTGGAGTACAGTGGTGTGATCTCGGCTCACTGCAACCTCCATCTCCTGGGTTCAAGCGATTCTCCTGCCTCAGCCTCCCAAGTAGCTGGGATTACATGTGCCTGCCACCATGCCCGGCTAATGTTTTGTATTTTTAGTAGAGACAGGGTTTCACCATGTTAGCCAGGATGGTCTCAATCTCCTGATCTCGTGATCTGCTCACCTCGGCCTCCCAAAGTGCTGGGATTACAGGCATGAGCCACTCGTGCCCAGCCACAGCTGCATTTATTAATGCTACAAGAGACCTACCTCTAGTTGCTAAACTATTAGGCCCTCTTCAGTCAATTGATCACATCCTCAATTATACAGCTTTTTTTTTCTTTCCCACACCTTTCTTGCTTCCACAGATTAAATTTAATTGTCCTTTTAGAGCTGTTAAAATAGAAGGATCATTTCCACCTAACCCCCCTGCCCAGTTCTGTGCAGGATAAATAGCTTAAGAAAACTCAGCCTGCTGCATCCAAATCCCCACACTGCACCAGCCTGGTCACTATCACATGGACCCCATTCTAGTGTGTCAGTATCTTTCCTTAAGGGGGCCACACAATAAAATAAATGTTTGGTTCCATGAGTGGCCCCACCAGTGCCATGGAGGTCAGTGCTGTCTCCTCCTTGGGAATTTGTGTTGCTGTCCCCAAGTGACAACCATCCAGCAGGTTCACTCTCAGAGCTCCAACCTGGCCATGGCTACATTTGGAAAAGAAATTAAACATTTCTCTAAATATTGGAAAAGCAGAGCCCGATTGCCCTTTTCTCAACTTTGTTTCTTTTAATCTAAACTGCAAACACAGGTCACACTTTGTGAAGAGAAATCTCATTTGTGTCTCTGGGCACTGCTTTGGGATTCAGAACTTAGGTTCTTAAGATTTATGACAGACTGATGCTGTGAAATCAGTTGTTCCTGGCTGCAAATCATGAAATCAGCACCGAGTTGGCCATAAAAAATGAAAGTTTTATGGTAAGTGGTTTAAGAAAAATGCAGAATATGAGTCCTTTGTGATGTATATGTTTTAGAGCAGCAATTCCCTATTTTTAATTTTTTTTGAAAACATTCTCCATTGCCATAGTAGGAAAACATCATGAAGTAACTTCATTGAAAACAGCTATGTATATAGAATAGCATATAATGGTTCTGTCAGACTTATTTTCCTACTAGCTGAAGCATAAATGTAGGATGATGATTTTTTTTCCTGAGGAATTAGATTTTATTAAAATAGTTGCTTTGTATCTCATTCAGCCTTGAAGTCAAAGCAATGGGATCCTACATAAATGAAATTTGTTGATCTAGTGCAAGCTAATACAGAAATCAATTTCAATTTCCTTTGGATGTACTATTAGTGTTTATCTGATGGTGGATTTGTGTTGTTTTAAGTGATAGCTATAACAACCAAAAATACTGATTAGATACTAGGAGCCATTCTTGATCTCAATTCAGAAAGAGTGTGGCATTATCCTTTTTGTGTATAATGAATTGGTTCTGTATCACAGTTTTTAATTGATCATTCCCAATATTAAGTTCCTCCAAAAGTTTAATAATCTTTTTTTCTGTGGCATTCATTATCAGATGAGGATTGAGATAATCCATCCTTATGATGGCCTTCCATGACTTCAGCTAATGGGACTATGTGTTTTGTGGAACATACCTAAATTGCTAGGGTTAAAACAGCTCATTTGGATAATTACAGTTGGTCTCTCTTAATAGGCCTGTGATTTCATTCTATGTTCAATTAGACGAATACTTAACTATGACTTCATGATGAAGGGATAAAGGCATGGTTTTAAACCGAACTCCTCTGAGGGACTGGAGGCCTTTTCCCTATGACTAGATCTTGAGAGTGTTACCAGAGGTTCAAGGTCACACAGCTGCCCTGAAACTTGGGATGTTGGCTGTTCAAATGTGTTTGTTCGTGGCAGGTGCCACATCGGCACAGGTGACTTAGAGTGTCACTGACAATTTGTGGGGCTTCTGCCTATGGTGGTGTACATCTCTCGGATCCAACTCACTGCGGCACTGGCATCACTCTGATTTGACTGGTCCCCCTGGAGTGAGGCAGTGCGTGGCTTATATGCTGTACACAGACAGCCATGCTTTCTTGTCTTCATATCTCCCTCCACCCTACTTTTTCCCTCGAGCTTGAATTTGGGAAGCCTTTTCGTACAGGAAGGACCTGATGGAGGTCCTGAGTGACAAATTCCCCAAACCTACTTCATGACTCTGGGGGCCAAAGGGACCTGAAATTCAGACTAAAATACTTGACATAGAAACATCTCCCTCTTTCTCATATCCCATCTCACACCTCTCCTTGGGCCCCTTCCCCTCCAGCTCATCTCCAGGATGCAGTGCATTTGTTCTGCCCTGCCCCGAGTGTCACCCCCCTTCACTTTTATTTCATTTCCCTAAAATCAACTCTAGGTTCCTCCTGCTTATAGAAGCATGGGTATGTTATCATGGATGCTAAACTTGGGTTAACAACAGCTTTAGGATATATCATGTAGCAAATTCATTCGCAGGATTGCATGGGCACAGCTGTTGTAAATGCCACCTTCATTTTAGGATGATACGGAGTATTTGAATACACAGATCATCCATTTCAAACCTCCGCTTAGGGTTCCCTTTATTATATCTTATTGCTTAGTGGATATAAATTAGTGTATTTTTGCCACTGTGGATGAATTTTCATGGGCCTGTGTTTCCAAGAAGGGACACCACCTTAGGCATTATTTCATGAAATAATAATAAGCACTACTGTTTTTTGAATACTTACCAAGTGTCAGGTGCTGAATGATAAGTTTACAAAATATTTTCTGACTTATTTTTGCCTCACATACTAATATAAGGAGGGGGTGATATAATCTTCATTTATAGATGAAGCACTGGAAGCTTGTCCACGTTTGTTCTGACTTCTGCGTTTAGGGTCTTTTGTCTCACGTTACAATCCACGCCCAGCCCTTACTGATATTTCCAGGCATTCAGCCATCTATTTGATAATTATCCTTCTCCATAGAAGCACAGACAGGAGCTGCTTCTTGACTTTGCTGATGGCTCTTTCTGTCCATGGATGTGAGCCCGAGTTGTGCCTGTGGCGTGATGACCCACAAATGTTGGCCTAGGTCCTCATGATGTGCACAGGGCAGCCTCCCATGCTTTCTAGCTGTCCTGCTGTGGTTTTGCTTCACTTGGTTACAGATGTCAACCAGATTGACTGATGAAGAAACATAGTGAAGATGACATTTATGACTTGTCTGAGAGATCCAGGAGAAAGGTGGGTGTTTAGCAGCTTACTGATGTATAAAGACAAAATTCGAAAAAAACAAAAAACAAAAAAAAACAACTATTAAAGGACCCCAGTGGAGAATAACCACATGCTTAAGTTATTGTGTGATCTAGATATGGGGAAGTGTGGACAAATTTGAGAAAGGGAAGTTGCCCAGGCAGCATTTTTTTTTTCCTAAAATATGCCCTTTGATATGTGGCTGGTGGGTTCAGTGGTTAGTGTACAGTGTGTACTGTGTTTGAGTCCTATGTAGACCAAGCTGCTTTTCTGTATCAAGACCAAACTTGGACAAACTCTCCATGAGTGCACATGGTCAGGATCTGTGTTCAGCAAAATTTTGTTGTCAGTAAGACTGGCCATTGCCTAAGTCCATTTGGGCTGCCATAATAAAATATCTTTGACCAGGCGATTTATAAACAACAGAAGTTTATTGCTCACAGTTCCGGAATCTGGTAGGTTCAAAATCAAGGGACCAGCAGATTTGTTGTCTGATGAGGGCTCATTCTCTGCTTCATAGATAGTGTCTTCTGGCTGTGTTTTCATATGGTGGAAGGAGTGAACAAGCTCCCTCAGGCCTCTTTTACATGGGCACTAATACCATTCATGAGGTCTCTGCCTTTATGACCTAATCATCTTCCAAAAGCCTGACCTCCCAAAACCACTGCACCAAGAATTATGTTTCAACATATGAATCTGATGATGGGGGTGAGCACAAATATTCAGGCCATAGCAGCTATCGTATCTCATAAGATTATAATACCCTATTTTTACTGTCCCCTCTCCTTTAACTTCCCTTTGAGGTGTTTCTTCATTTGGTGTCACAAGAAACAGATCCACTCACCTATTGGGGAGGACTCATTACAGGGGATTCTGAGGTCACTGTCTGAATCTGAAATAGTAGTGTTATTGTTCAGTGCACATTGAGGACAATTAAAAAGAAGCACATAAGACAAAATAGAGGGGTAAAGCTGGTTGTAGGAGAGCTTACGTCACCATTTACAGTTTGTGTACTGCTTATTCCCTTATGATTGGACTAGCCTTGAATATATTACTTCACTCTTCTTCTTATGTTCTTTCTCATTTTGTAACAGCAAACATAAACCCTGAGCTTTATGTTAGTCATTCATACCTTTTATGCATGCATTTTAGATTCAAATGCCCAGCCCTATTTTCTAAGAGTAGATAGACATTATTTCTTCCTTGATATCTAATGGATGACAGAGAATTATTTTTTAAAGGTAGCTTCTCCCTTTCGTAAACAAATAGATTTTTCCATGTCACAATTACCTGAGGAATCAGATGGGCAAGTGTGTATAATAGAAATGAAACTCTTTTTTCCTGTCTGTGAAATTCATGCCAGTACTACACTCTATACTTCATTTCTGACATCAGATATGGAGTATTTTTCATACCAGGTATTTCTTCAGTTTCCTGCAATTAAACTCAATTCTGGTGCTAGCTAACTGGTGACAACATCAGATCCTGTAGGTTAAGGGCTCCGTCTGAAAAGGCTGCCCCTATTTCAGATGCCAGTTCCAAGTCCAGTGCTGTCTGATTGACTGTCTATCAGAGGTCCACATAATCTTCTCCCCAGGTTTAATAATTGTTAGAATGGCTCACATCACGCAAGAAAAGTTTACTTACCAGATTACTGGTTTATTATAAAAGGATACAACTCAGGAACAGCCAGATGGAAGAGATGCCAAGGCAAGATATGAGGGATGGGTGCAGAGCTGTCATGCCCTCTCTAGGTGCACCATCCTCCCAGCACCTCTAAGTGTTCAGCAACCTGGCAGCTCCCTGAACTCCATCCTTTGGGTTTTATGGAGGTCTCATTACATAGGCATGATAGGTTAAATCCCTGGCCATTGGTGATGGGACAGGGGATTGAAAGTTCCAACCCTCTAATCAAATGTGTTCAAATACTTGATTCCCATGGCAACCAGTCTCTATCCTTAGAGACCTTCCAAAAGTTACTCATTAACATAAACTCAGGTAAGGATGAAAGGGACTTATTATAAACAGCAAAAGACACTCCTTTCACTTTTATTGTTTGTATTACTTAGGAAATTCTGGGCGCTTTAGGGGTTCTCTATATAATGTTTTGGCCAATGAGGGACTCCATATATGATAGCGGTGGTCCTATAAGATTACAATACCCTATTTTTACTGTATCTTTTTATTTTTAGATATAAAAGTACTACTGTTTTACAACTGCCTACAATTTTCAGTTGAATAACATGCTAGACATGTTTGTAGCCTACAAGCAGTAGGCTACACCATAGAGCCTAGGCAAGTAGTAGGCTGTACCATCTAGGTTTGTGTAAGTACACTCTATGATGTTCACACAAAAACAAAATAACCTAACAACAGATTTCTTAGAACTTATTCCCCATTGTTAAGCAATGCATGCCTGTATATATTTCTTTGTCTCTCTCTCTCTTTTTTTTTCTTTGTTTTTTTTTTTTTTTTTAAGAGATAGAGTCTTGCTTTGTTGTTCAGGCTGGTCTTGAACTCCTGGCCTCAAGCAATCTTCCTGCCTTGGTCTCCCAAAGTGGTAGGATTGTAGGTGTAAGCCACTGCACTGGTCTATATTCATTATTATAAATCAGTATTACAATAATCAACATTGTGGGTGTTTTTTCATCATCACTTTCTATGCCCTCATGTCTCTGGATTCATCTAGGAATCCAGGTGTAAGCCAAACAGTTTGTGGCATTTATCAGTTTCTCATCAAACAAATGAGAACCTGTTCCCATTTGAAAAAGCAGACGGAAAAGGGAAAGTTTTCTGGGCCATGATGAAAAGTGTTCTCTTTCTTCAGAGAAAGCCACAAGAAGAGATGTTTTCACTCTTCTCCTGGGCATTGTCATGTGGCCACAAGGCTTGGAACCACTGCAGCTATTTTGTTGTTATCCAGAGGAAGATGAAGCTCACATAAGGAAATCACAGAGAATTCCAGGGATCCAAAACTGGAGCTACTAGGTAGAGTTCATTCCCAAAGCTTGCTCTACCTTTGTACTTTTTATTCTGTCAGCCAATAAAGATTCTCATTCTTTATGCTAGGTTGAATTGGACATTATCTTACTTTTAGCCAAATTCCTCTCAGTTAACACAGTGCAGAAGCAGACGTAGAATGATTGTGTTCCTGGTGTTTGTTTTGTTTTGTTTTGTTTTGTTTTTATGGGCCAGAATCTCGCTCTGTCGTCCAGGCTGGAGTGCAGTGGTATGATCTCGGCTCACTGAAACCTCCATCTCCCAGGTTCAAGTGATTCTCCTGCCTCGGCCTCCCAAGTAGCTGGGATGACAGGCATGCACTACCATCCCCCGCTAATTTTTTTGTATTTTTAGTAGAGACAGGGTTTCACCATGTTGGCCAGGCTGGTCTCTTGATCTCAGTCTGAAGTCCTGACCTCAGGTGATCCACCCTCCTCAGTCTCCCAGAGTATTATGATTACAGGTGTGAGCCACCACACCCGGCCTGTTCCTGGTGTTTGAATCCATTCTGATCATCCAGCTCAGTCACAGTGGTTCAGAGCGTCACCTCTGAGACTGCCTGTGATGGTACGGCATTCATACATACATGCCTCAGGTCATCTTCCCACTGATCAGGCAAGGCACTGTCCTTCTTAGGCAATTTCTACTGTCCAGTGTAAACCAAATATAAAATTATAAGTTTCTCAATCAGCTGGGTGGACCCCTCTTCAGGTCCCAGAGAACCCAAAGAAAACTTGAGAAACTATTTTAGGCAATGATGGGAAGGAGGGGTCAGACATGTTTCATTATACTTTCCTCCTCTTGGAGGTTAGACACAATTGACCAACATTAACATTAAAAGAGAGACCTTAAGAATGACAAAAGAGGCTCTTTGTGGCAATAAGATCCCAAATTCCAACCTGACACTGGTATAGCATCACATGACAGACAGCAGGCCCCGCAGGAAATCAAAGTATTTTACCCCAAAATATATTTCTTTGACATATTTTAGAAAGGCCCTGCACAGCTGTCTCTTATGGAAGAAATTTGCATTCTGTAGAGAATCTCCTTCCCTTACTAGTTTTTTTTCCAGAGAGTCTGGCACCTTTTAAAGGTCTAAATAGAAATCATCTGCCATCTATTGCCTCTAAGGGTGGCCACCTATGAGATTTTATCTACATAATAAGACCCTTGGTCTCCACAACCCCTTATCTTAAGCCAGACAGTCATTTCTATCAATTCCAGGTCTTTAGATAATAACTTAACTCTTTCAACCAATTGCAAATCTTGGCAAGAAAATCTTTGACTCTACCTGTGAACTGTAAGCCCTCACTTCAAGTTGTCCTACCTTTCTGGACCAAACCAATGTATACGTCACATGTATTGATTAACATCGTAAGTCTCTCTAAAACATGTAAAACCAAGCTGTAACCCAACCACTTTGCCACATGTTCCCAGGACCTCCTGAGGCTATGTTACAGGTCATCGTCCTCATATTTGACTTGGAATAAATCTCTTCAAATATTTTACAGAATTTGGGTTTTGTTTGTTTGTTTGTTTGTTTGTTTTTTTTTTTTTTTTTTTTTTTTTTTTTTTTTTTTTTTTTTTGTTAACACTAGTTTTGGCAGCTCTACTTAGAAATTGTAACCTCTTTCCCCACCCTTCTCCTTCTTCATCTCCCATACCCAGTCCTGACTTGGGCCAGGAGTGAGTGGCTGACTTAGAGGTAATCTGGGCTGAGCAATCAGATTATCTGATTGTGAATCTGATACAGAAATTATCAGTGAGCATGTTAACTGGAATGTTGGATGGATTGCAAGCTTGGAGTGGCCATTTTTGTGCCATGTGCAGAGTAAAGAAAACTTCTGGGCAGAAACAAAGTGGGACACAGTCTTGGAGTCCAAAGCATCCCGGAAAGCCAGACCTTCTGCCCTTGGTTCAGGTCTCACATGAGGAATGGCCCCTACCTTCCTGCCCTTGAGTTCCAATGTCACTTCGTTAGATAGCTTGGGATGGCTTCTACTTCCTATAACCAAACAACCTTGACTGACCCAAAAAGGGGTCGTGTTCATCTCAACTTACACATGATGCAATCAAAGATGAGAAAGGTTCACCAAAGCTGATTTGTAGCCAGCTGGGATTCAGCCTAGTTTTTCTAACTTTATCATGTTTATTTTTTCCATTTCACTTGCTGGTTAAGTGACCAAGAAAGATCAATTCATCTACTTTATTCCTAAAATATTCTGTGACTGTTGCCTGTCAGATATCAGAGAAAAGAGAATTACTCTTTAGTTGCTTCGTGACATCCTTGATGGATTATGAACTGCCACCCTGAAAATTCAGTAGGAACCTGGGTAATGGTAACTGTAGGTCTGCATACCTAAGTAATAAAATACAGAGTATCTTCTTTAAATTATTGAGGACTCTGGCCTTGGTAGTGTTGCAAAAATTGTGAATTATTGTGAAATAAATGTCTGCTGAGGTGCACAGCAGAGTGCTCTTCCACAAAGTTGCCCATGTGAGAAGCAATCCCACCGAAAAAGAGCAGATGCCCCCTGGAAGTGTCGATTTGAGACTCATTTGAAGACACTACTTGTTTTCTCTGTCATGGCATTTTAATACTTATGGCCTGTCTCTTCTACATGCAAAGCTTCTAAACCTTCCATCTTATCTCAATTGCAGCTGCTCTGGAGAATAACTGCCCTCTTTTGTGGCATTCCCCCTTCTATCAGTCCCCCAAATTAATTTTAGCATATGACACATAGCCTCCAAATTTAATGAAAATCCACTCAGCCATTATCTGTGATGTGACAGACAGACTAAAACTTAATTATATTGACATGGATTTGAGGTAATGCTATCATATTTTGCTAGAAAAGGCATCTCTTTATGAGTGATGACAATTAGCAGTCAGATTTTGGAAACACAGCCATGGAGAAATATCTGCACAGCAAAATATCATCCATACCTTTAGGACACCCACTAAGTTAGGGATTGAATGCCATATTCATTCACTCAGGCAATCCCACCTAGACTTTGGGTTAATAGCTTTGAAGAAGTATTTCATTACATGTCAGAACAAGGAAAGATTTCTCATAATATTAAGTGTTGTCCTTGTAGGAGGCTATATCTAGTTCTTTTGATCTTCAAAGTACTATAGAAGTGGTAAATAAAATATGTGTTAGCTAGTATCACTACTTTGACTAAGTAGATTTTTACAATCTTCCTGCACCCTCATGCCCAAATAAAGGATACTAATAGACTCACTATTTGTTTTTTTTTTTGAGATGGCATCTCACTCTGTCGCCCAGGCTGGAATGCAGTGGCACCATCTTGGCTCACTGCAACCTCCACCTCCCTGGTTCAAGCAATTCTCCTGCCTCAGCCTCCCAAGGTACGCACCAGCATGCCCAGCTAATTTTTGTATTTTTAGTAGACACAGGGTTTTGCCATGTTGGCCAGGCTGGTCTCAAACTCCTGACCTCAAGTGATCCACCTGCCTTGGCCTCCCAAACTACAGGGATTACAGGTCTCACTATACTTTAAGGGAAATATTGCATATAGAGGAAGCACAAATGTTAGAAGGTATTAATCTTCGTAGAACCTTTCCCCCACCCTAACACCTCTAATTCTTTTTGGTGGCTTCTAGGAAAAGTGCTTTAGTTAATATTTCACTAATCTTTCATTATACTCTTATAATCTTCCTTTGGGAAGGGTTCTTTTACTCATGACCTCTCAAAGGTAAAGCAGGGATCTTGTCATTTTGAATGCTGGATTGATGCTATCAAGAGTTTTTCGGCTGATAAAGTCTTACAGAAGAGATTACCACAGGCAAAGTCTCAGGCAAGAGGGTGAGGAATGGATGATAGGAGTTGAATTGGAGGATACTGCTGCAGTTGAGAGGAGCAGGATTGAGTATGTAGATCAGAGGGGAAATAAAAGGAATGAAGAAAGACGACACAGTACTGAGAAATATTATGAAGACAGGGGAATGGTTAATATAATATTTCTTCTATTCCAAAAGTTGGCAGATTTTTTTTTTTTTGGTATGTGCTAGCTTGTAAATATTTTTAGTTTTGTAGGCCAGTTTCAGTCACAACTATTTAACTCAGCCATAAAGATCCATAAACAATAACAAATAAATGGGTGTGGCTGTGTCTGATAAATATTTACTTACCAAAGAAAGGTGATTGCTGATTTGGCCTGCAGGCTATCTAATCACTTGTTTATAAAATTTGCACTACATTCGTTGATATATGGTATGCCTGATGCCAAACCCAATTCTTATGTTTATTAAAATTTAGAATGAACTAGTATTCTGAAGATTAGTAACTCCCTTTTTAAGCTTTGTGATTTTTTTCATATTTGTCCATTGTTACTTTAATAATATTTTAAATGTTCAAATATGCATATATGAAAGTAAGTTTGTTTAGTACATAGAGTTAAGCTTAACACACTTCTTCCCCATAAAAGAGGGATTTCCATAATTAACTCTAGGAACCATAAACCCTGAAAACAACACTGCAATTCTGTGTGAATGGAGAGCCTGACACTGTACTAAACACTCTAGGAGATTTTTCCAAGTATTCGGGCTGTTTCTGCTCTTGAAGGAACTATCAATCACTGCAAACACTAATAACAGTAGATGCCAGTCAAGGCCAAGTGTGGGGCTGCCTGGCTGGTGAGTGGCACAGATACTGACTGAGGAAGTTGTGGGAAGCAGGAGAGAACAAGTGGCTGCTGGCTCCTTTGTGTCAGTTGGGAGAGTCCTTTGGTTGCAGGAAACAGAGACTCACACAGGTTAATTCAGGGAGTGAAAGTTTATTAGAAGAAGATTGGGATCACTCCCATTTGCCTGAGCCTCATGAAAACCCAGAGGAGCCCTGCCCCCACCTTAGGGGAGAATTACAGACACAGTCCAGTGAAGAATCAAGTACCTGGTGTTAGTCTCTTGATCACCCCACTTACCTTAGGGTCGCACCATAAATGCACATCAGTGGCTTCCTGTGTTTCTACTGCTTCTCTGATTTTTTCAAAATTTTTATTTTAAGTTCAGGGGTACGTGAGGTTTGTTACATAAGTAAACTTGTGTCATGGGGGTTTGTTATACAGATTATTTCATCACCCAGGTATGAAGCCCAGTACTCAATAGTTATTTTGTCTGCTGCTCTCCCTTTTCCCACCCTCCACCCTCCAGTAGACCCCAATGTCTGTTGTTTCCTTCTTTGTGTTCATGAGTTCTTATCATTTAGCTCCCACTTATAAGTGAGAACATGCAGTATTTGGTTTTCTGTTCCTGCATTAGTTTGCTAGGGATAATGGCCTCCAGCTCTATCCATGTTCTCTCAAAAGACATGATCTTGTTCTTTTTTATGGCTGTGTAGTATTCCATGGTTTATATGTACCACATTTTCTTTATCTGGTCTGTCACTGATGGGCATATAGGTTGATTCCATGTCTGTGCTATTGTGAATAGTACTTCACTGAACATTTGTGTGCAAGTGTCTTTATGGTAGAGTGATTTGTATTCCTCTGAGTATATACCCATTAATGGGATTGCTCGTTCGGATGATGGCAATCCCACTTTCTGTATCTTGCACTGAAGTTCTCAAGAGAGTTGACGTTATTGGTCAAATCAGTGCAGTGCAGTGAGGGAGATGGGTGGTCTCTTCCAAAGAGTCATACTGTTACTTAGCCTTTTTTCCATCTTGTGCCTTCTCATTACTTAGTGCCTTGTAGTCCTCCCTATCCTGCTTGCAAATGAAGACTCAGGCAGCAGTCTGTCACAAGGGATACTGGGAAATGTAATCTACTAGTGTGTGCAGGAGGAAAGGAAAATGGATTCAGTGAACAACTAGTCAGTCTAAAAATACAGTAAAGTAGGCCTATAGATTATTGTCTGTTTGCACAAGTGAACTTGAACTTGCTTTTATTTATCTGTCAAGGAGCCTTATGTCTGTGAAATCACTAGGATAAGTGAAATAGTTTTCCTGGGCTCATTCCCAAAAAGGAAAACATTGTGGCTAATCAGACACAGAGAATCCACAATGGTGGTAGGCTTCTCCTCACTATTAAATGTGAGATGGCACCAATTTATAGGCTCCATGGACTTTTTCACTACAAAAGAGAAGGAAGCTTTTTCAAACCTCTGTTTTAAGAGGGAAAGCAAAGAGAAGGAAGCTTTTTCAAACCTCTGTTTTAAGAGAGAAAGCAGTAACATATTGAAAGAAATGCACAGTTTTCATTTGTGTCATCTCAACAGCTGGTACTACCCTGAAATTTCAAGGATCCCTTCCCATTGTCAGTCCATGTAACCTCATCCTTAGATCAGAAAACACAGCCACAAAGACATGAGTTCAGAATAAGTGTCTTACAAGTCATACAAGAGAAGGAATATTCTATATGATTGAGTCAAGCATATGGAGACACTGGTCCCAGCCCTGCTAATATCCAATGTGGTTACCTTGGATATGTTACTAAATGTCTGCATTTTTGCTAAAAAATTGAATAATGTGTTTGTTCAAAATACATACAGTACCCAAATTACAATGGTTCAATGCATGATATTTTGACTTTAGGATGGGTTTATCAGGGTATTAAATGTATTTTCAATGTAGAATATTTTCAACTTACGATGGGTGTATTAGGATGTGTCTCATTGTAAGTTGAGGAGCATCTATACATAGGTGTAAGGAAACCTAAAGACTGACTGTTGTGTTTTCTCAGTGGTGGTTCTTGGCAATAGTAGTAGGAGAGGTACTCTTGTTCCTTTTTTGTTACCATTGTTAACTCCAAAATGTGCCAGGCCTTCACAGTGGAAGGGGCTAGTGAGACTGGATGCCAGAGGAAGCACCTGTGGAACAGACACCTGCATAGCCCTACCCTGGGCAACAAGACTTTAAATACCTCCTCCAACTACAAGGTTCTAAGGATCTGCATTGATGTTTCATAGGCATGAGTTCTTAAAATTCTGTCCTGAATATGAAACTCAGGATTGGGAAATGAAGCAAGAAAATGAAAGGATTTGCTTTATGAAGACTCTATATCCTGGGCAAAGTGGTGGTGGGTTGAGTTGGTCTTCAACCTGCCCTTCATTGAAGGGCTGCCTGGACCCTCTCCTAAGGTGCTCATTCTGGATACCCAGTTGGTGACAACTCTTCTTGGTCCAGCACCTTCTCTAAGTTGACACTTCTTTTTCTTGCTCCCCCTAGCCACTCCCCTGACGTGTCTCTTAAAGCTACATTTAGGTATCTGTGCCGTCCAAGGACAAGCTTTAAGGAATGAGCATACCTCATCTAGAGGAAGGAACTGGTAAGACTCCCTCCCCTGGCTCCAGCACTGTTCTGGACTGTAATAGTGCATTCTCACAAGGAGAATCCAGAAATAAAAGTCCATTTATGACTCTGTGACCTCAAGGAATGACTTTACTCAAGATCATTTGAGGCTCCAGGGCAAGGGGAATGGCGGCATGGCAGGCAAGGAGGGGCTGACAGCACGTTGTGCAGTCGAGTTCATGTAGCCACTTCCTGCACAGAAAGACTTCCACTCTGCAGTTGTAAAGAGCTGGCCTTGACAGGGAGTTGCTGGTTCCCCAGGAGTTAATTGATATAAGAAATAACATTACAAGGAATTAATTAGAAGCCCTTGAGTCTTGACAAGAGTTTGTTACAGGCTGATGTGCCTTTTTATTATGAAGCTGGGAAAGGGAATGAGGAGGAGAAGTACGGAGGATGTTAACCATGCAGATGTGAAAGAGATTTTGTAGACAGCCTGCAGAGAGGCCCCTGCATAATGATAGCTCACTCAGAGAAAATAAGAACATGAAACAGTTCCTGACAAGTCCCATAGCTTAACTGGAAGAAAGTGAACCTCTTTGCTTATGAAACATCCTGAAGCTAGCGTAAAAGTTAAAGAGCACTTTGCTCTGAAAGAGAAATAGAGGGATGGAATGGGGGAAGGGACATAGTCATTAGGGTAAGTAAAGTAAAACTGGCTTCCCCACAGGACATCAACACGGTAGAAACATCCGGAATTGTCTCTAAGTCTCACTCCTGGGAATTCACGCCACAGGGATAAATCAGATCAATTACTACCGGCCACCTAGTGGCAGAATGGGGAACAACATGCTGATCTGTCGGCTGGGAGGCTTAATATAGTCCGTATTCACAATAGAAGCTAATTGTTATAAAAATGTTAAGAGGGGGCGTAAAATATTTCAGAGCAGGGGAAGATTTTTAGCCTGAAGACAACATAATTTTTCACTTAAACAATTCATCCAGCTCAGGATTAGATGAAGTTGAGTATGAGGATAATTGAATATAGTAACCAATTCTACGTCTTCCATCCATGTGTGTATTTAAAGATTACAATTATTATGCTATTTTTAAGACGTCTGTTCTAGATAAAGTTCTTCCATGAGATACTACTTTTGATGTACTCTGAAGAGTGCTCTCATGCTGGGAGAATTTCAGTGCTGAAAATAGCTTTTGGCCTAGAGTTGAGACCTGGGTAACCACCCCCAGCTTAGCTATGCGAAACTTGGGTGATTGTCAGAAAGTCATTTACGTATCATGTGGGGATGTTTGTGTATGTGTGTGGGGAGTGTGTTTGTGATTGTATGTAGTGTGTGGGCATATGTATAAATATATTTGTTAAGTTGAAGCAAATACAATAGCCCCCCTCTTATCCACGGGGAATACGTTCCAAGCCCCGCAGTGGAGGTCTAATAGTACACTGTTTTTTTTCTATACACTATTTTTTTCTATACATACCTATGACAAAGTTTAATTTATAAATCGGGTACAGTAAAAGATGAACAACAATAACTAATAATAAAATAGAATAGTTATGGCCTGGCGTGGTGGCTCACATCTGTAATCCCAGCACTTTGGGAGGCTGAGGTGGGTGGATCACCTGAGGTCAGGAGTTCGAGACCAGCCTGGCCAACATGGTGAAACCCCGTCTTTACTAAAAATACAAAAATTAGCCAGGCGTGATGGCATGTGCCTGTAATTCCAGCTACTCGGGAGGCTGAGGCAGGAGAATCGTTTGAACCTGGGAGGCAGAAGTTGCAGTGAGCCGAGATCGCTCCATTGCACTCCAGCCTGGGCAACAAGAGCAAGACTCCATCTCAAAAAAAAAAACAAAAAACAAAACAAAACAAAACAAAGTCATAACAATATACTGTAATAAAAGCTGTGTGAATGTTTATTTCTGAAATTTTCCATTTCATGTCATTGAACCATGGTTGCCCACAGTTAGCTGAAACTCTGGAAAGTGAAAGCGTGCATAAGTGGGGACTACCATATGGGCATCCTACATACCTCTTAGGTGGTACTCAGAGAACCCAGCAATGAGTATTGAACACCCTCAGTGAGCTGAGTTCTGGTTCATCCCAATGGAAGGTATTAGAGAAGGATGAACAAAGTCCCTGTCCAATCTAAGTGGTGACTCTAAGACACACATGAAATAATGATCAACAACATAAGTCATCACTTGGCCTTGGCTTTAGGATATCTTAGAGAATACACAAAATAACTTGAACTCAACCCAGATTTGAGAACTTCTATGGTGTTAATGCTAGTACCCTGTGTTTCCCCTGCAACACTCAATCTTTAATGTTTCCACGGAAATTGCTTGCTATTCCTGCCTCCAGCCATCTCCACAGATATGTGCACCGTAGTCCCACTCCTTCTCACCAGATTACTTGCTCAAATTATCTCTCGAGTATAGCCCTGTGAAACCCACCCAATCTCTTTGGCTCCCATGGTACATTAACATATATTCGTACTCATTTTGTGTCCAAATCTTTGTTTCTCTTTCCTTCCCACACAGCATTAATAACCCCGGGAAAAAAATTCTCTCTGTTACATGATTCTGTTTTTTTTGCTCCTTCATCATTAATACCATAGTGTAATTTATAGGTATAGAGGCAAGAAGATCTCATATGGGAATGTAAGATCATTAAAATCTTCACTGTGGAGCCAAGGTTCAACCTGGGTTTTTAGGAAGAGACAGGATTTAACTGTTTGAGGGAGTTAACATATAATGTAAAACATGGATGTGTTGGGTACATTTTCTGAAGTAGCATCAGGGTATGTATATTCAGGAATTTGCCCTTTACTTTACATGTGAATATAGTTAGAACTCTGAGGCTGGGTGGCATTTTAGGAGCCAGACAGGTCCATGAATGCCCTTCCCACTGCCCTAAATTCCCTGAGTTCAATTGACAAGGTTGGAAAAATGGGGAAGTTAGCATGGAAGTCGGCTGCCAATTCAGGCAGGTGAAGGAGTTCTAATTCGGTCAGGACACCCACTTTGTCCTATTCAATCTGCCTTCACATTTAAAGGGCCAGTTGTAAAAGTATCCCATCTTCACAAATTCATATCTAACCAACTGGAAATTATTTTCACTGCAAATGTGATTGATTTTATGGAGTCCTTTTTTTTTTAATCAGGAGTACTTCTAATGCACTGCAGTATTTGTTTACTCAGTGACCAGGAAAATTGAGACATATAGGTTAAACAAAAACTTCATCAAACAATTTTGGAAGTTTCTTTGTAAATGGTAAGTAGAGTCAGTTGAGGGAGGAAGGAGGAGGAGCTACTAGATGGCACAGTGATTCTATTACTTTAAAGCATTTTAGGAACATTTCTGTTTTATAAATTAAGATTCATCTGGGGCCTAGATATATATATTCATTATGAGCTATACAGGTCCATGAACACCCTTCTTACATTCCTGTATATAAAATGCCATATATATCTATACATCTGTATCTCCATCTATCTATCAATGCATCTATTATATCTATCTATCTATCTATCTATCTATCTATCTATCTATCATCTTTGTTATATTTAGGCCTATACATAATTTCTATTTTATAAGATAAATTCATCTGTATAGGGCATTTAACTAACTCTAGGTTAATGATATTCTGAGATTATCTGATTATATGGCAGTTGGATCTAGAAGTCAGTCCCAAGCACTGAGCCTAAGGATAAGGTTAACTTTGCTGTAGATTAATGCCAGATATTCTTCAAGAATCAAAACTACTTTAGTATAATCTATTGATGATAGTTAAATATTTTGCTATTCAAGTCCTATTAGTTACCGACTCAAGACTCCTTTTTTTCCAAGAGAGGTTGTTGATTTAATAACTGTCAGCCAAAGAAGTTCATCAGCAGCTGAAATCCACAGCAAGTTAACTCATAATGAATCTTAAATTTTAGAAAGAATGTTTTAGCAATATTGAGTGACAAAAGAAAAACAGTTGAAAACAAAATCACCGTGAAACTTCCGTCAGCTCATTAGATTCTCTGAATTCCATAAAAGAGAGAAATAATACCAAGTACAACTGAGACTGGAGAAGATTTTATGGTGGAAATCTCTCAGATTCCTTTATTCCAGGAAAATAATTCTGAACTTGAGAATTGAGTGTTTTCTCTCATGGACATTGGATTGAAAGGCTATTGTATCCAAGGATGTTCACTGTGGCATAACTCTTGCTGTTTGCACAACCTGAAAATGATCCAAAGCTCAGAGTTATAATTAAGGACCTTGTTACACCATAAAAGATTTTCAAATTTTAATCTATGACAACCCACACAGCACTCAGGGCTTAAATACTTTATTGACCAGGCTGGCAGGCTGACTCCTCTGTTGGAGCTGGGAGAGTCCTGCTTCAATTTATCTCTCCCACACTACATATTTGTAGTCATAAATCTTTTGCTAGGCTCTTTGAGCATTAAAAATAGCCTGGCATTGCTGGCTTTCCTTGTGGTACTGTAAGAGCCAAATCAAAGGTGCCAGCCTCCTGTGATCTTTCCATTTTGCGCTGCAGCAGGAAACGTTTACATCTGTCCCAGCCCTCACTGTCTAAGTGTCAACTCAAACAATGGCATTTCCCACTCAGAGTTTGGCTCCATCTCCCCAGATGCCTCCCTTATCCAGATAGGGCAGCTGAACAGCAGTCTGGCCCGAGCTGTTCCTCTGCCAGCCTGGGTCTGTTCTCTCTTCTTGATGGTAACTCTGGGTGGTGTGTTTTCTTCATTCTGCAGGGATCCTGCTAGATGGAGCAGAATAGCTATGCTGCCACCAGGGTCCAGGCTATGGGTTTTCACTAGGACCACTGGAGGAGAGAGGCGGAGGGAGCAGCAAAGGGCCAGAAACAGTTTCTGGAGGTGCAAAACAGAAGTCATTTGAACACAGGCCCAAATGCAGATCAGAACTAGGTCAAGAGCTAGAGGGTGACTCCACAAGTATCGGTCAGGTTGTTTAGAGAAGAGACCAACATGTTCAGATAGAATGCTATTTTATGAATTTCCTTCTTCAGACATGAGCATGTTATTTGGTTTAAATTTTTATTTCAGTAGTGAGTAGTAAGAAACATTATGGGGGTCATCCCACAGACACTAAGGGGGAATTCCTGTGTCTTCCTTTTTCTTCTAAGCTGTTTTTCACATCTTTTGTAAAATCAGCTTTATTGGGATATAATTGTTATCTAATAAACTGCACATATTTAAAATAAACAATTTGATAAGCTTTTTATTTGATGGTTTCCACGAGATAATCATTTCCATCAAGATGATGAAAAGATCCATGACGCCCTAATATTTCCTTGGGCTATTTGCACCCCCTTCACATCCCACTCTCATCTCCAGGCAACGACTGATCTGTTTTCTGTTAGTATATATTAGTTTGTATTTTCTAGACTTTTATATAAATGGCATCAAACAATATGCACTCTTTTTGTTTTAGCTTCTTTCTGTCAACAGGATTATTTTGGGATTTATCTACATTGCATCGTGTATCGATGGTGATGGATGCTGAGCAGCATTCCATTGTGTGGATATACTACAGTTTGTTTATCCATTCACCTGGATAATGGACATTTGAGTTGTTTCCAGCTTGGAACTATAACAAATAAAGTTGCTAGGGGCATTTGTGTACAAGTTTTTGCATGCCTTCATTTCCCTTGGTTAAATATGTAGGAGTAGAATAGCTACTCTTGGGTAGGTACCTAGAATAGGTTTATATGAAAGAGTATGTTTGACTTTTTAAGGAACAACCAAACCCTTTTCCAAAGAGGCTGTACCATTTTATATTCCCACTGACTGAGAGTCCCAATTCCTCCACATCCTGGCTGGCTTTTGCTGCAGTTTCTACTAGGGGACATCAATGCAGCAGCCTGCAGGGCCATCTGCATCAAACGTGGCCTCATCTCTGGCCACACATCAAAGAGTCAAGGTTTTGGCTGGACGAAGAAGAAAAACACAGACCAAGGGATATTAATGACCTAACATGAAGAGAAACTATCTATTTTGTGAGCTTACAAATAACTAAAGAAGAACTTTTGCAGTATAGTGTTTGTCAGAACCGTGGTGTAATAAATTAATGTGGATCAAAATTTCTGGCCATTATTATAAAGGAAGAAAGGAAAGTACATATGCTTTGTCTTTCTTTTTACAGAATCCAGTACATGTTATTTGTAGATTGACTAACATGTGATGTTCAGAGATAGAAAAATCTACCTTAGACGATTCTTAACAAAGAGAAAAGTGGTTCTGACCATAGTCATTTAGCCCAAATGCCTAGAGCAGAATTCCCTTCTACCTTTTCTCAGAACACAAGTGCCCATAGGCTCACTACCTCCTGGGGAAGCCTGGTTCTAGTCAAGCGTTTTGTTCATGGAGCAGATTTTTATTTAAGGAATTCATAACTACTGGCCTGGGCACGTGAAGTAACTTAGACTCAGATGGTCCACATAACACTGCTCAAACAGAACAAGTCCACAGTATAAGGAAGCTAAGTCAGGCTTCAGACAATAGCACCTCTTTTGTTAGGTTAGTGCAAAAGTAATTGTGGGTTTTGCCATTAAAAGTAACGTCAAGAAACCACAATTATTTTTGCATCAACCGAATACTTCTCTCATTTCGTACATCTTAAAATCATATAACCAGGCAGTATCTTAGGGTCATTGGGATCTCGGCTCTGGGGCTTACTTATCCCAGATCTAACCATCCTCAGCATGGTGCTCAGAGAGAAATATTGTGAGTTTCTGTAGTCATTTCCATATCACACATCTCAACAGAGAAATACGAAAATCCACATGGAAAATCTAGCAGACCTACAAGCGAGAGCCAGGTGGGAGACTCTTCACCTGCCCCAAAAACTAGTTTATGTGCATGTGACAAAGCGGGCGTTTTTATTGTTCAGACACTAAAACAAACAGAAAATTATGAAGTGCACAAAAGGATTTTCCACGCTGCTGAACCTTGCAAAGTGTTCACAGTCGAGTTCCCCTTTTTGAATTCATTATCTCAAGGCAGCATTTGGTTTGGAAAGCCGGGGCAGCTGAGCTGAAAATGTGTATTGTTATTACTTGAAGTTTCTGAGAATAACCTGCACAGGCTGCAGTGTTCAGAACCAGCTTTGTTCTTTGCAAATTCTTTGTCAGTGAACTCTCTCTTATTCGAGTCATTGGCAAACATGAGAGCCTATGTAAAATATTGATTTAGGGCATATTCCTAATCATTTGTTTTACTAGCATGTATTTTGGAAAGCTACCTGTAGCTGAAGTGGTTATTAGTACTTTCCCTAAAATTGTATCACTTTCATTTTCACATTCTTTGCTTTGAAATATTTTAACCAGGGGGTGAATATTTAGATCACATTCACAACGAGTCTTTATATAACCAGTCTTCTATTAGGTTATTTTCCTTATAGTCCCACAGATACATCAATTTCACTTCTGCCTTCTATGCCTTTCCTCACATATTTTTCTTGCTTTTTCCCATCCCATTCCTGCTTGTCATTCAGTGTGTACATTCCTGCCCCTTCTCTAAGACTCATGAAACCATCAAAGCCTATAGGGACCTCTCTTTCCCCTGACTCCCTATGACAACTGTTTTCTGTCCTATTAATCTGACAGCTAATGAGGTGGTACTTCATGACATCTCTTTTATTTTTAATTTTGAACAACCATTTAAAACTGTGATTATGATTTAACTTTTTTTTTTTTTTTTTTTTTTTTTTTTTGCACTCTGTAGCCCAGGCTGGAGTGCAGTGGCTCAATCTCGGCTCACTGCAAGCTCTGCCTTCCGGATTCACGCCATTCTCCTGCCTCAGCCTTCCGAGTAGCTGGGACTACAGGTGCCCACCACCACACCCGGCTAATTTTTTGTATTTTTAGTAGAGACGGGGTGTCACCGTGTTAGCCAGGACGGTCTCGATCTCCTGACCTCGTGATCCGCCCGCCTGGGCCTCCTGAAGTGCTGGGATTATAGGCGAGATCCACCATGCTTGGCCTATGATTTAACTTTTTACCTGTTTATATCTTGCCTCTCTAAGTAGATTGGGCACTCCTTCAGATAGAGGGCTACCTGTTTCCCACATTTAGTGCCCATCCCAGCATCAAATGCTTGCTGATTTCAAGACCCAGTTTGTGAATGGTCTCACAAGAATTTATTTAATGGGGCTGGGAAGTGAGGGAGTTATTGAAAGCAGAAATAAATTGCTGTTAATTGCTACTGTTTGCAATTTGCTATTGGAAGTAGCAAGGTAAATGTTAGTGCACATACAATTGTATTGATTGGATTGTCTTTTTCAAGGTTATTGTTGCAATTAAATTGACCTTTTGCTGGTACAGAAATAACTTGTTTAATGAAAACTGAACAAATGAATTGGGCATAACTTGAATATAGAAAATAATCAGAGCATTGGATGTAGGTCTTTGTCAAATCACTACAAAGGCCAAGTATGGACCTGTTCAGTAGTTGCGCTCAAATGAATAAATAGCTCTTAGGAAGCCAAAACCAAAAACTAGATGGTGGTGATGATGTCATAATACCACAAACAGGACATGTCATAAATTTGATGTTGCTCTCTACAGCTCACTGAGCATTGAAGGATCCTCTTGGGTGCATTAGGCATGATGCTAGATCTAGAATCACTTTGCAAGAAGTAAGCACTGTGCAAAGGAAAGGATTACTCAGGCACCACTTCTGGCATCTGCACATATTCCCTAGCCTTAGCTCCAGGCCACTTACATTAACTGGTTAATTGCAGAACCTCTGAGACCCTGAGACACTAGATTGTCTAAGATAAGAATCAAGGCCTATGGTACCTTAGTATGTCCTTGGAAATACAATTCCACTTATCTCTGCCCAGGATCTTACATTCCAAATGGGAAATATTTCACTGAATACTTCGGATCTTTGGTGACCATCTCCTCCTTGATAGAATGTCGTTTAGTGAGTTTTATACTGTGCCCAGCACCATAAGGCAATGAAGAAGTAGTAAAAATGAGAAAGAACCAATATAAAGGGGCACATTGCAAGGGAAGGATGGAGAAAGCTTTAAGATCTTGATGACATTCGAAAGCTCTTCTAAAGCTGCAGACAGTTCAAATAATGAAGATGAGAATGAGGTGCATAAGCTGATCCCTGCTGATGTCCAATAGGCACAAGAACATTAAATTGGGAAGCTTTGGACTCCCTGTTGCCAATAGCACTCATAATAACTGTGTTTGCTGTACCGCTTTGACCAGTACTTTTAAACCTCTCTTTCCTGGCCTATGAAAGGAGAAGATTGGAGCAATTAACCTCTCAGACATCTTAAAGCCTTACCATTCTCTGTAATCAATTATTCCAGACCTCCTGTGTGAACCTCCCCAACCTGACTAACTTGGAACTGACTGCTGACCACCACTTACAGACCTTAAAGGATGTCAGTGAGCCAGACCGGTAGCTTATCTCCAACAAGTCTATCCTTTTGGATGGAGGAGATAGTGCCACGTCTTCTGCTTTTCTCTCTCTCTCTTTTGTTTACTTTTCCTAATCAGAATCTTCTACCTCCTCAAACCTTGTTTTTCCATTCTTCCTTTTTAGAATTCTCTGTGCTATCTTTCTTGGGTTGTTTACGTCCAACTTTCAGATCCCTTCTGAATGAATTTTTTTTTGGCACGTACAAAACACTCACCCATAAGCATCTGTAACTTAGATTATGTAGGTGGATATCCAGGATTTAATAAGGCCTGAAGTCTGAAGGAAAATGAAATTAGAGGAACTAAATAGATTCTTATATTGGTTGGATACCAGAAACCCAGAATAAATATCCCAAGTGGCCTTAGTCTGCAGGTTATTGAAATCTAGAATTTCTTACTGAAGCAATCTGCATGTTAGAATTCTAAAAGCCTTTAAAATTGGTACCTCTATCATTTGTCTTTTCTTTATTTTTTTTTTTTTGTGGGGGCAGGGGACTCATTTTTCTGGACTTTGAACTACATAATCGAAACTGTGGCTATGCTTGTGCCCTATCTCTTTGAGGTTTGGACTAACTAATGGGTGTCCCTGTCTGCCTTTATTATTTAAGAAACTCTCTCACCATTCCTGTCATAGCCTCTTTTATGCCTGGCCTACTGAGCAGAGGTTCATCCTTCAGTCGGTTAGCAAGCTTTTGTCAAGATAGATGGAATTTTAGACTTAGTCTGAAGTGCGGTCCCTCTCCATCTGCTTTGGAAACAGCTCACAAATTCTTCTTGTTGTTTCAGATGTGATCATCAATCTCCTGCCAGAGGAAATTAAGAACTGTTATTTGTCTGTTGGGCAGGAGAGATTCCAGAGTTTTGACCCCTAATTCATTCCCTACTCTTTGTGCTTTGGCTGTAACATCTAACTAAGGGTTTGCAGGGTCTTCTTTTATTTCTCCAGATTCGTTGCATTAAAAATTGTTTTATCCCATTAGTGTGTCATTTCATCATAGTTATTAAAAACAAACTCAGCCACTTTGTAGCCCAGTTTTGTCTGCCGTCTTCCAACCACTGTGCTGCTTCCCCGGAGAGTCTGTCTCTCAGCAGCTGCTGGTTGGATCATTGAGGCCTTAACCCAGGAGAGGTGCCATCTCTCTCAGAGGTGCTGGCTGTAATTGGCTGGTCCCTTTGCCACTGTGGGTGGTAGCAAATATGTCTCTAGGACATAAAATATTGGTCCTCAGAATGTAGAGAGAGAAATGGCTAAAGGCCCAGTTTAGTAGTGAAGCAATGAACTTTAATTATTTTTTAATTATTCAGTAAGTTAAGAAAATGTTTGAACTTTGGATCTTACTACCATTGCTACTGATGAGGAATAAGGGAGGTGAAGGAATATTGTTTGATAAAAGTGGAAATCCATATCATTTACATGCTGAACATGGTGATTGCACGGTCAGGTGGCAGAGCCTGATTTACTTTTCTAATCAGGGTTTTAGTAGAAAGAGCCTGCAGTGCCCTTCTCTCCTCCATCATCAGCAGGCTCTTCCAGAAGAAAAGGTGATGATGTGGTTTCATTTCCACAGCATGCTTTTATTTCTACAGAGAGTAACCTGGAAGGCAAGGCAAACCAAAACACAAAGAAAGGGCCAGAGTCCATGTTTGACACTGTTTTTCTCCTTTTATTTATCCTTCCTCTGACCATTATGATAGAGTTCTAAAGAACCTGCAGGAGCATTGAGACCAGCTCCTCGTCGCATAGGGCATTCAGGTGGATTACTCAACATCACTGAGCTTTTTATTGATAGTTGGAGAGCCAGGATTCAGGCCTCCTTACTTCCCTTCCAAGCTTTGTCCCCAATATTGCTTTGCGAAGGGAGCTCTTAGGGAATGAATCAAAGACACTGGCATACTGTTTACCAAGCTGTTAATAGTGTAATCATTGTAACCACTTATTGAGCATGTACTTTGTGCCTGGAACTTTCCTAAAGCTGGAAGATAGTTTTAACTTAATCTTCACCAACAAACTACTATTATTATATTAATTAAAAAAGAAGAAGACATTGAGGCACAGTGGGTTTGATAGGTGGCTCACGGTCACACAGTTGGTGCTTCGTGGATTAGGAACTCAAGTCCTGTTCTGCGGGATTCTAAGATACATATTTAAAACTATTACATTCAGCTGCCTGTCAACATCCTGGCATGTTACACATTGTTGTGATCCATATGCGTGCAATTTCATAGCCTGCTTTATTTCACTAAGCATCCCATGTTATGAAAAACCATAGCATACCTGTTATTAAAAATTCTTCATCATTATTATGTTTATAGCTTAATAATGTTACTTCTGATATCTTGCTTCATGTTATTTGTTTTTTATATTTTCTTAATGTTTTCTTTCTGTTCTTTTTCTATTATTTTCTGAAGCAATTTGCAACTTACATTTAACTGATTATGAGTCGAAAGAATTGAACCATGTTCCAGCCCCTCCTCCCATATATACAAGATGGAATCATTTGCTTCTTGTTTCTTTGCCTCGCCCCCTTTCTTAGGCCCTGTGTCTTTAACTTGAAGCTCAAAGCACTTTTTACAACTATATTATTTCTGACACGATACACACACACATTTGTAGATAGATACATGGATGGGGGGAGAGAGAGAGAGAGAGAGAGAGTGTGTGTGTGTGTGTGTGTGTGTGTGTGTCTTGAAATAAGTTGGTGACATGTTAATTTGAATGACTATAGGGAATCCACATGGAGATGCCCAGGAGATCAGCAGCTCAGGGGTCAAGTCTGGCTCACAGATATTCCTTTAGGAGTTATTAGCATATAACCAGGAATTATTAGCATATGATCCATATAAGTCTGCAGAGATGTTTCAGGGAGTAAACGCAAAGATAGAAGAGAAGCAGGCTGAGGATGGGAGTCCAGTGAAGACCAACATTTTAGAGACCTGTGATAGTGAATGAGAAAAAGGAGTCAGAGAAGTCAGAAGAAAATTAAGAGAAAGGGGCTCCATTCAATGGAGCAGAGGGTTCCAGGAAGGTGGAATGTTTTAGAGAACACACTTGGAGACTGCCCTCTGGATCTGATGCTATGGGCCAGTGGAGAGGTTAGTAAGTGTCATTCCATTGGGATAATGAGCATGCAGGACACAGGGCTGTGGCTGAGGAGAAAATAAAAGGTTCAGAGGCAGCCTGCTTCCTCTGTCTATGCTGAACTTCTAGTTCTGGCTCTAGCACTAACATTTAGTGACTTTGGGCAATACTTTATCTTCTGAACCTAAGTTTCCTAAGCTATACAATTTAGGGAAATGGATTACAGTTGTCTAAATACACTCCAATTCTAGTGCTATGCATACTATGATATTGGTAGGTATTAAACTCTCCCCAGACACCCAATACAAATACTTCAAGGGGAAAAATTAACTCTAGAGTAGTCATCAACTTATGGGCTAAATGAGTCTTAAGGGAGTCTTAAGGGAGGTCTGACCTTCTGAATATTGCTGTTGTTATCTGTACCATTTTTATACTTTAATTTTAGTCATGAGTGATTAGTGTACCCTTTTAATATCTCCTCAATGGTGTTTCTTCCCACACGTTTATGGACAATTTTAAGTAAGTCCTTAGTAGCACTGATGCAGGGCTTATTAGAACCCACATCTTGGTGTCCATCTAGTCCATGTGCCAACTACGTCCGGCACCCGGCATGTTCCTTAAACTTTACATATTGTTTTCTCCTTCTTTGAGATGCCATTTGTTAAATAATGATATTGAAAGCAATAATCAAATTGGTACCATATAGTGAGTTTGCTCAAATAATCAGTCTTGACATTCATTCTTGGTTTGGTGTTCTACCACTGCAATCACTGGCCTCTGTTCAGAGGCCCCCACCAACTTCCCAGTTTGAAAAATGGAAATCCATACGAAGAGGGGGACCTGAATGAAACCCTCTTAAACTGTGTAATGAAAAAGAAGGCTCTAGCAGGCTCCCATGGAACCAGTAAGGGTGATGACTCCCATTACATTATAAAGAAAGCCAACCAAACCAAAGATCCTAACTTTCTACAGGTGATATAACTTCTCCTAAGTCTAGCCACGATCTGATCCATTTGGCTCTGGCTCTCTTTGTTATTGGATGATTGCTCATTTCTGAATTGTTGGAAGGCTAGAAACAAAAATAGGAAAAAGAAAATGGCAGACAGCAAAACCTGCTTTGGGCCCCATATTAATCCAGTTACCTGAGAAGTACTACCTACAAATACTTAATTAAGAGTCATTGGAGCTAACGCCTTTTCCTCTTTCTGGTGGAGTCTAGCCAACTTTTACCAGAAAATTGCCTTCACATTTTGAAATCCCTGTTCTAGTAATAAACTTGTAGACAAAATGTCAGCGTTTTAAATGGCTGCAGTTTTAGTTATTTTAATTAATTTTCAGTCAAAAGAAGTTGATTTAATCCACATTATTGCTTGCAAATTGTTAAATTTTGTTTGTATAATAAACTTTTAAAACTTTCTAGAGTCAATTCCTCTGGGCAAGCTTCAGCATGTTGCTTAGACCTCTATTATAATACTTAAAACATCCTATTAGATATTACGGTAAGTTATTTACATCTCTCTGTGCCTCACTATTTTGGGAGCTCTTGAAGGAAAAGGATGAAGTCTTATTTATTTATTTACTGACCCTCTTAATATCTGGAACAGAACCTTGCACATAGTTACTGCTCAATAAATATTTTCTGGATTACTAAACTCTGAGGAGGGCTTAGAATTAAGAAGATAATTTAAATACTTACCCGTTTGGTTATATGCCTAATTCTTTATGCCTTTACTTTTCTGTTTAGTGGCACCATTTATTCCTTGCTTTGTGAGGTGTTAGCTAGAATCTTTGCTGTGTAATGCTTAGTTCTTTAGAAATTCAAAGTTCTTGGCTCAGCCTCTTGGGTTGTCCTGCCTTTTATAGATGCAGTAAATTTGATCACCATCAAGGGCTGTTAAACAACATGCAGTGATAAAAATAGTTCCCTTTGCTGACATTAGGTGTTTTCTAAAACAGCTCGATAAATTCTGGTCAACAGAAACTCTTTGTGATTTCAAAAGTCAGAAAGTGAACTGTTGACATGGATCTGGGCAGATGGAAAATAAATTGCCCTGTAGTTGCTCAGAAATATGTCCTAGGTGCTTTTTACCATGACTAGTGGTTGACTGTGCCTTCACTCGATGATGTTATAATAGAAGTTATGCAAGCTCACGAGGTTACAAGAGGACTTGTAGGCGGCGACTTGTTTGCAAGGTGATGTATCTGCAGGAGGCGTAATGGGTAGGGTGAGTGGGAGTGGTAAGTTGGTGAGTTTTGCAAAGAGCATTGATTTTAAATTTCATTTATCAGGTTCTTGGGAAGGGGGATGGTGATATTGGTAACTGCAACAAAGAAACCCTGGCTCTAAAGTAAGGCCAGGAAGCAGTAGTAGCAGATGTAGATCTGTTTTCCCCCTTACTTTCTACTCCAGTCCTTCCTGCATTTAGCAAACTTCACTCCTCAAACTATACTTTCACATCACCATTATCTTTATTGCCTATTATATTAACCCTAACCCAAAACAAGTGGAAAAGTACACCAAACTGGAAGTACAGAGGCCAGGTACCTGGTTCCTTTCTGTGTCTACCCAGCCAGGTAAAGTTGAGCAAGTTTCATAACCTTTCTGGAGCCATTGTCTCTTCTTGAGAAGAATCAGTTTGCACTATATGATATCTAAGTACATTTTACTAAGACATCTCAATTAATTTTCAAGCCCTTCTATTTCTCATGACCACCCTGACTTTTTAGACTTGTTTCCTATTAGTTCTAAAACAGGGTATGTCCAGATACACAACTTTGTACCTGCATAATAGTTCTTAAAATAACTTTTGAACCTTTGTGGTGGAGCCTCGACTCTCTAGTTCTATGCTCTCTCATCTTGCCTGTCCTCATCTTCCTTACCTTGCAGGCCCTAGGAAGGATTGAGCTGCATTCCAATCTACCTGCTGTTCTTTTGCACTGGCTTGGTTTTAATGTGTATCTCCTTCACCTCTCATGCTCCCCAATCTGCTCTCTTCAACCTTTCTTTTTTTGCAAACTTCCTCAATCAAAATCTCTTCTTTCAAGATTTGATTCATTATCATCTCTTTGAGGACACAGTATAAGAGTGATAGATTCTGGAAGCATCATTGTAGATTGAATTTACTAAAGCACTTTAATGATAATCAAGAATTATAGGATTCTAGTCCCAGATCTGCCACAAACAACAAGGCCATTAGCCACTTTGGGCCTCTTTCTCCTACTTTTGAATAATGGCATGGAGATAGGGTTGGGGGTTGAAGTTTATCAGAGAATGTATATTCTCAAACATTTTCATGGGAAGGTAGAGCATATAAATAAGTAAGATAGGTCTGGGGTAAGATCATAGAGAGTGCTGAAGAAAAGAGGCATTCCATTATTTTTTTAAGTAATTTGCATGCCAAGCCAAACATGCTTGCCAGTTGAATTCAAATCCTAGGCCTCTGGTATACAGGTTATGAATTTAGGGGCCATTGTAGTGCCTTTTCAATCCAATATGCATATTTGTTCTTCAACTCTATCTATATCTCTATTAGATTACATTACAATATTGTATGTTAACAGCAATTCTTTATAAGTTTTTTTCTTAACCTGTTTCATCTGTTTTGACTCTTGACTCATATATTATGTGCATTCTTTATTCATTTTATAAGCCCCTATAACACCTACCACATGCTTCTGCCCACATTGATTCTCAGAAAAAGCTTGCTGAAATTTGCATTGAAGAGGGCTAGAAACTAAAAGTTGGGAAGACTGTAGAAAAAATAAGAAAGAAAGGATGGAGGAAAAGTATTTGAAACAGAATAAGAAACCACTGTAAAAGTGTAGCCAAGGTATGGGGGGAGCTGGTTCAGGAACTCTGCACAGGTCTGGCCCTTTGAACCACATCAGAACACAGGTTTCCAGAGCTAAGCTGAGCTAAGGGTCGACTGACCTAGTGTTTCCCAAATTGTGCAGCCTAGGAAGAAGACAGATGAGCACCTTTATATTATCATAGCTGGTCGTTTTGATATACATTGGAAAAGTTGCTTTGTATTTTAATTACTGTTAGCAAAATACTGATTTCCTATTTACAGAAACAATGGGTTTTTCTTACTAAATTTAGAAAAGCATTAAATAATAGGTAGTGTATATATTTAATAAAGTCATGAAAATTGTATTTAAATTACTAAGTTTGAGGAAATTCCTTTGTTTTTCAAAAGAAGAAATTGATCTGGCCAAGATCACACAGTGAGTAACTGGTAGAGTTGGGCTACATCTCAAATGGAAGAGACAGAACCTGGGTACTGGGTGCTCTCACTCTCCCTATGAGTTGGATGGGTTTCATATTCCTCCTCTTACTCTGCTATTCATGCAGAAATTGAACATAATGAGCTCAAGCTTCTAGGGTTATCCTGAGCAGGTCTAGGGGGATGAATGGGTCCTGACATGGCAGGAGTCCCAGAAATGCATGTCTCTTCCACATGTTACCCACCAGCCTTCCTGTGTCGATAGATGTTCGTCTTTCCACTGATCTGTGTTTGAGCAAATTGATTTCCTAATCCTTTCATGGTTAGCAGAAATTTTAGATACATCTTACATCTGTGTTATTCTTTCAAAATAATTTCACCCACAGTATCTGTTTGAATCCTCATATGAACCCAGGGGGTTAAGAACAGAACGTGTGATTATCCCCATTTTCCACATGAAGAAAGCCAGTGCCCCATGGTAATACAGTGATTCCATACGGGCTCTGGTGCCTTTCTCACAGCTCACTGCTGTTTCCTCTTTTTCCTTTCAGAAAGAATGAAAGAAAAAAAAAATGCACAGTGATCTAAATGAGCTGTAATTGCTGGGCTTCAGTCCCATATTTATATTTTATAATGCTGATTTCTTTCAAATAGATTTGTGAGCCTTGTCTGTAATGAATTCTCCCAGGAGATAAATGACTAACTTGTTTCAAAGAGAAAATTTGTCCATCAAACTCGCGGGCCTTGTCTTGAGATTCAGTACTTCTCTCCTACCGCAACTTTGTTTATGCCATGTCTGAATAAAAGATCCCACATTTCCCTGAGATAAAAATAAGTTGAAAGAAAGCTATATTGGTGACCTAAGAGTTTCCTATTGTTCCAGGAAAGGATGAAAGGACAGATTTGTTTAGCTGAAATGTGTGTGTGTATCCTTACCCCAAAGTGGTATTTTACATTTATGAACTCTGTTGGCTTCACAGGAATCACGTGCTGTTGCCATTGTCTTTTAGTATCCGGGAAAATAAATACAGGCCTATTTAGGACTGCACCTTCCTGCCACCCTTCCCTCTGGCAGGTGGAATATTCCCAAGAGCTTTAGACTACTGCTTATGCGAACTTTTTAATGCATTTGTGTCAGCAGTAATACTGCTTTATTAAATGAAGCTTTTTCATTGTGGATAGGGGATGTATTAAATGCAGCAAGCCTTCTAATCACAGACAGCCAGCACAGCCCCACTCTCAGTAGCAGGTTACCAGCCACTCTCCCTTTATTAATGGGCTTCCTTTGTCAAAGGAGGGAATGCAGCATCTTCAGAAACCCGTTAAAAGGCACAGCCTTTTGTTGCTGCCCTCAGCCATACCATGTGAATTCAGTTTTCCCCTGTGTCAGGGGAAATTCATCACAAAAATATATACACGGGCTCTATCTAGCCAGCAACACTCCCTCATAGGCTCTGTATTTTCAGTCTCACACTGAAGTCCACTCACTGATGGGTGTGTTAGTAGCTCCTCTGTGCTGCTTTCATCTCCCTGGATGTTGAGACAGCTGCGGCACATCTGAATACAAAATCAGTAGAAACTGTGACAACATGGCAAGAAAATAACCTCTCTTTTCCAGAAACATCCAGGATCCTTCTAGAAATCCTTTGGAACTTTGTTGCTAACTCATTTGTTGCACCATCTAGGGAAAAAAAATCCCTACTTCTGGATAAAAATATGTCATCAATTCAAGTTTCCTCCACTTGGGGGAGTGACTCACACCAGCCCTAGAAAGCGGTCATCCAGCCTTCCACTTGAACAACTTCAGTAAAGCAGAATCCCACAGATCTTGAGGAACACCAGTTCATCATTGCGGCGATCTGGAATGTTTCATACATGCTTTTTTATGAAGCAGAAACTTCAAAATTTCGCTGAAGCCAGACGTAGGACAGATTCTAGCAAAGTTGTAGGTGAATGAGAATTTCACAGCTTGAACAACAAGAACTATTAATACATGAAGCAGCAACTGAATGAATAACACCATTGGTTCATCTCTTCTGGGCACTTAGTAGAAGCTGCTGTGTCTAGAACACTCACTTGATTCAAGAGGAGTTCAGTTCCCCATTTTACTGGGGCTTCATTTTGTAGGAAGGATGACCTCACTTTAACCGTATCTGTGAATATGACCCAGTGTTTCCTCTTTAGTTAAAATCGACGTATCATGTTTAAAGACTGTCTTTTCACTCTGGAAAGTTCTGAGGATCCAGATGCACCATTACAAGGGCATTTTATAGTCTTCAGTGCAGCACTATCTTGCCTCTTTTTGCTTCTAATTCTTCTTACCTACCATTTCTCCTTCTTATTAATTTTGAGCTACGTGGTTATAATTTTAAAATATGTAAAATATATGTATATAAATACATACATATAAATATATAGTATATAATCATTTAGAGTCATGTATCTTAATTGTTAGACCCAAAGTCACTCTATATTGGCTGTGTTGCACTCAGCAAATCATTTTGCTGGTTTTTAAAGTGAGAATAATAATGAGACCAACCCTAGAGCATTACCACAGGGAACAAATTTTCAGATGACACATGTAGTAAAAGGACTTTTGAAAATATAAAGAACCCTGTGAATGTTAATGATTGTCTCTGCTGTGAGAAAGGGCAGACAGAATAAAGGACTTTTCATCATATTCTGTGGCCTGGGTGTAGCCACCCTGATGAATGCAGTGCTGGAGAGAGGCTGGAAGGTAGATCTCCAAGGAGAGTTCCAATGAATGTGGGATTCATCAATCCATGGATGGTGTGTTAGTGTGCACAGTGCAGCTCAGTCCTAAACCATTCATGTGGATGTGATTATTTTCTCCTCAAGCACTCGCGCTCTGGTATATATTGCAACTCTGCCTTCGGCATTCTGTCAGGAATAAGCAATAATTGAACAAGGAGGCCAGATATTAGTGTCCATGAATACAGAGATGCTCATAGGGAAGTCTACACCCGGGCAATCATCAGTGCAGTCGATTATACTGCCACTTGCTTTCTGAATTTTATTTGTATTCAAAAGGCAAGACAAGCATCCCAAGAGTGAGGAATCCTATCTGTGGTCAAATTTAAAATTGTCACATACAGTTGTGAAGGTTGCACACTGCGCAAAGTAAGGGTGCATCACACACACCCTGGACGTTAGAGAGTTGTATATTTATTATGACAAATTCCTGAAGTGTGTGGTTTTAACAATCTAACATTTCACAATATGTTTCTAACAGATGGATGTAAAGTAAGGTACTGTATGGGCTAGCTAAAAGGATAAATTTTTCTTGCTTTGAAGCATTTTATTGTTCTTTATGTCAGCTCTATGTGTGAGCTTTTCCTATCTTGGGCAGAATGACAGTCAATTCTTCTCAGACTGAAGTGAGCAAAACTTCCTTTTAAAAATCTTCCAATCTTAAGAATCTCAGGTTATTTTTTTGCACTTAGGAAGCTTGCAGCTGTTCCTAAATCAAAGTAAATTTGTTATCTGAAAAGTCAACTTAATTTGTGCAACACTTTTTCTGCGGATCCTTGTCCTAAGGGAAGTAGAAGACAGCGTCCTGGAACACACAACAGTGCAAAGTAGAAGCTTTATTTATGTCGCACACTGTGAGGGGCATGGCAAAGTGTGGAGATGGGAGTGAGATTATGGTATTGCACTGGAGTCGAGACATATAGTCAAGCTAGGGAATGTTCCACTGAGCCATTGATGATAAACAGACCATCTCCCTGTTTCCAGAGGCAACAGGGAAATTGAATATTTTTCACATGCAATTCTGCATGTTTGAGAACTGCTTCAGTGGAAGTATCTTTAGGGAGCATTTCACAGGCATCAAAACCATAACCGGCAGGGAAGGCAGAAGGAACTCACATGTTAGACACAACCCTGGTCGGAAGGCAGTTGCTGATTGAACCTGGATTCCTCTACTGGACAAAGGGACACATATTGAGTTTGGCAGGACTACCAGGATTGGCAGGACCTTTGGTGGAAAGGACTCTGCTCTTACCGCCTCACTTCCCAGAGACATGGTACCTCTCCTAAACGTTACTGACATTATGATTAAGTCTACTTCTACAGAGAAGGAGGCCCCCATTTAAAAAGGAGAAGTGCTTTGGATAATGTCGAGTTAGTAGAATTATCAGTGTCAAGGTCAGAACTGGATAGAATTCAGGGTTTCTGAAACCCTGTCCCAGCCTTTATGTTGTTCGTTCCAGGAGTGATTGACTCATGGCCCTAATTAGATCCTCTCTATTTGGGCAAGAACACTGACTCTTGATTTTGCGGTTCAACAGTGTCTAGATACTGGGTAGCTGCTATGAGTAGCATTATGTAATTAGACAGCCCATTTGGGGACATTTCCCAACTCAGACATGATCCCTAACATTGACCCCATTTATTCCACTGTTCACTGAATGTCAGGGTTTTGAGAGGATGCAAGCAGAGCACCAAGGTGAGGAGACGGAACTGCACAGAATAACTGGGGTTTTTGACATCTGCAAGGCCAAACCTCCTGCAGGGCCTTCAATTCCACCTGGTTGCTTGTCCAGCCCCTGATGATGTACAGTACTGAGGGAGGTCACAGGAGCCCCTGAGCTGCCTCCAGTAGTGAGCTGTCATATATCCCTCTTCACAATGACCTTCCTTCCTGGCACTGCGCCTCTCCCGCAGTCCTAAGTGGCCTGTTCTGAAGTGTGTGGTTTTAACCCTTTTCCAGAAGTCTCAGTTCACTCACCAGAGTCTCTGTGGATCTCACAAGGTGTTCCTGGGACATAAAGCAACTCAAGAATTTTCTTTACTACAATGTTGTCTCAATCAAGACATCTAATCTGTTATTTTCAGCCTTTGTGTGGCAGAAAGATTAATTAAGCTATGATGTAGAAGATATAGGTTTCAGCCTTTGTTTTCTCATTCTTCAACTAAGTTACTAAGTAATAATGGACAAAGGATTTACTTCTTTCCCTTTACGAATACTTCCCCTGTCTAAGTTACAAAGCTGATGGGAGCATTAAATGAGATTGTGGCTGCGCAAAGGGTTTGAAAATTAAAAGGTGTGTTTTATAATCTTGGACCACAATGTGGCCAATAAGAATAAGAATAACTGCCACCTCGTGAGCCCTTAACTATGTTCCAGGTACTGTGTTGATTAGTTTTCACACTTTATCTCTTTTAATCGTCACAGTAATCCAATGAGCTTGGTACCATTATTACTCCATTATTTTCCGACATTATTGTGAAGACTTCCAAAAGTTAAAAATTTTCCTAGTATCTCAATTATGTGGCAAATCCAGTATTGAAATCTTGACTCAGCCCTGAGCCTGCACTCTCAACCATCATTGCTACATCCTCAGTAATGTAGCAATTAGTAATAACAATAATAAGCAACGACCTGGAAGATTGATGTTCTTCCATTAATCTGACAGTGAAGAAAGATGGCAGAGGGTCAGCTAAAGTGTATATTTTGTAGAAGTTGCTCATGGAGCCATGGCACTATTTCTGAAGGACATTAATATCCAAAAATATCTCATTTACTGGTATCTACAACTCTGTCTTTGCCTGGAGGGTCTGGGATGGTTTGACTGAAATGGTAAGATCCTTTCTAGTCCTAATTCTTGGTGCTTGCCCAAAGTAGAGGCTACATCTGTTTATTTGCACAAATTGAAGGAACCTCTCTTCTTATTTGGTTATTTCGTTGTTTTGTTTTTCAACGCGAGGCTTTCAGGTAACAGCTATGACCTCACTCACATAAACCAATGGAAGAATGCAGAGACACCAAGATGCATGGATAGGCCAGAGACTGAGAAATCGTCAAGTTCTCAGAGCAGAAAAGATAAGCCAAGTTTGTAAAATAGCAAAGAGCAGAGCCAACCCACGTCACATGTTAAAATAAGCTCCATTTTATCTATTTTTGGTGGGAATACAAAGGGTTAAGAAAGAAGTCAGCTGATAATTCGTAATTGAATTAAGCATTTGAGGATGTATTCTTTGAGTTGTACATTTTTTTTTCCACCAAAGCAATCATTGTAAAATATTTAGGTAACATTTGTTACCTGCCAGGCCGAGTGCAAGTGCTGGGAACCACATGTGGAAGGATAGACCTAGTCTCTGCCCTTATGGTGCTGACAGTGTAGCGATCCACCTAAGTACCTGGTGGCACCACAATGATAGTCAGACTCTGCACGGTTCTAAACATTTCCAGTGCTTGCATTTTGATCCTTGGTTGAATTGCTTGACTTTAGGTAAATTGTTCAAAACAGCATGCAATAGTTGCTTCCCGGTTCATACATAAATATGGCTCTCCTCAGATGACACATATACCTATTGAGTTAGTAGAAAATTTAGATGTGTATTTGCTAACTTTATTTTTTTAGTGTGTGCTGCAAATGTCAGTTCAAATTTTGCTGGTCAAACACCCCTTGTAATAGGCTTTGATAATTTAGCTCCTAGGAATGGCTTGGTTACAGAACCCCGTAAAAGTTTATTGACTTCTGCTTGCTGGCTTAGGTTGTAGGTTAGAATGTACCTCAGAAATTAGCTTCATCCAGTTTAATGACTTCATTACAGAGCAGTTTGCGTGCTCTCAAGCACTGCGTAATATATTTTTTAACACCAGTTTGTAGCTATCTTGAGCTATTTCTATGTAATAGGAGAGGCGGGTTTCACTTGTTTAAATGGCCAAAATAAAAAATGTCGCTGAAATGGGACCCCGTAGGGTCCACGTGGTTGGGGACTTTCACTACCAATATGGTCTGAGGTAATAATTGAATACCCAATTGAATCTCAGCTAACTCCAGTGTTATAAAGAGATCACTTGTAGTAGCCATTGCTTTTCCTAAGGGCAAATAAATAGTGATTTGAAAATTATATTTAGGCTTTACATAAAACCAAAGGCAATAGAGGTTGATGAATATTTGTAGCCATTTATTAGTCTAAATCCAACATGAAATGAATTTGGTTTTCTCCCTATGCCTAAATAGAGTGTTTTAGGAGGACTATTATCCCTTCTATGTTACCCTAAGACATGTTATTACACATTGCTAATGAACCTCTCAGTTCACTGTACATAAATGTGGTGACATCTGCAAAGCTGACTACTTGCTAGTCTGTTACTGTGTTGAAGTGTATTCTGTTAGTGCAATAAGAAGTTAAATTTAAGAAAGATTTTAAAATATGATTAATAACAATTGTAAATACATGATAATTTTAGAAAAACTAGAATAAATATATAAAGGACATTAAGTCACACAAGATCCTACCACCTGGAAAGACCTACTATTAACATTTTGGTGCCTGTTCATATGTATATGAAGATCTCCAGATGTATCTGGAGATTCTACATCTATATAGCTGGAGATCATATTGCTCAATATTTTCACTCATTTTATAATAACTATAAAGTAAATTTTGATAATCTTTCCATTTGTTAATATAAATTTTATTGGCTGCAGAGTGTTCTGTTCTATAGATTATCCTCTAACCAGTACCCTATTGCTAGGAATATGGATAGTTTCCAGGATTTCATTATTGCAACAATGCTTGTGTATAAACAAATTGGTGTATATATATTTTTGTACAATTTTAAGCTTATTTCCTAATGGGAATTCTTTCGAAATGTAACTGCTGAGTAGAAGTGCTTCGCTGCTGCTTCTCCTTTCACTCCTGACTTTCTCTGAGGATTGCCCATGTGGCTGTGCCCTGCAGGGTTGCTTAGGCCTGTAATGTGGTCCTTCACACCTCTCTCCCCTTTTCTCCTTGGATCTACACATATGCATTCCGGGGTCCTATGGCCTTGGGGCTGTTTTCTTGTTTGTGAGGGAGGCCTTTGAAAGGTTTAGACAGATAAGGGTTAGCAATGCCTTAATTAACAACATAGAAATATCATTGTCATCCCTGCTGTCTTGTTGGCTAGTTCCTATATTATGCCTACAAATTATCAACATGTCCTCAGCTTCCATCTCCAGAAGGTTCTTAAGAACTAAAAATCAGGACCCTTTCAAAATTTCCAGATTCTAATAAGACTGTCTATTCCATCAACAACAATATTGACAAAAATAATAAAAACAACAATATTGACAAAAATAATAAAAACAACAATAACAATACCTAATACAAATTCTAACGTGCCAGAACGGAATTATGTAATCTGGCCCTCGGAAATGGAATTTCTTTAGACTAATTTTAGAATATTCTTTTAACTGAGTGTATGTGATGGGGCATGGGGGGTAGGGTGTGGAGTGGGGAGAGTTTGTACATAATTGCTTAACTGGGTTTTTGGTCCTAGGAGGATGTCCTTACTGATTTTTATTTGTTTTCTGTTTCACTTGATGGATTGGCGGCAGATTGGGTATGAGAACAATTAAAAATCTATAAATCCACAGAATATTAGATTTTGTTAAAACTATTCTGCACACGAGGAAACTGAGGACTAGAGAGGTGAAGAGACAAAATTTTGTGAAGTGAATTTATATATTTATTTATTTATTAGATAGAGTTTCACTCTGTTGCCCAGGCTGGAGTGCCAGTGGCACAGTCTTGGCTCACTGAAACCTCCGCCTCCTGGGTTCAAGTAATTCTTCTGCCTCAGCTTCTCGAGTAGATGGGATTACAGGCACGTGCCACCATGCCTGGCTAATTTTCTGTCTTTTTAGTACAGATGGGGTTTCACCATGTTGGCCCAGCTGTTGTCGAACTCCTAACCTCAAGTGATCCACCTGCCTCGGCCTCCCAAAGTGCAGGGATTACAGGCGTGAGCCACTGCACCCGGCCATGTGTAGCAAATTTAAATTCAGTTCCTTAGCCACTCTCGCCACATAAGTGTTGTGTTTGACAGTCACATGTTCCTAACGGCTACCATATAGGACAATACAGATATACAACATTTTTATTATCATAGAAGTTTCTACTAGCCAACTCTGCTTTTTAACCTCTAGTCTAACACTTGAATATTGGTTCCACTGTTCCACTGAAACATTTTTTACAGCCACTGAATGTCTTCCAGAGCAACCCTGAATATTGTAACTTTATGTGGAGACCTTTTGAAAGCAATGCATTATTGCATTTCAAAGCCATACTTAGGCTTATTAAAGCATATTGTAATGTCACTGTATTTAAATTATCCACACTGGTTGCCTAATTACCACTTTAAGTCTTTTAATACACACGTCCCTTAATTTTGCATTTTTCTTAAACATATCAATTTGCACTTAACCATAAATAATAGAGTGCTTAGCTCATACATATCAATGAGAATCCCCTTTAGAAGTGAAAGATTGCTTGCTTAATACCAAGGAGTATTTTGGAGAACATCAAATCCCTTGACAGATGCATGTTGCCACAACGATTTATTTTCTTCTGCTTGTAGCTAAAATAGCATCATTTTGCTATTTAACGATATTGGAGGAGAAGGTTATAGCAAAATGATTTACAAATAGTAATTGCATTTTCCAGCTTACTTATTTCCATAAACGAGCCCAAAAATTTAATCTGGACTTGTATGTCAGACTCAACAGTATCAATATTTGTGTCTTCACCAATCACACAAGAAGGTGTTTGCTTTTGTTTCAGGTAAAAATGTATTAGAAGTTATTTCATGCCCAATATTCATATATTTCTCCATTTGATTTTGACTGCATTATTCATTGGTGAAAGAGGTAACTGTTTACAGACTGGGATTTCAGTGGCTTCAATGCTCACCAACATCCTCCTCATTGCTGGTTGATGCCTAGAATCCCAGGCTTAGCTTAGCCTAAAATCCCTTAGCTTTTCTCCCTATTAAAATGAAAATATCAAATATCTCTAGGGTGGGATACTATTAATATTAGGAGATAACATTTCAACTATGACTTGAAGAATATGTGTCATACAAGTAGAAACTGAGAAAGAAAGGATCGAGGTGGTGATACTGATACACAAAGATAGCAATATTAATGGGGGCAGCAAATATTTCTTCTTATGTGGAGCTCAAGGTTTGTAGGAACAGATTGAAAATGAAGCCAAACAGATAATCAATGACCAGATTAGAGATTAGGAAGGATCCTGAAAGCATTTCTAATGCTTTTTGACTTTAGTTTATCAATGAGAAAGGATAGGGAAGGATAGGGAAGAGGTGTTTTTTTTTTTTTTTGAGGTGGAGTCTTGCTCTGTCACCCACACTGGAGTGCAGTTGTGCAATCTTGGCTCACTGCAACCTCCGCCTCCTGGGTTCAAGCAATTCTCCTGGCTCAGCCTCCTGAGTAGCTGGGATTACAGGCGCCCACCACCACACCCAGCTAATTTTTGTATTTTTGGTAGAGACAGGGTTTCACCATGTTGGCCAGACTGGTCTCGAACTCCTGACCTCAGGAGATCTGCCTGCCTTGGCCTCCTAAAATGTTGGAATTACAGGCGTGAGCCACTCCTCCCGGCCAGGAAGAGTTCTAGGCAGAAGAGCACAACAGCTTTGTATTTGTGAAACGTTTTTTGAGCAACAATACGGAGGGTAGGTTAGAGGAGAGTGGTTCTCAAGCAGGGGACATGAGTTGGGAGGCTGTTGGTAAAACTAAGGAATTTCAAATGTCAGAACAAAGATGGTGGCAGTGGCATTGGGAATGGAAAGATGCATAGGGATTCTGGAGACATTTGGAATTTCCCCAGTCTTCCCTCCTTCACCTATTTCAATGTAAATGATCAGAGTATAGTCTTGAGACCCTTCCCAAACCTGAGAGGTGACATAGACCACCCCTTGTCTGCTTACTGGCCTTACATTGATTGCTGCTTCTGCATCCCTTATTGAGCCAAAACATTTCCTATTTTTCTGTGTTGACATGTAACTTCTGTCCTCTATGTGCCTGATCTACTCAGCTAATATATAAGCTCCTAGAAGTCACAGACCTTGGTTACCTTCCTTTTGCATCCTCTGTGGACACAGATAACAACTGAGAAGAGAAGAGAAGTGTCTGGGATAGTGTTTCCCATATCTGACCCATTCATTACCTGGGAACTTGGAAAACTAAAGATTCTTTTGTCCCAACATGGAACATCTGATTAAGTAGTTCTAGAATGAGATCCAGGAATGTACGTTCTTTAACTTCAGCTGATTCTGGTGGCCATTTGGATGTGTTAAACTGTCGGCAGAGTTTCTGATTCTGACTTTTGGTCATATTGGACTCTGTGGTCTTATCGAGGCACTAAAAATTGAGGGCTTCAATTTCCCCATTTGAGAAATTACAGCATTGAAGTAGTTGGAGTCAGAGGTCACTTCTGCCATGGGATTTGCCTAGATGAGGTTGCTTTCTAGGTCATAACTAATTTCCCACCTTAAGAGTAGAGTCTGTCCTGGGAGTAGACTAGGTAATTCCCCAAACGTATTAGAGTGCATCCTTATGCTAATGTTCTGTGTCACTCTCCCTGGTGGGATCTTCTTGCCTAAGGGACCTCCATGTGAGGAGGCTGGGTGGGCACACAGAGAGAGCTCATGGCCAATGCCATCGCCCACAGGGAAGTGTGGTCGAGAGTCCTATGTAGAGCACCAGATGGTGGTAGGTGGCTAAGAGAGTGTGTGGGGGCTCCCTTCAGACGCCTGTGGGCCAGCATCAGCTGTGCCCCTGCCTCTTGCCAGCTTTTCGCCTACAGGGCCTTCTTGATGCCTGAGCCACACCTCAGGTGCGCTGAAAGCTTGCTGATTTGTTATACAATTTTTCTATGCCCTCTTCTTCCATGGAGAGCTAGTAGGAATTTTCCTATGCTAGGCTGACAGCAAGCTCCTCCTTGTTTAACCGGTATGGATAAAGAGTAATTGATGTGCAGTATTAAAAAAGATAAGTTTGATCTATTTTTGCCTTCTTGGCTGTACTTCATCAGAAGAAGTTACTTGTGAAGTTGTCAGTACTGAGCTGGACTGCAAAGTATACCGAGGGAATGAGCCGCTTATGCAGAATGAGAGATCTGTGTGTGCCCAGGTCCTTACACATGCACCCAGCACAGAGCAGGCATCTTCCTAAAACTCTCTGGATGTTCTGCCTCCAGATGGGCCCCTGTCATCCCAGATTCTGCAAGTGGATCAAGTCCTAATACCTTAAGGCATCCATTGTATGTAAGGAATTAATTTCTTCTGCATCTAGAATGGTGTTATTTTTGTAGCATCCCTTGGAGAATTGAGAAAAAGTCACTTTCTATGTTGTGAGGATCAAGGAAGAACCCCAGCTGAAAAACACCTATGTCAGGCTCCCCAGTCTCCAGAGGGACACCGCCTCAAGACATCCTTCCCTGAGGGCTATATTAGGCTTTCACTCACATTCATGGACTGCTCCTTCCGATGGCTTCCTCTCCCTCTCCTCTTCATTCTCACTTCCCCCACATCTTCCCACTAGTTCTCAGAGGATATACAGTGTATGTGGTGGTGAAGGGGGTGGGGACACAACTTTGATAAATATGTCTATGAACAGCATTCAGAGAATAGAATAGATATAGCATGGTGGAAAGTAATAAGTAAGAGAAATGAAAATGAAAAAGAAAGGGTTGAGAAAGAGAGAGTTGGGAATAAGACTGGCATTTGCTGACAGCAAAATCTTGGACCCAGTACCTGATGCACTGCTCACCAATAGCCTAATTGGATTTTCTTCTATCCATGCATTCCTGGGATCCCGGACTATAGTGCTGAGGCAAACATACTTCCCCTGCCATCATGGAGCTTCCAGTCTGGGAGGGAAACAGATGGAATGAAATTGCCACCTGGATGGGAAACTACAAATGACAATACAAGCTGGGAAGGAGACGATTCGCTCTAAATGAGAACATAAAAAAAGGGTTCCTGGGCTGGTCTGGGGACCTGGAAAAGTTTTTCCGGAGGAAAGCATATTTGAGGAGACATCTGTAGAATGAATACATGCAATCTAAGTGACCGGAGCCAAAGGATGAGCTGACAATTGTTCTCAGATGAGTGGACAGAGGCTGTGTTAGTGGATTTTTCAGTGAGGATGAGAGTCTAAGGGGAGTAGGAGGAAGGGCAAGACTGTTCCTATGTTTCCTTTTGTGACCAGAAGGAATTTACCAGAGGAGGCTGCCTTAGTCCTAAAGATGTCTTCCTTTCTGCTTCCCAGCTACTGCCCTAGAGGCGTCTTAAGAAAACTAGGTAGATATGGAACTGACTTTATACTTGGAAGTGGCTGCAGTCTGCTCTGGTAAACAGGAAGTAGGCCAGGGGCTATGCAGGGGCTGTAAGCCCACAGAGTTCAGCTCTTGCTTTTCTGGAAACTTCTACCAGCCTGAGAGTTGGAATGGCAGCTGCTGCCCTAAAGGTTGTGCTCATGCCAGACATGGCTGTGCTCATAGCCCTGGACCCCAGATGCAAGCACAGGCTGGCACTATTTTAAAGCAAAATTATAACCCGAGAATAGAAAGGGGGTGGGTACCGGCTGGACGGGTGTAGAGTGCTATCAGACCTAAAGAGGTCTCTGCTTCCTTTTGTAGTGTTTTGAAATTTGCAAACCTGTCCTACATCTATTTTTATTTCATTTGATATCCACAGGACATCTCTATTTTACAGGTGACAAAACCATATTACAGAGAAGTTAAATGATTGCCCAAGTTCACAGACCATATTCTTTTTTAGTTTTCCTTATTGGTTTTCATTTAGGAGTAACCCTCTAATTAGAGCCCTCATTTTTCATTTGGAGACAAATGACAAGAAAACTGAGACCAGAAATTCTTGAAAGATAAATCTCAGACAACATTTAGTCTTTCTCACACATAACTTTACTACCTCAGCTCCTATATAATGAAAATTTATATCCCCCAAGAATAATCTCAAGCTGCCTTGTAAATCATCAAAGAAAGATTTAATTTAGTTCAGTCCTATTAGGTGTATTTATGGTGCTCTGAATCATTGGTATGGGATACATATGACGACTCTGAGGAGACCACAACATTACAATAAAAGGAAAAATTCATTTTTTCCAAGGTTTTTATAGAAACAGGTGACCACTATATAGTCCAAGGCCAGAAACTGATAAACACACCCAGAATCAGTCAGGATGCTGGAAGTGCTGGGGGCTCCATACTCTCCTGCAACCCTTTTCTGAAAATGATAACTTTTCAAAAACCTCTTAAAAGTAGCAAAGTTCATGCAAGTGAGAAGAGATCTATGTATTTCAATGCAGTAGTCAAAGAAATAGCTGTCTGCTCAAGAAAGCAAGCAAGTTTTCATGACCATAACATAAAGTCAAGGCTTAACAAATTGTATCATCCCATTTGTTGTGTTACAACTTGAATTTTTATATTAAAAGGTGATATAGTTTGGCTGTGTTCCCACCCAAATCTCATCTTGAATGGTAGTTCCCATAATCCCCACGTGTGGTGGCAGGGGTCTTGTGGGAGGTAATTGCATCACAGAGGTGGTTTCCCCCTTGCTATTCTCGTGATAGTAAATGCTCACAAGATTGGATGGTTTTATAAGGGGCTTCCCCCTTTGCTCAGCAATCATTCTTCTCTCTCCTGATGCCTTGTGAAGAAGGACGTGTTTGCTTCGCCTTCCACCATGATCATAAGTTTCTTGAGGCCTCCCCAGCCCTTCAGAACTGTGAGTCAATTAAACCTCTTTTCTTTGTAAGTCTCGGGTATATCCTTATAGCAATGTGAGAACAGACTGATGCAAAAGGATACCTTAATTTTAATTCATCGGTGCTCTTGCAATTTAGATATTCCTGAAGAAAGTGTTAGTATTGTCCTATATCATTCAGAAAAAAAAATGCTGTTATATGTTTCTATCAATCCCAAGCCCAGCAGATTCAACTATGAATTTTTTTTCAATATCAGAAACATGTTTACATATAAGAACTATACAATCTGAATGCTATTAAGTGGTCCTTCTGCTTAAAACAGAAAATTCTGAGTACTATTTTCCATCAGATAATATGGCAAATATGAGTAGTCTTCCCACTCATTTTCTTAGTACTAATATATTACAATTAAAACATTTTAAAACTAAATAACTGTGTTATTTATGAATTATTTTTTATATTGAGTTGAAATAGAAACACCTCTAGCGTTTTCTTAAAGTGTTATGAGCGCCATTTGAGAAAAGCTGCCAGCAACCTAAGCAGCTCTGGCCAACCTAGCAGGAGTCTCACCTAATAAACCAGGGGCTGTAAACAAGAGGCTATAATCAGCGCCATAAACCAGGAGTTGTAAAACTGACTGTAAGCAGGCCAAATCCAGGTGTGTTTATTTGGCTAATATAATTTGTATTTACATATGAAGGTGAATTCGTTCCGATGAGAAAGATGTTGTCCCTTAGCCACAGGCTCCCCCATTCCATAATGATACACTTTACCCTATGCACTCATTTATGCTTCCTGCTTAGCCCCTGTGGGTACCTGAGTTTGTGATTCCTCCGTTTTCTTTGCTCAGCCCAAACTGTACTAAATCCTCTATTTTTTTAGGGATTTTTTTCCCAATTTCTTTCCAATATTTTGTAACTTAAAAACAGCCTATGAAGATGGAAAAGACAAGCCTTAGAGGTTTCTTGATGTACTAAAAGGCTTTCTTTGCCACTGATGGGGTGCAGAGCTTAACCATTGCTCTTACTCAGCAGGGAACTCATTGTCTTAAGTGTGATAGATTATGGACCTACAGCATTCAAAATAACTGGTTCAAACCCAAACCACAGTCTTAATTTAAGGAAGAAAAATTTTTAGACACAATTCAGTGAAAGTTTACCTGATGTCTTCATAGAGCCCTTTATGGTTTGTGTTCTCACTATATGATAGTCTCTTCAAATCACTGTTTCTGAGTCTGACAAAAATTGGCATACCAGAGGTAGTACTATAATTTTTTGAGTGATATCATTTTCAACTCAGTAATACCAGTCATAGGCAGTTCAACACCTATCAGGTAAACATGTCTGAGACTTCAGAAGAAGATTTTTAAAGAAAATATAATTTATAATAAATTGAACAAAGTTTGGAGAGGTTATTTACAATAACAATTCATTCTGCTTATTAAAATATTTAATAATTAAATGCTAGCCACCCTGGTATATTCAGATGATTGTTTATGGGACTGGCAATTTGAGAGTAAGTGTGAATGGGTAAGTGGATGGCAAAGAAACACAATTGGCAGCTACTGCCAAGAAAAGTTATCTTTGATCATATAAGGTCCCCACCCCCAAGAAGACACAAGATCAGTTTGACCTGCAATTTCTCAATCCCAATCCTGTAATGTGAGATGCCCCTCTAGCAGATGTGGACTATTTTGCTGTTAGTGAAATGACAGAAAGTTTCAATGTGGTGCCAAGACACAAATCTAGGAAAAATAAGTTTATATCTAATAGCAATAAAGAGAGTCTGTCTTTATCCCCCCCTTGGGTCATATAAGACTGAGAAATATATTTGTAACATATGTAGTGGTGGTGATAGTGATATTAGGTTGGGGTATGTATGTGTATGTTTACACTGAGAGTGTGCAATGTGCCCAGTTGGCTAGCTCCATTAACATAATATGGTGGGTAAGAAGAAGGATCTTCCAGTCTTCCAGTCACAAATTATACCACATTGACCAAGCTTCTTTATCCTCAGTCTTTTTTTTTTTTTTTTCTGAGATGGAGTCTCGCTCTTTAGCTCAGGCTGGAGTGCAGTGGCGCGATCTCGGCTCACTGCAAGCTCCACCTCCCGTGTTCACGCCATTCTCCTGCCTCAGCCTCCCGAGTAGCTGGGACTACAGGCGCAAGCCACCACGCCAGGCTAATTTTTTTATATTTTTAGTAGAGACGGGGTTTCACCGTGTTAGCCAGGATGGTCTCGATCTCCTGACCTCGTGATCTACCTGCCTCGGCCTCCCAAAGTGCTGGGATTACAGGTGTGAGCCACCGTGCCCAGCCTATCCTCAGTCTTACTGTACTTTTTCATGACAGTGGATATAAGAAATACTTCAGAGGGCTGCCTCTAGTGATAAATAACACAGGCATATATGGTAAACACTAAAAATATATCTGGGAGAAAATTCCATATAAGGATCATATTAAAACAAGACAATTTAAAGCCTTAGAGGATTTCATCTGGCCATTGTTTCATATCAGACTGATCCATAAGAGAGTCTTTTAGTGAGTGCTTTCTGCCTTGTAGGTGGAAGGCCACCCCGGTTAGGTTGGATTCCACTGGAATATGAATCACAGTGGACCATAGGAGGAAACACTTTTTGAAACAGAGCTTCTTAAATCCTATCAGCAAGTAGTATGTGGCTGTATAATTACTTATGATTACTGCAATACATCATTTTAGAAAGTACTTTTCAACTGCTTCTTTTCCCCTTATAAATGTATTATTCATATCTACATAAATAACAGTTCACTAAATTCGTTTAAAGAAATCCATTGATTCTAGTAAATTATTAGACACTTGTAACTGTCACTCAGGCAATAATCTAGAAATGCCCCACTCAGGATTTCTGGAAACTCACTCCGGGGATGAAGGAGGAACAAAAATACCGTTCCATCTGTTAGCCAAACCGACTATACCAAATAATTTGGAACTTAATTACAGAGTTGGCTACATTTTCAAAATGTGATTTCCAAAGGCTGAAAGTTTTATTTAAATCTTTCTATGTTTATTTCCTCTAAGGACCATCAGTGGTGTTTGCACATTTCACTTTTAGAACCATTGGCTCTAAAGAACCTTCAGATTAGCAGTCAGACCCAGGGAAAAGAGGGAAACAGGGAAAACTACATTCTCTCTCTTCTCCCCTACTTTTTTATGCCCCTTCTTCATCTCTAGCATAGCTGAGAACAACTCCATATATTTTCACCTACAAATAGAGCTGTCAGAAAAAATACAGGACACCTAGTTAAATTTTAATTTCAGATAGTTGTTTATTATATTTTAGTATAAGTATGTCCCATGCAATATTTGAGACCTACTTATGCTAAAAATAATTTATCTTTTATCTGAAACTGGTCATTCTGTATTTGTGTTTATTAAATCTAGCAACCCAAGCTGCGAGACAACTATTTTGCCAAGATATTTGCTTGAAAAAGTAGGGTCAAAGTTTATCTTTCTGAAGGCATAATTTTGATTAGAAAATCTGAAAGACCAAACTCTTCTTTGATCCCCCAAATGAATCTCTGTTGGTAGAACTTTGGGCGTGCGTGAAAGGTGGTTTATAAAGATTATTCTGTTGGGAAAGCCTTTCTGTTGTACCTAAATTTAGAACATATAGGTGGCATTTGTTCCCTGTACTCACACGCCTGGCAGAAGGAGAGAAGGAAGGAGGAAAGCAGTAGGATCAAAATGCAGTCACTGTTTTATTTTATTTTATTATTTTTAAAATTTTTAACCATAAATCTTGCACTGGGTGGAGAGGGGAGAAGAAGGTTGAAACCTGACAACTTCACCCTTTTGGTTACTCAAGCCAAAAATCATGGAATCGATTTTTCTTACATTCCAAATCCAATCCAACAATAAGTGTTGTCAGCTTTACCTTCAAAATATAAGCTGAATCTGTCCATTTCCTACCACATCCTTTGCTAACAAGCTGGTCCAGGACACCATCATTTCTCACCTGAAATATCGTAGTAGCCTCAGTCTCTCTCCATTTTCACCATTGCCCTTTCAGTTTACTCCCCACACAGCATTTTGATTGGATCATGTTTAAATCTAAATCTGAGATGTCACTTAAAGCCCTTAAATGACTGCCATTTCACTCATGTCAAGCCCTAACAATGACCTGTAAGGCCAGCTCCACTCCTCTCCATTCTGCTTCTCTGAGTTTATCTCCTGCAGTGCCTCCCCATCACCCTTCTCCTGCCACACTGGCCCCCTTGCAAATCTCTCACTGTATCACAGACACACTCCTGCCTCAGGAGCTTTGCAATAGTCTCCTCTGCTTGCAATAGGTATCTGTTTGCTTTGCTTCTTTGGTTCCTTCAAAGTTCCGTTCAGATGTCTCAACCTCAGCAATTGCAGTCCTCCTCTACTCCCTCTTTCTTATGCTACCTTTTTTCTGCCTGGCCTGTGTCTTTGTAAACACTCTACCTTTCCCCTGTTTATCTTGTTATTGCATTTCTCTCCCACTAGAATGAAAGCTCTGTGGAGATGCGAGATGTGTTGTGGCTCTTGCTTATTCTGGTTATTACTGTATCCCAGTGCTTAGTGCCTGGCACATGGAAAGTGCTCCATAAATATTTGTCGAATGAATACATCAGCAACAGTTTTTAAACAAATTGCTTTTGGAGTTAGACACTTATTTGGAAATAGCAGTCTTAAAAGAATGGACATAGGACAGGGTAGCTGTAATGTCAGGGTCACATTTTGCAGAATATTCAGAGTGTGGTAGCAGGAGATGAAAAAGGCCGAGACAATAGGGAACAGTTGGATAGGCAGGTCATTATGAGGCCTTTGGTTGTCTGAAGACGTATTGGGGATGCTTTATAATTCAGCCAGAGACTGTCCTTTTGCAAAATCAGACTCTAGAAGTATTTGTTTATCATCTCGCTATGAAAGTAATACTCCGTATAGCAATAGTCTTCGTGCTGGAGCTCCCACGTTATTCCCAGGATCTGGGAAGACATTAAGATAATTAAAAGCCCAGTTCGCTCTGGGCTGTGGGGATCATATACACAGTGTATTATGACAACTGATCTTTCTGCCACTCTTCTCTGCTTCTATTCTTCTCTTCTGCTCTATGCTGTAGTCTCAATTCGAAGACCCTTATAACATTGCTTCCAGAAATATCTTCCTAAAGAACTAATCAAGCCGTATTATTGTCTAGCTTCTCAATTAGCATTTTTCCCTACTGGGAATAAACTCCACCTCCCCCTGTTTTCCCATGCTTGTTTTCCTTCTGTCCTTTCTACAGGCTAGCTACACTGAGCTTCTGCACATTTTCATATTGTTCTTGTTTTTTCCCACTCTCTAGAATCACCTCCATTGCCTGGAGAAGTTCTCAGCTCTCACAACTCAACTTACATGTCAGCTCTTTGGAGAATTTTCTTCATTTCTCTTGAAGGCATTTACTGGTCCCTCTTCTAGGATTTCGTAATGCCTTGCACATACCTTTGTTGCGACTGACCTTATCATACCATAATGATTTGTTGACTTATCTGTCACCCTCAGAAGATAGAGCATTTGTGTATCTCCACCATCAATTATAGCATATAGAAGGTATGTAATAATTAGATGATTATTAAGTCACATTAGATAATTTAGTTTGTAAAGTTCAGAGAAATTTATTATTGCTCCTTTACATATAGTTCTCTGGAGATATTGGTTTTGTTTTTCTTTGTTCTTCATAATAACCTCCCTTAAGTCAAACCCCCGTGACCTCTTGGTCACATGAAGATGTGTTAGTTGAACCCTGTTCCAAAACTAGAGAGAACAAAATGTCTAACAGTAGCTCTTTTGTTGATCATACCAAAAGGCAAGGCAATCATCAACCTGCTTACTCTCAGGATCTCCCACATTGGTCAAACCATGTCATTACATGTTGTCAGGCTTTGAGAAAAAGCATTCTTCATTTTAATTCTTTGCATGATTAAAGTCATTCAATTACCATTTGATTTAATTAAATGGCTTTTATGATTTAATTTTAGTGAGAGGAAAAATGATCAGTCATTAAAATGATGATTGAATGATGATTTTTTTATTATTGCAGTAGATAACAGGAAAGAGCCTTTGAGATAAGTTTTGTAATAAAGAATCCTTCTGGTAGTCACTAAAATGTGTTATCAGTAATGAAAAAGGAGTTGTTGATATTGTTAATTAATAAGTGATGAATTAGTGTGGAACCTGACACTTCATTTACCCCAGTAACATTATCTCAGGAAATTACAGAGAATATTATTCTGTCACTCTTAAGAATTTTTCAGAGAGAGAGAGAAAGAGAGAGAGAGAGAGAATAAATGTGTGTAAACTTCCAAACGGAAAAATAATCTAAATTGTAGTTTAGCACTCAAGCAAAACTAATTGCTTAAAGAAAATGCATGGTGTATATTATGGCATGTTGTAAAAATATCAGAATTTACTTAATGACATATTATTTTCTCTCTTTTTTAAAATTAATAACTGATACTTTAAGTTATATGTCATAATATTTTCCTTGTTGTGAATTTCATTAGGAGATTTTTTTTTATTCCCATCAATGACATCCTTTGGGATGCTAAATATCAACTTTATAATGGAGGGAAATAATTTAGGCAATTAATGTTGGGAATTTAAAGAAAGCTACTCTAAGTGCATATATATTTAATATAACTTGTTGGAATTATTTTTCTGATACAGGAAGAGATAGTCGGATATTCAATAAGTGATTGATTATTTGGTTTTAGGTTCTGACATCAGTCATTCCATATGAACTGGATATTCCACAATTCAGAACTATTGAGTAGTTCTGAAACTAACTACCTGAAGTTAGCACACACCCCACAGATAAAAGCAAAGTCCTTCACAAGAGTGTCCCCACTTCAGATGCCAGACATAAGTTTTGGGTGTTTGTCCTCAAGCCACTTGGATTTCTGCCCGGCTGGATACAAATTCCAAGCTGCTTCATCTCTACCTCAATAGTATGGACTGTAACCCAGTTCTGACACTACCTAGAGTGTCTTTGTCCATTTGCGTTGCTATAAAGGAAATACCTGAGGCTGGGGAATATATAAAGAAAAGAGGTTTATTTGGCTTATGATTCTGCAGACTCTATAAGAAGCATGGTGCCAGCACCTGCTTCTGATGAAGGCTTCAATGTACTTTCACTAATAGCAGAAGATGAAGGAGAGAAGGCATCACATGGCAAGGGGAAGGAAATGAGAGAAAGAGAGGAGGAGAAGGAGGAGGAGGAGGAGGAAGAAGAAGAAGAGGAGGAGGAGGAGGGATGTGCCAGACTCTTTTTAACAACCAGATCTCACAGGAACTAAGAATGAGAACTCACTCAATTCCATGAGAATGGCACCAACCCATTCATAAGGGATCCACCCCCATGACCCAAACACCCCCAGTTAGGCCCAGACTCCAAAATTGGGGATCAAATTTCAACATGAGATTTAGAGAGGACAAATATCCAAACCACATCACAAAGTTAGCCCAGACCCCACAGGTTGAAGACAAAGTCCTTTACAAGACTATTGCTACTTTAGACACCTCTCTAGAGGGGACAGTTGTAGGTCTCAGGGCCACCCAAGCTTCTGACAAACTGAAGAAAAATTTGGAGGTTCTGACAACTTCCTTGGTTCAAAAATTTACTAGAATAATTCACAGAATTCACAGAAAAAGCTAAATTTAAGATTATAGATTCCTTATAAAAGGTATACCTCAGGAACAACCAAATGGGGAAACTGTGTAGGACAAGGTCAGGGAGGGGTGGGGGTGAAAAGCTTTTCTGTATTCTCACTGTGGAATCTGGCCACATCATTCTTTCAGCAGATCAATGTGTTTGTCAGTCAGGAAGCTCCACAGATCCTTGAGTTCAGAGTTTTTACTGAGGTCTCATTACATAGGCAGGATTGATTAAGTCCTAATCTCTAGTCCCTTTTCCCTTCCTGAAGGTTGGGCTGGCCCAAAGTTTTAATCCTCTGATTGCATGATTGCTCTTTCTATGACTGGCCACCATCTTGAAGCTACCTATGAATCCCACCATGAATTGAGAGGTAGAGAGAATGAACATTGTCAGTACAAGTTCAGGGAAAAAGAGCTCAGTGGGGAAGGAGAGACTCAGGGAAGGATTTCTGAAAAAAAAAAAAAAAAAAAATGGACTTCAACCAAACCTTGAAGCATGTGTAGAAACTGGATCCTAAAAGGAGAAAATAGGGACCTTCTGGTGAGAGGAACAAAATGAGAAAATGTGAGACAGGAATAAGTTTATGGTATTTGTGGATGGTTTATATTTCCTTACTTGAATATTTGGTTATAGGGAATTCTTTTTCCCTTGAGTAGACCTGTTCTATTCTTCATCACTCCTTCTGCTAGAAGGTTCTTCTTTGTCATCAACCACGTCAACCTTCTGGTAATTTCTCCTCAGAGCCCTGTTCTGCCCTTCATGAAACAGTTACTAGAAGAGTGAGAGTTTATTTCATGGCCTCTGAGTGTCTACTTTCCCCGGGTTAAGCCAACCTAATTCTTGCCCCCATCCTTCAGTCCATGTGGTTTTGAGTTCCCCATTCATTGATTTTGTCTTTCTGGATTGGGTAGTGGTTAACAGTGTGTTTTGTGACATCAGAGAGATTGTGGCTTGACACCTGCCGTTGTCCAGGTGTATACATTAATTAACCACTTTGAAACTCAGTTTCCTCTTCTATGAAGTAGGGATATTAATAATTCCCTCATAGAGTATGGTAAAAATTCTGTGAAGTAATGTAGGCAAAGCACTTAAGACAGCGCCCCAAATATAGTAAATATTTGATGTATATGATGTATTATTAAGGGACCGTGTCTGTTAGATTTAGCTATAAAAAATAATAACAAAAAGCTCCCAGATTTTAATATCTTAAAATTAAAATAACTCATGATTCTATGTGCTGGCAACTTGAGCTAGGCTCAGCTGGAGAGTTCTGCTGATCTTGGGTGGGCTCTTTCATGTATTTGCCACCTACTGGTGGTTGAAGTTCTCACCCATGGTCTGGTGGTTGATTGGCTGCATCTGTGATTCCAGACAAGTGTTCTTATCATCATCCAGTCAGCCTGGGCTAGTTCACATGGTAGGGGGGCAGGATTCCCAGGAGCAGCCAGAAGGCATATCCTGCTGCACAAGTGTTTTCCAAGTATCCATTTGTGTCATATTTACTACCATCCTATTGGTGAAAGAAAGTCTAGAGTTGCTGTGGGGCAGCAACTCCTAAGGTCATGGATTAAAGGAGAGAGAAAGAATGGCGTGGCTCATCTGGCAGTCTGCCTCGGACTAAAATTCTCTTTCTAAAATAGTATTTTAAAGGTGCTAGTTTTCATGACTAGCCTGAGTAGTATAGTGAGACCCCATCTCTACTAAAAATTAAAAAAATATATATATATCAGTTGGGCACACCTGGGGTTCTAGCTACTTGGAAAGCTGAGGCAGGAGGATCACTTGAACCCAGGGGGTTAAGGCTGCAGTGAGCCATTGTACCACTGCACTCTAGCCTGGGTGACAAAGTGAGACTCTGTCTCTTACAAAAAAATTGCCAGTGGAGAATGGATTATTCTATTGGAGACTGAATTTGGTTTTGTTCCCTGGTACATTAATGACTTTTACGTGTGTGTGTGTGTGTGTGTGTGTGTGTGTGTGTGTGAAACAGAGAGAGAGAGAGAGAAGTGAAGAAATGAAGAAGACAGAATAATGAAGGGAAACTAGGAGGGACAGCCTGGAGAAACATTCCTGAGGCAAGAGACCTTGATAGCCTCATGCCATCTGGGCAAGAGAACTGGAGGAGGTCCTGCAGCTCTGGCCAGCCCACCTTTCCAGCACTCCAGGCTCTGGTGATATAATAGAGAGAAGGGCCACTAGACTAGTTCTAGAGAGTTATATTTCTTTCATTTGTTCCTTTATGGTGCAAAGACACGTTGAGTGTCTTCTCCAGGATTGGTACTGGCCTGGACACAGCGTCTAGTGCTGCCACTATGATTTTCCAAGTGATCATAGAAAAACCGTTTTTCTTTTACATCTGTTTAATGAGGGCATTAGTTTTGATGATTTCAAAGGCATCTTCCAGTTGTGATATTGTACAATTATACAATATTATACTATTTATTTTTTTCGCTTTTAAAGCTTACTCATTTTCTGTCCTGGCTCTTCAGCTCTCAGCTTATTGCTTTGATGGCACCCACCAATGGGCAGAATGAAATACTGACCACAAAAAAGATTGTATCAATAGAGTCAATTTCTGTGGCAGAGGACTTTTCATGATCCCTGCATGGTATTACATAGAAAGCCTTGAAATGTTCCTTGCCCAAGTGAGAGGCAGTGGTCAATGCATGGAGATTTCTATGTCATGGCCTGGGCTCCTGGGAGATTTCCCTGATAAAAATAGGTGATTGTCTCACCCTGAGGTGGGAATCAGGCTTTTTTAAAAAAATTTATATCTCTTCTAAAATGACAATATTGGTTAAATTTGGAATAGGAAGAACAGCATTAGCTATGGGATGTTGTGCATTTCCTCACCCTCCGTGAGTCTCAGTTTTCTCTCCAGTTCAGCAACACTCACCTAACAGTGCTGTTGTAAGAAGGAAATGACATAAAGCTCAATACATGCTAAGGTCAGGGCCTCCGTCCTTGTATGACTTCAAGTAATATTTGTTTTCCTTTTGTCCCTTTACCCCTTTGCTGAGCTGACCAAATAGGATCTTGTGTGCTGGTTGCAGCACTTTGTAAAGTACAAAACAAAAAAATGAATTATTATTATTGGCACCAGCACATACTCCAGGATTTGAGCAATGAGAATCTTCTGGTATTTCTCAAATCCTGGAGTATGTGCTGGTGCTGATAGTAATAATTCATTATTTCTTTTGCCAACTGCTGCCTTCTGCTGACTGTTGACCCACTTCCCTGGGGACGTCAACCCATAAGTTGGTCTATACATATCAACTTAAATTCTGGAGCCTTAGATAGGTAATACAGCAAAAACATAGGCACCTACCCTTGATTTGAGCCCTTTAGAGAATGGTACATTTCAATCAAATATTTCAGGCCAGTGGCACTCAGCTTATGGGTGGGATGGCTAACCTTGGACCTCATACAATCTTGCGCTGATCTTACACACCTTTTATTTTTTACAGCCTGATATAGATCTGCAAAGGACTCTCAGATAATCATCCACCCTTATCCAAGGCTTTGCTTTGTGCAGTTTCTGTTACCCACAGTCAAGGGTGGTCCAAAAATGTTCCATGGACAATTCCAGAAATAAACAACGCATAAGTTTTAAATTGTATGCTATTCTGAGGAACATGATGAAATCTTGCACTGTCCTGCTCAGTCCTGTCTGAGACATAAATTACCCTTTTGCCCAGCATATCCACATTGTATATGCTCCCTGCCTGTTATTGTATAAGAAAAAAAACCATGATGCATATAGGGTTTGACACTATCTATTGTTTCGGGCATCTACTGGGGGTCTTAGAATATACTCCTGCCAATAAGGGAGAGAGTATTTCTGAAAGGCATTCAGTGAACACAAAATATTATTTCCTTTGGTGAGTTGATTTTCCCCCTCGGTTTATTTTTGAAATGCTGCAGGGAAACGCCATCATTTCTCTCTGCCTTCTCAAGAGAGCCATAAAATGCTATTGGCTATTAGCTAAAATGCTGCCTCTTGGTTTCATTGATCTGAAGGGATTTGAGATCCCCAGGGTGACCAGAGATTAACTACACACAAATTATATTCAGAAATGTCCCTGGATACTTGCTCAGGATCTGTGTTGTTAGGGTGGTGCATTGTCAAGGCTCAGGCCAGGGTTATGAGGTCATTGGAAATTTAAAGACTAGGTCTGTGCAGCCTGTGGCGTGCAGAAGTGACTCACTTCTGGAGGTGAAGTCCTTAGAGCTCATAAAAAGGTCAGCTTCTGAGGGTTTAATCTGGGATGCACAAGTTAGCTTTAAAGGGGGAGAACTTGAGAATAAGGGATTTAATCACTGAAACAGGCCATTAAATGCTTTTAAGAAGTTATTTTCTAAAGAGCGTACATTAGTGTCTGTGGGTATAGTCAAAGGGCAATTTCTCCTTATGTCCTCCAAACCTTCATACAAAAGCACCTCCTTTCACTGTGCATCTGTCTTTATTCCCTCTCTATTTAGGGCCCTTGGTTCTTACTTTTTTTTCCCTTCATTATCTTCAGCTGGACTGACTGAGAACTTGCATATGTGGTGTTAAATTCATGCAACTTCAGAAGATATATTGAAACAAATCAACACTATGAATTTTGCAGTTGTATAGTTAATTATAGTTTAAAAATTACTATTAATGAAATTACTTAAATATAATACTAATAAGTGAATACAAAATTATTATTGATAAAGGCTATATAGTTTTTAAAATATTCTCTAGTATATATGGTTAGTGTAATATAATGCATTAAATTCTCTTATCTTTTCAACATTTGAATGGAATAAAAAGAAGTAATGCTAAAGTTGGAAGATAATAGGTTTTTGGAAAGTTTTTTTTTTTTAATTTTCACCTTGGAATAATAGAACCTGCATGTTGATCCGGCATTGTAGTAGGAAAAGCATGTAAGTGCAGCCTTCATAATGATGCTAGCAACTGTTTCTTATGAAGTGATCCAGTGGATCTTGCTGTCTCTTTCCTTCTGGGAGTCTTCTATCAGCTAGTGATAGGTCACAGGGAAATGCCAATGGGTTCTGCCACAGTAGAGTCTTAAGAAAGGCAGCTTAGACAAATCCCAAAACCTATGAACCACATCTACATGAGTTATATTTTCATTCACTTCAAACCATTTCCCTGTTATTTAAATGTTATTTATTTGCTGTTTTTTTTTTAAGTTTAAAACTTACTTTTCTTGGGCAAATCAGATTTGTAGAATGAGAAAAGCGAGTACATTTTTCTTTAGACATGATTTTTTGATGGCCCTTGGCAAAAAATATGACAATGTAGGCCTCTCAAGTGAAATGTCTCATTACTTAGTTTTGGTAACATAGTACAACTCACATTTACTTCTCATGGTGTGAAATTTCAAATTTAAACAGAAGTAGATAGAATAATACAATCAGCTCTCCTATAGGTATTATCCAGCTGCAACAATATCAACCATGGGCAATCTTACTACATCTAAACCACTGCTCCCTCTCTCCTATTATTTTAAAGCAAATCTCAGATATATAATCTCATAGTAAATATGTATGTGTTTAATCAGTAATAGAAATGTACTTTTAAAATATGTATGTGTTTAATCAGTAATAGAAATGTACTTTTAAAATGTAGTCATGTGGCACAATTGTTAATCAAAACAACACCTGTTGCTTACTAGTTATGTCTTGCAATCTTAGAGCTGAGCAAGCTTCTCTAGATGAGTAGACCAGTATCCATTTTAAAACCTGATTTAAAGGGCACTCCAGATGGTTCAAGTTTTTTTTTCAGAAAGAAGTAATAGGTAAATAATGGATATTAAAAGGAGAAGATATTGGTCAAAATCAGGCAAAATATGGGCTAGTGGATCCTCAAGGTAATAAGCAAAGGAATGACAAGTTGCAATTTTTCTTTAAAAGGGAAGCAATCTTATAAGAATTAAATTAAAGAAGGCAGAATTTTGGAGATTGAGGGTGACATTTAAAAAGTCATGTAAATCAATAAAATTTAGGATATAGGTAATTCTTTAGGACAAATAACTAGTTTTAATCATCAAATAAATTGCAAGAGGGGAGAAAAAGAGATGAGTTGTGATTGAAAGACACTTAAAAGACATTATCAACCAATGAGAGTATGAACCCTGTTTGGATTTTGACTCAAACAAACTAAAGGTCAGGGTGCAGGGAGGGGAGAGAATATCAGAGATGTTTGAACACTACCTGGATATTTGATAATATTAAGGAAATGCTGGTTTGAGGTGATGGATATGCTAATTACACTGATTCGATCATTACAAATTGTATATATGTATTGAAATACCTTTCTGTACAATTACTAAATGTCAATTTAAAATATAAATTTAAAAAATAATCAAAGGACAAATAACAAGATAGTATTGGTGTGTGAGACCTACATAAAAAGGCAGTAACCTCATATTTAAAAATGCAGCCTCTGAGATAGAACCTGAATGTGTTTAAGTTTTCAGTGAGTATTGCTTGATAGGCTAGGGACTTACCCATTTTTCTGGCATTATTTCAATGGGAAGATGTCTCATGAGTTACAATAGATGATAACAGGTTGGATATGCCTCTGGTTCACCCTAATGCAGCTGAGAGAAGCTGGAAAGAGTGCCCCTGTGCTCTCTTAGAGCTGGAAGGACAGCTAGTCATGCAGGAAGAAGGGCAGTTCTCCAGCCACTGCATATGCTGAACATACAGGGAGTGGAAGAATGGAAGATGGGAGGGCAAAAGAAGGGTAAGGAAAGGAAGAGATAAGAAAGAAAGGGGATAGGAGGAGAGGGAGAAGGAGGAGGGAAAGAAAAGGGGGCTGACCACTAATAATTATTGAATGGTTAATTCTAGGCATCATGCCAAGTATTTGACTTGTATTATCTCAATTCCCTTGACCATGAACAATTAGTGTGAGTAGAATGATCCCATTCATGGCAATCCAAGTGGAAGAGATTCTGCCTTCTTTCTTCAGCAGCAGTGGCAGCAAGAAGCATTATACATTTAGCGGGACTACACAAGTTCTCACTGGATTATTTTAATGTCTTAATACAGATTTCATGTTTTAAAAGATGAGGATAGTGAATTAACAATTGAATGGAATTACTAGCTAATTTTTTGGAGGATAAGGGGCCCTAACTCTGGATGATAAAATACCACCAGATAACACTCTACTCCAAAGGCAGAAGTAGTCCCAACTTTCTCAGGCCAATCAATTTTAAAGTAGTCAGTAAAGGAGTAAGATAAACAACTGTCAAGATTTTGGTTGTAGTTTTCAGCTCTGAGCCCTATCCAGAGCAGTTCTTCCAACCTTTCCTTCCCTTGACTGAGCCCAAAAAGGACAGAAGTGGTGGCCTTTTCTCTCTCCATCCTGATACACAGTGGTTCAAACCAGTTTCCTCTTCAGTGCTCTTAATGAAGAGCATTGAATGTGGTTCAATGCAGTTTTCTCTTCATTACTGGGTTTTTCCTCTACTATGAATCCACCAGTTCCATCCCTCCCATGATCTCTGACATTCAATCACACATTTTTTTTTGCATCATCTCTGAGAATTCCTCAAATTCCTAATAGAGGCAGGGCAGGATTTGAACCTGTTCCCAGGGAAATGTCATTTTCCTTTTCTCCTTGGATATTCATTTGCCTCATCCTTTGAGCTTTCCACACATTCCTGTCTCTATCCCACTCCATTTAGAATTTTGTCATATTGGTTAAGATGATTATGGTTGCATAGATAGATAATTCACTTTCCAATGGTTGAATAATAGTTGTTTATTACTCCACATGGCAATAGGTCTAGAGGTGGATCCCCCCAGCTAGACTGTGGAGCACAGTGGAGTCTCTTTCCATTTTCTGCTCTGCTATCTCACTTAGTCCTAGTGTTTGTTCATTGCAAGAATCAGGAAGGTTGTCTGTAGGCCAAAAAGGAGGGGCTCTTTCTTCTAGACATCACTTTCTTTTTTTTTCTGGAAGTGAAATATTACTCTGAGGTTTCCAAGTAGATGTCCGTCCAGCTGGTCAGCCATGACCTGGCTTCATGGAAACTGGCAAAACCAGACCATGATGATTTTAGCCTTTATCATGGCAGCAGACTGCCATCATGGATGAAGAAGGTGGGGAATGGCAATTGAGTAGATTGCCAGTAGCATCTACCACACTGGTATCTCTCTTATTGAATTTTCATTCTCATTCATTCTCTAAGGAAGAGATTCTGCCCTCTTTCTTCAGCAGCAGTGGCAGCAAGAAGCATTATACATTCGGTGGGACTACCCACATTCTCACTGGATTATTTTAATGTCTTAATAAAAGTCAGTGTCATACTCAAATGTGTCCATCCCTGATGACAGTCAACTAACACTTTAAGATCAAGCCTGGGTGTCTTGACATTCTTACCTCAGAGTGATTTCTGTTTTCTTCCAGGGGATCCATGGAGAGGTGAATGGTCATCTTGCTTCTGGTCTTTGTACAAGGGTCATAGTCTGGGGACCAAGTCATTATTCCCAAAATGTCCCTTTATTTTGTCCCAGTGAGCCCACTGGATAAATAGATAAAACTCAGAGAAGCCAGGACTCCCAGTGGGAATGCAAATGAATGTCCCTTCAGAGATGTTCATCAGATAATCAAAGTCTGATGTAGAATTAAATGGTCTCCTGACAGATGAGCCTTCAAATATGAATTGATACAGAATACCAGCAACATTTCAGCCACTGCTATTCACATGTTGTTAGACAGGCATGACTTGTATGATAATAGTCACTGTAACGGATATAAAATTCCCTATACAACAAAGGTAAAAACATTTCACTTGCCTTTTTATTTTTTCTTTTCAAAATTGCATCTAATCCACTTGATGCTTCCTCTTACCAGGGAAATTGACTGTCAATTTCCATAAAGATTTTCTTACAGTGCCAACCCATCTTGATTATGCAGTGGTCCAGGTGGCCTAATATTGGTCCAGAACTCTCAGGAATGGTGCTCTGATCTTCAGGCCACCTGATTTCCACTTACCTGCTCATTGTCTATGTCCACATGGTCCCTTGAATGCAGGCAGAATTGCTGCTTTATGCCGTGTTTGGTTATTGAAGTCTCTTCTGTGGATAGACCCACTGGTGGCCATGACCCAGCCTCCTAAGGAGCCCTCCGTACCCATTCCCCTATGGAGTCTGCATGTCCAGCAACCTCCTTCAAGTACTTTCTTCTTTTCCCCCCGCCCCACCGTGAGATGATATTCTCCTCAGAGGGCCTTAGGAAACACTAGTCTGGACTCTGTTCTTTGTATGATGAGTGTAGGGGAAGGATATAAGAGTGGTGAGTTGTTTTCTCACTAACTCATCCTGTTATAGATAGGATACATTCCATATTGAAATGGAATAAAATTAGATTCTGGATTGTCCTGGTGATGAAGTAGCTACTTATAAAATATCAAATCATCACATGCTGTTGAGCATTTTGCTGGTGCGCTTAGCCAGTGTTTCCCTTTCATTTGCTGGGCTGCCTCCATGCTCTTTCACATCGTGGATTGTGCTCTTAGGAGACCCTTTTCTTCCATTCTGCATGTCAAATCCCACCCACCTAACTAGACACAGTGTATAGTCCACCTTCTTCATCAAGCCCTACGAAACTTCTCACACATTCCCTGAATTGAGGAAACCGTTTCCTTTTGCTGTATCATTGGAAGACTTTGCTACACCTGTGTTATAGTATTCATCCTATTCTACCTTTGGTTGTCATTATGTATGTGGATGTTGTACCCATTGTATTGGTATGTAAACCCTTTGAGAGGAGGGCTATGTTTTCTTCTTTGTGATTCATCTTCAGTCCCTAGAAACTAACTGAATTGAACTGATACAAATTAGTTGTCCCCTGACCATAAATAGTATATAACAGGACACAAAATATATAGACATGGTACATAAGTAAATTAATGATATGAACAATGAAAAGAGATGTCCTGAACAGTCCAGAGTTGATTGCTAAGGACAATGACTGTTCTAACACCTTCTGATGGTAAGAGGGAGGACCATGGTGAGCTGAGGGCGTCAAGAAAAGCCTCATAGCTGTCTTTACAACTTGAGATGGATATTGTGTCATCATGAAAATTTTACTGAGTAGAAAGAAAAGGAGAGGACAGGGAAGGCATGGAAATAGAGAGAATGATAGAAATGACTTAAGCATCTTTTGGTTATTTTGGGTACATCAGAAAGACTACCATCTTCCCCCCTCCCGTGATACCTTATGTTTTCATCAAACTTTAAAACTTAGAAACTGCTGTCACATATACTACTTTATATGATTCATCTAGTGAGGTCCATAGACTGAATTTCATTCCATTGCAAATAACATTGTAAAGGAGATTCACTGTGTATAGTCAAAATGGACTCCATTGGTAATAGATATGCTTGGTACCAAAAGTAATGATGACGAGGATGACACTGATGGTGACGATACTGACGATAGTAATAACACTTACTGAATACTCACTATGTGCCCAGCATGTGCAAAATGTTTTGCATATATTAATACTAAACCTCCCAACACCTTGAAAGTCGAATTTTTAAGCCATCTCTAGATTAATAGGGGTTGAGTCGTTTGCTCTGCATCACACAGCTGTTGTTCGGTAGAACTGGGGCTCATATTGAAGTCTATTTTATTCCAAAGTCCAGTCATTTTTCATTCCCTAGAGCCCTAACGGCTGACAAACATGACAAAGGGAAGAGCACAAGTGTCATCTCATGATATGTGCTTAACTCACACCTTCGATAGGGTACAAATGTAATCTGCATTAACCTGCTCAAAGTTCAGCACCAGGTAAAGGCATTGCATTTACTTAGTGCTTCATCTTATTTGCGAATACAGATATGTGGGCTTAGGCAATTACCTCCTTAGTTAATGACTTAATTGCCTCTTCAAGGTTTGATCTTGATACTCAAATCATCTCCCCGCTACCAACCCTATTTTTGTTGACACCTCAAAACCCATTTTTGGGCCTTTGTCCTTAGTTGCTGCCCAGGGTCCTCTGGTGATAGCATTCCAAGTGGGGGACATTCAACTGAAAGTGAGGCAAACAGTTGAAACCCCACGGCCTCCTTAACACAGGGATTGAAAACCTCCAAGCGATCACCAGAAATTTATGTTTGCTGTTAGAAAATTGCTTTGGGAAATGACGTGGATCAAAGAAGTAAATTTTATGTCAAGATTAACTTTAGTAGTGAGCAAAGCAGAATTTGGGGGGAGAAAAAAAAATATCCCTAGGTGTTTCATTACACTTGTATTAACATTCTTTAATATTTACCACACTCATACTTTTTGAGCCAAACTGTCAGTGAAGGCATTGAACTACAGAGAAGATTCAGGAATTTCTCTGGAGAGGATAACTTCAGTCTCATTTTACAAACAGAAGCTGTTTATTACAGATGTGCTTCAAACAGCTGGCAGTTGTTGAAAGAATTAAGGTGAAAAATAAAATTCCTAAAAACCCCACCACACATAAACCAGGAATCCACTGCCTCTGGACTGGCCCAGATTCTTCAGCCTGTTTCCAGAAATTGCTGTTATGCAGTCTGCACAGACGGTGGAGTGCTTGGACTAGGAAGGGAGGGGAGGAAGCTTGGCAGGGCACCAGCTTGGAGCTCGATTTTTCTTCTTTTTTATTCCCCCCACAAAGAGCTGGGCCTGGTAGAAAATAAAACAAAAACAGATCCTTTTCCTCTCTCACATCTGCTTTCATCCCAGTTCTTTGGGGTTGGTGGCCCCGGATAAACCAGTGGAGCTCAGCAGGCTGCTCGCTGCTGAATGTGTTGCTGGATTTTGCTGCAGTTCAGTGCTGCTTGGCTGTGAGGTCCAAGAACACTGTTTCTCATGGGCCGACAGATATGGGACCACAGTAGTAGCCTTTGTGTGAGGGTTCAGAAAAACAACGCGTGCACTTTTAAGATGGGAGTAATATGATGCGATAAATGGTTAATTAAGCCGAGATGGATTTCTTTCCCACCTTCTTCCAGAAGTCTCCATTTCAGCTCTTAGAAGATCTAGCAGATATATGCTGCGGATGAGAGGTCTGCTCAGAGAAGGAGGACTGGGGACTGAATCTGTTGACAGAACTGGGAAGAACCATAATATTAAAATAAATAAATAAATAAAAGGCAGTCACCTGAGGCAAGTGTCAAAGCATCTGTAGTGGCTAAGGGATCTTTGTAACTTCCCTCTTAACATTCCAGTTGCCATTGACTAACAGAGAGGGTGCTATTCTTCATCCTGTTTACTAATTATTCTGCAATATTACTTGCCCTACTAATCTCTACCCCAGTTCTCGCCTCTTTAGAGATAATTTTTATATTACTGATTTAGTGTTCTCATTAAAGAAACCTCTTAAATCCTCTTCTTAGCTTCTGCTTCTAGGAGCCAATTGCTCCTAATGCCATCCACATTTCCCCTGAGGCTATTTTTATAAACATAACATGTCACTCTACTGTGGTGATGGGGCAGGAGTGGGACTAATGCTGATTGAGAATCTACTATTGGCCAGCAATTTGGCCAACTCAATGCACATGCTCTCTGATAATCTTCCTAAAAACCAGCAAGGCAGCCACTGATATGACCATTTTACAGGTGTGGACACCCAGGTTCACAGAGTCACACTAGTGACTGTCTAAGGCCACTTAGCCCACTTGGGTCAGACTGTGTTATACGGTAGGGAAAAAAGTCAACTGACAGGAGGGACTTCTTCCTAATAAGAAGTCAAAAGTGTACTTGCCTCCCTGCTCCCTGCTACGGATGATGGAGTAATGAAGGACTTAATTCACAGCAGTGACCAAGAGCAGGAATTTAAATCCCTGTGGAGGAGAGTTTGAAGGATATGGGCCTCAAAAGTCACTGTGTGTGAGGGGCCAACCACAGAGCTTGGGTTCTCATCACTCTCCTCCCACTGCCTTAAATCTTTGCATAGGACCTCACAGTTTTTGAAGTTCTGTCACTCACATGATCTCATTTGATCCTTACCAGATCCTTGTGAAGCAGGCTGAGCAAGGATTGTTTTCTGAATTTTATAGACAAGGGAATTGAGGTACAGAAAAGTGCTGATTTATCTAAGCCAGCAAATGGCAGAAGCTCTGTCTAATTAATTCCATGCCAGATAGTTTTTTAGTACATCATGAGGCCTCCAAATAAAGACAACTCTGGGATGTGTTGAATGCAGAAGGAGCTGATAAGACAAAGTCCTTCACATGAACCTGTCCAAATAGTCTCAGTCCTGGTTTTGAATACTGAAGTACCCAAACTTCCTTGACCTTCTCATTTCTTCCCCAGTGATTACCGTGGGTAAGAAAAAAAACAGCAGAAAGTAAAAGCGTCATGAAACCTCACCATGGTGAGGTTGGTGAGGCTCCCGTGATGCTTTTACTTTTTGCTGTTTTTTTCTCCCACATGGTAATCATTATCTAGCTCAGTGTTTCCCAGCCATTTTTTTTCATTCTCCCACTGCCCCCTTGAAAATACTATTTAGACATTTTTTTTCCTAATTACTCCCCCTCCCTGAAATCTTAATACCACAGATATGTTGTATATCTTTTTATGTACTATATGTATATCTGTGGTTTACCCCAAAAATTAGTACAATTTATTTCACCCACATAAGAAACAATGTTTGCTCCCTCAGTGCCATTTTGCTCTTGTTGTGAATGCCTGGTGTAGCTCATAACTATGAATTCGGTAAAAAGAAAAGAAGGAAGGAAGGATGGAGGGAGGGAAAGAAAAAATGAAGGGAGAGTAGAAAACAAACAAACAATAAAACAAGCCAGCAATGACGTAAAACACTAAACTGACGATGTCCTCAATTTCCCAACAGCTCTAGCATTCCCTGCTAGTATAGATTCAAGTATTGAGGTTTCACTATGGCCAAAGCATTGCCAATATTTCTGTCCAAAGCTGGGACAGAGCATGCTTTAATCATTCTGTGAGTGAATCCCAAAGAACAAGGTGTGGCTTGAAACACACTCAACTTTTGGAATCTCAATTCCCTAGTTGCAAACGAGAATGTTCCCTCTGACCAAAGATAGTTTTTCCTCGTGGGATTTAGTAGATCTCTAAAGACGTTGGAGTCTTTCCCTTGGGGGAAGTTCATCGCTTTGCCTGTTGATAAGCGATAGCAAAGGAGAATGCATAGAAAGTTACTCTTACTTTTATTTTCTCCTCCTTAACTTCATACCCTGCCTAACAAATTGGAGAACTAGAAGGAAAGCCAGAATTCACCACTACAGACCTAAGAAAGAAAGGTCTGGACAGGTGGAACCAACTTGCTCAAGGGCCAGGAGCAAATTAGTGTCAAAGCTGGGACATGGAGTTTGTCTCTTGATACAGGACCTCCTCTGCCAGAAGAAAGGGTCAACCTCAGATGTGTACTTCATCATTTGTTAAATTTCCTTGAGCAGCATCCAACTATGGCTGTGATTACACAAAGAAAAAGCTTCTTTAAATAAACACCAGCAAATCTGCTTCAGCTGAAGATGTATGCTTAGTGTCCCAGGGGCCAGTATGATTTAATATTGCCAATATTAAATAAGAGTTTGGGGCTTGGATAACAATTGCAAGCTGGGTAGCAGTTTTTCACCTCCAGGAATTGACTATAGATAGCAAACAGCTCAGATGTGGAAACAGTTTTTCCACATCACCAGAAGGCCCTTGTAGCTGGCTGCTAGCCTTCAGCTCCTATGAAAACTGGAAGATGTGTGTGCACATGGCCACGTGTATTCCAGGATCAGGTTCACCAGGGCTGCCAGACCACAGTGGTAAAGGCAAGCCACTAAAGAACCAGAACAAAGTCAGTGAGTGGTGTATGGGCTAAGGCCTGGCCAGTTAGAAAGCTGGGAAGGAAGCCATGTGTAGTCTTTGCAACTCCAGACTTCACTGCCTCCATATCCCTCTTTTAGGCCCAGTGCTTTCAGGAATTCAGGTTTTTGAGTCTCATCCTATCACAGAAGAAAATGGTGACAGCCTAGCTTTGCAGGATGACAATCCTGGTTACACCCTGATTCAACCCCTTCCTGGCTATGTGACCTTGTTTTGTTCATCTTTTATTTAGAAAACACTTATCTAGTACTTGCCACATGCCAGACACCATTCTAAGCACTTTATAAGGAATAACTCTTTCATTCTCAGTAACAATGGGCTTAATTCTTATAACAACCCTATGTCCATTTTATAGATGAAGGAACTGAGGATCAGAAAGGTTAATTGCCTTGCCAAAGTCACTCAGCCAGAATTTGAACCCAAGGAATGTGTCTCCCTTGACACATCCTACCATGGTAAGTGACCTTGGGCAAGTTGTTGACCCACCCCAACCTCAGTTTACCTGTTTGTAAAGGGAGGATGCTAATACTACTCTGAACGAGGAGGGATGAAGGCTTTTTGCAGGGCTTAAATGAGAAAATCTTAAGGATTTTGCAGGTTGCCAGGCACCTAGCAAGTAAAATATATGATTAACACTCCTATAGGTGGAGGTCATGTTTCATAAATGGATCAAGAAGAAGTGGAGGCCTCTTCTGCATACTCTCATGGTGAGTCTGATAGGCCTATGCCAGCATAGTCCTCTTGAGAATGCCTCACCTTCGCAGGTGCAATCATTTATAAGTTAAATGGTTCTATTGTTCACTCCACAAATGTTGACTTAAGCTCTGAACAAGAAATGTTGTGCTACTTTGATTGAATGAGTTGAGCAATATAATCGGAAGTTAAAAGCATCTGAGTGATATGTTATGTTTAGTGGCATTTCAGTTATAATGTGGTTTCTCCTTTTCTTTCCTACAGCATGTTTGCTCTTTTTTTTGTACCTTTATGATTTTTGAAATAATATGCAAAAAAGATCAGTATGAAACACTCAGACAAAAAATGGCCTGGACAGCAAAGCAGTGCTGCTGCATTCTGAAAAGTCCCATTATTTTTAAAATAAAAATTTAATAAAATAAAAGAAACACAGTCTCAGTTTCAGGGAAATATAGATTTCACCATAAATGCAATCACTATGGAGCAGAGACAGTGAGGCAAAATAACAGAGTGAGTGGTTGTTCTGCAGCTGAGGGACAAATGACAGAATTGCCTTGGCCAGCTGAAGACAGATTGTTGCATTGTTCCATTAATTGTGTGTAACTTGGCTTTTCCAGACCTTTCTGTGGCAGACTAATCCAGCTCTGTGTGCTGCTGAGCCATCTCACTTATACTGAAGGCTGCCTACAATATCTCTAAGATAGAGAGCCCTGCTACACATAGTTTGCAATATTGAGAGTTCTTCACTGAGGATAAATATGCTGATGGTGAACACCTAAAAATATGTGATTTTTAAAGAGGACTTTGGTTTAAGGAGGTAAAATATGACAGAAGATCCAATCTTTATCCTGGCTTTACTTTAAGCCCCATAAACTGTTGACTAATCTGCTCTTGTAAGAGAGCATTCACTTGTGTTGTTTCATTTAAGGGGAACAAGGTGGGATGTCCTGGCCAAATGTATGCTACCCGTCTGTTTAAGTGCCTGAAATTCCAGCATTAGAGTGATTTCCTTTGGTTATTTCCCCCAAAGATCCTTGTTTAAGTTGCAAAAATCCCCGGAGTAGAATTATCACCACTCCACCGATCAGTGTCCTACTAGGATTTATGTTTACATTCTTGGAAGAGCTGGTGGCAAATCTGCGGATGCAGTGGACTGAGTGGAAAGGGAATATTTTGGTGTTAGGGGTATTTGGAAAGAATTGATGCCTATTTGGTTGTCTCTTGGGTGTCGTGGAGTCTCCTTTGGCAAAGAAAAGAGTGTCAGGCTTGGGATTGGGGTGGAGACACAGAGGGGCAGTGGTGAAACTATGATGTCAAACTTTGTAACTGCAGGACTTCAGTGGGAGGAGGTGTAGGAGCCTGTGTGCAATGGGTTTTCCAGGAATCCTCCTAAAGAAGTTATTGATTTGTATATTTTGAGCAGGACTAGCTTTACCTCATAATGACACAACCAATCAGAGAAGGAAAGGAAGGTGGTAGCGGGAGAAGGACTCAGAATTTAGAAGAGACATTTCTCAGTGCCAGCCCAGCAGTAACAATGACCTTGGGCAAGCTACTGAACCTTTTCAGATTTGAGTCTTCTTGCCTTAAAAATGGGACAAGTTTATGTCTGCCTTGTGAAATTATTGGGAGAGTAAAAACAAATATAAGAATAATTCTAAACAGCGCTTTGTAAACTAGAGTGCTCAGAGACTAATTCTAAGTACACCGATGCTTGCACGTCTTTCTTCTATCAGTGCCACCAGATGGAGTCAATGGCAGGAGGTGGGAAGGTGACTCCCTTCTCCCTGCCATGTAGCCCACGTAACCTGACCCCATGGAGCCCTGACCCCATGGAGCCCTGACCCCATGGAGCCCAGGCACCAGCCAACCATGTCTTTTTAAAGAGCTGCAGTCAGACTTTTGGATCTTGTAGATTGCTGAGTTGTCCATGCTGTGAGTAGGCAACCCGCTAGCTCAGTGCTTCTCAGCCTTAGCTGAACTATGGAATCACCTGGGAAGCTTAAAAAAAATAATAATAATAATAAAAATAATTCTCCTCACCAAGGCCACACCCCAGACCAGTTAACTCACAATCTGTTGAGGGTGGGGTCCAGGAGTCAGTATTTATTGAGGCTCCCAAGTGGTTCCAGTGTGCAGCCAGGGTTGACAAGCACTCTGCTAGCTGAGCAATAGAGAAATAAGATGCAGCTAGAGAACGAATTCCTTCTTCTCATAACACGAGGGAAAATAACTTTACAACATTACATTGAGAACAGACAAATAGCTAACCTGGTGGACCAGAATAAAGAAATGATTGAAAAGGATTGAGGAGTCAGTGTAATCACAGCTACTTATGTTAACTTGAGTAGCATAAAACACAGATCTTGAAACTCTCTCCTCTTCCTCTCTTTTTCTTTTTTCTTTCTGTTTTGTTTTGTTCTCTCTTCTCCTCTCATCTCCTTCTCCCACCTTGCCTTTTTTTCTTCTCAATCTCTCTTTCTCTCTCTTTCCCTCCCATCCCATACCCCATTTTACTAGAAAGGTCTCTCAATTCCTAATATCCATTGTGGCCACTTACAATGTAGTATGTCATTTTGAGAGTCCTGAACAAATTTTTTTTTTTTTTGTGGGTAGGGGGCTACCTCACACCACATCCCTGTGTCTCAGGTCTCATGTGCGGGTGAGTGTGTGTGTCCTCTCTAGGATTCCCTTTCATCTCTTCTGCACATTCTAAAAACCCAATTCTCCCACCCATACATGCCTGAGCTTTCTCATCTTCTCCTCTGTTTTCCAGCATGTCCACCTACCTCTCTGAAGCCCCTGACTCTCAGTGAATTTTTTTTTAACCTATATCTGCTCATTAATATTCAGGCAAGCCTGATGAATCAGAATGTCTGGAGGAATAGGAATTCAGGGGAATTTTAATTTTCTGGTTAAGTGACACTCTCTTGAAAACCACTTTTGTTTCAAGTTTTATTGTGGGGAAAAAATGGTAAAATAGAAGCCCCAAACTGGAAAGGTTCTTAGGGAATACCTAGAAGAATCCTTCTAAAAGTAGACACAGAGACCAATTGCAGTAAGATGATTAACAGATGATCCCAGGCATGTAAATGACAGTACTATGTCTAAAGATGATAACTCCTGACTTCTAGACCCTATTTCTTCCAGAGCGCTTACTTGACCTGCCCTGCAGAAATGTTATGATTAACCAGAACCAAATGTGAATTATATTCTTTTAAGTGAATTCTCTAGTTCCTTATAATTTCATCTGCCCATGAACCTCACTCATCTGTGTTGCCTGTCTGTCCCCAGATGAATTTCAGTTTGCAGTTCTTGTATCTCTAGACTATCCTGTTTCTAAGGACTGAGATCATTTCCCTAAATATGTGCACCCTACTCACCAGACTGAGCACATTGATTTTTTTCTAGCTTATTTTTTTTTAGTTTTTTACGATTATTGCGGGTACATAGTAGATGCATAAATTTATGGGGTACATGAGATATTTTGATAGAGGCATGCAATGTGTAACAATTGCATCATGGAAAATGAGGTATCTATCACCTCAAGCATTTATTTTTTTAGCACACTGATTTTTAAAATAGAGGTTCATCACCACCTCACATACATTACAGTTTTGGTTGGGGAAGAAGAAGGCACAGGCTGGTGGGTTGGATTTGTTCAGACTGCAGAACCCCTCCTGGAAGGAATATCAAGTTTCTCATTTTCCTTCTTGTTAATTAAATCTCCACTGTTAACTTGATTTTTTTTTCCTGTTTCCTAAATGAGGTATTGCTAAAGAAAAAGTGGGTCAATTGAGGGTTCTGACTAGTTTTGTCCTAGTTAATTTAAGTTTTGCCATATGTTCTTTGAGAAGCATGTGTTAACTATGTGTTAACTTTTGCTGATTATCAGTGAACCTAAGGGCTTTTAATTTAGATTTCCAGTTACCTGGCAAGAGAAAGACTTAAAAGGAATAAGTCTAGGTAAATCTAAAACTAACTCAGAAGTAAGACCATTCCTTGTAAAGCTGAAGCACAGCATGATGCTTTAGATAGCACCATTACTTTCTGTCGTGGAGCAGGGTTTTTCAACTTCAGCACTCTTGACATTTTAGGTCAAATAATTATTTGATGTGGGGGATGTCCTTTGCTTGTAGGATGTTTCACAGTATCCAGACATCTACCTACTGGATACCAGTAGCACCATCTCACCCATGCATAAAAATTTTAACTGTCTCCAGACACAAACAAGTAAATGTCTACTGGGTGGCAAATTTGCCCCTGGTTGAGAACCAGTACCATAGACACATGATCCATTTAATCACTAAGGAAGAAATGCAGATAAATCCCTGACAATAACATATGGATGTCTCTACTTTACTCTCTCTGAGTCTAAAATCCTATTTTAAGGGGTCGGACTGAATGTACTGGCCATTTCTTCTCCTGGAACCCCGGAGAAGTCTCCTCTATTGGCAGAGTCCTGCATTGCCCAATTACCAGTGACCAGAGCAAACAAGTCATGGTCAGAATTCCTGGATTTCACCACTGTGCCCATGGCATTCAACAAGAATGTGTTGAGCATGTATCCTGTTCCCAGTCTAGTTCTAGGCTCTTTGTTAGGTGTAGGAGTGGAGGGGCAACCATTCAAGGAATAAAGAAACAGTGTGTAGTGAAAAGGCCACCAAGTCAATTAGCACATCCCAGTGCTTCCAATCACTAGCTGGGTGACTTTGCACAATGTACCTGACTTCTGTAAGCCTCAGGTTCTTCATGTGAAGATAAGGTTGCTAGCACCTCCCTCACTTATTGTGATCTAGATAAAGGCACCATACCAGCGACTGCTCAGTAAATTGTATTTCTCCATCTCATTTATATCTTTGTCTAAATTGTAAGAATGCAATTGCCAGGCCCTTCACTTTGAGTAAAAAAAGCAAAAGTCTTCAGAAATTGTGTCCAGTTGAGCAAGGCCAGGAGATGGTGCCCAATCAGAAGTAAGAATTTTGCCTCCTGAATCCCAGAAAAACAAAAAAATCAGAGTAGAGCATACTTTAATGGAAAAATACTGAGGTGGAAAATACTCTCAAAAAATATATTCCCATTTGCTGGCTCTTCCCACTAGACAGCAGGTTACACTCTGCTGTGGCATAAGGAGCCCAGAAGTTCCCCAGCCTGCAAAGCGTCTACCTACTCATTAACTAATGCCTGAAAATACCATCAGCCATATCAGTCATTTATATCTTAACTGTCACTGATTTTATCAGATCCTTTCCTGAATAAAAGTTTGATTATGAAGAAGAAAGTATTAGGATGATTAGTGCTAGAAGGTAGTTACATAATGGTCACCTGCCTGCGCGTGTATGGGTGTGTGTGTGTGGTTATATATGTGTGTGTGTGTGGTACTATGTGGTTTTATATATTATATATTATATATATATATACACACACACACATGTGTGCATATTTGTGTGTGTGCTGTTATATATACAGAGATAGATTGAGAGGTAGGAGTGTGTGTGTATATTTCAGAAGCACATTTAATGGTCATATTCTAGCTAATTCCTTTTTTTTGACATTCTAAACCTATCTCAAAATATATTTCAGAAGCACATTTAATGGTCATATTCTAGCTAATTCCTTTTTATTTGACATTCTGTCAATGGCAGACCCAAATCAGCCAACATCGCCACTCATCTAGAGGAGATAATTTATGTTTATTTTGACTACCCTGAAACATTATGACACTCTTGCTCCAAAACAGATATAATTTCTGGTTCTTTGATAATTTTCTCTGTGAGAGGGGTATGTGATGATGTTCCTTCTACCATCTCATGTGATCCATCAATGCCCTGTTCTACTGGGCCATGTCAGATAGACTAGGCATCAAACTTGCTGACAAGTCGACTAAAATAAGCCGGAAACACAAGTGGCCCCTAATCCTACCAGAGATCTGTGTGTACTTGCTTGGAAAACTTGGGAGGAATAACAAGTGGCATTTGCCCCTCTGATTACTTACATATACTCATAAATGTGTTGTTGATGCTAAATCATACCAAATGTCTGCCTTCTTGAAGGCAGAGAGAAAAGGTTGGGGGCTCTTCTACTTTGATGAGTTCAGAAGAATATTTTTAAATGGTTGAGAAAACTATTTCCTTTTACTGGAATAACCTTTCCTTTGCGATGGTAACTTTGTAGTCTTGGGAGTATAGGCTGCATTGTGGGTAGGTGGTCTCAACTATTAATATCAAGGCTAAGATCTGAGCATCAGGGACTGCCTATTTTTTCTGAGTGCAGCAGAGGACAGGTCTCATTTAACCTGCTTCCTCTGGTCCAACCTAAAAAACTACTAGGGCTAAGACTGGTGTGAGAGTGTCATTTGTCATGTGAAAAGACTTTTTTTCTATATAAATATTCGAAAAACCTCAATACCACTGCTGAACTTTAATCAGCTGGGAAGGTACTGCAAATGGAGGGTCAATCCATCACAATGCCCAGGACGAGACGTGAATTGTGGCCTTAAGTTCTTTTCAGATAGCACAGCATAATGAGATTAGCACCCTCTGTGGGAAGAATAAAAAAAAGGTGCTACACCTTTAAAAATTAGATTCTCTTTTAAATGCTTAGTAGTTTGCTTAGAGGGGTCAGAGCAAGTTTCTTGAAGCTTAAAGATTAATTAATTTGAGAAAGAAAAGATTTCAAGTGTTACAAAACCTTAGTTAAAACTACCACTTTCCCTTATTCCTGCCGTTTCCCCCCACCTCCCCCCACCAATCTCCAGAGCTAGAGGCACAGGGGCATGAAATGATGTGAGCTAAATTCCCGTTTGTGTAGACAACGTTTGCTTGCCTACAAAGACACACAACGCAGAAACATACAGACACACACACAAAGTAAGAACATAGCTTTCTATGGTCATCATTTGCTCTTAAGCTCCCAGATTGCAGATTCCTCTTTCCAATGGTTCTTCATGAAATGCGTATGGACTTAAGATCTTCTACATACATGATGTTTAATCATGGGCAGGGTGGGAGGAGTAGCATAAAACAAAGCACGATTATTCTCTCTCTGTCTTATGGCCACCTTGAAACAAGAAGAGTGAAAGATAAAAATGTCTTGGGGATAGGAGATAAACTACAGTTTCCAATATTCAGATTTCTAGAGGGTAGGAGGGGACTTGTGGTTCTGATGCTTGCCAGAAAGGTTTTGCTTCTGAAAGCTTTCCCTGTAAGCACACCCACACAGCTCTTTAATGCACCAAGCCAAAGCAGCTTTGGGCGCTGGATTCCTGTAGCCTTCCTATGAGATGGTTAAGTTCACGGAATCCAAGGAGCCCTCCTTCAGTTGCTACATTTTTTGTTTTCTAAAAAAGGTATGCCGTCTTCTAGAGGAGGTCGCTTTAGTAGGGTTTTAGGTAAGGCACATCCCTGAGAGAATCTTTTTCCTGCTACCCCTGCTCTTGGAGTGGTATGCTATTTAGAAAGGCAAACCCAAATGATTATGCTTAAATTCAAAACCCCCTCCTCAAAGTTATCAAACAAAGCACCTCTCTTCTAGAACACTAATAGTCTGAATGGGTGTCATGTGCATGATGTGTGTCATAATGTCATGTTTTAATTATAAATAAAGCAAGATGAAGTTTCCTGGCCAGGAAAAATGAGCTGGGGTGTTGGGGTGTGTGTGTGTGTGTGTGTGTGTGTGTGTGTGTGTGTGTGTGTGTGTGTGTAAGAAGCTGTCTCCCAGGGCTTAACATCTTAAAAGACATTTGCAAAATATTTCTCTTGAAAGAGACTCTTAGAAATACTATTTTTAGGCATACTGGTTTCTCCATAGGTAAAAGAGAAACCTACCACCAACCCTTAGCTTAAGGAAACCTTCTGGTGATACCATTCTGCATTTCAAAAAGCTGATTTTGCCTCCTAAGATTGGTAGCTGGAGACATTTGCATGTTGGGGGATGGTAGTGTGTGGTTCCCCATCCCCCCATTCCCTCTTCCTGCTATTTGGACTTCTCTCTCTCAAAAAAAAGGAAAAATAAAAACAGAAAGATGCAACTCTTTAGTGTCCGTTAGAGAGGGAAGAGAAAGACTTAGGGACATGGGCTACATTGGTTCAGCATCTGTCATCCATGACAGTTTATTTCAATCATACATTTGCTTAAATTGTCATCTGATGAAGGAGCCCTCCGTCCAATGCACACAGCCTTCCCCTTCCCTTCTCTGCACCCACCAACTGCCACTACCACCACCTCCTCACTCTTTAGTTCAATAGAAACTGAAATCTCAATGATGGACCTGGAAACCTATGAGGGGTGAGAAGGAGCAATCATCACTCTCAACACAGAAAAAAAAAAAAGGGAAAGCAAGCATTACACAAAAGGGCCATCTGAGAAGAGGCAGCTTTTCTGTCCTGGGTTAACAAATTATTCCCATCTCAGAAATATGCAAACACAGGATCAAATGAGTATCTTCTCCCACTCTCCCCACCCCATCACTGCTCTGTCACCTCTGCCCCTAAAGTCTCTTGCTACAAGTCATTACCCTGCAGGCATTCATCCTAAGGTAGGTTTTTCTCCTCATTCCCCATAGAAACTAGGAATGTGCTGTCACTGTTTGGGAGCCTAAGCTTGCTGCAGTCTTAGCAATGTGCTCCAGAAGCACAGCTTTCAGCCCTAAACATCGGGATTCTGCCTCCTTCCCCTCAGCCAGACCAAAGAGAGCAGTGAGCTGAGGGGCTCCCTTTAACAGGGGGTACAAGAAGGGCACAAATGCTACTAAGTCTGGTGAATCAAAGACTCAGGAGAATTAAGAACAGGTGGCATTTGGGGATGAGATTTTGAGGTGATTTGAAAGATGGTTACATTAAGTGCAAAAATGTTTCGTGTTCCTAGGAGAAACTGTCTGGCATTGCTTTTTAAAAACCATTTGCAATGCTCTCTGCTTTAAAGGCTGAGTAAGGGTGCCCAGTCCTCAGTCCACCTCTCAGTTGCCTGAAGGTGGTTAGATTGCACTGTCCCTGCCCCAGTAATATAAAGGGTCTTGCAGTTTTTCTTTTTCTAGTCCTTACACATGTGGAGTAAATTAACATAAATCATTAATCTGATAAGCTTTCTTTGCCCTTCTTTAAAATTTCAAATTGAATCTGACTACGTTGCTCCTGGATTTTCCTTCTGGCCCCTGGACAACTCCCTCCCCACCCACCAAGGAAATTTTAACTGTTGCTTTTCTTGTAACACAGGTAACAATTCATTTAGGTTACACCAGTCTGTAAAAACTGTAAATGCTATTTTATTTTAAACATTTTAGTTTACAAAAAAAAAAAAAATCAATGATTGGTACCTTTTTTACACTCTCAGATTCCTGAATATGGACAGATCTTCAAAGGGAGGAAGGAGTTCTCATATGAAATTTAAGATAGACTGTCCTGAAGGTTGTGGGGTGGGGTTTTTTGTTGTGTTTTAATTCGCTTTTGTTTTTAAGACACAATAAAGCTAAAATGTCAAGTCTCTGGGAGAGATCCCCTTAAAGTTTCAGTCAAGGAGCATATCAGAGCACAGACAAGGAGACCCCAGCCTGGTGCCCGCCGGCCCGTCCCGGCTGCCCAGGCGTATTTGGTAGCGCATGGGTTGAGAGCCACTGGGACAATCACACCTCGCATTCCCTCGCGGGCTGCTGGTGGCAGGTACACGAGCCATACTCGTTGATGATCACCAGGGCTCCCTCAATGTGGTTCGGTTTGTAATCAACGTAGTATTCCTGGGCAGACATGGCAGCCATCTGATGCATGGTCTGTTTCTGCTTTTGCTTCCTGCGCTGCGTGACAAAGCACTGTCTGAGCTGCCTGAGGCTGGCTGGGAAACACTTCCAGGACACGTAGAGCACCAGGACCACGATGAGGAAGGAGAAGATGAGGGCCATGGTGCCCGTGACCACCTTGTGGATCTGCACGGCGTTCTCGGCGTGCTCGCCGCCTGGAAGAGCCACGGTGGCAGGCTCGAATGTGCCGTCGTGCTGCCCCTCCCCGCCGTCCGCGAGCGTGGTGGCCGAGCTGGCAGGGGGCCCCAGATCACTGCGGTTGGTGACGGCCGAGAGCAGGTGGCCGCTGGTGGGCTCGGCCCCATCCTCGCACAGGTGGAAGGCGTACACGGCGTCCAGGACGTCCTCGCCCTGTGCGTACTCCGGGCTGGCGCACTGCAAGTTGCCATCGTAGCGCCCCTGGAAGTTGTTGAGCCACGAGGCTAGGGCACACACGTTGCGCCCGCAATCCCACAGGTTCCCGGCCAGGGTGATGCTTGTCAGGGACTTCCAAGAGTTGAGGATCCGGGGCTCGATGTAGGTGAGGCGGTTGGAGTCCAGCTGCAGGGACTGCAGGTGCGGCACGGTCTCGAACACATGGGGCTCCATGTACTCGATCTCGTTGCCCGACAAGTCCATTTTCTCCAGGTTCCAAACCCAGTCCAGCGAGCTGACCACAATGGCCACCTTGTTCCTCCGCAGGCAGAGCGAGTGCAGGGAGATGAGGCGCGGGAAGTGGGCGAAGTTCACCTTGACCAAGTCGTTGTGCTCGAGGTGCAGCTCGGTGAGCTTAAACAAGCCGGCGAAAGAGTTGCGCGCCAGACTCTTGAGCTGATTGTATCCGATGTCGAGAAACTTGAGGCTGCGGCAGTCCTGGAAGATGCGCACGGGCACAAACTGGATGGCGTTGGCCCGCATATGCAGCGTGGTGAGCTTCCGCAGCCCGTGGAAGAGGTCGGGCGCGAGCGCCTGCAGCTTGTTGTACGAGAGGTCCACGCTGCGCAGGTTGGGCATGGGCCGGAAGGTGGTGTTGGGCAGTTGGGTGATCTGGTTGGAACTCAGCGTGAGTTCCTTAACTCGGCGCAGTTTCTGAAAGGCGTCCCCCTGCACGGAGCAGATGTGATTGTGATCCAGATAGAGCCACGTGAGCTGCATTAACCCCGTGAACTGGCCGGCGCGCAGCTCCGAGAGGCTGTTGTAGCGCAGGGACAAGCCCAGCAGGCCGGACAGGTTGTGGGGCGCCTCGGTGAGGTTGAGCGCCTCGCAGTACAGCAGCCGCCCCTCGCACCGGCACAGCTGCGGGCACCCGCTGGGGGCGGCGGGCAGCATCTGAAAGCAGGCCCCCAGCAGACACAAGACCACCCCCGAGGGCCTCCTCAGCAGCCAGTATAGACAGAGACCGAGCAGCAGGAAATCCATTAGCGAGAATCTTTCCAGAGAGACTGGAGAATGTCCATTGGAAGCGCTCGGTCAGAAATCTACATCATATTTTATTCCGAGGGAGGGGAAGCGGGGGAGGGGGAGAAAAGGGCAAAAAATCAAATAAATACATAGAAATAAAGAAGGACCCCCCTCCCCAAAAACCACACGTTCACCTCTAAGCATGCAGAAAGCTGGGCAGCATAGAAAGTTCACAGCCACGGAAAGATCAAAGAGATGGTGATTTGGTCCATGTTAGATGCTGCAGCAAAGAAAAGGGAGGAAAAAAAAAATCTTCGGGAAAGAATTTAATTAAAAAGTGTCTTACCCACCCTTTTCCAGAGAGTGACAACCTCCATTCAGCTGCTCCCTTTGTGTGCAGGCTAATTATATGCAGGGCGAGAGAAGACCCCTCTGTGTTTCCGAGGCAGCCCCGGTCCGCGGCCGGCGGATCTGGCAGGCGCACAATGTCTCACTTTGCTGCTCGGCTCGGGGCTGCAAGGGCGGCCGGCAAGGCGGGGAGGCGACTTCTAGGACCCGCAAGTTTCCCAACTACGTGCCGGAGCCCGAGCTTCGCCTTCCTGCCGCCTTCCTTTCCCTCTGCAGTTCGGACTGTGACGTTGTGGGGGGAAAAAACTCCAAACTCGGGGCTCGCGACTCCCCAGGATCTGACAGTCTGGTTAATGTCCGTCATTGGAAACGACCACTGACCGGCGCCACCTTTTACTCCGCGGAAACAGCCTGCCATTCGCGCCCCGGGCAGCTGCAGAGAGCGGGCTCACTCATGCTTTGCGGGCGGCGGGCGGCGGGCGGCGGGCGGTGGGGAGGTGCGGACGGCGGCGCGGGGAGCGGCGAGCGGCGCCCGGGCTCCTTCCCTCCACCAGGCAGTGTGCGGCGCGAGCTTGCACAGGCACCTACTGCTCACTGAGTGTCGTAAGCTGCTCACGATTGTGCGTCTTCCCCGAGCACCTCAGACATGGGCAGATTGAAAAGGGGTGGGCATAAAACCAACATTTTACCGAACCACTAAAGTAATATATGTTTTTTGATGAAACGGAAAACACTTTCAGCTTTTTTGTCCATATTTCAAAAAAAAAAAAAAAAAAAAAAAGGAGGGGGGAGGGAGGTGGAGGTAGGGGTAGCATCATCCACGACAAGATATTTCCAAGTGGGAAACTGAAATGTTCTGTGCTCTCCCCCTTGCCTTTTGGGGATATATTCTTTTCCCCTTTAAAACTGTCTACGTGTAAGAGATACGTAGGAATCTGTAGAGAAATCAACGTTTGGACCTTTGCTTTAGAAAAGCAACTTGAGAGAAGACACAGGAAGGCAATGATTTGGGGCTTGGCTAAGATTTTTGGGGTTTTTTCCCCCTCTTGCGGGTACTGGAATTCTGCAGTCAGCCAGCCCTTTTTTGAGGTGGAGAGGGGAAATGCTTTCCAAACCCACCTAGTTTGGGAAGCCATCCAAGTCCCGGTGGTGTGAGATCCAGTGTGGCAAAAAGGTATGTCTGTGTGCAGGGAGACTTGACTGAGATCCCTCCGGGGCTTCATCAGGCTCCACAGATACATATGGGGTACAGAGTGGATTAAAGAACGATTGTACTGTCTGACATGGGGAGGGCTTACCCTGACTTGTGCTGTTCATGGTGATTACTGGGCCCTGCAGTGCACCCCACTCCAAGAGAGTGTGAATGTGTAGGGACGTGATAGTTTAAGCCATAATGAAGCCTACCCGTCTCCATACACACATCCTAATTAATCTTTGAGACTGCACTAAGTTGTGCCACTTTTTCCTCTGAGTATGACGAGAAGCCTTTGCCTCATTATTTCTATTCATAATCATTTATAGATAGGAGTCCTTACAATGAGCTCTCCCCCCACCTCCCCACACACACACCTTGTGCCTACTGGTCTGTAGAGGGTCTGCCCTGGGGAGGGTCAGTTGGTCATCTGTTTAAACAAAGTCCTCCAAGATGGCTGAGAAAGCCTGCGGGAAGTGAGTGTGGGCAAGCCTTCCTTCTTGACAAAGATGCCCAGGGAGATGGTAGGGAGAGTCAAATGTGAGTCTCCAGCTCCACTGTTTGAATTCCCATCGTTTCTGCCTCTAAGGAAGTCAAAATCAGTAGGCATTATATGTAGTGGCACTTACTTTGATAGGAATGAGGGTGGATTACCAGAGCCAGGGTAGATAGACTGGACAAGTAACTGGATTGGTCCTTAGCATCTAAGCTGAAGAGGCCAACCAATGGAATCAAAGTCACCAAAGACTGGTGGTACTTTTCAGGAAAAGTCATATGAACAGGGGCATGAATCATTCCATTTTGTATTCATCTGAGCTCTGCCCTGGTCATTCATCTCTGAGATGTATCATTTAATTGGAAGGAACACAAATCTGAAATGTCCTAGACATCACATGCTGTCTTAGGAGTTAGAAGAGACATTAGAAAATCAACCCCCTTAATTTTGCACGTGACTAAACTGAGGCCAAGAGACATCATGGTTTATCCAAGGTCATACAGCTTGCAACTGGCACAGATGGTTTTTTCTTTCTTTCTTTCTTTTCTTTTCTTTTCTTTTCTTTTCTTTCTTTCTTTCTTTCTTTCTTTCTTTCTTTCTTTCTTTCTTTCTTTCTCTCTCTCTCTTTCTTTCTTTCTTAATTTGCCATTCTTGATGATTGCCTCTCTGTCACTCTTGCTGCCTACCTAACTCTGGATCAGGCATTTGCATGTTTCATCCTGGCACCTCCAAGGTGCTGCGGAACACTTTAACAGACAGACAAACAAATTCACCATCAAGTGGTTTCACCTCTTGCCAAGACAATTATTCGTGACAGCAGGCCAGCTGATGGAGCCATAAACTCTAAAGGGTTGGGAGGTGGGGGAGGGGTGTTGAGGAGGCACCCGCAGGGTTAAACAGCGGCCAGCCATTCAGCGAGTACTGTGAGTACACACCACCCAATCCCTAGGGTTGCTAGGAAAAAAAAAAATCCTCCTAATGCTGGCTGCTTGGCAAAGTGGTGACAGAGGCTGCCAAATGGGCAAGAAGAGGTCCCACTTTGGATGTCACTTGATTTGTAGAGCTGGTGCAGAGAGGCAGAAGAGTTGAGTGTTGGCAAGAAAGAAAGGGAATAAAATTAAATTCACTGATTTATATGTGAGTTTTCTTCTAAGTGTGCTACTCAAAACTTACAAGATGCTCCTAGGCTGTAATTAAAATAAATAAATTATATATATATATTATATATAAATATATATTTTCTATATATTGCTTTTTGCATTATTATCCTGCAAATCATTTCATCTATATGGTATCTTTAAGCCTTTCCCACCTCTAATGTGGCAAGTTTGCATCTTTTCTACAGTTTTAAACCCCTTGGCAGAACCGTATACATTAACAGATTGAAATGAGCTTTATTGAAATTTAGCTATTCTAAGTCATCTAAGTTGCAGAATCCCAATTTATTATGTATTTAAAGCATACCAGCACTGATTAAATCAATGCAAATTAGGTTAAATAAGAACAACATGAATCGAGTGTTTCAGCAAAGTTGAATCGAGAAACGACAACTTTTGAGTCACCACAGCAAGTCGATATGGCTGTTTTTCATGAGTTTTAATTTCATGCCTGTAAGTGTCCAATGAACTAAAAAAGGAAAAAAAGAAAAAAAAAGCTCACCTGAAGTTTTTTTTCTTTCCTCCTGCTTATTCTCTCATATGTCTGTACCTGTCTTTTGAAAATATCTGATTCACCAGGTTACAATGTAGCTATTGCATGTACTGGATCAATCTCTTCTTCCCGGGTGACCATAGATTTCTGTTGGCAAACTTCTTCTTCAAATGTTGTATATTGGATAAGAGATGCTTTATATGCTTTGAAAATACCCTTGACATTTTCCATGTTTGTCAGGGGAAGGAACCTGAGCTCATCTAGCTGAACCGCTATAGCTGCAAGTCTAGTACTAATAGTTGGGCATCAAGAATACCATCCCAAGCCATCATGCCAACATGTGATTGGGCACTGAGGCCAGACCTCCAGTTTGGGGTAAGAAATGATAAGAATCTTGAAAATATGGATTCAGCAAATGGGAAGGAAGTCTGGGTTATATGAGTTATGAATCTGATGGCCAAACATAATCTGGAACTAAGGGGAGGTAGAAGAGAGAAGCTCATGGAGCAAATTCGTTGTAGTTAGAGAGGCCAGAAGTATAGCTTGACGGAGGGAAGAGTCGATTAATTCCTTCTCTCTTCAACCTTGTAAATTAGCCTTTGCCTAATGAGCCCTCCTGTTTTTCGTGGTACTCTATGTTGTGAAGTGGAGTGGGGGAGTAACATACAATTTTTTTTTTGGTATGTCATTACTTCTGTTTTATCTCAACACTTCCAATTTGTTCATTTTAGTCAAAATAATTTGTGAACACAGAGGTGCAAGTGCAGAAAGTCTGAAATGAATCTGCATTCTGGGGATTGGCTTTCCATTAGCAATCTTTGTCAATGTTCAAGGAAGGAAATTTGAGTGATTATTTTAATGTTCTGTCATCGCTAGCACCAGCCTGGACCTTGATCTTTATGCTGTTGTCTTTAATTTTCAGTGGCAGCGAACCATGGCTTTTCTTTAAAAGGAAACCTTTAGAAGAATTGGCGGAGAGTGGGAGTCACAATTTCAAAAAGAGAGAATTAACTTTGTTGTTTCTGTGGGCACATACCATACAGCTGGCATTTTACAGAATGCTCAAAAGGTGCATGGAGAGGCTGAGGGTGGGGGCCCCAAGGCTGCTCTCAGGAGATCCACTTAGGAGAAACAAATTAGAAATTGAGGTCATTCTACTTATCAAACTTTGTCCAACTCTTAAAGCAACGTGGTAACATGGATAGCAATAAGAAACTAACTGCCATGCTCTATGAATGATGTAAATGATGAGAATAAATAATAAAAGAAATAATAAATGAATTAATAATAATAAATAGAAATGCAAGTTCTCCTGGGCATGGTGACTCATGCCTGTAATCCCAGCACTTTGGGAGGCTGAGGTGGGCAGATCATCTGAGGTCAGGAGTTTGAGGCCAGCCTGGCCAACATGGTGAAACCTGTGAAACCCCCTCTCTACTAAAACTACAAAAATTAGCCAGGCGTGGTGGTGGGTGCCTGTAATCCCAGCTACTCAGGAGGCTGAGGCAGGAGAATCACTTGAACCTGGGAGGTGGAGGTTGCAGTGAGCCGAGATCACGCCACTGCATTCCAGCCTGGACAACAGAGTGAGACTCTGTCTCAGAAAAAGGAAAAAAGAAAAAAAAGAGAGAGAGAGAGAGAAAGAAAAGAAAGAAATGCCAGTTCATGAGGCCTGTCCTCCCTCTCCACAGGTTTTCTCTATACTGGTGTAGAGAACATACTGGTGCTCTGATTATGCCATGTTATGCTTACCTATGTTTTTATATTCTCTCCATCTTTGCTTACCTTCATTTTAACTATCCTTCAAGGTTGATGGCAAATCTCCTCTATGATTTCTTAACTGACTCCGAGGCCCCTGCCCTCTATAAAGCAATCCCTTTTTCTTCTTCTGAACTCCATTAGCAGCTTACTTTTATCAATCTTGTGGTCCTGTTCACTTTATATGAGTGTGGCAATAATTTCTAATGATAGTATTTTAAAACTGAAAGGGACATTAAACATCTTGGAGATAAAGAATAAAAAGACCTTGTTGGGATTTCTGCTTTGCCACTTTTTAATCGGTATAACCCTATACAAGTCACTTCTTGGTCAGTGAAATAGGGCTAAGGATGGCTATCTCAGAGGATACTTGGGGTAATTAAATGAAATCATGTAAACTCTATAGAGTTTGTTCATTTAATTTTTGTCACTTCTGTGTTTCTCTATTTACATTTTTTTTTGTTTTTGAGACGGAGTCTCGCACGGTCACCCAGGCTGGAGTGCAGTGGCATGATCTCGGGTCACTGCAACCTCCTTCTCCCGGGTTCAAGTGATTATCCTGCCTCAGCCTCCCAAGTAGCTGGGATTACAGGCGCCCGCCACCACACCCAGCTACCACATCTCAAAAAAAAAAAAATGTAAATAGAGAAACACAGAAGTCACAAAGATTAAATGAACAAACTCTAATAGAGTTTGGCCACTCAAAAGTGTAGGCCTGAGACCACAAACCTTGGAGCTTATTAGAAATGTAGATTCTCAGGCCTCTCCCCAGACCCATGGAATCAAATCTGCATTTAACCATTAGCCCCAGGTAATTAAATTTTGAGATGCATTATTGGAACATTCACAAATTTTAACCTGAAATAAAAACCCAGATATCATTGATTCCCTAGTTTTGTAATTGAGAAGCTAAAGGGACAGAAATGTTAAGTGATTGCCCACCCTTGCTAGTGGAATTGGGTCCAAAAAAATAAAACTTTCTGAATAATGTGTTTTCTCTCCTATTAGATTTTAAACACTTAGAATGGAAAGTCTATGTGTACCACAGGCCTGAGCACTTAGCAGGGCTCTTAAAGTTTGATTTTGTAATTGGTACAGCAGGCAGTGTAGAGCCTTCATAGGTGCTAGCTTTAGGTATCTTTCAGCTGGTTTATTCCCATATTATCCTAGGAGATAATGGTATTCTGACATCTGGCATAAGACTTTGATTGCAGTCTTCCAAGGCAGGCAGAGTTGCATGGTAATTGATCCCATGGGGCAGCCCAACATGTTGCCCCTTCACACATACAATTTTGGAAGAGTCAAGACAGCAGGGACAAGTGAGGGGAGGTAAGTTGGAGGTGCATTAGGGTTGTCTTTCTGGGAAAAGCTTTGATGTTAACAGAGTTTGCTTACATTACTCCTCAGTTTTCTTATCACTGCCAATCTGCTACTATGGCATGTGTGTATTTCTCATGAATACTTTATTATAAAAAATGTACTTTGGGAGGCCGAGGCGGGTGGATCACTTGAGGTCAGGAGTTCTAGACCAGCCTGACCAACATGATGAAACCCTGTCTCTACTGAAAATACAAAAAATTAGCTGGGCCTGGTGACGGGCGCCTGTAATCCCAGCTACTTGGGAAGCTGAGGCAGGAGAATCACTTGAACCCGGGAGGCGGATGTTGCAGTGATCTGAGATCGCGCTACTGCACTCCAGCCTGGGTGACAGTGCGAGACTCCATCTCAAAAAAAAAAAAAAAAAATGTAAATAGAGAAACACAGAAGTGACAAAAATTAAATGAACATGAAGTCACCTAAAATTCAATCACCAGAGATGAACTATTAAGTTTTGGGTATACATTCTTTCAGAATTTGTCTGCTCTTATTTATTAATTAGGTTGTTTCTGGTTTTTAGTCATTATAAAATTTACTGTGATTAATATCCTTATACCTTTGAATATATGGGCGCCCATGCCTTTAAATGTTTATTCTAGAAGTGGAATTGGTGTTCAAAGGATGAGGATTTTAAAAAAACTATTAATACATAATGCCAAATTGTCATCCTGAAAGATTTCACACTTTTCATCCTCAATAGTTGCTTTGCTGCTTTCTCTTTGCCTTGAGAAACCCCCATGATACCATAAATTAAAACATGTTTTGGGGCCCCTCTCCTTCATCTGGCTGGGGCCCCGACCTGTATTTCTGTCTGCCTTTGTTTATTATGCCTTGGAATCATTCTTCCTCTTCACACCCATTTCCTCATTCCATCCTATGAAGGCAATTCCCACTTCAGAAAGAGGGCTGGCTTGGGGCCTTCAAGATTCCTTCTGGGAGTTTACGTGGACTTAATTCCTGCATCTTATTAAGTAGCTGGCCAGCCAAATTATTTTCACAAAGCCATTAATATCTGAAAATGGATTAATCCAGCATTACTTAAAATGCTCTACGAGGGTAAAAGTATTTAAATGCATTTGTGAAATGCACAAGGCTTTGTTCTGTTGTTCCTGTTTCACTCTCATAAGAAATCTCAGTCTCACAATCTCAGTTGTAAGAAATCTTGTTTTTCATGGTTTCAGCCATTTATTTGGGATTTCTATTAACACTAAACCAGAACAGTTTTGAAAACTTATTTAATTGCAGTTTATATTGCATTTGACTTTAAACTGGCTATCACTTTACCAAGACATTCCAAGGTTCAGATTTCAAGCATTATAGAAGAATGCTGGTGCAGGAACCTGTTTTATGTCATAATTTTATCAATTATGGGGGATACCTAGACAACTACAGTTCTTCTACTTGCTATTAGCAAATTTCACCTTCTCATCCTAGCCATAAATAAAGGAACTGTTAGAAATGCTTGTTCCTCATTGCCACAAAGAAATAGCATTCGAACATAAATTTGATTCTCTCAGCAAGGCAGTTTTTACTTTCTTCAGAAAGGGTGCTCATCGCAGATGGAACAATGGCCAGAGCACACCTGGACAGAGGAGGGGCAGGAGTTCTTACTCCTTACGCAGGTAGCCCCTACTGCTGTGTGGTTCCCCTATTGGCTAGGGTTGGACCGCACAGTCTAAGCTAATTCTGATGGGCTATTTAAAGAGGGCGGGGGTATGAGCCAGAGTAGCGGGGTGAGTAGTTGGTGGGGACAACGGTTAGAAACAGGTAACTAAAAGTGACTTAGGTCAGAGCAGGTGACCAAGGGTGACTCAGGTCAAAGCAGGTGACCAGAATGAGTCAGGACAGAGCAGATGACCAGGGGAACAGATGTGAACTACTGATTAGGACTAGTGGGAAAGTTGTTTACTGAAACTAGAAGCAAGTGGGCAAAGAGAACCAGGAAGTTAAACTTTAAAATGGAGAATCAAAGAATAAGAGAGCTGAACCTACTGACGTACTGATTTTGTGAAGAGAAACTTGGGGTTCAATATATTTAACAGAACCAATTTAATTCTATAGTAAGTTCTGTCTGCTCTGTCTCTGATATTCCTTGACACTTAATTATCTTGTTTTATAGAATTTTACAGATGTTGGAAATTTTGTCCTCACAGATAAAATGAAACTCTCTAAGAACAGACATATTACTTTCTCTGTGTTTTAGACCTTCTAATATCTACCTTTAAAGGGAGAAGAAGATCAGATGTGAGAGACCAGATATAGAGACATGAGAATTGCCACATAGCACTAGTAAATATGTTTTCTCTTCTCTTAGTGCAGTCTGCGTAGTTCTGGGTTTGTAAACACTCTCATTGAATTGAGTTTATTAACTAGTTTGAATGCTTGCCTAATCAATAGCCTGTGGAATCTAAATTAAATATAAAAACCTCTATATTACATTGACATATAGACACAAGCCATTAGCCCAGCAAAGCCAAAACTCTTGAGTTGAAGTCACACAGATTAATGCCTTTATGTGTGGCCTCCTGTTGCAGATCTATTAGTTGTAGGAAATCCCTCACCATCCATAAGCAACAGGTCTTCAGTGGTAAACTAACCTGCCTAGTTAGATGCATTTATCTCTTCATTCAAGCTGTCTCACTCCTCAATCTCTGACAAGAATCTTGAAAATGCCTTTCTAATTATTTAACATACGTGTTTGCTGCTATTCTTGTTTTTGTTCATTTGTTGTAAGTCAGATGGAATTTTACCCGATGAGAAGCAGAGTTAGATAAAATGTGGTGCCTACCCTGTGTGTTCACAGTTCTGGAGTGGAGATGATGAGTAACAAACCAATATTATTCATGCTATGGCAGAGATGTAAACAAGAGCTGTGGTTGAAGAGATTTTTCTAGCTAATTGAGCAAGACCAGGTAGAGGAAGGAAGACGAATTGACCAGATGGATGGATGGAGAAGGCCACTCCAGTCAGTAGGCAAAGTCTGTGAAAAAAATATGAAGACTTCTGAGATGCATACCATGTCTGGAGCACAGGTATGCAGGAGAAGGGGGTAAGAAAGGAGTGTGAATTTAGTGCCAGATTGGAAAGACTTTCAACTAGAAATATGATTTCCAAAATGTGAGTACAAGGAATATAATTCTGATGACTCCCTTGAACATGAATGGAGGAGAAAGGATACTGAAAGCAATGAGAGCAGTTGGCAGACTACCATATCTTCCCAAATGAGATACTATGTGGGCTATGTTCACATTACAAATGGGCAGGGCAGCAGGTGCAATAATAGCTCTGCAGTGGATTGACAAACTTTTAAGTGGTACTCTTTCCAAGAAAGGTGATTTCAATAGATGGATTGCTCTAGGGGAGAAGGGAGGCAAGGAAGAGTAGGATGTAAAAGCCAGCTAAGCTCACACTTGGAGCCAGGAGTGAGCAGTTGAAGATCTGAACAGACATTAGAGCTGCACATATAGATCAGGGAGTCCCTGGAATGTGCTTGGTGGCTATAGTGGTGGCAGTAGATGCAAATTCCAGAAAGAAAGATTAGAATACCAGCTGATGCACAATCAAAAGTTTTCACAGTCCAGTAAGGTAATATCTGGGGTAGCAGTTAGATGAGGAATAACAGGACCTTGTGTTACCTACAAAGTGCAGATTTTGATTAAAAGCATTCAAATTCTAATTTATTACAACTGAATTTTGTTAGTGAGCAAATGATATTGTGAACTGTATTCAGCTTAAGGAATACCAGTTTGCAGAGCCTCTAAGTGATGATTCTCAACAAGAAAGAATAGGATGGGGCGGAAGAAGTAGAGATCGCCTCAATAGGAAGGACAGTTTAGTAAAATTAGGAAACACTCCCCTAGTCCATAGCAAGCAGCCTTTAACATATAGGGATGGCCATGGGACTGTCATTATTATGAACTTCATGTGGCTGTGGAAGAGATAAAATATGGTTGATCCTGATAGATTTGGAGAGGACATTGGATGGTCAAGATCACCAACAATGGGGGAGGATGCCTGACCATGAGTGAAGCTGCAAAGGAAACGTGTAAGGATGATGCTGTCTGCCTCATGGTTCTATGTCAATGTCTAGCTGGTGTTGAGTGTATCATTTCTGAAGAGGGTTTGCCATTGGCATATCACATCAATGTAAGATTATTCCTTTGCGGATAGACCTTATATTCCTTCCTCAAACATGGAACAAGGTGATGGCTGGAGGTCATGTCCTTCAGAGGCAAATCTATATTTGCATTTTAGCAGAAGAATTTGAGACATCTAATAACATTGTGAAAAGCATTTTCAAATTTCTGACTTCGTATTAGCCTGAAAACTGTTCTGCCATTTAGAAGCTGTGTGATCTGGGCAAGTGACTTAACCCCTGAGCAGAAACATTCAACATAGTAAAACAAAGGAAAAATGAGTTGAATTATAAAAACAGAAAATAGTTAAAATGCTATTGCAATAACTACCTATATCAATTTCTACTATGCCAGGGCAAAAATCACACCCTATAGATTGAAGAAAAGGAGGGAAAATAATCATAAGCACAAATTGCATTGTGCCCAGTATCTCAGACTTTTGACTGCTCCCTCTTTAGATATCTGTTCCTACTTTAGAGGCTGCATAAAAAGCAAAATCAAAATGAAAAAGGCAGCAACAAACACTCCAAAACATGGTGGTTAAAACAACAATCACTTTATTTAGTTTCTGGCAATATGTGTTGGCTGAGTATAACTTCTGTGGGGACCAGGTTGACTGAAAGCTGTGGTGCTCGCTCAAGTGTCCATGATCAACTGGAAAATTAGCAGAAGACTGGACAATCCAGGATGGCTTCACTCACAGGGATGGCAATTGGCAGCCTGTTGGCTGGGACTCAACTAACTTTAGGTTAGGGTACCTGAGTTCTCTCCCGCATGTCGTCTCATCCTCCAGTAGGCTAGCTCTGGTGCAATCAGGTGGTGATTGTAGGGTTCCAAGAGCAGCAAAGGAGAAGTCCCAGTGCGCAAACACTTTTCAAGTCTCACCATTTGGCAAATTGCTGTTGTCTGTTAACTAAAGCCAATCACATGGTCAGTCTGAATCAAGGAGTGGAGAAATAGGCTCCACCTCTTGATGGGACGGGAAGAATTTATAGTTGTTTTTGCAGTTTAAGTACAGCAGCAGTGGTGGCTTAATATTATTACAACTCTAAGTATGAAATGCTTTAAAGTGATTTTTATTTCTCAAGCCATGTGACTCTAACAGTATCATCCATAAACACTGAGGACCAGCAGTGCAGGTATCACCTATGGCTTGTTAGAAATGCAGAATCTCAGGCCCCACCCAAGACCCACTGTAACAAATCGGAATCTACATTTTTCCAAGATCTCCAAGTGATTCATAAGCCCGCTAAGGTTTTAGAAGCACTGTATCTTTTTGCTGTTTCTCCTAAGTCCCTTTCTTAGAATTGCTATCTTCTCTTGTTGAGTGATAGATCTTTGATTTTTAAAGGTGCCAGAACTGTTTCCTTCTGCACAACTGAAACAGAACAAACACAGGTTTATACAGTAAAACAGGTTGCTTCACAGCGTGAATAGCTAGAGAGAGAGGATATAACATTTTTATGCTCAATTGTCCTGTGCCTTTTTTTTAATGGAAATTGAAAAATTAAGATAACAGTACATAAATATTTAAAAATACTGTATTTAACCAGGCAGCACCATTCAGATATTAGAGCAATTTTTAAAGAAGTAGAAACAGCTAGGCATGTACTTAAACTGACCTTTTCCATTTCTGAACCATTACTTAACTGGACCTTGATTTTCTGAAGGTTCAAAGATTGATTCTCCAACCTTTAGTCTGCAGTTTAAATATCTCTAGAACATGTGCAAGTCTCGGGATACTCTTTAAGATTTTATACAATTAATAAGACCAACACAATTTAAGCATCTGGCATGTGCCGGCTGCTGGTCTCCCCTAGTTTGTTTTTACCTTAAGTCTGAACAGAGAGAGAGAGGAAAAAGCAATTTTGCATTAAAACCGAATGCTGTTGTTTTGTGTGATGTTTGCTTGCCATATTCTCTTCTCAAAATGGGACAACTTCTTTGAAGCTATAACTGATGTTCTTTTAACTATATATGCTTTGAGGTCCTGTTCTTGTCAATCAGTTAGCCAGCCAATCAATAGTTAACAAATATCTATTGAGTACTTCACATATGCAGGCATATTCTAGGTCTGGGGATACAGTGGGGAACAAAACTGAGCAACTTGGTAAGCAAATAGATTAATAAGATAATTTTAGGTACTGATAAAGGGAAAATTAAAGAAGACCATCTGGAAGAGAGAAATTGAGGGACTGGACCTGCTTTATCTACGGGTAGGCAAGGCTTCCTTGAGGTGGTGGTATTTGAGTTGACACCTGAATGATGAGCAAGGGGAAGCCATTTAAAGTGCCATGAGATATGCATACCAAGCAGAGAGAACAGAAGGTGCCAAGGCCCAGACACTAAACCAGACCTGGTCCAAGAGACTGTAAAATGGCTAGTGTGCTCAAGTGAGTGAGACGGGGATGAAGAGATGGGAAGGAGGATTTTGAACACAGGATATGCTTTCTTAAAGAATCCATGCACATTTTTATAAATGTTGACAAACATTCACCAGCATCCTCATAACCTCCACTAGACCTTATAAAGTGATTGATTGCTCTGTCTCAGGCACTAAATTAAAGCACTTTAATATATTAATTCCATTTATTCATCAAAATTCTGTGAGATCCTTCCACTTTCAGAATATACAAAGGAAATCAAGGCACAGTAAACTTAAGCTACGTGCCTTAACACAGCTGGTATTGATGATATAAAGTGATTTTTCTGCATTCCCTACACCCTTTTATGGAACAATTAAGAGGGCTGGATACCAATCAACTTTTTAACTCTGTAAAAGCCAAACTTGACCCTTTTAAAATCTTCCTTTCCCCAGGTTTAGACCCAACAAGAGGCAGGATGGGGCAATTCAAACTTTCCTCCTGGATTCCCACTCCTCTCGGCCCCCTTCTACCATCTGTTGCTGTTTGCGTAGAAAAAGAACAGAACAGAATACCGACAACCACACACATTCAGAAATCTCGTTTTGTATGTGGGAGTCTGGCTTCATTAACAAGTTTCTCAAACTCTCCCTGCACTACAACACCAATCTAAACATAACTCATTGAAGTCATGGGAATAGGCAATCATCAGCTTCATGATGCTCAGATGTCAGTGTCCAGATACATCACCTGCTACTTCCTTGTAACCTGCTTCAAGCAGGTTGTTTTTCTCAAGAACCTCTAAATAAATGATGCCTATTTCCATATTCTCTAGCCTCTGCATTGTCACTCTGATTCTAACTCCTATTAAATTTCCACCTTCTTTCTAAGGGGTCCCATTCTCACTCCAGACTACCCCTCACCCCATCTACCCCTACAAATCCGTATGTCCACGTATTCACCCATCCATTCCTCAATCATGTAGTGGGTACTTACTCTGTTTTCTTAACTGTGCTAAGTGCTAAGCTATATAAAATATTTTAGATAATAGTCTTTTCTTTGAAGAGTTCACTCACTAGTAGGAGAATCATACTCCCAGAAGTCCATATTAATCCCCTCCTTCTTTGAGATGTTACTTATCTAAAATTAAGAGAGCATTTTAAGTAAATTTAAATTTACTGTATTAAATTGCTCTGTGTTTGTTTCTGTGTGCCCCTCCTCCCCTGTTTTCCTTTATGCCTTCTAGTTTGAAATTTCTCAAGAGCAAAGTCCAGGTTGTATTCCTGGTGTAGTGAAGATAGAGTTGGGATAGTTATGTTTAGGTTTGGGTTTTGCCACTTACTAGTAATTTAGGGGGTAAATTCCTTCTCTATATAAAGAGTGGGAGTTGGGTTTGAGAATTTCTAAGATCCCGTTGAGCTTTGACATTCATGGGTTTCATGGATTCGTGAATTCTAAAATACCTAACAAGGTCTGGAAAGTGAAGGAAACATGCAATACAAAACTTGTTTCAAAGGCGTTTATTTTTAACTTATTTATGTGGTGGGTGGTTTTCTAACTGAAATGTAACATTGTCCCTGGCTTATAGACTGAGACAGAGTAAATTTAAAAACAAACTATTGAAAAATCAGATTGGACCTTTTTTGTGAAGCTGGGCCTTTCAACAGAGTGTTAGGTTAGGATTCTTTCCAAGCCCGTAGAGCAATGCAGACAAGAGATAGTCCCTTGGTAAGCCAATTCTCTATTTCAGCCTTCTTAGGGTGCTACCCCTTACACTAGACAGTCAACATTGGCAGTATCAGAATGATCCTAGAAGAGGTTTTAGTGTATGTTGGAATAATCCATAACTGATAATTTTAAAAAGATAATATGCTAGTGGCTTATCTCTGTGCTTTAGAAGGTATTATCAAATAAAGATTCTCACCCTTTATCAAACCCCATCACAGATGGGAGCCTGGCCTGGTTGCAACTCTATTCAAATGGTCTTCTGAATTCCTTTGACCATATGCACAGGTTAACTATGTTCAGACAGTAATAACCCTATATGGGTAAGTACTCATTTTAGAAAAACATAATTTTCTAAAAGAATTTAAATTCATCAACTACTTTTAATATAATTGGTATTTGAAGGATGTCTACCAATTTGGAATATAATTACCTAGCAAGGGCTGATGGATACCAACCAGTTTTTTTTTGTTGTTGTTGTTTTTATTTCAAACAATTAAATAGTTGTTCAACAAAACGAGACTGGCATATTGCCAAACTGGCCACATCTCCAGACCCAAACAGGATTTGTTTCATTACATAATATGGCGAACAGTATATTTCTTCTGTAGTTGTTGTGAACATTGCAAAGGCTTTAGAAATCTTTCTGAGATCCAAGTATACCACTCAGGATATTATTCAACCAACATGGAGAACAAAGTACTGTTTACTTTGATGGTTTTTCTCTTTCAGAATCTCTAAGGGCTGAAAATGAAAAGCAATACTTTGTGACTTTGGTGATGTGGATGTAGTGAGACTGTATCTGGGTCTCCAGTTCCACAATTCTGCTTTTCACTCTGATTCTGTTCCCACCTAGCACCCCATCCCAGGTGTAATAAGAATTCTTGAGTCATAAAGTAAACTAGATGGCATTTACCACCCACCTAAATGAAGTGGTGTCAGGAGGGTTAAAATAAGACATATTCAAAAGTCCTCCAGAAATATTTGATGTTCTGTATAAAGACGGTAACCATTCACAGACTGAGCCTTTCTGTAAAAGTGAGAGTGTCTCTTCCTGCAGCCTGCTGGTAGGAAATGAGGCAAGGTTTTTTATCCAACTATTTTGGGAGCAGATAAGAGAGGAATGGAATGTTATAAAGTAATAATAAGAATGTCAGAGAATAATCTTGTTCTGATTCTGACATTTGGCGATTGCCTTCATTCTGGACATTATTTTTCATCCAGGTAATATTTTTAAACAACTCAACAATAAATGTAAAGTTACTGTTAGAACCTAAATTTCTTCATCTAAAAAACAGGATTAATAGTCTTGCCTCATAGCACAACTTTTAAGAAAATAAACATAAAGTGATACATACACAGTTGGTTTCACAGGTACATTCTGCAGCTATGAGATAATTTTATTGTTTTTGTCACTTTTGTAAGGACCACTTCTAAAATAGTAGATCTGCTTATAGCATTGCCATTTCTCCTTCTATTTGGCCAAATAAGCACATTTTCCCAAAGTGGGGATCTATATTAGAAAAAGCCTTAATGTTTAACCCACCTCTGCTTTTCTCTTCTGACTTCAGCAGCTCTTGTACCTATCTCTAGGATTGAGCCTTCACCTTCTCCGAATTGTGATACAGTCAGCTGCTCGCCTCATAGAGTAATTGGGTGAGGAACAGACCATTTGAATTCACCCCCCGATGATTGCCATGTGGAGAAACCCTTACTTTCATTTCTTGTTAAATATCAAGTGTGGGATGAAGAGAGGCAACCTTAAAAATTTACTTGATTAGACTTAGACTTAATTATTAATATTAGACTGAGTGATTAATATCTTGCCACTTTAGCATTATCATTTTTAAAGTAAATCACAGATCTCATACATAATATTTTACGCTTAAATATTTTATGTATATATTTTAAAAAGCTGTTTTTACATAACCACAATGCTGTCATTGCAGCCTAGCAAATTAATGACATTATTTAATGTTATCTGTATATATAGTCCATATTTAGATGTGTCCAATTATTTCTCAATTTTTTTAAAGTTGAATGAGTTTTAATGTGTAACCAAAATATGTCTCCACATTTCATTAGGGTGGTGATGTCTTTAAGTGGGGACAGAGAAGAAGAATAACTCTATTCAGTTAAGCAAATCAGTCCACCATAGTGTGCCAATATTAATGTTTATTCACATAATCAAATATTTACTAAAGTTTTTAAAATATGCTAGATGGCACAGATATTTGGATATAACTTTTTTGACATGATAGGTTCTCTGACATGCCCACCTGTAAAAATGACTGAAAGAAATGATATAAGAAAAGTTAATTATGGATATAACATGGAAGAACTTGATAAACCCTCAAGTAAATATTTAGTGTATAGATTATAATAGAAAGGCCTCCTGGAAAAAAAAAGGAAATTGGAGAGGCTTTGGAGGTTTCATTGGGAGGGTTTAGAGATTTTCTATCGTAGGGAGATGGCACTAGGAAAAGGGTATTAAGATCCAGGCTTGACTGGTGGTGAGGATGTTCTGGACGAAGTCTAACTGGTAGGAACAGAAACACTCCCAGTACAGTGTATATTGAACGGAGTACAGATGCTGGGGGAAGTACGCATTGAGATGAAGTGAAAGAAGTAGGTTAGAGCTAGTGATTTGTCTTGAATCTGTTATTTCTTTATTGAACAGCATATTTTAAAATAATTTGTGGTGTATGAATTCATAAAATGTATGCAAATGAACTACAACCAGGAAAATTGTGGAATAAATCTTTTTTTTAAAAGCCTACCATGGTGGGCTTAAACAATCTGTCTTTTCTGATATATCAAAAAAGTCTGTATATGCTACAACCAGTTAGTTGTGGCAAGGTTTCGTTTTTGTGAATGCATGCACGCATGTACTTGTGGGCTCTGATGAATGAGAAATGCTAAATCACCAGTAATGGGAAATGTTAATGTAAATTGAGTTTTTACTGTGACTATGTTTAATCAATACCTTATTTCTGCTAACATGTTTTGCGAGGCTGGCTCTGGCATGGTAGGTAATCTATACTCTAGGAAAAGCTATAGCCCTTCTGAAGATTCTCTGTATTTTATTTATTTATTTATTTATTTATTTTAAAAAGGTGTATTAGGTTTCAGGGTAGAGTGGTTATTCCTCCTGCTGAGGAAGCAACAACAGAACAAAACATCATTTTAAATGTGGGTGTATTTTTTAAGATGAGGTTTGAGACATTCCTGGTATGTGTAGAATTTCATAGAACTACTTTATCAAAACATTTAGCTCACTTTTTTTCTTTCTAGAGAGCAAATTAATTACCATCTGATAAGCATGCTTAACTTTCTTCTTTCTAGTCTACTACCAGGCTTTTATTAGTTGGAGCCACTAAAGCAAACTCAATATACGTCACTGTCAATAAAATGCCCAGTGATTAAAACTAGGTAATACAGTGTCTTCCCTAAGCCCCTCATTTTATGTAGCGTGAAAACAGACCCATGAATGGGTGTAGATGTGCTGAACTGGAGAGAAATTGTGCCTTCCTCAGCTCACTCTGCACGGAGCCACTTCCCTGAAAGCCAGTGAACCTATTTACCATTGTCATAGTAACACACAATTCGGGCCCACGTAGACTTAATCCCGAGAGGCAATTGTTCCCTTGCTTGGGCGGCTACGCTCCCCGCGGGGCTGCCTGCAGCCCCCGGGCCCTTGCAGCTCCGGGACGGCGCGCGGCGGCGGAGGCCGCGGGGCCCCAAGCGCCAGCCTGGCCCCGGCGCAGATGCGCTGCCCCGGCCGCAGCCCAGCCGCCGCGTGTGTTGTCAGGACGATCGGAAACGCGTGTGTGGGGAGATGGGTGCCAGTGTCGCCTTGTCCATTATCCAAAACCCAGTCGCTTTTGCTGGTTCCTCACTCAGCATGTGAGAGAGATTGTCTTCTCACTCGGTGCCACTCGGGGGCCATACTCCAAAATCAACCAGGGGCTGCCTCGGCATCCAAGACGTTTCGGGCCAGGCGAGGCTGTTTCCCTAACCTGTGCCATGGGCAAAAGAGAACGCCGCCTTCCCATGCAGTTCCCTTTGTAGCCCACCCCTTGCCATTCCAGGCATCACTGAAGGGTATGTAATTTGGGAACAGGCAAAAGGGAGAACGGGTATTAACCGGAGAGGAACTCTAGTTCTTGAAGATGAGCCATATTCTTGAAGAGAAGTGCGTGCCCTGTCGTGGTCCCCCAGGTGCCCTGTCTCTGAGGAGTGACCAGGGTCAGTGCTGGCACCGGCTCTGTCACTGCACACTGGTCGCACCTTTCTTCTCTTCTGCTTTTCGTGTAGCTCAGTGGGGTTCCCAAATCACAGCACATAGCAGCCGCTGGCGAGAGCTTTTGGTTTTGACTTGTTAGACACGGGTTAGAACTCCAAGCTTCTGATGTAATAGGGCTCCGAACAGGCCTGGGAATCTGCGTTTTGAGGCGGTCTCCCTAGGTGGTTCTGATATGCATCCAGATGTGAGAATCATCGCCAAGATCTCCTTTCTTTCTTCCCCTTCATTTCTAGCTTTTCCTCTTCTCTCTTTCCTCCTTGCTTGCCTGCTGTCTCACAAATACAACTCCTCTTTTATTTTCCCATGTATTTTCCTCCCTCCCCCAACGTTTTAAGCATCTGTTGTGTGTCAGGCACTGTCCTAGATGCTTGGAAGGTTATGATCTCTGCCTCTATGCAGCATCTGTGGTTTCTTATTGACCTTCTCTCTTGCCAGCTCCTCTTCTCTTTCTCTCTGTACTTTCATCCTCTCATTTTCTTAATCACGTTCTTTGTGTTTCTTCTTTTCTTTCTTTTTCTCCTCCTCCTCCTCCTCCTTCTTTTTCTATTAGTGAATCCATATGTATTTTTAGCACCATGAATATCAGGATTTAAAAGTTTCTAGCATCTGCCTGGGTTTCAAGCCACAAATTCCTCCCATCATAGCTTACAGGACTCCTAGACCACTAGGGGTGGGTGGAGCAGGATATTCCACCCTAACTCTTTACAAGGAATTTGCCTTTTCTAGAGTTCAGTATGAAAAAACAAGTCAGGTTACTCTCAGCTAACATTAGTGGTATTTCAGTTTTCATAATGTTTAATGACCTCTTTAAGCTTCCCTTAAAGCTGCAATTAAAGATTGCCCTTCAGTCAAAAGAAAAGCATGTAAAAATGGGGCTTGCATCAAGAGAGAAAAAAACAAATAACCTCTCTGAATTAATCCTCCCCCTACCCCCCATTATTCAGGCTGCTGTTTTACACAAAGACACTCTTTTGAGCATGAAAAATATGAATTGTTACAAATTTACCTGTTCTAAAGTTTCAATTAAAGCTAAGTGACACATGAATATGAAGACTGTCAGAACCTCTCCAAAGTTAGGTGATTTGCTTTGCTTTGAAGGGGGTCGACAAAGGGGCTCTCTTGGATCCTCGTGGGCCGCTGCTCGCAGTGTGAGGCACTTTCACGACTCTCAGAGTCAAGTCATAGGCGAAGTCAGGACATTCTGCTTCCATGCTGAGCTCATTTCTTCAGCTTTCCTGTGGATTTGAGGTCGAGGGCTGCAATCATCATGACCTCTGATCGTCTCGGGGTTAAGCCCCTACTTAAACTATTAACTAACTTAAAGATTTCATGTACAACACAATCAGCCAGCAGCTATTTATTAAAAAGCCTTTCATGTAAAAAGGTTTGGAGGACCTAGGAATTGTGAGAAATGTTTAAAAGGTGAGATGTTAATTCTTGGATGTGGGGGAGACTGATTTACATGAAAAGAGAACTAAATTCTTAGCTTCAAGTGATTTCCCAGAATGCTTGGAATAAAATACTCCTTTTTTGGCGTGACCTTGAGACTCCAAATCATCTGGACCTTGACCACCTCCCTCCCCTCATCTTGCTGTTACTATGTCTCTTATTGGTTTTATTCCAGACACACTCTTTCCTTTGATCTCCCCCATGCGGGATCTGTTTTATGAATGCCCTTCCTCCCATCTTTGCATAGCCATCTCCTTTTCGTCACTCAAGTTTCAATTTAGAATCACTGCCTCAGAGAACTCTTCCCTGACCACTCCATCTAAAGAAGGCATCAGATCATTATCATAGCACCTGCTTTCATGTTCTGCCATGGCACATATTACTACTGGATATTATGTTCCTATGTATGTATATTTCTCTCTCTTCCCCACTAAAATATAAGCTTCATGAGAACAGGGGTTTCAATGCTTCTGTCCCACCTAGAAGAATGCAAGGCATTAAAAATATGTTCATTAAATATATGTCAAATGAATAAATGAATGAAAGACTATGTCACTTGCCAAGTGAGGTTTTTCAGACATTGAACACTAGTGTTTCTAGAAGAGGGAAGAATCACTCTAGGCTGAAGGGGAGAAGAATTGATTAGAGAGGAGGAGATACCTGACTTGGATACTGTAGATTTGCAGGATTTATAGCTATGGAAAGAAGGATGATGAGTTTCTTTCAGGTAAGGAAGTATTTGGCAATTAAATGATCTAATCCATTTTGGCACCAAACCAGACATTCAAGTATAGGTGAATCCTTTAACCTTAGTCTCCACTTTTGGTCTTGGAGGCAAAACTACTTGCCATTCTAAAGTAGAGGTAAATCTACTTGCCATTCTAAATCTGTGGTTCTTAAAGCTGTTTTTTGTTTTGTATTTTTCCTGATCAGAGAACTTTGTTATGTCACTCACCATAACAAAAGCAGCATCAGAGAAATCTTGTTTAAATAACTGCCTCTTTCTCTACAATATGAGAAGGGGGAAAACATTTTTTCCCTTCACTGGCAAAGAAGATGGTTATGGCTGATTAATCAGGCCATTAGATACAGTTTTGCTGCATTCAGTAGAAGCCATGATGAGAATTTAGCTTGAATATTCATGTTATAAGTGCTACATGAGTTTGGAATGCTTATAGATTTGCAAAATTTGAGAGCTAAAAAGGACCTTAGAGATCACTGAGATTCTGCAGCCCATCCTCCCTAGCATTTATCATTTTACAGCTTAAAATGCCAGGACCCAGAGTAGTAAAGTGATTGGTTTATGGTTACATTGGTAGCTGGTGGGCAAACAGATTATCAACCCCACCCTTGTGATTCTCCGTCCAGCGGTCTTTTTATTGAACCTTAGTGAGCTTCATGCATTTGGTCATGTTACATAAGCAGAAAGAAAATCTGGAAGCAATGACTAGGCATACTCATAGAAGAAACCCCATCATCATTTTCAAAGTCGCAGTGGTGAAAGTGAGAAATACATATTGAGGGAACTTGCTGGCATTTGAAAGGGAATAAAGCAGTATTTGTAAGCCCTTCTAAGAGTAGGTAGAGTACAAATTAGGGAAAGTGGATGCTATTGTTTTACTACCTCTATATATTTTCTACATTATCCAAAAACTGCCATGCTGAAATAATAACACACTGCTATAATTTTGTATCATTTAACTGGCAGTACACAGTACATGGAGATTTATTATTTTTACTAATGAGTTTAGCTTTGCTGTTGCAAATAGTGTCAAATGTCATTCTTTTCATCCTCCAGCAGATGGCAACTCTAGTCTTCTTGTCATTTTATCTATTTCTATACTTAGAAGATGTTGTCCTCTGCCATCCCTGCCCCCCTTGCCTCTCCCTGAGAAGTTCATCTTTATGTACTGCTCAGGGTGATATGGGTAAGTGGATCCATCCCTCTGCCAATGGAATCAACTCCATTAGCATCTGACTGTGAAGGCCAATCTAAGTGTGCCTAGAAATAACAAAATCACAAATTAGCCAATAGTTCTAATTTTTTTTTAAAAAAAGAGAGGGGGAGAAGATAGAGATTCTAAAATAAGATGTACCACAGAAAACTTTCCATTTAAGGAAAAAAATCTTCAAAAGAAACAAAATGTCAGTTTCTCCAGCTCTAGCTTTAAAGGAAGATGGGTTTGATTAGATTATCTGAGTTACTGGCTAAAAAAAAAGAGCAGTGTCAGATTTCTCATACACTGTGATTTTTGGTCTCTCTGCTGTCTCTTCTCTTCCATCCCTCCTTCCCTTTTACACACTTTTTCTCAGTTGTCAAAAGTACTGTGCCTAGCCCCCTAATTTATTTGCTTTTTAGAAACCTGGTTTCTCTCTCTAGGTGTGTTCCTAAGGCACTACCGCTGATGACATTTATTTTCTCTCCTCCCAGTCTTTGCTCCCACCACTCCCACCCCTTCTCCTACCAGCTAGATCCTCATAACTCCTACAGGATTGCAGAAGTTCAAACACATGCTGTTCTCTGAGTGTAACTCTGAGGGCAGCTGTAAGAAATCAACAGAAAAGAATAGCTGCTACTCTTTTATTAAAGGAAAAGTTAATGATCACAGGCATGAGCAAGTGGATTCTGTCACCAATTCCTCATTGTAAGGCTTCCTACAGATTTGCAAACAGATCTCCTGCCTAGAGGCACTTGCTTGCATCAGGAAGGCCTGAGCAGGGACATGGGACGGACACAGGATGGGAATGGATTTGGTGGTCTGCAAATGCTACGTGGAGGGAACTCTTGCTAACTCATCCTGTTCCAAAGAACCTAACCATCATGTCTTCTTCAAAGTTGAAGAGCTGTTACCTTGATATACCAACAACTAGACAGAGGCTAAAGTGTGGAGCAAGGAAACAGTAACAGTAACATACCTCTTATTTAAGACAAAAAAAAAAGCAAAGTTGGCTTTAGTGAGTATGAGTTTCTTGATTATTACTGTCATCATGTGAAAATGTGAGCTGACGCTGCAAATACAATCCTTGGAAACAACGAGGACGTGTGGAAATCTAAGTATGTTATCATTCACTGACAACCACTAATGAAGACAGGGGAGCTTACTTCAAACCCACAAATAATTAGCACTGACAATAGAAGTATAAACAGAGCTTTATTTAATTAATTCCCTAATTGTTCTTTCCTGCTTTACTATCTGCACCCCTGCTTTGACTTTAGATATAACATATGCCCAAGACTTCCTTCTTTCAACTTTGTGATAATCATGTATCCGTTTGCTCAGTGTGGGAAACCATCTGAGCTAGAATTCCTTTCCCTGCTTTATATGTATAAATGTTTTTTTATTTTTTATGTTACTTTCTCTGTTTTCCCACAATTCGGATGCCTGGAAATGTTGACTTATTAACATGGATGGCTTATCTAGCACTCTGTTAGATGTATTTCACAGTTAATATGAAATGAGAAGTGAACAGTTGATGATTCTGGAGTGATGAGGAGAGCTCTCTGGATTCTCCATTCTGTTCTTTACAGCAACAAACTCTTTGTCCCTGTCTCCTCGCTCACCCACATTCTAATCCCAGCAATCAGAGAGCAGATGGACTGCTTTTTTGGGTTTTGTCATTATCTGTCTTTGTCAGGGAAGCATGATCAGTTCCTCATTAAAGGGCCGATAACAACTCCTTCTTTGCTCTGTCCTGAATGAGGAAGCTGCATTGGAACCTTTCATGTGGTGACTTCAAGTTGTGTGAGGTAAAAAGGCATGTTTGTGTGTGGCAGGAAAGTGACTCTCCATAGGGGAATGGCTAGGCTGAGGGGCCAGACTGAGGGACCTACTGAGAGGAAGGACAGTGTAGAGGGGAATAGATTTGGAGCAGTCATCTGGAGCAGCAGGTAGTCCAGAGAGTCAGCCCTAGTGGCTGGAGTGGGTCAGCCCTGATCCTCTTACAGAGACTGTAGACTCTTTCTCAAGTGGCTTTGCTGGTTATGGGCAGCCTCAGCTCACAAAAGTTGATTACAGCCAGAAGTTAAATCAGAGGCTGCTTAGGAATCTTGCCTGTGAAAAGGGCTAAATGGTGTGTGAATGTATTTGTGCATGTTGTGTATGTTTGATGACAGTCATGCTTCCATTATTGACAGGATATGTTCTGAGAAATGCGTTTTCATTGTTGGTCGAACATCGTAGAATGTACTTATACAAACCTAGATGGTATGTATTTTTTTATTTATATACATTTTTCATATGGAAAACTAAATGTCCCAGCACCATTACGGAATATAAGTCATTTTCGCTACTTGATCTGCAATGCCAATATGAAGGACCATGTATCAGGTTTCTATATATGTTCCATTACAGTCTTATGGGATTATGGTCATATATGCAGTCCACCATTGGCCAAAATGCCATTATGGAGTGTCATTATGACTGTATAAGTTTATATGTAAGTTTGTACAGTGCAGTTGGTATTCCTTTTGATTACTTTTTGTATAATATTTACTAAAAATATTTGCAGAAAGTTCCCGAGAATCACACAAACTCTGTTTGCCCCTGTCCATGTGATGTGAAGCAGGTATCAGCTGACTTCCTTTCAACCTTTATTTGATTGGTATTTGCTGGATCATTTGGGTGAATAACCAGCCTGGTGTTCATGGAAAAATATGCAACAAGGAGTTCCTGCTTGGAGAAGTAATGTTTTGTTTGAGGAAACAAGATGTCTGTTATAAACACTTAGAGAAAATTCTCATATTATGTAGAAGTAAATGAAACAGTGTGGTAAAGACTGAGAGGAGATGGAGAATGATCCCATTGCACCAGGTTGCTCTCATTTTCTCTCTCTTAATGAATGGAAAGGTTGTATAGATTATTTCAGACTTAAAGAATGTGTAGTTTTGGTCAAAGAGCAGACACATGGGAATAAGGAAGTCATCCTGTGGTCACAGAGGATGTAGGGAACAGGTTGGCCAGACTGAAACGGAAGGGCTGTGTTAGGATGCGGTGGGAAGTAAGGAGAATACCTACCTTAACAAGTCAGGACAGGGTGTGCCTCCAGATACATTTGCACTTCCCTCCTGAGAGCTTTTCTTTGTCCTGAATGAGGAAGCAACATTGGAACCTTTGATGTGGTGACTTCAAGTTGTGTGAGGTAAAAGGGCATGTTTGTGTGCGGCAGGAAAGTGACTGTCCATAGGGGAATGGCTCAGTATGTATGTTCCCTAGCCACAAGCTTCGGTTTTGTATTCGACTGTACCTGCCTAGATATAGATCCACTCTGGAAACCCAGGGAAACTTTTCAATCTTCTTGTTAAAGCTGAGGATTGATTAGCAAGCATGACCTCCCACCTGTTATAACTGGCTTATGGCTCTTCCGAAGTACCCACTGGCATTTTCAAGGTGCCCTGCACCCCTTCCTGCCATGTCCTTCTATGGAACACTTCCTTCAACTCCTTGAGTCTGGTCCCTTCCTACCAGAACCAAATAATTGTCAAACTTCTTCATTTGTTTGGATTTTCCACTCTAAGCTCTTCTTCTGGCCTTTCCACCAGTGGTCTTACACTAGCAGTTAATTTGCTCGGAATTCATTGTGGAGCTATCTTGTGCCAAGCAAGGTGCCAAAGGTTTTACATATGTTCACTTTCTTAGTCTTCCTAATAATCCTTTAAAGTGGATCTACTTAACAGTACCTGCTGAGCGTCAATTACATGACAAAGCATTTGGGGATAAAACAGGAAAAAATAAAGGCAGAGGCCATGCCCACAGATAACTTGTACTTAGCTAAGAGACTACTTCTAGTGGGAGAGATTAAGCCCTGAGGAGGTTATAAGATTTGTCCTGGATCTGAAATTTGAATCTAGGTCTTTCTGACCCCAAAGTCATTAATTTCCCAACTGCATCTACTTTTTTCTTTTTTTTTTTTTGCAATTGAAATTAATTTAAAATAAATTATTCTTAGCCATTGTTCATTTGAAGGCAAGCTGACAATCAGGCCGTTTAAGCCAGAGTGAGTCTTATGTGACAAATTATCACATAAAGTAATGAAGTCTTTTCTGGACTCTATGCTCTGCTGTGGGTGGAGTGTTAAGCCCTTCAGAAGCTGCCTTCCAGGGTCTCCACAGGTCCAGGGGTCCATTGCCACCAAGAGTCTTGTTGTTCATTATTGCGTTTACTACTATAGCAACGGCTCCACCAGTGTCTTTATTAAAACTTGCTCCAGGCTAGAATTTTCCCCCGGGGTCAGTAATGAGTTTAGAGGAATGGATGTGGAAATGAGATTTGTTCTCACCAGTGGAGTGAATTATGTCTTGTTGGGGCCCCCAGGCTAATATTTCAGATTTGCCACAAGGTACTTCATCAAAAATTCTATTTTGGTTCCAAAAGGACCATGCATGCCTATTAGCAAATTCAGAGCATGCCTTTAAACTGTATGTTTTTTTTTTTTTTTTTTCCTTCCCCGGCTGCATCCACTAAAGGCTTTCAGAATTAGCAGTTTGTGAGAACAGTCCATTTCCACGGGCCAGTGAATGGTGCAAAGAAGAAGTGCAGCCCTTTTATCTAACAAGGCTGAGTCTGCCATAACTGAGGTGAATCAAAGGCAGAGCAGCCACGACTGTGTCAGCACATTAGGTATTCGTTATCACATCGGGCATGCGGTACCACGCCAGACATACTCATGTGGCAGGATTTGTGTTTGCTGTCTCTCAAATTCTCTTGCCTCCGTTTGATTGCCAGGGCTCATTTTAATGCCATCCAAGCGTATGGGTTTAAATACTCTCCAATTCAGCCTGGTGTGTTTGACATCTAGTTCAACATTCCAAAGAAACTGATTGCAGAGATAAGTCGATTGGGAAATAGGGTTGCACATCAAAGCACTACCTTTCCAGTAACAGAGATGCTCAGAAGGCCTAGCTTATTGGAGAGGACCATAATTGCTGGTTGTCTTTACAAGTGTTCTCTGTGGTGGGAAATGGGGAGAAAGCATCTCTTGCATGATGCCCACTATGCTCACATCCTCTCTCCCTCCCTTCACTACTTCTGCTATCTCCCAGATAAAGGGTTATATTCCCGAGCAATGATGACCAACTACTTTTCGCTAGCAAAAACCAAAAGGGCAGGGTGATCTCCACCCGATGACAGATAAAAGATGGATTGGCTTGAGAAAAGAGTGAGGGTCCCCACTTTTTCTTCCCAATCCCCATTACATTCATAGCCTTAAGAACTGCTCCCCTCCAGAATCTTGGCTATGATTGTCATAACTTACACCTTGTCTCGATCTGGGAAAAAATAATAAAATGACTCCATTGATGCTACTCCAATCCTTCTGCTTGTTGTGTCAAATTTTCTTTCATTTTGTAAGCTGTGCATTTGGGCAGATGCTATCCTCCACTGGAGGTACCATTCCCGTGCAGGAGTAAGGTTTCTGTTGGACAGGAGTCCTCTTGGCAGAACACATTTAATGGAGTGCCTTTTAGTGAGGGTCTCCAGCCTTGGTCTAATTGCTCTATAATGAAACAAGCAGGAATGACACTGTCCTTCTCACTTACATGTCTTAGTTTACTTTTGGAAATTATTGTGTGCATTGAACAGTGTTTCTCCTTAAACAAACAAACTCACTCACTGTTTCTATGACCAGTGTAGAGTTCCAGATACTGTTGAACAGGCATTACTATATTAAGTCCTGTGCACATCATCAGCACTGTAAATTGGCCCTCACCTCCCATGAAGCTGGCAGCCTCTGGATCTTTGGGTTGTCTGTTTTTACTGGCTGTTAATTGTTAATAGATTTTCAGGTGTAGGTCATGCTGTGTAGGCATCAATCCTTAATTTAGGAAGGTCTGCGGCTGTCCATGATTGTGAAAAGGCAAGTGATAAACAAAAACTGGAGAAATCTCAGCATCCTCACTAAAAATGTCAAGCCCAGTAATGCTTCTGGTAGCAAAAGCAAAATTTATTAGTGAGAGAACAAACTTGCCTAATAAAAAAGGAGAGTTAAAGAGGGAAAGCAGAGAAGGAAGGAAGGCCCCAGAAGAAGGTTGACGAAAGAGAAAACATTTAAGAAATCAAAGCCATTTTAGAAAGACGAGTTAGAGAGCAGGCATGGTATGATCTTAGATATCTTCCTTGTTCTTGAGACAAGAAGAAAAGGAAGGCATTTAGCGTGAGCTTTTAAGTAATTCTGCTTGGAAAAATGTATGATAAGAGGCCTTGCTATCCTCCATCTCAGGGGAATGAATATACTGGTCCAGGGTTCAGTGGCCCTAAAGCCAAATTCAGCTGCTGCCTGTTTTTATAGGGCCTGCAAGATAAGAATGAGTTTATGTTTTTAAATGGCTGGAAATAAACCAAAAGAAGAATAATATTTTGCGACATTTGAAAATTATATAAAATTCAGATTTTAGTATCCATACACAAAGTTTCGTTGGAACACAGCCATACCTATTTGTTTACATATTTTCTATGACTGTCTATTCATTAAAATAGAAGAGCAGATTCCTTGCAACAGAGACTGCAGAGCCTAAAATATTTACTATTAATATCAGCCCTTTACAGGAAAAGTTTTCGGATCCCTGTATTGGTCTATTGACTCAGAGTAACTAGGAATTAGTTACTAAAGGCTGTCACCTTTCCACCGGTCTGTCTAACCCTCCTTCATCTAGTCTTCCCTTAGCAGAAGGTAATCCCCTTACCTACTTACCCATTTACTCACCTACTTCCAAGAGTTTCCAAGGGCTTATCTCATGGTGGATCCTGCGTTGGGCTTTGTGGGTGATTGAAGAGATGAATTCAATCTGGTGTCTGCTCTAGAGTACTTATAGTTTGTTTAGAGAGCATGTGAGGAAGAGCAAGATAAATGATGGAGATAAATAAGAGATATGCATGATCAAAATACTTGGTAGAGTGACACATTCGTATAAGAGGATTTCAGGAAAACTGACATGAGATTCTGAATCTCCTTCAGATTCCTTTTACCTGCATAATACCATTGGTCAGTGAGTTGCTCAGACCAGAAAGCCAGCCACCACCTTTTTTTTCTTCTTTTTTCTGGGGGAGGTGGTGGGGGGGATGGAGTCTTGCTGTGTCCCACAGGCAGTAGCGTGATCCCGGCTCCCTGCAATCTCTGCCTCCTGGATTCAACAATTCTCCTGCCTCAGACTCTGAGTGGCTGGGATTGCAGGTGCGCACCATCATGCCCAGCTAATTTTTGTATTTTTACTAGAGACGGGTTTCGCCATGTTGGCCAGTCTGGTCTCAAACTCCTGGCCTCAAGTGATCCGCCTGTCTCAGCCTCCCAAAGTGCTGGGATTATAGGCGCGAGCCACCACACCCGGCCTAGCCACTGTCTTTGACACCCAGTCACCTGCTGCCTCTGCTTGCACTGCAGTGCTCCCTGCACAGTGTTGCACGTCAAAGGCACTCTCCAGGGTTATGCTTAGCCCATGTGGCCAACTGTGGCAGCCTTGCCTTTCCAACTCCCTGGACCTTTCTGCTGTCAGAATGAATTATGTCATTTCTTCCTTTTGAAGAATATCTTTTGAATTGTCAGTTTAGCTCCATTTCTGATGCTTCCTCCCTAATCTAGGCCACTGTTATCTCTGGCCTGGATCTCAGCTAAAGCAATGGATCTTTCTCGTCCACTCTTGCATCTGTTCTGTTTAAAATTCACATATAATCATGCTACTTCTCTGTGTATGATGAGTCTCACTTTTCCCATATTTCTTATGAAAATATCCCAAATCTGGGCATATCTCTTGAGACCTTGAACAATCAGCTTTTGAGACCTCAGAGCCTCATTTGCATGACTCTCCCCTTAATTCCTTTCTTCTGGCCATGTGGCCATCTTACAGTTTCTGTAGGGTGAATATGTAATTCATTTTTCAAAAACAAGACACTTGTGAGAATGAAAGGAGGCACTATTAATAATGATGCCATGGCAACAGGCTATAATCAGGACAGTCCCAGGCAAACCAAGATATAAAGTCACCCTACATTTCTCAGACATCCCACACTCTTTCTAACATAGAGTCTTTGAATGTGATTATTTTTCCTTATTTGTGATTGCTTTGCCCTTCTTTACCTATCAGTTTTTCTCTGACTTCAGAGGGTGAGTGAAATCCTCTCTTGATACACAATCAGAGCACCTTCACTCCTTCTAATAATTATAATTGAATTGCAACTGATGTAATTGTTTATGTGTCCAACTAGCATGACCAATCCTCTTGGTCTGCCCAGGACCGAGGGAGTTGCAGGGACATGAGATTTTAATGTTAAAACCAGGAATGTCCCAGATCAGCACGTGAGAATATCATTCCCTCAAAGGCAAGGACCAGATTTGTCTTGTTTCCCACTGTAACTGCAGAACATAGAGTAGTTCCCAATAAGTTATAGGTGCTCAAAAGACTTTAGTTGGTTGAATGAATTAAGAAAGAAAGGAGTACAATGACAGAGAGGTGACTTTCAGATGGGTTAATCAGGGATGCTTTGCATATAAGGTTCCATCTCAGCTTAAAGGATGAGTTACAGTTTCAGTATGAGGTTAGGAAAAGAATATTGTAGACAGGGAGAAAACTTTCATTAGAGCCCGTCCTCTTTTCCCACTACTAAGTGCCACCTGGAAAGGATGTGGAGGGTCTTAACAATGTGATGTAAATGGCTGCTACAGTTGAATGTGTTACCTACTCCAGGAGTAGTTGCATTTTTAATAAAAAATAGAACCTCCAGTCAAATGATCATCTCATAATGGCAGACGTTTTGAACTGGGGATGGAGAATATAGTTTGAGGGTAAGAAAGAGGAGTGAGGAGGAAGGCCTACCTTCAGACTGGCCCCAAATGCCTTATCCTGTAGGTAGCTTCCACTCTGCCTGGGGTCAGACCACAGGGCTGTGGGGTCTGAAAGTACAGCGCAGTGTACAATCACATCAAAATAGTTTGGGTAGAGCACCATGGGACAGCAGTCTAATTGTTTTTTCTCAAATTTTCCAGACCAATTGGTCTGGGAGAGGTTATTCCTGCCTACTGTATTTCTGGCATCAGTACTTGGCACCAGATGAGAAGTTTGCACTGGGAGAGATGACACAATCAGAAAGGCACATTAGAGCTTTCCAATTGGTAAAATGTTGAATAACAGAATTTTCAGTGTTTCCTTTAGACTATATAAATTCCACAAGTGAGAGTTCCCAATTCCTGTGAATTGAAGGCTTCTGACCATTTGATCCATATTTGTTTCTGAAAATAATAGGTTATTAGACACAAAAATGCATTTGAGATTCTTATTTTGTAGCTGGGGAAACCAAGACCCAGAAAAGTTAAGAGTTGACCACATTGTACAGCTTGTTCATGCCACACTGGGACCAGGACTCAACTCTCCCAATTCCAAATGCTGTGTCTCCCCTTCTATACCTGCATTTTATTATGAAAACTTTTTAATGTACAGAAAAATTGAAGAAATTGTATAGTGCACACCCATGTACTCATGTCTTAGTTCATTTTTGCTGCAATAACAGACTACCTTAGACTGGCTGACTTAAAAGCAAAAGAAATTTATTTCTCATGATTCTGAAGGCTGGGAAGTCCAAGATTAGGGCTCCAGCATATTCAGTGTCTGGTGAGGGTTCGTTCCTCATAGATGTCACCTTCTCACCATATTCTTATAGGGTGAAGGGGGCAAAGCAGCTCTTTGGGGCCCCTTTTATAAGGATCCTAATTCTACTCGTGAGGGCTCTGAGGCCTCATCTCCAAGTACCCTCACACTGGGGATTGGGTTTTAACATATGAATTTAGGGGGACGTAAGCATTCAGATTATAGCAACCCGCCCCCTCAATTTTACAATTACAATTTTGCTATACTTGCTTTATCAGATATCTGTCCATCCTATTTTTGAAGCATTTCAAAAGAATTGCAGACATTACTACACTTCACCTTATGCAGATTATTATCCAAAGTTTGATATTTGCTTATCTTTTTAGGTAAAATTTATACACAATGAATGAGTTTTGACAAATGCTTGCATCTATGCATCTCAAACCCCTATATAGTACTTTGAGTTTTCCATTTTAAAAATTTCAAAACATGCTACATTTTACTTAAACAATCATCTTAAAATTGTTTGCTGTTGAAGATGTACTTGTTTATATAGAAAACATTTTCACAGGAAACAGATTTGTGTAACATTAGACTATAGTTTTAAAAGCAGGTTCCGTAAGGTGCTCTGTTCAAATACTTAAGAAGTGACTCTATGCAAGTTTTAATTCATGCAAGATGAAGTCTCAAAGTCAAGGAAATGCACTCATGTGGGAAAGAAGTGGAGATATTCAAAGGGGATACATGAGGGATACAAAACCTTATAGAAAATTGAGCATTGTTCCCAGCCCATTGCTGACTTGGGCCTCCTCACTCCTCCATCTCCACACTCTGCATCTCAAAAAGGCAAATTACCTGGAAATGTTCAACTGGGTGGGGTGTGGGCATAAGAAAATGAGACAGAGCTGGGCACGGTGGCTTACCCCTGTAATCCCAGCACTTTGGGAGGCCGAGGTGGGCAGATCACGAGGTCAGGAGATCGAGACCATCCTGGTTGACATGGTGAAACCCCGTCTCTACTAAAAATACAAAACATTAGCCGGGTGTGGTGGCACACACCTGTAGTCCCGGCTACTCTGGAGGCTGAGGCAGGGGAATCGCTTGAACCTGGGAGGCTGAGGTTGCAGTGAGCCAAGATCGTGCCACTGCACTCTAGCCTGGGCAACAGAGCCAGACTCTGTCTCAAAAAAAAACCAACCAAACAAACAAAAAAGTAAACGGGATAAAAAAAAAAAGTCACAAGCTCTTTTGCTTCTGCTGTAGGAATGCTCTATTTGACTACACTCCCCCCCACCCCACCCTTTTTTTCTTTTTTGCTCCTATGGAAACTAATCAGAAAAGCTAGAGCAGTTTTGAGAGGCAGATGCAGAAGAACGATACTCCACACTCCCTTCACAAGCTCCCCTTCCCACACATGCTGCAGGGTGTGTGAGTGCACACACACAAATACACACACACACCCCTCTCCTGATTGTACCAAGGAGCCAAAAACAACTGACTTCTCATGGATGAAACTGTGGGTGACTAGTGGTTCAGTACTGGCTTCAGGCATGATGGATTCTCCCTGGGGAATGCGCACCCAACAACTGGGAGACACTTCAAGCACCTTAACTGCCAATGTTTTATGTCAAAAGGTAGAGACAAGTCATAGGAGGACTTGCTGCAGCCCCTTATAGTAAGCGAATTGACCCCACCATGGGAAGTGGGCTGGTCCAGAGGATAGTAGCAAGCCCAAGGCTGCCAAAGGCCTGCTCCCCAGGTGGCTTCCTAGAGCGGAATGTATGGGCAGCAGTAAAATCAGAAAGGGAATGTAGTTTACTTTTCTTTTTTTTTTTTGAGACAGAGTGTCACTCTGTTGCCCAGGCTGGACTGCAGTAGCACAGTTTCAGCTCACTGCAACCTCTGCCTCTTGGGTTCAAGAGATTCTCCTGCCTCAGCCTCCCGAGTAGCTGGGACTACAGGTATGTGCCACCACGCCCGGCTAATTTTTATATTTGTGGTAGAGACAGGGTTTTGCCATGTTGGCCAGGCTGATCTCGAACTCCTGAGCTTAGGTGATCTTCCCGCCTTGGCTTCCCAAAGTGCTGGGATTACTGGCATGAGCCTCTGCACCTGGCCTTTTTTTCTTTTTCTTTTTTTTTTTTTTTCACTTTTAAAGCAGATAATGGGAGGGGAGAAAGGATTAAAAGAGGGAATATTCTGGAAGTCTTTCTGTGGGAACTCCAGAAAACCATTTTGGAGAAAACAGAACATTTCAGTAACAGCTGGGCCTTCAGCCAAAGCAGATGGTCCAAAATGAGGAATGGGAGAGCAGTACAAATAATATCAAGTTGTTGGCTATGGGAGCACTGTGGGAACATGCTAACAGTTGGGTTAGGTGGAAGTCCTTCAATGCTGACCCTGCATTTAAAAAGCATGCATTTAGGCCTTCTCTTTTGGCATCTGAGCATGGCCGACTCTGGAGAGCTGCCTCCACCACTGACTGGTGAAGAAGGTGCATCCCTTTTATTTTTGCCAAAGCCAGTCCAAATGCCCTAATAAAAACCTCTAAGTGATTAACATACAGAAGAAAGTGAATGGTGCCAACTTACTGCAGTCCTGGTAGTTTTCCTAATGATTTGAGAGAGCTAGGCTTGTGATTAGAATTCCAGTCACCAGGCAGGATAGGGGGACTCTAGAGCTTTTGGATAGGCCAGGAGCAAAAGACATAAAAACAACAAAGGAACAAATTTAAAAATGAAACAGCACATTAAGTTGAACAGGAATGCACATTTTCTATCCCTGATTACAATCAGAGCTGGCTATTTTTAGTGTATTTCTGATGAGTCTACTTCACTGTACTTCGTACCAGAATGGCACAATGAGTGGTATTTGCTCTCTATTGGCCAGTAGCTGAAAAGATGAATCTCCATGGAAGTGTGTATATAGGGAGTGCTGAGGCTGACATATGGTAGATTTTTTTTTAACATCTACAAAAACAAACCACTTTCACTAATAATATAACGTGTGTGTGTGTGCACATGTGTGTGTGTGTATCACACCCATCCATTGAGTTTCAATAATCAACTCTCTTTTGCAAGGAATAAAATATGTTATAGCCAGATAGTCATCACCAAACTATGATTTATAGTTTGAGTTGCATCTAGGTGGTTTATGGCACTGACCTAGAAAGGGTATTAATGAGGTCTATGCCAAAACTTTCAGCAGATAGAATATTTGATTTTTATTAGAGATAGGTTTGGGTTGAGGGGCCATTTTTATAAACTCAATGTTAAAAGAAAAAAATAGAATACCATAACCCAACTCTCCAAATACTTTCTATATAAGGTGAATACCCTGACAAATCTTATCCCAGCTATGCAGAGAGAAGTAGAAATACCTCTTCCAGTGTGGATTTAGAAATTGTAGGTACCTCAAGAATATATGTTGCATATTGCTTCTTCAACTAGTCATCCCCTACTGATTAAATACCTACCATGGGTTTGGTGCTACTGGAGACTCAAAAGAAGAGTAAGGCAACCTGTCTTCATGGTGGTCAATGAATTCACCATCTTAATAAAGCCATGAGAGGAAAGTGTAAGAAACAAACCATTTATTAACAGTTAGGACTAGGTATAACTGAAGAAATCAGACAACAGATGACTTTGAGCTAGGGGAGATTATTTGGTTTGGAGTAGCTCAAAGATATTTGATCTTGATGTTTTCTGTAAGCAAGTAACTCCTTTTGTGTGTCTTTGGGGAGTTCATTTCCCAGACATTTTAATCTAAGAATGACGCCTTTACATTGGAACACCACCAAGTTATTAACGTAGCTTTCTTAACAGTGGTGGCCATTGTGCTTACAAAGTATATGCAGCTTTTTCATCAAACATACAAGTAATTGCAGAGAAAATAAATAAGATTTATTTTTCTTCTTTCGACTGACAAGGCTTAATCTGTCTCATGCAATCTTTATCACTTGAAGTCAGGCTACCCCTCTCAGTACTTGCCAGATTCTTCATGGACGTGGATAATAACTATAATCTATGGAGCAGTCCTGCGGTTATGTCAGTACAGCCAGTAATTTGCAAGCCTGGTTCTACAATGGCATCTCTTAGGGGAGGAACTGCCTTGAGCTTGCTCATCTGTCTGAACCCTGTAGAGAAGGATCAGCCAACTGGTAACTTTCAGTGAGGTTTCTCATGGCCTTTTGCTGTCTTCAAGTTTATGGCTTTAAGAGAGGCCTTTGGCAAAGTTTTGATTGCTGTGAATACCCTCTTATAATGGTTCACTTTTCAAAAGGTTTTGACGTTCATAATTTTCTTTAATCTTCATAATTTTCTACTAGATTGGGAAGAATTGAGTCTCTTCCCATTTTATCTCTCATGAAAGAGAAACAACAAGGCTAGTTGAATGTACCAGGTGACATACAGCCCTTTAGCCATACAATGATGATCACATCAAGGTTTCCAGACCACAGACTTAGAGTCTCATTCTATCTCCTGTGTGGGACCTAGAACTTGTTTGATTAGTTCTGTTGACAATTATATACAGGCTTTGGGAAACAAGTTATAAATATTTGACTTTTTGGTTGGTGCAAAAATTCCATTCAATTCTGACATTATCTACCTGGAGCTAGCATCAGATCTCATGAGTTAAAGGTCTCAGTTCCACAATAATGCCCCCATGTCATACTCCAATCTCAAATCCTGGACCACCCATACTTCTGACCGACTGTCTATAAATTGGGGGTTCTCATCATCCCCTCCTCAGATTCGGTAATTAGCTAGGAAGGCTCATAGAAGTCAGGAAGGCATTTAACTTAACTTTACCAGTTTATTATAAAGGAAACAAATGAACAGCCAGATGAAGGAGTACACAGGGCAAGGTCCAGAAGACTCCTGAATACAGGATCTTCTGTCTCTGTGGAGTTGGGGTGCACCTCCCCCAGAATGTGTATGTGTTTGGAACAACAACTTGGAAGTTCTCTGAACCTTGATGTTTAGAGATTTTTTTTTAATGGAGGTTTCATCATATAGGCATGATTTGTTAAATCATTGGCCACCCAAGCTCCAGCTCCTACCTCCTCCCCAGAGGTGGGGATGAGGGGCTGAAATTTACATGCTTTTAGTCATGGTTTGGTCTTTTTGGCAAACAGCCCCCATGCTGAAGCTATCTAGGGACTACCAGTCATCTCATTAATATAGAAAAGACGCTCATCACTCTAGAGCTTCCAAGCGTTTTAGAAGCTGTGTGACAGGAACAAAGGATGAAGACTAAATATTTTTTATTATACTAGAGATTTGAATAGATATTTATCCAGAAAGACATGCAAATGGCTAATAAGCACATGAAAATATCCTCAACATCATTACCCATTAGGGAAATGCAAATCAAAACCATAGTGAGATTCTACTTCACACCCACTAGGATGGCTATAATCAAAAAAGAAGATGGACAATAATAAGTGTGGGAGAGGATATGGAGAAATTAGAACCCTCACTCATTGCTGATAGGAATGTAGAATGGTACAGCTACTTTGCAAAATAGTTCGGTAGGTTCTCAAGTTGCTAAATATAGAGTTACCATATGATCCAGTAATTCCATTTCTGGGCATAATCCAAGAGATAGGAAAACACACATCCACACACACTTGCACATGAATGTTCATACAGCATTATTCACAACAGCCAAAAATTGCAGAGAACACAAATGTCTGCTGCCTGATGAATAGAAAAGCAAAATATGGTATAGCCATGCAATGGAATATAATTCAGCAATAAAAAAGAATGAAGTAGTAATGCATGCTACAACATAGACGAACCTTAAAAACATTGTGCTAAGTAAAGGAAGATAGTCACAAAAGACTGTGTATTGTACAATTTCATTTATATTACATATCCAGAACAGGCAAATCTAGAGACAGAAAGTAGATTAGTGACTGTCTATGGCTGGAGGAAAGGGTAGAGGGAATAGGAAATGATTGGTAATGGGTAACCAATTTATTTTGGGGAAGATAAAAGTGTCTACATGTAGAGAGTGCTGATGGTTGCACAACTCTGAACTCATTAAATTGTATGCTTTGAGTGAATTTTATGGCATATCCATTGCATCTAAATAAAGATGTTTAGAAAAATCAGCAAATAGTATCACCTGGAGTTGGGCCATCCAGACAACATATAAGTACATCTAAAATTAAGTCTCCAAGCACTGCAATTCTCATTTGCCCTCTGATGAACTTGGTGAACTGGAACTTGAAGTCAGTTCTTGTAAATAAACAATGCTGCTGCTGTAAGAGCTAATTGACAGTGTCGTCAGATTGGCTTTGCCAGGGAGCAAGCAGTCATGGTCATCCTGAAATTAACATACAAATTACAATGATAGATTTTATTTGAAGAGTTTTATTTTTTCCTGATTATAAAAATAGTTTCTTTCCAGGCAAATAAAATGTTTCATGCACTGAAATAATCAACTGCCACCTAATTTTTTTTAAAATCTTTCTTTTCATACAAAATTTCAAATTATGAAAAAAAATGCAGAGTGCCAGTTTTTTGTTTGCATGTTTTTTGTTTACTCATTTAATGTTTTAACAAAGACCTCAATTCTATTTACTAAATTTTAAGTGTATTGATTTTCTAGAGGGTATCGGAACAAAATACTACACATTGGGTAGCTTAAACAACAGAAATGTATTGTGTCACAGTTCGGGAGGACAGAGGTCCAAGATCAAGGTATCAGCATGGGAGGTTCCTACTGAAGGTTGTGAGGGATGGTCTGTACCATTCTTCTCTCCTAGCTTCTGGTAGCCTCAAATGTTGTTTGACTTGTAGGTGGTGATCTCCCTGTGTCCCTGTGAAAGAACGGAGTGATCTTTCTATGTGTGTCTGTCTCTATGTCCAAATTTCCCCTTTTCTATGAGGAAACAGTTACATTGGGTTAGGGCATATCTAATGACCTCATCTTAATTTGATCATCTGCAAAGACACTATTTTCAAATGTAGTCACATTCACAGGTACCAGAGGTTATGACTTCAACATCAGTTGGAGAGACACAATTCAATCCATAACACTACGTCACATTCTAGGGCTTATAATTTTTTAATATTCTCTTGGCCTAGCTAAAATTATAATTTTAATCAGAGGAATCCATTGTAATGAGGCAAGAATAGATGTTCTCTTAAGATCATCCATGTATGAATTGAAGTTTACCTGGGCTCCTTTGACTGACTTTGTCATTTTCCATCTGGTGACTTTTGATAAAAAAAAAAAAAAAAACACATAAAAAAAATCTCCAGTGTTCCAAGCCTGCAGAGAAAAAAGGATGAAAATGATTATATAATTGGGAAGTTTTATTATCCTCTGGTTTTGTGTCATTTACTTCTGTAACACTGTTTTTATCGACTGCCAAGAAATGTATGTGTGTTACCATTTCTTTGATCGTCTTGGCCTGCAAATTCAGGATAAAGGGCACAAGGAAAAAACAAACTTACCATTTTCACACAATTATTTATAAGAAAAATAGGACTGGAACCCATTTCTGATCACGATCCTTTTGAACCAATAAAAGGAATTACTAAAAATGTAAGGAGTGATGTTTTTTCTCTCGCAATTGGTACTTTGGCTAAAAATAAACCAGTCAAAAATAGAAAGAAAAGAAGATGGGTAAGGTCTGTTAAGAAACCTAAACAATATTCTGTGGCATCATTTCTATCAGCACACAAACATCTAAATTCTCCCTCACACACTTATATATATAACTTGACTTCAGTATCTCTCTAGCTATTTCCCCATTCCTTTATCCCTTTGGTAACAAAACTTCTTAAGGGAAGAGCTATTCCAGTATTTGTATTCACCCATTCTCTCTTGAGGCCTCTCCAATCAGGCTTTTAGCACCTGCACTCTGCCCCAACCTACCCTTGTGAAGGTCCTGAATCCAATGGAGGACTCTCAGCCCACCTCTTACTCACTATCAGCAGCTTGGGCACACTTGATCCTTTTCTTCTTGAAATACTTCTTTCAATTGGCTTCCGGAACTCACAAGCTCCTGATTTTCTCCTCCTTCATGGATTTCTTTTTTTTCATTCCATATTAGGTCCTTCTCATCTCCCTGATCTCTTAACTCTGGAGGGCTTCCTACCTCAGTCTTTGGACATTTTCGTAGATGCACACCCACACCCTTAGTGATCTTCTCCAGGGTCAGGGTTTAAATATCATCTTTTTGTTGCTGACTCCCAAATTTATGTCTTTAACTCAAGCTTACCTGCTAAACTCCAGATCCCTATATCCAACTACCTATGAAATGTCAACACATGAATGTTTTATTGGTGTCTCAATCTTAACATTCCCAAATGTCTTCCCTCAGTCTCACTCTGCCACCCAGGCTGGAGTGCAGTGCCATGATCTTGGCTCACTGAAGCCTCGATCTCCCAGGCACAGGTGATCCTCCTGCCCCAGCATCCCAAGTAGCTGAGACCATGGCCCTGCGCCACCACGCCCAGCTATCTTTTTGTATTTTTTGTAGATGTGGTGTTTCTCCATGTTGCCCAGGCTGGTCTTGAGCTCCTGAGCTCAAGTGATTCTCCCTTCTTGGCTTCCCAAAGTGCTGAGATTACAGGTGTGAGCCACAACACATGGCCTCCGAAACTAAATTAGTGACCATCCCTCTCTATCTGCTCTTCCCAAGTCCATCAAAGTCAACTCTATCGTCCTAGTGCTTTATCCCAAAAGCCTTGGGGTCCCTTCATCCTCTCATATTCCATGTCTAATCTATTAGCAAACTCTGTTGCCTCTACACTGAAATAGATCTGGGCACTTACTGTTTCTCACCACTTCCGATCACTACCAAATCTCCATCATTTTGCATCAGAATTTTTACAAATACTTCCTAATGGCTCTCCCTATATTCACCTTTGCCACCCTCTTTCCAGGTCTATTCTCAACACAATAGCCAGAGTGATCCTTAGAAAATCTAACTAGAATGAATCATTTCTCTTCTCAAAACCCTCCAGTGGTTTGCCAAAATCATTACAGTGGTCTATAGCTGCCACATCTGTGGCCCCCTCCCCCTTATCTCACAGATGTTACCTTCCACTGCTCTTCTTCATTCAGCTCCTGGCACACTAGCCCCATTGCCATTCTCAGCAATGTTCCTGCTTCAGAGCCATTTACATCTGCAGGTCCTTCTGTCTGGAAGGCCCTTGCCCCACTGACATTCATGACTTGTTTCTCCAGCCCCTCAGTCTTTGCTCAAGTGGCACCTCCTCCATAAGACCTTCCTTGTCTGTACTGTTCTAAATCACAATTCCCAAGCCTTGGCTTTTATCTCTGCTTTATTTTCTCGGTATCATTTATCATCATCTGGTGTGCTATCTATTTTACTTATTTTATTAATTGTTTGCATCCTCCCAGAAGAATGTAAGCTTCTAGGAGGCAGGGATATTTGTATGTTTAGTTCACTGCTATATCATCAGTGCCCGGAAGAGTACCTGATGCATGGTAGGGACTAATTTAAAAAAAAAAAATTGAATGAATGACTCAATAGTTCTTAATCTTTTCTAGCTTACAGACTATGAACTATTTTAAAATTTGATGAAATCTATGGAAACTTTTTTTTAGAAAAAGTTATACCCACATAATTTGTACTAAAATTCTAAAGCTAATGTATCTTCTTAAATTTTTCCAAGGATGTTTTCCACACCCAAGAACTCCTGTTTAATCATACGTGGCCTAGAGGAAGAGGCAAAGTATAAAGCCAAACTCTACTATTGTCTGTTGGATGATTGCTACTGCTTAAATCATGGTGGCCTGCAGATTGAGGATAAAGGGCATAAGGAGAAAATAATTTTCCATTTTCACACAATTATTTATAAGAAAGATAAAACTGGAACTCATTTCTGATCACAATTTTTTTGAACCATTTAATTGAACTACAGGAATTCAGATCTGTTTATTTATTTTGTTTCGGGGACTTAATTTCGCTAGCATAATTTTACAAGGGGGAAAATCATGTTTGAACTCTTTTGTATTAGGCCATTCTTGCATTGCTTTAAAGAAACACCTGTGACTGTGTAATTTATAAGAAAAGAGGTTTAATTGGATCATGGTTCTGCAGGCTGTACAGGAAGCATGGCTCTGGCCTCTGCTTCTGGGAAGGCCCCAGGAAGCTTTTACTCATGGTAGAAGGTGAAGTGGGAGCAGGCAAGAGTAAAAGAGAGAGAGTGCCCGGGGAGAGGTGCCACACACTTTTAAATGACCAGATCTTGTGTGAACTCAGAGATCTCACTTATCACCATGGGGATGGCACAAGCCATTCATGAGGGACCTGCCTTCATGATCCGAACACCTTCCACCAGGTCCACCCTCCAACATTGGGGATTACAATTCAACATGAAATTGGGGTGGGGACAAATATCCAAACTGTATCACCTTTGTAGCTTTCTGCTTATACTCCTCAAGTTCTTCCATTTTCCTTTCTCTCAGCATCGGAGTGCCTGATTTTATTGATAAGGGGTTCAGTTTGATCATGATGCATTTCCAAAGCTCCCTTTCTCTCTTCCCAAGGTATTTATCTAAATTTCACAAACCTTAAAAAGGAAATGCCTACAAGATCATGTTTGAAAGAGGTTTATGTAAATGTCCAGGAATGAAATTATTTTAATTTCTGCCTTTCCAATTTAAAATTCTGTATTCATCTCCTAGGTAGGTACCCCCATGTGTTGAATAAAATGGCACATTTGTTGCTGAGAAGTTCTAAGACAGCAGAATTTTGCCCTCAGCACTTCTTAAGGAAAATGGTCTCTGTGAATTAAGGATTTATGGGTGACCATGCTTCCGCTAGAAAGGTTTGAAGATCTGGACTTACATGCTGGGATCCTGTCTTGATTAAAGGCTGCAGAGAAGCTGATACAGTAAATAGTCTTTGCTATCTGTGGACTCATATTTCCTGCTAGAGATAAACCAAGCTTTGTGCTATATAGCAATCAGCGAGCACCGCAGTGGCAGATTCAGCGCTCTGCCCCTACTAGGCTGACACCTTCAATTGGAAATGGCCTCAAAATCATGAATGTTCACTTCGGAGTTACAGGACGTGGGGATGAGTTGAATGTATTCCTCCATGTGAACACTTGGTCACTTTCCCCACATTACACTGTAAAACCAATTTTTGTGGTTTTATTTCTCTGAGTCCTCATTAATGCCATTTAACAGGAAATTCAGCTAAAGCCCCAAGACAAGTGTAGAGATTTCGAAGAAAACTTGCTTTGGACTGCTTTAGCAGAGTGCCTGTGTATTATATATGTGCCCACGAATGTCATCACCAGGGGAGAGGAGCAGTCACATGAACGATCCAACCTAATTCATTTATATTTGATTTTGAAATGCACAGCGCTCCTTAGACTCTCAGTAACTTTTCATGGAGGTGGGAGGGGTAATAGTAAGAGGAGCATGTGTTCTTTGAGCTCACATTGCATAATGGAAATAAGCAACAAACTGTATCTGACATTCCATGTGGATACTTAGCTGTTGACACTGGATTTAGGGTTGCTACTCAAAGTGTAGTTCCGGAGCAGTAGCATCAGAATACCCTAGAAGCTTTTTGGAAGGCAGTTTCTGGTGTCCACACCTCAGGATCTTTATTTTAACAAGATCCCCAGCTGATTCATTTGCACATTATCTTTTCCTTTTTCTTTTCTTTTCTTTTTTTTTTTCCAGAAGGGTTGTTTAAAGCCCTGTTTCCCAAACATGGCTGTGCATTGGGAGCACCTTGGGGGGAGTTTTTAAAATACTGATTGACACCTGGGTCCTGCAGTCAGAGTGCCCGATTTTATTGGTATGGGATTCAGTTCGATCATGATGGGTTTCCAAAGCTCCCCAGGTGGTTGTAAGGTACAACAGAGTTTGAGAGCCTCTAGTTCAGAGCAGAACCAGAATGCATCTCAGGCACATGTGAATGGTGAAGAGTTGACAATTTCTGAAACAGACTTTCAATTTGTGACCTGGCATTCTACCAGCCACAAATTTTTATTTGTGTTTTATCCACTCATATGTTAGCTGTCTTCTTAATCACCAGAGACAAGTAAGTTATCTATTTAGTTTACTGCTTTTTCTATTTTATCTGCTTATTTGAAAATTGATGGATAGCTTTGGTTTATATGGTTATTCTAGACCAGTCAAAAGATTTGCTTAATTGAATTTCATTTCCGAATATGTTTTCAGAGGGAAGGTTATGGTCTAAAGAATGTCATTTAAAGGTCTTACCAATGCTATGCAGTAGTTATTTCTCTTAAAGCAGCAAGAGCTGAGATTTCAAAAAGTTAAATAACTGCCTAAATTGCACAGCCGGTCATTGGAAAAGCCAGAGGTTGAACTTGGCATTTGAAAAGTCTTTATCTGATTCCTAAAGCCCGTACTTTTCTGATCCTCCATGCTGTTTCTGGAAAAACGTAGCTGTGTATGATTAACAGCAACTTTAAAAAGAGCATTTCTGGTTTATTTTTGTGTAGCCTTATGCAGTGTACACATAGACATGTGTAGCTTTTTGAAATTTTGTGTAAGACATTCCACCAACCATCACTGAGTAAACGTAGTATATGCCCTTAGGTTCTGATTTAAATAACAACAAACAAGCAGAGAAGTTAGGGGAATTGAAGGTGACTGAGGAGCACAAGGTATTGAGATGTTTGTTAGGTGCGCTGGGTAGGGTAGCTTGAAAGAATTTGCAAGAGGTAGATGCTTCACTAAGAGCTGCTGCTCTAGTCAGATTGGAAGGAAGCAACAGAGGAAAGACAAGCTTTAGAAGAAAGGAAAAAGTACTACTATCAGAAATACTAAAAGGTTATTTCAGATTGTATATTGCAGCAGATGGCACAATGTAAAGGACAAATGGATTAACTTGCTGAGATTTTTGGTGTCCACTTCATAGCCAGCCATGAAAGGCACTTAACAAAGCAGTGACTTTGTTAAATGATAGCTTCCAGAACATGCCATCTGTGGTCCCTGACTGTTCTCATTGCCTGATGAAGACTGGAATTGTTCTGTCTGAAAATGCAGAGTCTTTCATCTGGTTGTTTTCATATCCTTGTGAATTCTTTTCTGAGATTGAATTTCTGTATATCTGAGAAGGACCTTGGCTTATAAACATCTTTGCTCCCAATGGCTTCATGTTTCTCCATAGCATCACACTGAGAGAATGCTAGCAAAAAGGCAGCTTTGTTGATTTGTTGATTCGTTTGTGTATTGGGGATGGGTATATTCTGGCATAAACTATTCTAAACTTGATGCTGAAACCCTAGGAAAGCCAAAAAGGAGATCCTGGTAGGGGAGTTCTGGCCCCAGGTTCTGATTACCATTTCCTGTTACAATCACCATGTTTATGAGTAATATGCAGAAGCAGAGATCTTCCCACCTTCCTTTTTTTTTCCTGTTTTCCAGGTCTCCCCTCAGTTTGTCTTTATTTCTTTAACTTCCACTGCCTCCCACTTTATTTTCACTGGTATCTTGTTATATCCCTAGATTCTACCCTTTCTTCTGTTCATTTTAATGAATGAATTAATTAAATCGATGGGGTCTTGCTATGTTGCTTAGGCTGGTCTTGAATTGTTGGGCTCAAGCTATCATCCTGCCTTAGCCTCCGGAGTTGCTGGCATTCAGGCATGAGCCACCATACTGGGCTCTCCTGTTCATTTTCTCTTCTCCCATCTTTTCACCTTTGAATTGCCACTCTCCTCCCTTATCTTTTTTGATTAAGAAGTTTTATTTCAACTTATTTGAAATTGTGATGGCTAGTCCAGGGGCTAAATTGAAGCTGATTTTCATACAGTCTATATTTATGAAAGATTTTCTAAAATATTTTATTAACAGCAACAATAAATTCTAGGAAGATATTTAAAATACAATGGAGTATGAATGAATCTTCAATTCTGTAGAAGCATCATTTAAATATAAATATAACTGCAGAGCAAGAGAAGGTATTCTTTAAACTATCATGCTTCAGATCTAGGGGTGTGCTTTTGGCATTTTTGAGTGGATAAATTTTCAGTATGAGGGAATGCTGGGCTTTGACAGAAAGTTTGGAATCCTTGGCCCTGAACACTAAATGCCCATAGTGCCAACTGAGTCATTTGACAGTCAAGGACATTTACACAGATTTCCGAATGAAATGGTAAGTTTTATTTTATTGTAGCATTCTTATTCTCTATGTTAAATCTAAAATAGTTTCTTTAAAACTGTGCCATCATTTAGATAGATGCCCGCTAATCATTTGTTCAGATTTCTTATGCTTACTGCAAAATAATTATGTAGACATGTCAGTGTTAAAGATCAAGTGCAACGCAGTTGCTACAAGAAGTGGCACATAGAGCATTCATCATTCTAGTTAAACACAAAGGAGCTTGTCCTGATTACATGAATGCTAGCTTTCTATTCCTTGAATGAACCTCTCCAAGTAAGACTAAGAGTCCATACCTTGTAGTAATTTATAATGTGAAAAAATATTTTTCTACCTAGGATTTTAATGAAAATTAAATAAATGAATGTGGTAAAGCACTTGGAGCCAATTTGAACTCTGGCATTGCCTTGATTATATCTGGAAGATAACTGCTTACCCACCTCCAGTGCCCCAACAACCATGGCTCAATGACTGTTTTCATGAATCGAGGAATTTGAGATCCTCTGTTAATATTAACAGCAGCCTCAAGCGTGACAGAAGTCTTCTAGATGTCTGAATCCAACACCTGCACTTTTCAAAATGGGGGACTTTAGTAAAAACTCTCATGTGACAATAATTTTTGAAACAACTCCAAATAAGGCATAATGCAGGGTTTAAGCTAACACTTCAGATGACCTAAAGCCTGAACTGAAGAAAGCAAGTGAGTTTGATCATTATTCTTTCTCGTGATGAGCTCTAACAGTCACTTATATGCATTTTGTTAGAACACTCCTACAACCATTGAGAACAGAATAAAAGAATAAAAAGAAACAGATTCCTACTATAGCAAGTGAGATGCAGGTTAAAAATGAAACACATACACACGCACAGACATACATTCCAGTTGCAAGTGTGATTAAATATGATAAAAATAGGGAACCAAAAGTGACCTCTTTCCCCACATAGGCAGAGTGGCTTTTTGAACTAGGAAGCATTTTGTTGTCTGGTCAATAGAGCCTAAATGTAATACTCGCCTATAGCCAGGGGAAGAACTCCATGCCTCCAACAGGTCAGTTTATTATTCCCTGCTGTGTCTGGGTTGCAGATGAGAATAAAACCTCTCACTTCTATGAGATGAGTCAACCTGCAGTTCACCATGGCCACATTCCTGGGAAAATAGCTTGTCAGGAGAAATGACTAAAGAAGACCATGTTTGACTTCAATGCTGCCCGATTGGTGAATTATATTTTTAGAGCAATCAGTTTAAATCCTACAGATTGAAATTGTGCTGCTCGCTAACTGCCTGGGTGATTTGGCATGAAATTTAATTTGCTTTAACATGCATGGGGGGTAAGCAGAGGGGCGTTAATTTCACATTTGAGAGTTGCTGCGGTACTTTGAAAATAACTAAAATCGTGGTATAATACTTTGCTCTCATTTTTCTTCTTCAAAACAGGCGTGATGCTCTGGCCAAATTCGGTACTTTAGTCTACCAGTTTGGGCTAATTTTATCTTTTTTCCATGATTCTCACTCTTTCTCACTTTAATGTCAGTATTAACTGAGCACTTACCATGTGCTAGTTACTTGCTTAGTTGATCATCTAATTAACATTCAGCATATTAGCCACTCAATTTTATAGTTGGGGAAAGTTGACAACTACTGACCATTTCCAGACCTTTCCTCTCTTTGCAGGGACACAGAGGGAAGCTCGTCTAATAGGGTGCTATGCTTTTGTTCTTTCATGTCTGTCTTCCCAGAGTGGAACCCTCATTCACCTTGAGTGTGCCCACTGCAAGGGAGAATTTTGGAATCAAGGGTTATGTTTTTAATATTTTTCGATGTAGCAATCCAGCTTTCAAGTAATATAAGTTAGTCCTCAAAGTCAGGTCATTTTAAAGCTATTTCTCTGACATGAGTAAGTCAAGGCTGAGCTAATCTGAAAATTTGCATGCTGATAACAATAAAACAATAAAAAAAAGTGCTTCTAGTGAATTAATGTCTTGAACCTACATAGAGAGCGACCTATAAAGGAGCCATTTTTTTTATTGCCTGAGGCTAATGTAATGGATATTGAAAATGCCTTACTACTCTGCCATGTAATCTACATGTCCCCAACTGATATTTCCGCTGGTCAGTATTCATATTAAATGTAAACTCAACTATAGTTGGTGATTAGAAAGCCAACTAGCAGCAGTCATTGATTCAGGCAATGAGTCTAATGCCAATTGTACTTTTAGGTAAATGTTTTGATAGGACACTTCATCAGCAGTAAGAATTCCTCCACTGGGATCTTTAAGTAAATACTTTGCTTCTAAGAATTGTAAAGGAATGGTTGCTTGGTCCCCAAAAGATCCTTTCTTAGGGCATGATTTATTATTTAATGGATTGTGGAAATATGCCATTTCTTGAAATGATAGTCAATGAGTACTATAAAAGATCTGAGGAGAACTATGTGCTTCATCTAATTAAGCTATTTATTTGAGTTTATTATAAGACAAATGTATCTTCAGTTGATTCCATTTTATGGAATACCAGGCAATGAAGATATTTTTAACTTCTTCCTGATCATATATGATCCTCCACTGTAATTTCCCATGAATTATGTCAGATCAAGAGGTTACTTTAAAAAAAAAAAATAAAGATTCCAAAAAAGATGTTTCTTCTGGGGAAGTAGGTTCATTACATCTATTAGGACAGTACATGTATCAGTGCTTGAGAAGACAAAACCCTCTAAATGAGTGTTCAGGAGGTTTAGATGTGACTATGTCTTCCCCAAGAAACCTAGTTCATCTTGTTCCACCAAAATGCTCAGGTCCTAGAGCATCTTTATCATGGCCAGAGCGATCTTGCTCATCAATCATTAGTATTTCCCCTCCATTTAGATTTAGATTTAGATTCTCCATTTAGATTATCAGGCCCCTGATAAATAGCAAAGTAGGTACTGGGGGTAGGGAAGGGGGTAATTTTCAAGCAATAAGGGACAAAATTCTGCCATGACAATATAAGACTGGATACAACAGCCCAAGAACTACTACCATTTTCTGACTTAAAGGAGTTATGTGGTAGCTTGGCATAAGTATGATGAAATTGTCTTCTGTTGTCAAATATCGGACATACCATACAGGTTAGAATCTTGTTAACTATTCTCTCCTTTCTACTATAACCTATAATATATAGAGCTACCATGTGTCCAGTTGAATTGGATACATTTAAATTTAAAAAATGTATATAACACAAAGATCACATATCCCTTAATTGAGGCTCTTTACTCCTTTATGCCACTGTGAGAACAATTCTGAACAAATAGTTAAGAGACAGATGTTCTAGACCTACCTCTGCCTCTCACATATTTACCGCATGAGCTCATAACAGGAGCATCTATATCATTACAAAACAATGATTATGCACCACTTCTACTTTTTGCACTGAGCTTTTGCCAAGATCGAATGAGATAACCCAGGTGAAAGTGCTTTATAAACTCTAATGGCATTATGCTTTGAAAATGTGACATTATTTAGTGCCCTGGAGCAGCAAGGTACTAAATAATATCTTAGTGGCTTGAATTAATACAGCTGCCAAAAGAGCCTAATTTAGGAAATTGCTTAAATATGAAAAAAATAAAACAAAACCTCATTCCACATGCATTTTTCACTGACACAAGCTCTCTGTGCTCCAGGTTTCAGGAGGTATGTTAATACAGCCAAAGGAGGGAGGTGGTTGCCAGGGTAAATGGAGGTAAATGAGAGAACCAGAGTTTGCCCCTGAGAATTTGGTTAAAGCAGTTAACCACTCACAACTGAGCCTCTTTCAGAACTTCTTCTTAACCGTCAACTAATGAGTCCCTTGCACTTCTTCGGTTGTGGCACTCTAACTTCAGGAGTACTCCTATCCAAACACTTTATTGAAAGAAACAAATAAGACAGAAATTAAAATGTCATCACGGGAGAATATCAGGGGATGGAATTCTAGAAGGAAGTGTACATGTAGGAGGGAGTTGGTGGGTGAAGATGGGAATATACTACAGAGGAGAGGAAGGGGGAGGATATGATAAAGGTGCTTGATTTGAAAAGTCTTTTTGTCCAATGCCATCATAACCAAATCACTCACCCACTAGAAGCACAACTAGAAAAGAGCATGAGTCATATGGCCTCCATTTTCCCTCTTGCAAACAGAGTGCATCTTTAGGGTGGTGTGGATTTCTGGAGATAGAATTTTGAGGGGACAAAGGTACAAGTAAACGCAAACAGAATTACCAGTGTTGTGAGGATTGTGAAAGCAAATGGGATAAGGAGTTTCGGGGGAGTTTTAGAAGAGAAGTCTTAGGGAGGATAGCATTTCCGTAATTTAAATATTTGAATACATGACTTGATCATGTGCAGAATGATAGGGAAATATATTTCCAACACAGCATGTGGGAGATTTTTTTTCTAATAAATAGAGCTGTTCTCTGGAAGTGATATTACTTCTAGATCAGTGTTTCTCAAACTCAGGTGCTAAAGCTGCCGGTCTGGGCCCATACTCTGGCAGTGAGGGTCTAGATCGCCCTTGCTTCAGTTGTATGCCAGAAGATCTGCTGTCAGGGGTGCTGGGTCAGGGATTGTTGCTCTAGATGGGAGGGTGGACAGAGAAGTGTGGGTGTTTCTTTCACCTCTAAACCACTCTAATACCTTGTACAGGGAGTGCACTTAGTGGTAGGATTCATGGTGTTTATTTTTCTGCCTCCCAATGTCCAGGGCACTGATGTGGACAGGATAAGGGCTGGTTTATCATGTGCTAGTTTACCACTGCAGTTTCTGTATTAGTCAGGGGCCATTTGGCAATGAATCTTCTTCCTAATTGTAGCAGACATCGCTATATGCCTACCACATATCCATTCTCTCTTTTTTTCCTTAGTAATATCACTGTCCAGCCTGGCAATATTCTCAGCTAAAAAGCAAAAATGTTGACTTTACAGACTCTCCTCCGGCTAGGAGAAGCCACATGGCATAGTTTTGGCCAATGAGATGTAAGCAGAAGCCATCTAGAACAGATCGTTTTTCTGATAAAAAGTCTGCATGCTCTTTTTGCTCTTCTCTTTTCCCCATCTTGCCTGGCATATGGGCATAATGTCTGGAGGCTCAGCAGTTCCTTTGTGATGATGAGGATGAGAGCTACATTCTAAGGATGATAGGGATGCCAACTCGACTCCCTTGGGCCACTGTACAAGCCCTGATTAGTCTTCTGAACAACTTCTTGCTATGTAAGAACAATAAGCATCATACTTATTAAGCCGCTCTTTATTGGGTTTTGGCTACACGCTGCCAGACACAGTCCTGGCTGATATTCTAGTGATCATCATGCCTCAGGCAGGTAACCTCTTGTCACTTTAGTTTTAGGGAAAGACCATTTCTCATCAGCAAAGATGCTCCGTTGTATATGATGAACTTTTCTATTTTTGTTCCCATTGGACAACTTTTTCTTTCTTTCTTTTTTGAACTCTTATATAATTTTAAAAGTCTTGTTTTCCATGAACATTAAACGACCATTTTTACTTAGGTAGAACAATTTTTACTGCCCAGAGGTTAAAATTAATGATACCCCAAAAAAGTATTCACCTTCCATGGTCTATATTGCTGGGTAAATAGCACAGTCACATTGTTCTTTTTTTTCTCCCAAAAAGATTCCATTTCTTAGCCTGTCCATTTCACTCTTCAAAATAATCACTGTCCACCTGCTGGATCCCTCTTTATCCTTGGCAACTCTGTTATGTCAATTATATAATAGTTTGGCCCTTTTTGGCTTTTGTTTCACTTTGTTTCTTTTCTCTCTCTGCAAAGCAGCCTGCAGAGCAATAAGATAGGGAACATGCCTGCTGGGCCTGATTTTCTTCTTGAAAATAGCTTTGACCAATGGTTAGTGATAAAAGAAGTTGGCTGTCTATAAAAGCCAAAAACCAGGTAAGTGGATTTAACCTCACATTGGCACAAAGGTGACTAATGGACAGAAAATGGAATCTGTATTTGCTTTGAACATAAACAGGGGCAGCAAGACATGGTAAAAACATCATTATACCTAGAGTGAGCTCACCAAGATTCCACACTGCTGATTCCAACTGCGAATCCTGCAATCTCTTAGCCTCTCTGGAACTCAGTTATAAAAGAGTGGTCTCCAAGGTTTCTTCCGGCTCAAACATCCTGAGCTATTCTCATCCAATAATAAACATTTATTGTGTACCCATGATAGGCCAGCCACTGTCCTGGCAATGGAGATGTGGGGATGAACCATACAGAGAGAAGAAACCAAGGTTTGAGAGTGCAGAAATGAGAGAGAACAGAAGGAAGAACTGTCATGGGAAAAAATAATAGAGGGGGGAAATGGAAACAGTAACTAAAATGTGCCTGGCCATTTTAATGGCCAGGATCATTGCAGCCATCATTAATCTCACCATCCAGGGAACCTCCAAGTATTTTTGTCGACACCATTCATTCAACACTTATCGGTCAGCTGTCTTAGGAAGTCTCTTTGGGGGCATTTTTCTTGTCTCTCAACTAGTTTGAAAGCACTTAGAGGCCAGGTACTTGTGTATGGCTGAATCAAAATACCTTTTGGTATCAAGTATAAAATAAACCAGGCAAGTGCTATGGATCTCCTCAAAAGGCTAGAGGCCTAGCGAGGAGTCATATTAATATTTTTGGATTGAATTTAGCTCACTGGAGAAGGTAGGAAGGTAGATAGCAGTGTTAACTTCAGGCAGGCTAACCACTCATAATCAAGCACAAACTGGAAGTCATATGCACCCCTTGAGGAGTGCTTAAATTATAGCAAAGAAAAAGGTCAGTGAATGGTTATGATAGAAAACAGTAGTTTTCTTTAATGAGTCCATGGTACCTGTTCATCACCACAGATCCCTGAAGGCTTACCTTTTAGTTACCTTGCCAGGAGGCATTCAAAATAGCATTTTTTTTTTGTTTTTTTTTTGTTTGTTTGTTTTTGTTTTTTTATTTTTTATTTTTTTTTGGTAAGCAAGGAAGGAAAATAGTCAAAAGGGGAAGGAAAGGAAAGAAAGAAGGTAGCATGATGTTCTGTAGATATAGTTCAGCAGTCTCATAGTCTATCTGTATTTGGTATTTACATTCATAGTGCCCCTCCTTTTGTGCATCTCCAGAGGCCAGGAAGTCTTTTCGATATCCTCATCTCTGACAGTGCCTATCATAGAGCCGGGCACAAAGCAGATGCCTCTATGGACAGACCGAATTGACAGATAGATGGAACTGGTTCTTCTTCCCTGCTCCCCGATTCCAAGTGGGACCAATGATGTGTGGCAGAATATAGGAAAAAGGAGGATCTCGTCAGTATCTTGATATTTCTTGAGGCCTGCATACTAAAGACAGAAGAATCAATATGACTCTTCTAGTCAAAACCACCTATTTGGCACTCGAGCACTGAGAATAAAAGACAAGGTCAGGGTTCCTGGTTCCAAGGACTTGGGCAAATTTATAACCTATTTGATTCACATAGATAATACCATCAGATACTTACCTTCATAGATTGTCAACAGCTACTGCCTGACCCAGAACTGTGCTAAGAGAAGCCATCTCTAAAATTGATTTTTTTTATTGACACTTGGTAATACAGGGTGCTCTTAGAACATGAGAGGGTAGAGGTGGCGCTTATCTTTGCATGTGACACTCAAAGCTAGATATAAGTGGGGCTGCCTAACTTCTAGTCTTCATGAAGGTAGGCTCTGTGGGGGCAGACACTATGTCCTTCTTGTTCATTCCTTATCTTTGTGAACTGGGGAAACGTCTATAGCCTTTTTGTGCCTTAGTTTTATCACCCAGAAAGTAAGGATACTATGAGTACCTATTCACAGGAGCGATGTGAAAATAAATTCAGTTAATGCTTACTTACAAAGTCCTTAGGACAGTGCGTGGCAAGGAGTAAGCCTTCAATAGTCATTAACCATTGCTTACTAGTATTTTAGGCTTGAAGAGTGTCTGGCATGTAATAGATATCAAAATATTTTTGCTAAATAAATGTATGAATGAGTTCTACGTCAGTAGTATTCTACTTTTTTTTTTTTTTTTTTTTTTTTGAGATGGAGTTTCGGTCTTGTCACCAAGGCTGGAGTGCAATGGCGCAATCTTGGCTCACTGCAAGCTCTGCCTCCCAGGTTCAAGCAATTCTCCTGCCTCAGCCTCCTGAGTAGCTGGAATTACAGGTGCCCACCACCATGCCTGCCTAATTTTTGTATTTTTAGTAGAGATGGGGTTTCACCATGTTGACCAGGCTGGTTTTGAACTCCTGACCCCTCAGGTTATCTACCCGCCTGAGCTTCCCAAAGTGCTGGGATTATAGGCGTGAGCCACTGTGCCCAGCCACTACTCTACTTTTATGTTTAGCTTGTACATCCCTTAAATAATTTTTGAAAAAGTATGTATTTCCTTGTATATCTTTAAGTAGATATATAAAATGTTATATCTCAAGTCTAACCAGTTGCAAAGGATGCACTTTCTAGTATATTGAATATGTTAACATTGTAAAATAAAACTCTCACATCACTCTTTTGAAATATAACAAACGGAACAGAAATATCACTTCACCCATTAAAAAAAAACATGAAGAGGTTCTTTATAACATTTTCAAATATTACTTCATTCTTTTTCCTTTTTGCATTGGGGTTTCCATTCTATCCTATCACAGAAATTGATTCTAAAGCAATATATTTTTAGAATTGAACATTTTTATTGATTTTTTGACTCCATTACTGTAGGCTCACTAATGAAAAAAACAAAACAAAACAAAAAAAACCTTTTTAGCCGCTGAGTATGATGGCTCACACCTGTAATCACCAGCACTTTGGGAGGCTGAGGCAGGAGTATTACTTGAGCTCAGGAGTTCAAGACCAGCCTGGGCAATATGGCAGGACCCTGTCTCTAAAATAAATAAAAAATAAATAAATAATTCCTTCTATCCATCCATATCAAATTGGATTGATATCATTATTAAAAATAAAGTGGCCATATGTGTTTAAGTGAATTTTAGGACTCTGGTTCTACTGAGCTTTTTGTCTACATTTATGCCGATGATACACTGTCTGATATGGTTTGGATCTGTATTCCCACCTAAACTCATGTTCAGTTGTAATCCCCAGTGTTGGAGGCGGAGCCTGGTGGGAGGTGATTGGATCATGGGAGTGGATCCTTCATGAATGGGTTTAGCACCCCCCCTTTGGTGCTGTTCTCATGACAGAGTTCACATGAGATCTGATTGTTTAAAAGTGTGAGCACCTGCCCCTCTTCCTCCTGCTCTGGCCATGTAAGATGTGCCTGCTTCCCCTTCACCTTGAGACATAACTGTAAGTTTCCTGAGGCCCCCCTAGAAGCAGATGCCACTATGCTTCTAGAGTTTGTGGAACCATGAGCCCATTAAACCTCTTCTCTTTATAAGTTACTCAGTCTCAGGTATTTCTTTAGAGCAGTGTAAGAATGGACTAATATGCTGTCTTAATTATTATAGCTTTTCACTAAGTTATGAAATCTGATGGAGTGAATCTTCCAACCTAATTTTTCTTCAACATAATCTTGACTCCTTTTTTCTTATATTTCCATATCAATTTAGAATCAGACTGTTAATTTGTACCAGAAACACAAGCTATTGTGATTTTGATTGGAATTATATTTAATCTGTCAGTAAATTTGGGGATAACTAACATCTTAATGAAATTGAATTTTCTTATCTTTTACCATCATATAGTTATCCATTTATTTACATCTTTAATTCCTTTTAGCAAAGTTTTGTAGTTTCTAATGTAGTGGTCTTAAACACCTCTCATTAAATTTATTCCTAATTTTCTTATTGTTTTGAAGGGATTGGAAGAGGTAGTGAAACAAAATATTTAAACTGATACTTAATTTTTTCTGGTGAACCATAAGTTTATATATGCTGAAAAGTTCATTGTGCATTGAGCTATTTCTATGATAAGTAACACACAACTGATCAAAACTATTAACCATTTTGATGGATAATTATGACACACCGTATATTTTTTGAAAATACATAGTATAGAGAGATGGAGGTAGCTATTAGGGTACTTGGATTAAAATAATTGTCTAATTATCCCTTTTGGTAGTACTTAAGGGTTTTTTACACATCCGAGCAGTATACTTTAGTAAGATATAGAATAGGTGAGAATTGTGCCTTATTTTGTAAAATGGGAGAGTGGTAAGAGTGAAAGTGGAAAAGGAGAATTTCAACCACAGGAGCATCTTAGACTAATTTTAGGTCATAATACTAACAGAGTTTGAGGATCTAGCAATTGTTTTATTAAAACTGTCCTGATAGGGTACTCTATGATTAGTCCCTGCATATGCTTAGGGAGTACATGTAAGTGGCCCTGCTTACAAACCACTTCTCTAGAACAGAAGTACAAGTGAATCAGAAGGGTGACGTTTGCAAATGTTTTATTTTTTTAATGAAGTTAAAGTTAATCTACAATGATAGCATTTTGACTTACTTGCTTTCTGATAAGATTTCTCATGTCATGGAGATCTATGCAGAACCTGGAGTTTGTCGCTCTAAACCACTAACTTGAATATGCTACTGTTAATGTTCTATTGATACTTGCTATTGATTATTATTAATTTGTGTTTATTATTATTAATTATTAAACGTATTATAGTGGGTTTTTTTTAAATAGATGATTTTCCAGAACCTGATTTTTACCCTGGGAATGGATGGTATACACGGATGTCATATGAACAAGGTCCTCACATTTTTTTCTCCCAGCTGGCCTTCATTGCCTCCAACCCCTTTATTTTGTTCTCCCATTAAGAGCTGTGTAATACCAATTTTTGTAGGCTACAAATTGGTTTTCTAGCAGATGGAACATCAACCTGAAGAGGTAATGGATCTTTATTACTCAAACTAGGTCAAATATTCAGGCCTTCTCAGTAAATCATAAGAATTATCTGAGAGTCCTCATGAGGAAATAGAAATGCATTTCTTAATAGTAATACGTGGTTAAAAATTAAACAACAACCATAACTTTACTTGTTCCTCACTTGGGCCACACCATTATATTAGTTTTTTTACTCAGCGTGGGTGCAAAATGGATTGTAGCTCACTGGGTTCTGAATATATAACAACAAAAACTGTCATTCTTGTTTCATAAAGTGAAGGTAATCCTAAGGAGTATGGTTAAAGTAAATGTTCACAAACTACATGTAGTTTCTTGAATGGCTTATTCTTATTTCTAAGACAACACATCAGTAGTTTGACTTCCATTTGGGTGACACATAGTACCAGTTCCCAAAAAAAGGACATTTTAAAAATCATGACATGACACGGTCACAACTAGAAAAATACAGCAGGATTAGTAGCTGTGATGAATAGGGAGGTGCAAGGGATGGATTCTGGAGGCCAGGCCTGAACTCCATCTGTTGTTTATTATGTGTGTCACCTGTTGGGGAAATATAATTTAGAACAAAATCTCCTCCTTCCCCCCAAAACCTCTCCATGAAGGTGGAAGAGAAAGAAAATGGTTTCATTGTTGTATAAGTACTAAACAAGAATATGATGTGCATCATAGACCGCCTACTAAGAGATTGCAAAGACAAAAAGAAATCACACCTTTTTAAAAAGCCAAATAGATGCAACCCATCCCATACATGTTCTTAAGATAAACTATAACTAGTCCTCTAGTAAGAGGACTTGACAGCACCATTTGTCACACACAGTTCAACCTGAATTCACTTGGTAATTAGGGTGACCATCTGTTTTAGCTAATTGACTTTGTCTCAAAGAAAAACAAACTCTTATCTTTATGACATGAGGCAGTTTTGCAATTTGGAGAAAGGAACCTAAATGAAGTTAGGTTCCTACCCCTGCCACAGAACTGGTTGATAAGGATGCTTTCTTCCTTGATAACATTTCAAAGAGATAGTTCCCAGGTCCTTGAGAAAGACACTCCTCCATTATAAGGCTGGCAAGAGGCTTATTTAACTTTGAAAAAGATTTACATACATTTCAAAGAGACTGAAAAATAATTTACAAGTTTTCTAAAGCAAGAAAAAGGATGAGGGAGAGGTCTCTTCTCTATTTTCAACAGAGAGAATTATTTACTTTTTCTTTTTTGATTTGTGCTTACCCTTACACATCTTAGGAAGCCACTCAATCTTCTTGAATCTTTTTTCTCATCTGTGAAAGGGGAGTAATAACACTCTTAATTATTTCACATCACACAGGGCCTAAGAAAAGTAACTGTGCAAAACTCACTTGTCATTTTAGATGCTGAAATTACTAGAAATGAGATATCTTTACTGGTTAATACATGAATCTAATATTTAAGTGGAAACTTAACGTTTTTAAAAGAGTCTCTCTCTACAAGGCCAAGAATCTTTTTGCAACAAAAATGTGTCAGCTCTACATTTATCGGTTGGAGTTGAACATTTACTCTCTCTGCACGTCTTACCCATAAGAACCAGTTTTCTGTAAATGTTGTGTATGAATTCTCTTGTTATCAATGTGTTCTTGTTCCATAGTAGTATTAACAATAAATGTTAGGAACTGGGCGTGGTGGTGCATGCCTGTAATCCCAGCTACTTGGGAGGCTGAGCCAGGAGGATTGCTTCAGTCCAGGAGTTTGAGGCTTAGGTTTGCTATATATCAGGCCTGTGAATTACCACTGCACCATGGCATTCTAGCCTGGGCAACATAGCAAGACATCGTCTCAAAAAAAAAAAAAAAAAAGTCACAGTAAATTCAAGCTGTTCTAACTTATTAACTAATTCATCTAGATATATTTTTCAGAAATTGTATTTTTATAAAGACATGTCCTAAATAATTATTTTGGTTTAAAAAATCCTGCAAGATACATTTTAATACAAAAATAAATATAAGTACAAGAAATGAATTTAGATATGGTGGAAAACAAGCACAGAAATATTTTTTCTTCAGAAATGATTTTTAAAAACATGAAGAAAAAAAAATGATGCCATTGCTTGAATTCAGAGGTACTTCGATTTGACAGATTTGACATATCATGAGATAAAGTACAAGCAAAGCAAAAATAACTAAAAATAGCTCCATGGTAATGCTAAGTATAAGAATTAAATTGAAGATTGAAAGACTCAAAAATCTCAAGCATGCTACATGATTTTACCAGCTCTCTCAAATAAAGCCGGGCTCAGTAAATGCTCTGGTGACTGAAACAATGCTAAGATTGGGCTTTGTTCTTCAGACATGGAATTCATCACCTTCGTGGTGATGAATCATTGGTGAGGCCCTAATTATTAAACAAGATGTCGAATCAAAGCTATCCTCCTCTATTTGCGTGAGGATTTCTGTACTTAGAATTGAGTCCTGCCACATTCTTATAATGGTGCGTGCATATGGGTAGCAGGTATACACACCAATAAATAATGTGGCTAGTATGATTCTGGAAATTACAATGCCAGTTAGAAATTATTCAGAATGGAATAAAATATTTAAAACCCCTGCTATAAATCTTAGCCAGGAAATAAATTTTCATGAGACCAGTGATTAACCCAATAGCAAAACGGAATTTATATCAACCATTCATTAATCCCATTTCCCTTCTCCCAATACCATTAATTAAGTGTCTGTTCAATTCCCATTCCTGTGCTACACTTGTGTCGCTTACCCAATTACAGCTAATTTTCTTGCATGCAACGGGAGTGGTAATAGCCTCTAACAGTTGTTGAAATGTGGTTCCTAGCGTTTACTGCAGTGTGTCATCCTTAAATATTCTCTAACATGTTTTCTAATTCTGTTTCTAAAATCGAGTTTGTGTGGGGAGGACTGAGTTGAATACAGTAAGTGGGTGGTTTCCTTCCTTTCAGGTCCTCGGAGACCCTTATCTGATTTAAGTTTTGCCTCAGGAGAAAGCTGTACCACTGAGATTGCTAAAAATAACTGTTCTCCTGTCTTGCTGTTTTGCCTATGATTCTCTTGGAGAAAAAAGCTTTGGAAAATAAACTTTTGAAGGCGTGTTTTTATAAATTATCTGATCACTTCTTCAGAGTTCAATAGAAAGGGTCAATTTTAAAATTAAAGCCTCTGTAACAAGATGTTCTTTTCTCTTTTCTCCTTTCCCTTTTTAAAACACAGTTTACAAAAAAGGAGATGGTGAAGCCTGAAAATATTAAATATAAACTCTTTGCCTTATTTTAGTCGTTCCTAAAATTATGGGTGTAATTTCAGTTTGTGTATTCTAAAAGTAAGTTTCCCATGGATGTCTGTATTATAATTTGAGAGAAAGTAATTTTTTTTTTTTTTTTTTTTCTGATGGTTCCTCACTTGTCAGTGGCTCCTAATGATTTACTTGATTTAAGTACTTTGTATCTTCCCTCTGACACTCCTCATACTTTTCTTTCCTCACCCCAGGTAATTGATGATCTGTAAATAAACACTTCAACTCATTAGAGAAGCTCACTGTTTAAAATAAGCCTGCAGAGAATCCTTTTGTTAAGGAAATAAGCCTTTTATAATCACCTCTGTGTCTTCTGCACAGATTTTTAGTCTATCAGCTTTTCCTTAAAGCAGAAAGTGTTTTATCTTTTCTAAGCAAGGGAAAGATTCCCTTGATATGTAGCTGGGCTCTAGAGGGGAGAACAGGGAAGAAACTCGGGTTTATGATTAGTGATGGGGTTAAATGCGATAGTAACAGCTCGATTTAGTGGCATTGGCTAAAGCGTGCTCCTACACACTGTAATCCAGTCATCTGTGGGGTTTGGCCTTCATGTAACATCACTTCTTTCTTTTTATCTACATACCTGCATACCTGGCCTTGTGCCTCTTCCCATTCCCCTGTAATTGGAAATGGCATCTATTTGGGGTTGTTGTCACCACCTTTACCGTATCTATTCAAAACTTAATCTACATACATCAAATCGTTCAAAGAAAACCTGTGCAATTCCAATCAACTCTAATATCCAGTTGTTTCTAACATGAAATTCAAGGGACTACTTCAAAGCCACTTGGAGAGTAGCTTTCTTCCCATCAAAGAATGAGTAGTAGGCACCCACTGTTCACTGTTGACATGCTGACAGTGCAGCCCTGCATAAACACAACCGCTTGCCCTCTCACAGCTTATATTTTAAAGGTTGTAAAATCTTGTTTTTGTCATATCTGGCAATAGTATTTTGTAAATTATTTTTTACATGATTTTTTAAAAATGTACTCATCAAAATGAGCTGGCACATATAAGCTCATTATATTTTTACATTTTAGCAAAAACACTGTCTTTTGCCTACAACATGATAGTTTGTGTTTTTTGGAAAAAAAAAAAAAACAACAACAACTCTATTATGGTCTTCATAGTGTTTCTAATTTCTAAAATCATTTTGGCCTGTAGACACTTTTAAAAAAAAGATGCTCTCTAAATATGAGGAACATAAGATTGTGTAACTGTTTTCATAAGTGAAAAACTTACACTTACCATTGTCATCTGAGAGGAAATAATGGTTTAATTAGTTTTTAGATAAAAAGATTTTTGCAATCAGACTGTGTTTGTAATGGCATTTATAAAACAATTTCCCCCTACAGTAGCATTGTAATTAAGACTTTCAATGAATCAGAGGAGAAGAGTGCATTTTTCCCCCTGTGGTCGGCTGTTATGCTTGCCCCTCGGGGCCTGCTGCTCTCCTGCATCAGGCTTGCACTAATGCCCACTAATGCCCTGTAATTGTGTTTCACTTCCTCTAATTAAACTGACAGGGAACTCGAATTGCTGTCACTTACCTTAATGATAGGGAAGGTAATGGGATTAGAATGTGGCAATTCTCACACAGAACACTTAACATCCCAAATACCAGTTTACCAGGAAGAATGCATTTCAGGGAAGACCTAAGGACTTCTGGGGTTCTGGTCCCACCTCTTGGGCAATACAATATGTGAGTTAGAAAGGTCACAAAGAATATCTTCTTCATGGGCGTGCTCCTCTGAACATCAGCTCCTGAAGATTTTAATGGATATTACAAGAGAAAAACATTTCTGAGGCCCAGTAGAAGTTGGAAAAGCAGGGTTAATCAAGTTAAACAGATTTCTTTTATTTGTCACTGTCAGTGCCTTGATACTTGCATTGATTTCTTTTCTTAAAGGTGCACTGTGGTGGCAGTGGCGGCGTGTGTGTATGCATGCATTTGTTTGTATAAAGTAGTTCACAGACGCATTTGCATATTTGATAACTTTTTTAGGGGCAAATTCAAGGCCTGGTGTCCTACAGATCATCTTTTGAGATCTGCAGATCTAGCCGATGAAGGCTGTCACATGGTTATTTAGTGATAGGCTCTCCAACCTTGTGGTGGTGGCCATGCATCCACCAGATATTGGATCAGCCTTCCTAAAATACCTCTTCAACTCCCTTTCATTGCCTCTCCCTTCTTCCTCCGCTGCTGTTGTTGCAGTGTGTCAAATCCCTCAGGCATATCGCTGTGAACCCCGAATATCTGAGACAGGTCTCAGTTACTTTAGAAAGTTTCTTTTGCCAAGGTTGCGGATGCACAGCTGTGACACAGCCTTAGGAGGTCCTGATGACATGTGCCCAAGGTGGTCGAGGCACAACTTAATTTTATACATTTTAGGGAGACATGAGACATCAATCAATATATGACAGATGTACATTGATTCCATTGGTTCCATCCAGAAAAGCGGGACAACTGGAAGCAGGGAGGGGGCTTCCAGGTCACAGGTAGGTGAGAGACAAATGGTTGCATTTTTTTTTTTTTTTGAGTTTCTGATTAGTCTTTCAAAAGGAGGCAATCAGATACACATGTATCTCAAAGAGCAGGGGGATGACTTTGAATAGAATGGGAGGCAGGTTTGCTCTAAGCAGTTCCCGGCTTGACTTTTCCCTTTAGGGTAGTGGGACCCCAAGATTTATTTTACTTTCACATTGCGTAGAAAAACGGAAAACAAAATACTTCATTATCACACTGTTTTTCCCTTCTATTCTGGGTGCTGCTGAACTAGAGTATACAATGCGGTGTTGTGGAGAGTGCACAGATTCACCCAGGTTTGAGACCTCCGACTGACTAGTCTTGTAACCACAGGCAAATTTCTTAAGGCCTCTGAAGCTCCATTTATGCGTTGATAAAAAGAAGCTTTAGGGTTTGGGGTTATTGTGGAGGTGGGAGAAAACGAATATAAGTCTCCTGGCCTGTAGCAGACATTCATTTAATGATAACTGTTATTATTATCTTAAGATTTTAAAACTTTTATTTGTTTTATTTTTTATTTTATTTTATTTTATTTTGCCAGCAGCTACCCTATGACCAATATCTAGATGCAAATTGAAAAGTTGGTTGAGCATTCAGCTCTTTATAAATAGCTTTATGCTTGGTAAAAACCAGCATTATGATTAACTTTTTTTTATAACTTTTATATCCTGCTTGTAATGGTGTGAAAAAAATGTTTAAAGATGTTGAAATAATGCAGTTTTTAAAAAAAGAGGTAAGTATTCAATATCAGCTCTACTAACTAGTAGGGATTACATTCTCTTCTTTCCTTTGGTTGTTTTTTATTTTGTTGGTTTGTTTTTATCATTCAGCTGAGTAGGATATCAGAAATAGTAAGCATCTGCTCCATTGAGATTCGTAGCAACTTGTTAATTTCAGGTGGGATTGTGTTTAGATGTGACTTTTGGCAGTTGAGTTCCAAGATGTTTATCAGTTTGCTCAGACTGTTATCATCATAATTTAGAAATCCACGTTACCAAATAAATGCATGCAAAAAATGACTTCTGAAAGCTTGACACATTCATAGAAAGATATTCCTGTGGTAGAGATCACACAATATCAATTTAGAATTTGATTGAACCTCAGAGGCCATATCAATGTCATACACTGTTTTGGCATATATTTACATTTAAGCTCTGAATTTCTCCCCTCTCCTGTCTATGTAATCTTTACCATTTTTAGACTTTCAGCATCTGCAAAGAGAGATTATAAAATACTACCCAAGTTATGGGTTGCACTGAGGATTAAAATGAAATAAGGCATTGAAAAGTATTTCATAGACTGGGAAATGTTGTCTACATTTTAGCTAGTTAGATTTTAAATTATTAGTAGTAATAGGGTGCATGTAGAGGACAGAAATTGTCTCACGCTGTAAAGCTAATTCCCATCATATAATCTCCTTTCTATAAATTTTTACGTGCATGTGCTAAATTTGGAGAATTGAATGCACTATACACAGATGCCATTTTTTTTTTAACCATTTTTGCTTCAGTTTAGAAAGCAGGCCAATGTGGGTACAAAAAGTAAGCCTTAACACAAAGGCCTGTGAAAAGTATCCAATTAGCCTGATTGATCTATTTTGTGCACAGATTTATTCTTAAGGCACTTACATGATACAGATGTTCTGGGAGATGTCAAATTTTCCTTTTGTGACAGCAAACTCCAAATTTAGGGGCATATTCTAAATATCTCTAACTGTTTTTAGCAGCCTGTTTTCAATGGCTGATAGGTTTGCCATTTTTAGCAAAAAAAAAAAGAAAAGAAAAGAAAAGAAAATGAAAAACAGTATGTGTATATATATATGTGTGTGTGTATATATGTGTGTGTGTGTGTGTGTGTATATATATATATATATTTGGCACGCTAGGCTAGTGGGTAGGAATGAGAAATGATGGTAGGAGAACTGGTGAAGTTTGGAACTGTCAGGTCAGCTGGGTGACTGTGCTCCAGGATATTGTAGTATACTTTTCTTGAACCCTATGTCTAAAGCTATAGGGTTAGTCAGCTCAGAGCAATACTTTGAAGAACAGGTTCATAAAGTTTATTTTCACTATATAGAGCATTTTGTTTGTCCTACAACCCCCTTCCTCAAGCTTCCAAAGAGGAGTGAGAGGTGCCTGGGCAGATAATCCCACCATCTTATTCTTATCTTTTTATACCTATGCAAGTTATAGTGAACTAGGATTTTAAACGTTTTAGGTTATTTTGCCACAAAGGATATATTTCTCCCCCACCATTTTCATATATCTAAACGTTTAGAAAGGACACTTAAAAATAAGGCAGGGACTTCTTAAAGGGATAAATTTCTCTGTATCTTAGAAAGTTGGGGAATATACATATTCTTTGACCTAGTAATCTACTTCTAGGAACCTGTTCTACGCAAGTGCTCACCCAAGCATGCAAGAATGTACATATACAGATGCCCACTGCCTTATTCTTTGTAAAAGTGAAATATTGAAATTGTGGTAGGCAGAAAAATGGCTCTCAAAGGATATCCACGTACTAAGTCCTGGAACCCATGAATATGTTATGGCTCTCAAAGGATATCCACGTACTAAGTCCTGGAACCCATGAATATGTTACCTTATATGGAAAAGGAATTTCACAGATGTGATTAAGGTTAAAGACCCTGAGATGGGGAGAGTGTCTTGGATTATCAGGTGGATCCAGTTTAATCATTTGAGTCTTCAAAGGTAGAAAATCTTTCCTGGCTAGAGTCAGAGAGAGACGGAACTACAGAAGCACAGCCAGAGAGATGCTAAATTGCTAGCTTTGAAGATGAAGAGAGGAATGAGCCAAGAAAGTGGGCTGTTTCCAGAAGCAGGAAAAGGCACGGAAACAGATTCTCTTCTAGCACCTCCAGAAAGGAGTGTATGCCTGACCACACCTTGATTTCAATGCTATAGGATTTCTGACCTACAGAACTTAAGACAATATATTTGTGCTATCTTAAGCCACTAAGTCTGGTAATTTGTTATGACAGCAGTAGAAAACTAATTTGGCAACACAGATGCTAAAATATAGGGAAACACTTAAACGATAGCTCACTCCAAGTAGCAAGTATCATGAATTCACAACAAAAGGTTGAGGCATTTATATTGTACTGCCATGAAACATGGAAGAGTGTTGGTGAACTCTTGCTGAGTGAAAGAGGTAGGAGAACTCAGTGCAGCCATTGTATCCTATTTCAGCGAAAAAATATTGTATATGAACATATTTGAGTGGTGTGTGTGTGTGTGTATGTGTTTGTGTGCGTGTGTGAATGGAAAAAGATCTATAGCTACCTAGTGAAATATTACCAACAATTTCAGGGCAGGAAGGGCTGTGTGTTTGTGGAAAGGGGGGAATTCACCTTTTACTTTATTCATATAAATATTGTTCAAAATGTTTAATATAGACTATTGTGTAACTTTAAATACCATTTTTTAAATATGGAGGAAAAATATAGCCATAATAAGGCCAAGTCAATGCTGATTCATTGACAACTAGCCAGAAGACTTTGGTGTGTCACCTTGACCAAGGATGACTTAACTATCGAGGAGAAAAAAACTTAAAAATTATCTAGTTCTAACACCTTGCTTTAGAGATAAGAAAGCTGGGATCTAATACAGTTCAGTGACTTTCCTGTCCTCACAGAAAGACAAAGAAGAAAATGGCAAATAAGATAAAGATATTCTGGCTTTTCACTATACCACACAGCCACTTACTTGTGTTTGTTACTGAAAGGTTAAAGAAATATCTTTTCTTACTCATCACTAGGTTCATGGCTGAGGCCCCTGTAACAAAAGGCAGATTAGTAACAGAAAAGCATACAAGTGTATTTAGTATGTTTTACATGACACAAGAGGCTTCATAAAGAAATGAAGACCCAATGAAATAAGTAAATCTACATATTTTTTAATGCTAGGTTTGATGATGACATAAATAGTTGTAGAGAAGTATGATTGAGCAAAAACGATATGATCTAATGGTAAGAAACGGGAGGAAACAGCATGGCCTGATTTTCACTTTCTTTTCTGTATCCCTATATCTTCAGAGTTAAGAATGTTCTTTCCCTTCAGGGTTAGGAAGGGTACTTCTCAAATGAGGGTCATATGACTGGCTTGAGGGGAGAAATTCAAGAAGAAGGTGAGAGTGACCTTTCTGCTTCTGCAGATTTCTCAAATGCCAAGATGCCATATATTGAGGTAGCATGTCCTGAACTCCATCATTACACAGCAAAAGCCATATGGCTGTCACATGATAGGCACTCAGATGAATTGTCCAAAATGTGGCCAATTCTGATTTTAACATTTACCCATAGCAGTCATTATCAGCAAATATGTATCAGATGTCAACTAAATATGAGGTAGTGAAGTGTTAACAATATAAAGATAATGATGATATAGTAGTATTATGAATAGCATAGACAAAGAAACCTGCAATTTTAGGATGACAGGAACCATGGTAGAAAGATGCATGAAGTGCAGTGCATACACACACACACACACACACAAAGGAACAAATAATGTTTGAGGAAATCAGGGATTTTTTTTTTTTTTTTACAGAGAAGATAATATTTGAATGAGATCATCAATAAACAGGTGAAGAGAGAATGGGGAGCATTGTAGATTCTAACACAGTGGTCAATGTTATTGAATAAAATGATGGAGGGAATGTCAGCAGTGAGAATGCCACGTGAAAGAGCCTAGAGGCATGAAAGCACAGTCTATTTGAGCAATGGAGGTGGAAGGTAAGGTTGGAGAGCAAACCTGAAGTCAAATTGCCCAGGACCTTCTTGGACTTATCTTGTAGATGATAGGTTGGCATTGGAGAATTTCAGGCAGGTGAGTGAAGTAATGTATGCTTATTAGAGGTAATGATTAAATAATGGACTTGATTTTCACAGAGTGAAACTGGTGACATGAAATGACGTAAAATAGCTGGCCTAATAATTTTTCAGCTCCAGACTTAATTGAACTAATAATAAGGTGGTCATAAAACTTGTCGTCCGAATTGAAGCACTTTATAGAGTGAAAGGAGGCATTATTATCAACTATGCAAGGACAATATAAGAAATTTTGAAGGAATCATCTCCCTCCCTATGAAACAAATTCATGCAGGTGTGAGATGATTGGATTTATGGATGATAATTAGCTGGCAGGTTGATATTTGAGGACTCTCAAACATAAGGCCAATCCATGGACTCTCATGACTATAGGATGGATGCTGTGGAACCCCAGAACCTCTCCACTATAACCTTTACTCATTGCCTTAAACCAGTCTCAAATTTACATTATTTCAATAATATATTTATTTAGGGCCACAAATCCCCATGCAAGCTCCATTTTTAGAGAAGTTTTTTTTTTTTTTTTAAGCTGTTGGCTACTTTAGCCCTCATGTAGCAAAGGTTGCTCTTTCTTAAAATTTCTCTGTCCTTCCTAAAGAATTAATTGGACTTGAGTGTAGAACCTGGATTTGATCCTGGGTTTATCTCTCACTCTTTGGCCCTTGAACATGTTCATTGGTGTCTTTGAGCATACCTGTAAAATGTTTATCATATGAGTATGTCATAAGAATTAAATAAACAATCAAGGTCAAGTGTTTGACACACAGTAGACACCCAAAAAATAGACATTGTCTTCATTTCATATCTCTTCATTGGGAAAACAGCTTTTTTTTTTTTTTTATTGAGCCACGTTACTTCTCAGTCAATTTGCATTGTATCTGTATCATAGCATTTGTCTTACTCTATTTTAATTACTTTAAAAATTATGTCTCATTTGTTAAGCCAGTTGTTCCCAAGTGGGAAAATTTTGCTCCCCCCTTCCCCAGGATACTTAGCAATGTCTGGAGATATTTTAGATTGCCATAACTGGGGGAAAAATACACTGGAATCTAATTAGCAGAGACCAGGGATGCTGTTAAATATTCTACAATGCCTAGGGTAGCCCTCCACAACAAAGAATTATCCAGCTCAGAATGTCAATAGTGCTGACATTTAGACTACAAGCTTTAGACGGTAACTCCATGCAGATTGTGACCATGATTGTGTTGCCATGGCCCAGTGCCTAGCCCTGTGATCATTCTAGGAGTCTCAGTGTTAATTAGTGGAGTGGAAGAATCAGGACCTGATCATTCTATGAGTCTCAGTGTTAATTAGTGGAGTGAACAAATCAGGACCTGATCATTCTATGAGTCTCAGTGTTAATTAGTGGAGTGAATGAATCAGGACCAATGGTTTAGCCATGATCCAGCTTTGCATGTATTTCTTCACTCCCTTTAGTCAACATGTAGGTTGTTTTCATGGTATCTCAAGCACACAGCTACCCACTGCTTGCTTGGAGTACTAGGAATAGTAAACCTGAACTCTGAAAGGGACATCATTAAAGAAATATTGCCCATAAGGGGATAGGTATCATATAGTTACCTAAAATACTTCAAGTTTCTTAATCAAAAGCACCTGCAAGCTTTCACATAGCATATAGAAGTTCTATTTTTTACCTGAATTAAACCGTGAGAGAGCATGAGATTAAATTTGTCTCTGGATGCTTACTGAAATGAGAAATATTTGAGGACCAATAAGGAAGGTGGCTTTACTTTGCTTTATTTATTTATTTACTTACTTACTTATTATTGAATTATTTTGCATCCTATAGCTGCCAATTTCTAATAAGAGATGTAAGACTCTAGAAGGAGCTTGAGAAAGCCTGAGGAAACCAGCCTGGCATTCAGACCAAGAAACCTGCTCCTGGGCTTGGGAAATTTCTAATTGTTGGATGAGATGCTGCTCTTTTGTTATTCAGACAAACTGATTGACGTGAGTCTTGTGCTGTGAAATACTGAAGAGCTTTCCGAGAATTCACACAAGAGATTTCTGGAGCCTGTCACATCCTCCCTACCTGTCCTCATCTCAGCTCTCTAGAACTCCTTGTAGCCTAATCAGTAATGTCATCAAACCTCAACAAACCATTACTCTGGTATTTCCTGTTACACCATATCTTAGTTTGCTAGGGCTACCATAACAAAATACCAAAGACTGGGAAACTTTAAAAAAAAAAAAGATTTCAACTCTTATTTTTGATTCAGGGCAACAGGTACAGGTTTGTTATATTGATGGACTGTATGATGCTGAAGTTCGAGGTGCAGGTCCCATCATCCAGGTAGTAAACATAGTAATCAACAGGTAGTTTTTCAGTCCTCCCTGGCTTCCTCTCTTTCCACCCTGGTAGTTCCTAGTATCTATTGTTTCCATCTTTCTGTACCAATGTTTAACTCTCACTTATAAGTGAAAACATGTGGTTTTTGGTATCTGTTTCTGTGTTAATTTGCTTACGATAATGGCTGCCAGCTGCATCCATGTTGCTGAAGGAACATGATTTTGTTCTTGTTATGGCTGTGCAGTATTCCATGGTGTATATGTAACACATCTTCTTTAACCAATTTACCGTTCATGGGTACCTAGCTTGATTCCATGTCTTTGCTGTTGTGAATAAGATGGAGACTTATTCACAGAAAACAACAGAAATTTGTTTTCTCACAGTTCTGGAGACTAGAAGTCTGAGATGAAGGAGTCAACAGGGTTGGTTTCTTCTGAGGCCTCTGACCTTGACTTGGAGATGGTGATCTTCTCCTTCGGCCCTCACACTGTCTTTCCTCTGCGTGCGTGCGTGCGTGTGTGTGTGTGTGTGTGTGTGTGTGTGTGTGTCCTAATCTCTTCTTTAAGGATACCAGTCATATTGGATTAGGGCTGAGATCGTTAGGACTAATGATCTCATTTTAACTTAATTACCTCTTTAAAGGTCGTATCGCCCAAATATAGTCACATTCTGAGGTCTTAGGGTTTAGCACTCCACAATGTGAATTTGAGGATGGGGGAGACACAGTTCAGCCCACATCACACCTCTACAGGACTCAACATTACATAGGTGCCCAATAAACACTTACTTAGTGGAATGATATATCGTTTGAAATGGAGTGTGGTGGCAGGCTCCTTCAGCCCAGATGATGTGATTTGCAGCCTGCAGATTCTTCCCCACCCCAGGCGAGCACAGATGGAAGCCTACTCCTTCTACCCCTGGAGTCACTGTGCTTAAGAAAACAAAATTATGATACTCAGACTGTATTTAATGTTTATTAGGTTGGAAGTTCTTTCTTTGTTTTCCATTTAACAGGCTTTGGTTAATCACAGGAGAACGGACACAAGGGAGAAGAGAGGGTTGGGATAGCCTCGGGAAAGGCACAGGAGGTCCTCTGGAGGGAAAAGGGCCTCCCCAGGAGGTAGGGATTTCTATGGAGCTCTCAGGATGAGGAAGAGAGGGGGAAGGGAGGTATACAGTTTGGTTCTTATAAACCTGGCTTTGTGTTTGTTTACATGTAGGTTGTGGGGATAGGGGTGGATTGCCAGGAAACTTTGAGCTTGGCACCAGTCTGGCTTCTGTACAGGTAATGAAAAGACTTGAACCCATAACATGGTGACCCACCCTCAAGTCAGACTTATAGCTGGTTTTACTCAGGACTTTTTACTACCTTTTGATTCCTGGTTTCTGGCTTCTTTTTTTTTTTTTTTTTTTTGAGATGGAGTCTCACTCTGTTGCCCAGGCTGGAGTGCAGTGGCGTGATCTCAGCTCACTGCAAGCTCCGCCTCCCAGGTTCATGCCATTCTCCTGCCTCAGCCTCCCAAGTAGCTGGGACTACAGGCGCCCGCCACAATGCCCAGCTAATTTTTGTATTTTTAGTAGAAACAGGGTTTTACTGTGTTAGCCAGGATGGTCTCGATCTCCTGACCTCATGATTCACCCGCCTCGGCCTCCCAAAGTGCTGGGATTACAGGCATGAGCCACCATGCCTGGCCTTCAAGTCAGACTTATAGCTGGTTTTACTCAGGACTTTTTACTCACTTTTGATTCCTGGTTTCTGGCTTCCCTTTCTGACTTCCTCTAAGTACCTCCTATTTTGGTAGTAGAAATGGGATCTCTGGCCAGTTTTATTCCCTTGGTAGTTCCTGCTTTGGATCCACCACAGCACACAGAAGCTCCAGGATAAGGTCTGAAGGTCTGAGTCACTCTTTGCCTTAAACTATAAAAATGAATCTTTTTTTTGCCCCTCCCACATCTCTACCATTATTTGATTTTTTTTCCCCTCAGTTTTTTGTTTAGAGTCATACATATGTCTAATTCCTAAATCCTAAATTCCTAATGAACTGATTTCCTATGGGACCAGAGTTTGTTTTATTTAACTCTTTAAGTTTTCTTCTCCCACCCTTCACACAGAGGTTTCCATCTTGCCTTTCTATTCTATCTGTTTAGGGAACAGCTGTCTATTTTCTAGAATGACAACCATTTTAGGTCACACCTTCATTAAGAAACTTTTGCCAGCTACTGGACTTAGTAGACATGCCAGCAAACTAGAGAGATGAAGTTCCTAATTGAGGTTTATAGGCTAATGGTAGAAACAGGAAAAAAAAAAAAAAACGGTAAGTAAATTGTCTATGTAACATCCTTCTTAGTTTTATTAGTGTTTTAGCAGGGAACTTCTGGAGTCATTACAAATGAGTTACAATAAAGAATTGTACATTAAAGAATGATAGATAGATCTCTAGACTTTGCATCATGGTGGAGAGGACATTTAGAAAAGAATGTTTTTCTTGCTGTTCAGACCCAGCTCTGGAGGCTGCTACCTTCTGAGGTGTGTATAAGTGATTAGCAATTCCCTTCGAGGACTCCCCATCAGTGTGGGGCAGACATGGAAAGCCTGCTGCATCTGGCTTTCTAATTTCTGCAAGGCCATCCCTTCCTTGATATGCCAAGTGAGGGTGACTGAAATAGAATCCACTCTTGATGCTTGGGGGATCTCCCTCTTTCTGGCAGTTACAGGTGCTCAGTTTGATTACAATCATCAGTGAGGTGTGTTCATTACTGATTTCATTACCCATGCAGAGGACTGAAAAGGAGGAATCAGTCCCCAGCATTTGCTCCCCATCTTTCCCCAGTAGAAGCTACCACGGTTGTCAGAGCTTGAATTCCTCATGACTGGACTATAGAAGTGAAATATCAGGGTCAATGTCTGGTTCTCCTTTTTCATTTGCCTCATATATGAGTATGTCATGAATGGATTTTAACTTGGTGAAAATTTCACAAGTGTTAAATATTACTCAGATGCTCAAAGATTTCCAAATGGCAAGTCTTGGTAAATCCAGATCCAGCCTATAAAACAATTTATTCTCCCTAGACATTCAATCCATCTGTCTTCCATTTATCCATAGTTCAGATTCTTGGCACTGTGCCTTTCCTTAGGAAGCTTACTATCACAAGAGGAAAAGATCAGGGTAAGGAATTTGCTTATTGGATACCATTTTCATGCTAGACTCAGAGATAGACATGTTGTATGCATTTTCTTATTTTTACCATAATCTTGGGTTAGGCATTATTTTCACTATTCTGCAGATGAGAACTGAGATTCAGTGAGTTTAGGAAAATTGCCCAGCCTCACACAGCTGAGCAGCTGAGATGTAATGTAAGTCTGTGTCTACTTCGAAAGCTCTTGGAAGGAAAGGAAGGCATGTGGGAGAGCATGAAGGTTGAGGAGGTAGGAAGACTGGAAATTGCATTTGCATTGTGATTTTACATAAGAAGGTAAAATGAGATAACATTGATTTATTTATCAAAGCATCCGTCTTTCCCCACCCTAAGTCTTAGTGTCATAAGCCTTCTAGGAGACTAAGATGAACCTTGGAGCTAGCACTATGGCTTTCCATGGCGACACATGGCCGGATAGGTAGCTCTGGATGCAAATAAGCAGGTTGGTATGAGATTCTGGAAGAACTAAGATTTTGGAATTTATCTTCCTCGGTCATCTATGGTCCCATCTCTCATCTGTGGCCAGAGGAAACTTGGCCTTAACATTCTTTGACTCCCAAGTCTAATGTCACTACAAGACTTTATTGAGTACAAGGGAAACTCCTTTTGGGGGCATTGTGCCTGACACTGGGAGATGTGGTCTCTCCCTGACATAGTTTAAACTCTATCTACTGGGAGAGTACCTGCTTACAAATAGCAGAGAAGGGGGCCAGGCGCAGGTGGCTCAAGCCTGTAATCCCAGCACTTTGGTAGGCCGAGGTGGGCGAATCACGAGGTCAGGAGTTTGAGACCAGCCTGCCCAACATGGTGAAACCCCGTCTCTGCACTAAACATGCAAAAAATTAGCCGGGCATGGTGGCGCGCCTTTAATCCCAGCTACTTGGGAGGCTGAGGCAGGAGAATCACTTGAACGCAGGAGACGGAGCTTGCAGTGAGCAGAGATTGCGCCATTGTACTCCAGCCTGGGCAACAAGAGCAAAACTCTGTCTCAAAAAATAAATAAATAAATAAATAAATAAATAAATAAATAAATAAATAAATAACAGAGAAGACATAATGTCACATGAACTTGCAGTATACACACACACACACACACACACACACATTCATTCATATGCACACATTCAAATGCAAGGCATGATCACAACATTTTTATTTTACTCTGCTGTGTTGTATATATGATTAACAAATGCATCATCAGCAGTTTAGGAGTTATTGTCAACCTACTCCAATAGTTTCCTATAATCAGTGTTAAAAATCCAGTTTTCCATAGGGCCGATGACATAATTAGAAGCAACAATAGTTCATTCCCCTCAGCTTATTCTGAGTGAACAGAGAAGCTTCAAGCACCCACCTTTAGCCCTACTCTTGCCTTTTTCATCAGGGCTTGGAAGACAGGGAGTAGCTACAGCCAGGTATCTGACTATGAGGGATGCGGGGTGAGACCACTTGGTGCCAGCTTTCCCCAAGAAGGCTATTCAGGGCTTTCTTTGTCTGCCCGACATCAGAAAGCACTGATCTGTCGTGGTATCGGGAAGAGAGTTCTGTGTAGGCTCTGGGGTCAGGGAGAGGCAGGGTTTTATCTTGGCTGTAGAGGATGCTTCAGGATGGGGAAGAGGGCAGAAGTGGGATTTAGGAGATTATTATGGGGTGCTCAGAGAAACTCTTCTTCTTGAGGGCTGGGGCATAATTACAAGGGAACGGAAAGGTTGGGATCATAGAAAGAGGAACTTGGGAGTGAATTTTCTTAAAATATTAGGAAATCAGCATAGTGTAGACAGGTTTACAAGCAGAAGCTCTGAAATATTGCCTGTATCAGGATCCTGGTTTTTTGTTTTACTTTTGTAAACTTGCAAAAGTTTCTTAAGCTCTTTATGCCTTAGTAAGATCAGCAGTCACTTTTATCTCTTTGTCCATCGTCTCAGCTAACCTTATTTGATGTCTACAGGTGGATATGACAATAACAGTCAAAGAATTTGGGAAGCTGGTATAGCTTTTTCTTTCTTTGTGCAGGGACTTTTTTTGAAATGTTGTTACAGGGTATGCCTAGCCTGTATTGTTTTAGTGTGTCAGAAAGTGTGGCTTTTCTCTTCTAATTAAGTGGTTTGATTATGAATCTCTTGGGTTTTTTTAGATATAGTGACTAATTCACTGGGAATTAAGCAGAATTGCCATAATTGTGGATTTTGGTTCTATTTCAGGTGTACTTCCAGTAAATGGTTACAAAAATAAGTTCCCAAATTAGGTTAAACAATGGAATTTTGAAGGAAATATGAAAATACAGATTCCTAGGCCACAATTGGAGAGATTGATTAATCAAATGATTTGTTGGTTTGAAACCCATTGAACTATCCTCCTGTTTCAAGAATTTATCTATAATTTAAAAATGTTTATTAAAATGGAAAATTTCCATGCCCTACCCTAGAGATACTGAAACAGAGTATTTTGGGAAAGGGACCAGGAATCTTCATTTGTTATAACTATCTCCTATTAACAGTTTTAAGCCTATGGACTATTGAGTCTAAGACTCTCCTATTTATTTTCTCATTTTTTAGCCACCATTTACCACTATTTAACCAGCAGCAGCACCCTGAGGACCTAAGTTACGTAAAAGTTTTCATTAGCAGCCATTCATCAATGTCTTGCACTGTTCGAGATGTACTTTTTTTTTTTTTTTTTTTTTTTTTTGAGACGGAGTCTCACTCTGTCGCCCAGGCTGGAGTGCAGTGGCACGATCTCGGCTCACTGCAAGCTCCGCCTCCCGGGTTCACGCCATTCTCCTGCCTCAGCCTCCTGAGTAGCTGGGATTACAGGTGCCTGCCACCATGCCCGGCTAATTTTTTGTATTTTTGGTAGAGACGGGGTTTCACCGTGTTAGCCAGGATAATCTCGATCTCCTGACTTTGTGATCCTCCCACCTTGGCCTCCCAAAGTGCTGGGATTACAGGCGTGAGCCACCGCACCTGGCCAGAGATGTACTTTTGGGAAGAGATGTTGCTCTTCTGAATTTCTAAGCAGACAGGGAGGAACAACTGAGAAACTCTCAGCCTCCCGCAAGGGCTCTGAGGAGGCCTTGGAGGTCAGGAGCCAGCAATGGAGAATTAAGTCTCTCCCAAGAAGTTCTCCCAGTTTTGGCTGTTCAGCCTTTTTCACTTATAGCCGAAGACTTTGTGTTGTCATAAGAATCCAGTGAAGTGTGAGATATATGCGCAATCTGAAAAGGTATAAGCTTGTAGGATGATAACCTAGGCAAAGGTCTTATTGTGTGTATTTTTTGTTTTTGTGTTTTCCTTCCCTACAGCTGGCCTGCAGAGATTACAATGCACTTCTTAAAATTCCATGCAGACCTAGCAAACTTTCATTTAGATGCCAGCATAGGAAGGAAGATCTCAGTGTATGACTGGATGTAATATGCATTCTCAAGTCTCCCCCTTCATAGACACAGTGTACGCTACAGAGAGCAAAGTGTAATTTTAAGAACCTTGTAATTCTTTACAAATTAACACAGCAGATGGTGTTTATGGGAGCCACAGAGTGAGGAATATTTGGGACGATGTGAGACATGTGTTCCAGGGTTTCGGCCTGCTTTCTACATAGTTTAGTTTTTAACTGTCATGCTACAAAAATTCCATTTTGCCTCATAAAGTTTTCATTGGTTCCAAGTGTGAGGGAATGCCCCAAGAGATAGTACTAGTATGACAGACTCCAAGCATGCTCAGTGAGGTCCCTGATTCACCTAAGCCTGAGGAGTGCCAGTGGCTTGCACCTTCGTGTTCAGGAGGTGGTAGTCTCCTGGGTGTTGGTGCTGGGGTTGGGGGCAGCCTGGCCTTCCCCCAGCTTGGAGATCAGTTTGAGAAGTCGAGGAAGAGCACAGAGCTTGATAAGCTTCACCCAAAGCAAGCAAAAGACAGCATAAGTGGGCTAACAATAAGGTTAGCACCTCTAGATTGGGGCTTGTTAGTGTGCAAATAGTTAAAATATTTCTTTGGTTGTTTTAACTGTTCATATAATTAAAAAGAAGACCTTATTTCTGTGCTAGTTCCCTCATAATGTTAAGAATTAAAGTGCTTGGGACCTGTGTGCTTGCTTTGAAGACAGTGCTGGCATTTTGGAGGGGGACATGAGAGGGAGAAAACAACGAGATAGAGATTGAAAGATGGTGCTGCCAGAGAGGACAGGAAGAGGTCATTCTCACAGGCTTTGGCAAAGACAAAGAGAGGTCAGAGTTGATTTGGGCAGGCAAAACAGCCCTGGCTCTGGCACTAGAGTGGAGATACCTTTGGGATCCCCTAGGATGCAAAGAGTCCTTGGTGCTCCCAAACCTTGTACTTCTTCTGCCCACTGGCACCCACATACTTTCCTCACTTTCCTTTGCTGCGGGGCTGGCAATGGGAAAGGTCCTAGGTGTTCTCAAACACATCCTGCCTCCTTGTTCCATTAAGGGTTCTCATCTCTTAGAAGCACCATTTTATCGAATCTATTCTCTTTCAGTTCCTACTGTTTTCAAGCTTATCTACTCCCACCACTCACTACTTTGATAAAAGCCATTTACTCTTTGTACTTCTTCTTCCAAGGGTATATACATCTTAATCCTATGCATACAATCAAAAGCTTTGGCTCCTAGAAATTTCCATCTTTTTCCCGCATAGGGGAGGTATTTGAGCAGGGAAGAAAGGGAATGAGTGTATAAAGTGTAAAAAGGGAATGAGAGTAGGCAACAATATGACTCTACCGTTGGTGAAGTCGCAGCGAGCCACCAATTCCACCTCTGCACCTAGCCTTGTCTCCAAAGATCGGTATCATGTAATTAAGCCAAGTAGCTAGAATACTATTTCATTCATAGCCAATACATATTTATATGTACATATCTATACATATTTCTAATTTGCTTAGCACCGATTCTGTGTAAGGCACTGTGCCAGAAACTTCAGTTTCAAGGAAATGTAATGGTCTGACACTTTCCTATCCTTGGGCAGCTGTGCCTTTAATTGGATAAAAAAAAAAAAATGCTCATGACAAGTTTCTGAACACTACAGGATAGTAATGATGCAGCTTATATTATTTGTATACCGTCTGACATCGGAAATTCAATTAACAATGCAAGAGGTTTGCACAATATAGAATTATTTCCTTGGTGAGAATTGTTCATAAAGAACCAAATAAATGGTAGAGATGGCTATAGGCACACAGAAGAGGCTGGGTTTCTGTGAACTGGGAGGGCAGGGAAGGGGTGATGGAGGAATTACAACATGAGCTGGCTCTTGATAGAATGGTAAATGAGGCACAGGGAGGTCAAGACTGTGGATCCCCACATAGACATACTTTCCATAAATTAAGGTTACCCTCTGCCTGAATGTTTTCTGATTTCTGTGAATTCTCAGCAATGTGGACCCAGTTATTGACCTCTTTTTGAGATGGTAGAAAAATGCCAGACTCTAGGGATTCTTTAGGTGTTGAAAGCTTTAACAGTAGCTGAGTGGTTTGGGGAATATGCACTTAAAAATGAAATGGAACTTTTAATTTCATTGAAATTTAAATTATTTATTCAGTTTGGGTATGTGTGTGTGTATCTGTGTATAAAATCAATGGGAATTTGCACTTTTGCCTTAACTACTTTTATCTCAACTGTAAAGATGAAATGGCATTTTTTAGCAGTTTGCTCAGTTCATGGTCTCTTGCAGGCTTAGAAGGGGTATGTGGTTAATTAACCCCAGCTTTTAGCAATCACCCAAGCTCAGGGGGTTGGCACTATGAAAAATGTCTTTTATGCAGGGTTGCCTGGCAAGTAATCACTGAGGACTACACCTGTGTTGATAAAATAAATCAAGGAACAAGAATTGTAACCTTACACAGGTGCCAACTACTTCCTATGGCTTTGATCAGCAAATTGTGAAGTGGGTGAAATTTATTTTTAGGACTCCATATTTTCCAAATCATCTATCCCTTTCATACCTGCTGCCTATCCCCAGGTGCCTACTTGGACCATCCATCTTTCTATCAATAAACAAGCATTTCCTGACCATGTCTTAAGAGTTTCATCCTGAGTTCTTTGGGAGAAAACCAGGCACATTCTACTCACAAAAAGCTTGGGTTGTATTCTGCAGCCGCACAAAAACTTATTAGGTAACACTAGGTAGCATACTGTAAATATATGCATGGTTTGGCACACTACCTACATGAAAGATGTGGTCAGAGGTGGGAGATTTTGAGCTTTTCTTTGAAGAATGGGTACAACCTGGCTAGGTGAATTGTGAGTTAGAAGGGGAATGGCCCCTTCCAGTCAGGCACCAATATGAGCCTATAAAGAAGGAGGACGTTTGTGAGTTGTTGAGAAAATACAAATAGATTAGAACTGGACCATTATGAAGGGGAGACCAGATTCTGAAGCCCTAACATACAGGCCCAAGAAAAAAAAAAATTACCATTCAACCTAGCAATTTCATTACTTGGGTATATACCCAAAGGCATATGAATCATTCTACCATAAAGACACACGTACTAATTTGTTTATTGCAGCACTCTTCACAATAGCAAAGACATGGTCTCAACCTAAATGACCATCAACGGTAGAATGGATAAAGAAAATGTGTCACATATACCATGAAACACTATGCAGCCACAAAAAAGAACAAGATCATGTTCTTTGCAGCAACATGGATGGAGCTGGAGACCATTATCCTTAACAAACTAATACAGGAACAGACAACCAAATATCACATGTTCTCCCTTACAAATAGGAGCTAAATAACATGAACACATGGACACAAAGAGGGGAACAACAGACGTTGAGGTCTACTTGAGGGTGGAGGGTGGGAGGAAGGAGAGGATCCGAAAAAATATATATCAGGTACTATGCTTAGTGTCTAGTGACAAAATAATTCTTCTGTAGGTGAACTTATGTCACAAAATATCTGCACTGTTTGGCACACTACCTGCATGACGGATTTGATGTGACACATAATGTGTGTGACACAAAATGTGTCACACAAAATCCTTGTGACATGAGTTTACCTATATAAGAAACCTGCATGTGTATCCCCGAACCTCAAAGTTAAAAGAAAAAAAAAAAAGATTCAAAAACAAAAAAAGGAAATAGGAGTTCAGTAAAATCTAAACAAGAATTCAGGAATACTGAGCTGAGGAAATTAAAGCTTGTTCTTAGCAGGCCTTAATGAGGATGATGAGGGAACGCAGTCAACAAAGGATGCTGTGGCATTCGAGATCTCCACTGTGGTGAGTGGGTGTCATGGAAAGAGAGATTTGAGGAACAGTATGAATCCTTATAGACTTTTTGATGGGTGGTTTCTCAAGGTTAGTAACTAACTGGATTTAGGGGAGAAATACGATATTAAGATTTAGAGCTGGGTCAGTAATTTGTGCTGGGGAAAACCCTGTGAATGAACCTAGATGCCCTGCCAAGACATGAACTCCTCAGACAGTGCTCCAGACCTTGCCTGAGGTCTGCCCTGATACCCACCACTCTGCTTTCCAGTTACTGCGGCTTAGTATTTTAAGATCTCTGGTTTAATAAGACCCTTTTCTTTGTAAGTGACAGAAATGCCACATGAATAAACATGGAGGCATTTATTAACTCATGGCACCAGGTAACCCATGGATAGAAACTTATGGCTTTAAGTGCAACTAGATTCAGGAGGCCAAGTGTGTCATTCATTGACTTAGAAAAATTTACTGAAAACCTGTTGCATTCCAGGTACAACTCCAGGTTCTATATAATGACAAGCAAAACAATTATTTTATAGGTTAATGTGTTTTATATACTAAATGCTTGTGTCCCCTCAAAATTCAAATGTTGAAACCTCCAATGTGATGGTATTTGGAGGTGGAGGCCTTTGATAAGTGATTATGTCATGAAAGTGGAGGTCTCCTGAATGGGATTAGTGGAGGCCTTTGATAAGTGATTATGTCATGAGGGTGGAGATCTCCCGAATGGGATAAGTGCCCTTATAAAAGAGACCCCAGAGGACTCCCTTGCCCCCTTGGCCATGTGAACACACAAAAAGAAGACAGCCTTCTTGGAATAAGAAGTGGACCCTCACCAGACACAGAGGTCTGCCAATGCTTTAATCTAGGACTTCCCAGCCTCCAGAAATGTGAGAAATAAATTTCCTGTTGTCATAAGCCACCCAGTCTATGATATTTTTGTTATAGCAGCTCAAATGAATTATTAATAAAAGAACACATAATGGAAAATATGAACCATTTTGATTTGACTCCAAAAGCTGACTTCTCTTTTCTTCCCCTCCTTCTTCTTCCCTTAAATTTCTTTTTCTCCAATTCTTCATCCCTTTCTTGCCGCAGTTTCTCTCATCATCTCTCCCTCCTGTCTCTCTGTCTTTCTCCGTCTTCCTCTGCCTCTCCTTCTTTCAGCTATGCTCTTCTTTTTGTGGGGTCTATTTTTGGAGACTCCCCAAGTAGTTCAAGGTTTATCTAGTACCAGTTTATCAATCTCAGTGGGAAAATATGTCTCCTTCCTAATAATTCTACCTACAACCTGTGATTCTACTGCTGATTCTCACTGGTTTGGATGTTATTATCAGTTTGTTCCCTGCCCACAGAGTCTTGGTTGGGAGTTACGAGGGCTGCTACTGAAATAACATGGATGGGTTGATGGGGGGATGAGAACAGGTGTTGATCTCTCTGAGCCAGTCCTGCTTTGCGCATTGTCCAAGGCATATCCTGATATTGCTCTACTATCGGATAGGGCCTGGTAGTCTCACCAATATTACCATATTCTTACATTATATATTGAGGATTATTTCTTTGAAAATGGATGCAGCCTGGCAGAGAAGAATCAGAGATACATCAGTGTTTCCCTTTTCACCTTTACCTCCTTCCCTTCCCCACCACCACCTCAGAGACCAAGAAAGCTAGGTTGTGATGTGGTCAGAGTATGTTGATTATAGATTTGCTTTGTGGCCACTGTTCAACTTTCATCCATTCTAAAGAGATACTGCCTGTTTCTTTTCCAAGAGAAATGTCCTTAGCTAGTGAAAAGGTATATTTAGAAAGGTCCACATGCTCCAACTAAGATTTATACATAATATAAAGATATTATGAAATGTTCAAGGTTCTATAAATAATGGTGCTATTTGTACTAAGGATATGATTTCTATATCCAGGGTTTCAGGGTAGGTGGGCAACCCTCCAAAAATGATAGTGTGACTGTTGGATCAATAGATAATTTTTTCTTCTCCCTCCTGTTGTCTAAATTGTAGGTTTAAATGACAGCAAAATGTGTTGGAGATAGAGTGCATGGCATATTATTGCTTTCTGGCATTCTGATGATTTTGACTTCCATTTCTTTCAAATGACAACAATTTGAAAACTGGGCATTTGATTAGCTCCTAAAACATCTAATATATTACAGTCACAGCTACATGATATTTTGAAGATTCCTTATACATTCAGTCATGTCTGCAGGTCCCTTCAAGGGAAAGAAAGGAAGTGATAAACATCTACCTTCTTACAACCATGTCCCACATATTAATATAGTACCCTGAAACATGGTTGATGTGCAGCCATGGATCCAATGGAAGCACCAAGATGGTCGATTTATATTCCCAGGGCTTCCATGAGAGACCCCCCAGAACTGGATTATGTGTTTATGGTAGGATGAGGGGCTGGGATGGGAACAGCCTTTAAAGAAATACTCATTTTCTGGGAGGCCAAGGTGGGTGGATCACGAGGTCAGGAGATCAAGACCATCTTGGCTAACATGGTGAAACCCCGTCTTTATTAAAAATACAAAAAAATTAGCCGGGCGTGGTGGCGGGCACCTGTAGTCCCAGCTACTCGGGAGGCTGAGGCAGGAGAATGGCATGAACCCGGGAGGCGGAGCTTGCAGTGAGCCGAGATTGTGCCACTGCACTCCAGCCTGGGCAATAGAGCAAGACTTTGTCTCAAAAAAAAAAGAAATACTCATTTTCAGAGATTTATAAATTAATAATTTTTATTGCTTTTTGTTTTATAAGTTAGGGAGTCAGTATCAGTTGTGTATTATTCAGCATGTTTATATAAATCCATTACAAACACCTTCAGAATTTCAGAAGGGGTGATGGGTATTTATATAGGGAGACAGTGGGGTGGGGATCCTTGTCCAAAGTGGGCCAAAGGAGGGGCCTTTATTTTGCAAAGGGGCAAAGAGCAGTGTTATTAAAAAGAAATTGTTGAAATAAAATATTGTTCTTTTTCTGAAGATTAATTGTAAAAAGAGAAATTTCTGTTAATGGCTTAATCCTTCTATTTAAGGACAAACGAAATATAAAGGTCTTCAAGGTAGTATCTGATCCTTTAGCAAACTGGACTTGAATTTAAAGCCAGAGGATGGGAGAATAAAGGATCTCCTATTAAAAATCCAAGTCAGGAAATTTATTCCCTTTGCTCTCATGAATTCAAGCCATGGATCTTCCCCAAATGCGTTTTGTAAAATAGTTCTCAAAGACTAAAACAAATAAAGTTTAATAAACATGCATCTCCCTAGCACAACAGATGGCAACTAGGGAAGGTGCCCACAGCAATGTAGAGAGTAGTCCCGCCTGGCTTCGTTTTTTAATAACGATATTTATTAAATGGCTATGTCTATTGCACACTCATTCTCTGCAGGTAAAGATAAAGAAGAAAAGTGGGGAGCAGGCTCAAAAAAGGCATATAAGTTCTGCGGACAAAAAGCAGCAGAGGAAATACACCTCAAAGTGAGATTTTACTGGTAGCCTTTGAAGAGAAACACATGAAACTATGAAATCACAGAATCCTGAAATTTTAGAGAAGGGAGATCGTTTAGATATGGAATGGAAAAAGCCCTGGCTGGGAGTCTGGAGGTGCTGGTCAGATACTAATGAGCCAGGTGATCATAATCAGTCACTTCATCTCTCTAGACCTTGCTGTCCTTATCTTTGAGGGGAATGAGGAGGTGGGCAAAGAAAGACAGCTAACGTTGACTGAGTTAACTCTGCTGGTTAGGTATTGGCTAAACACATTACAGGGCCTATGTCTTTTTATGCTCCCCAAAAGCAAGCACTTAGCCACGTTTTAGAGAAGAGAAAAACTTCAACTGCCTGTCAATTCCCAGCCCTTTCTGCAGTGTTATGATTGTTTCCCTGTAACAGGAAAGTATAGTTACAGGTGCTTGATGGTTTTTCTGCTTCTCATATTTCACGATTCCATAATTCATCCTTGGCCCTTTCATTCTACAGATGATAAGGTTGGAGTCTAGAGATGTGGCCAGGTCACTTAGGTGGTTATTGGCAGAGAGTGGTTACAACTAATTGGCTTTTGTTTCCTTCTGTTCAGCAAAAACAGGGAATAATTGGATGACTGACTTAACACCACACATTTTGCTTTTATTATTAGGTGATGATGTCAAAATAAATACTTACATCTGCTTTCACTTCAGTTTGTTAAAGTATGCTTAATTTGTAGAGCCTGGAGGGTCAGGGATGGAGAGCTAGGTGAGGCTTCTGGTTGACTCCTAGGGAACTAGAATGTGCTTGTGATGATCAAATCCTTAGTTACTAGACAAAATATGTCCCAGGACCTACTGTGTAAAAGACTGAACTGGAGATTCTGCCCCTCATTTCACCTCTTAGAAATATCTCAGACTAGTTGTGTATTTAAAATGAACTGCCCCAAATATTGCCTTTTTAAAGGGAGAGAACTTTTTCTTTAGGGATACCAGTTTTTGGCAAGGTTTTCGTACATTATCTGCCTGGATGGAGAAAGCAGAAGGACAGGTGATCCAAAAATAGTTTCTATGTAGTTTCTAAATCAATTCTTTCATTTTTTTTCCACATCAAAAATACTTTCCTAATTACCCTGAATAGTCTAAATGTCTTTTATTGTTTCTAGCACATTGCCATTGTGATTGATCGTCCTGCTAACCTTGTGAAGAAGACAGAGCATATATTATGCTATCCATTGTGCTTATGACAAAACTCAGACTTTTAAAAAAAAATGGGGTAAATGGTTAGTCAAGGATCATGGAGGCTAATAATAGGGAGCTGATACTAGGAGGCAAGTCTCCGCTCCTTCCTTCCTCCCTCCTCACTATCCCCCATTGCTCTCTCCCTTTCTCCTCTCCTCTTTCTCCCTCTCCGTCTGTGTCTCTGTCTCTCTATCTCTCCCTCTTTTCCTCTCTCTGTCTCACTCTCAGTAGCTGGCTTCCTGTCCAGTTTAAACTGATGAATTTAAAATTATGGCCACATTTAGACATACAGAGCTGAGGAAAGTAGGACATAATGGCTTCCAAGTTCCCATTTGCTGTGCAAAGCTGAGCGTTGACAAGCTACTATTGTTATTCCTGCACAAATACCTTATTTTTTAAAATTGGAGCTAAGAAAGGGCCAGTAAATTGACTATCCCATCCAGTGGCCCAAATTTCCTAAACCCTAGTCCTTGTTTTAACATTCCCCAGCCTTCATGTACAGTCACAACAAATATGGCTCCAGAGTCAACTTCATTTCTGAATTGTTTTCAGCCAAAGACTTTGAGGCTGGAGAAACCCAGGATCACAAATATTACACAAACAGAATCCGGACAAGAGTAACATGGAATGATTAATGTTACCAGAGATTCTCTGGGCTTGCAGATCAAAATAAAGTTAGTAGTAATCACACTATAAAGAAGCTCTTATAGAAATAATTTGTCTCTGTAGCTAGTCAAACTGATCTCTTCACATCATGGAGAAAAAGCTGGCTCATTTCACTCACTGCCTTCCCAGAACCACCTTGCCTTCTTGTCTACATGACTTTCTTTTTGCCAGTCAAAGTGCCTCTCTCTTTCCTATTCTAATCTTACCCAGGGCTTAAGGTCCAGCTAATTTTCTCTTTCCTCTGTGACTTGACTTCCCAAAGGCAACATCTTCTCCCTCTTCTGAGCAACTCAGTCATTGAGCGTGCTAATCTTTCTGCACAGTTTTTGGTATTGTTCTGGTCTTGTGTTCTGGTCTATTCCCCTGTATCAGGAGCTCTTTGATGGTGAGAATTGTGGCTATCACTTTTCATGTGTTCCCCACAGGGACCAATAGGACGCCTCACATCTAAGGGATGTGTGTTTTACAGTTGCAGGATATTGATGCCAGAAGGGATACAGATCCCACATGTTGCCCTTCTGCTCACAGAATGGGGCAACCAAGCCTCCCAAACGTGTCTGTAGCAACTGCAGTTACAATCTTGAACATGACTCTTTCCCCTGGGGGTAGGATTGTCAGATTCAGCACATAAAAATACAGGATGCCCAGTTAATGTGAATTTTAGGTAAACAATAATTTTTAAAGAATAAATATATCCGCACTGTTTTTTAAGTTTAAAAGTTTAAAATGTCATCTGATGCTGCATTTGCACAACTCACCTCATTCACCCTACCCTAATCCTAGCCCTATTGGATCCTGTCTTTATTTAAATTTTTGATATTTTATTTTCAACATGGATTTATTTGCGTTAGTTTTGATTTTAAAAATATTACATTAGGTCGGGCGTGGTGGCTCATGCCTGTAATACCAGCACTTAGGGAGGCTGACGTGGGTGGATCACAAGGTCAGGAGTTTGAGACCAGCCTGGCCAATATGGTGAAATCCTGTCTCTACTAAAAATACAAAAAAATTAGCTGGACATGGTGGCACATGTCTGTAATCCCAGCTATTCAGGAGACTGAGGCAGGAGAATTGCTTGAACCTAGGAGGCAGAGGTTGCAGTGAGCTGAGATTGCGCCACTGTGCTCCAGCCTGGGTGACAGAGCACGACTGTCTCAGAAAAAAAAAAAAAAAAAAGTATGTATTACATTAAAATATTATTTATCTTGATGACTGAGTTCCTTGGTGCCACCTTAAATTTTGCATCTAAATTATACTCCCTCTCTCCCTCTTCACTCTGTTCACACCAGTCCCAGGCCCATTTGATTCTCATTCTTCTCATCTGAAAAGTGGTTGTATAGATATGGCACTGGCAGGATGGAATAAGCCCAGAGTCTGGCATTTACATTCACTCAGTAATTATTTTGTGTATCTAAAGTGTCTCAATTTTTTTCTTTTCACTTTGAAAAGTTTAGTAATCGATCCTCCATCTGTTGCAGCCAAGTTTTCAACTAAACTCATAACTTTTAATGTTTGAAAGTAAGTTTTTTTATTCTAATAAATGAATAGGCCACAGGAAATTATGATTTTCAGAAGGATCATGGTCCAGAGCTCCACATAGGTGCCCTGTATTTTGATGGCAGACAACCTATTTGCAAGGAGAGAACCAAACAGAAAAGGAATAGCCTTTGGCTGCTGAATTTGTGGCAGATCTGAACTTGGAGAGGCAGAGCATTGAAGTCACACTCACTGCACAACCACATTCCCTTGAAAGACAGAGCAGCACGTTATTCTTCTCCATACACTTTTGTTTTCTTGGAGCTATTTGTAGGCTGATATTTCAAAGTTGTAAAATGTTAGCCACTGTATTTTAAGCTCTTTCTACTTAAAAACCTTAGTGTCTACATCTGAAAGAGTGAGTGTGTGAGTTTAGGGAGTGGGAAAGGATGATGGGGAATGGTAGGATTTTAGAAGACTAAAAATATATGCACATATGCCTTGGTTTGGGCTTTTTAATGAAAACCCTATAGGGCTGTGCATCAGACATTTGTTCAGAAAAAATAGTTAATTAAGCAAGTGGCAGAGAAGAGTGACTACTTTAAACCCAGCTATGGAGAGCGGGTATGTATGTATCAGCTTTATGCTTCCCGGATTTTGTCACGGAAAGAGAACATTTAGAAACCTGTTGGATGGTAATTTTTATGCATTGCCAAATCATGTTATCCCATTAGGCACAACTTAAGATCTGGGATCTCATTTTATCATATAAGCAAATTACTACAGGGACCTACATGATTTTATAGAGACTGAGTAGGCCACAATAATTGACTTGCCACTAGCACCATAAATAAATCAATCTGTAGCGTTTGACTAAAATTTAGATAATTTAATCAATTTGACAAGGTTTTTGAAAACATTTATCTTTTAAGGGGAAGATTATTGTCATCCATAAAGTTTATAGAGCTTTTCATCCATGGGAATCTTGTTGCTCTTTTAAAAAGACAATGGGGATTCTTTTCTGTTGAGTTTTAATTGTTTTTCTGTACCCACCAAAAAAAGGAGAAAAAGCAAAGAAATAGGAAACTAGTGAAACTTCCAAGTGAACAATTTATTAAAGAACACTTTTTTTTTTCTCTACCTCTGCCTGTTGTAGTCATAAGGGAAATTTTCCTCATGACCTCAAGCTGTGGGTTGCTTATTATCATTTTTAGCATTCCACTACATGACAGAGCAGAGATTAGCAATACTGTATTTTCTAGTAAAGCATCTCTTTTGAATTTGATATAGAAGTTGCAATATGGCTTAAAAAATATTGGTATAAAATTCCGAATTCTGGTGATTTACTTAAAATCTTTTTCGATTTAGTTTTTATTATCTCAGTTATCTTCTATTCAGAAATGTGCCTACACAATATAGACACACAAAGCATTTGTATTTGAAGGCAAAAACAAAACATCCTTGTTATATTAACTTAACTGCTAAGCGTCTGGAGGAGGGATGAAAACACAGATTTGTGTGGAGTTGAATATGGACATATGTGTAACCATCCTGAGAACGTATTGGTCTTTATCAATTTTAATTATTATTTCAGGAAAAACCAACTTTAGAGACCAAATCATGTTATAGTTATGTATTGAAAATAATCTTTTTAAAAAATTGTTTGAATTTAACTTCTCATGTTTTCCTGATTTTTTTAAATTTTTAATGTCTCTAACATTGAATATGCTAAATCAGAAATTATTTCTCTTTTCTTAATAGACTGGAAGGAAAGAAAAAGGAGATCCTCTCAACATTGCGATTGATAAGATGACTAAGAAAACAAGAGATCTAAGGAGACAGGTACTATTTTTTATTTTTACTTTAAGTCCATGATATTCAGTAGTGGTTTCCAACAATATCCTTTTCCAGGGTGTCTTCTTGGAGATGACAATGAGGTTGTTATTCTTTATAACATTTACATATACAAATAAAAACCCCATTTTATCGGCAAGGTAGAGATTGCTGGACAGAGACGAGCCAGTTGCAAGCAAGGAGACAGTTCCTGAGCAGGTGGCTTCTCACTGCCCAGATCCAATCTGTCCCAGTGGAGACTGGATGAATTCACTACTTCTACATCTGGTCTTTAGTTTTCCAAATCCAGGTATGCCAAGAGCCTGCCTCTGATCTTTGCTGGTTCTTACTTATCAAACTCCCGGGAATTTAGTGATAAACCAGAATGCTAATGGTTAATGAGAAATACAACTCTTAATCTGATGGGTTAATTAAGGTCTCTTGGCCAGTGTATTCCCTTGGGAACATAAATCTAGGAGAAAGTTTGCTTATCAGATGGTTGTTTGGGAAGCAGGGAATAAAATGGCTAATGACATCATTAGTTTGATGGGTCTATTTTTCTTAACAGGGAGAAATCTCCGGTCAGGGCCCTTTTTCTCCTTGAAAGTGTTGTATGAACGCTGGTAAATGTTGCCTTAGAACCCTGATTTTATATGTGGCCATGATGAACTCCTCTTTCTTTGGTAGTATTATTTCTCTGAAAGAGATTCTATCACCCACTGAGTTATAATAAAACCCCCTCTTCTTGATTTCTGCCCAGGAGGGCAGAATCCTGTCTCCTGCTGTAGCTTTGGCTATGTCCATCTCATTCACTAATTGTTGACTGTGACAGCCAGCTAAAACCAACCACTGCCATGGCAGCACCTGCTGTATTTTCTGCAGCTGAAACAATTGGGTTAGCATGGCCACATCCAGCATTTGCTCCTGCAGTGTGTTAAGTACAAACAAAATTAGCAAGAGGCCTGGGCGAGAATGGCCAAGCAGCAACTTGGAAATGATTTGAATGAGAGGAACCCACCACTTCTGATGACTGCTGGGGAGCTTCTTGGCTTTTATCAAGACATCACCTGAAGGTGTAGACACACTTGATCTGGTGTCCTTCAGAAGATATCACAATTATTTCTGGAATATGAATATTCTAGCTCCCCAGCTAACAAACCTTTTGGGGGAAACATTCCCTTTTACTTTACTTTGAAATAAGGCAGAATACAACATTGTCCTTTTAGGTATTAGTAACTAACAGCAAATGAATATATGGCCAGGTCTCTATCTCTTTGTTCTCTTAGATCATCTCTACATATCCCCATTTGATATGAAATGATATGGGTGGCAGGAATTGGGATGGAGGTTAGTTGAAAACGCTGAATTAGATATCAGAGCCCTTGGTTTTAGTGTTAGCTCTGCCGCTAAACTGGCAGTGTGATTGTGGATCCTTCATCTCTTGGTCTTACAAAAATAAGGAGCCAAACTAGATCTGCAAACTCTTTTTTTTTTAAGCTGTATAAGATTGTGTGAGTCTAAGGGATATTCTCATTCCTATGTCAGAGGTCCCAATGACTGATAATCACAGATTTTTAAAAGCAGTGGGAGGACATCTCCAGGTCTTGCCTTTGGCTAGATTGTCAACCAGCTAAAATTCATGAACTGGGTCTTCCCATCTTCCTGATCCCTTGGTCTCAGTAGTGATTACATTTTTTTTTACATTCAAGAACAAGCCCCCTCAGCTCTTTTCAATCATGGACCAATCATGGCAGGATTATTATTATTATTACTAGAAATGAATGAAAAAGTAATTTTTACTCTTATGTTACAATTCCTGGAAAGGGTTGACTCTTTTTAGCAGAGGACAGTGGTAAAATTTGAAGGTGAAAAATTATGGTGGAATTTTAAATGCTTAGGTGACAAGCTCCTTGGAGAGCTTCCTGTAAGATGGCAGTGGAAGGAGTGTGTCCTTCCCTGAAGTTATTCCATGTATGTTATTTCTTTCCTTACCTTTCTCCAAAATATAGAGGAATAAGGGTAAAAGGAGAAATGTTTCATGGTATTAAGATCCAACAGTTATGGCATAATTTCACACTGTATCCATGAATTTGGTTGAAACATCTTTCTCTTCTCCAATCTGCCTTTCTAAAATGACGATGGTCCCCATCTGTCAGTTTCATCCCTGCCCATATGTTGAGATATTTTTGTCTTTCTTCTCATCTCTTTGCCTCCCCATGTACACCTGTAGTGGCACAAAAGCTTCTCTGATCTAAATTGAAGCTACCTAGCACTTGGGCAGATGGAACATGCAATGACTAATTTGTTTGGCCCAGGTAGGTCATAAGCTTAGATGTGGGTAACTAGTAATTAGATTAACAAGGTGTTACCTGGGTCTCTGATAGCCCCTCCACAATAGTGGCTCAGAGAACGCTAATGGCTCAAGCAAATGTATACTGCTGAGATACTTTCTATTCTTTCAATTACAGATAAATGTATGCTAGAGCAGATTCTAAAAGAGATCCCTCAGTGATCATGTCCACTTCCCTGTACACATGTATTCCTTTGTATAATATTTAGAGAGATCAAATCTCATAGGGGAAAAAGGTGAAATCAAATATTTTAGTTTATAAAAAATATTTCTAGTGACATCCATCATGTCCCGCTCTTTCAGTCTCCTGCCTCCTCCTCATAGCGCTAAGTTTGGGCAGTGCTTTTCAGAAGGGTGACCCTGGAGCCTTGAAAAGTTTTAGCCACCAAATTGAAAAGAAACAAAGTCAATCATGATCATTATCTTGGACTTTCCTAATGAAAGAAAGTGGAATTAGACTTGTAGATACTCAAAGAAATCAAGATTAATTGAATATAAAGGATTTTGGTTTAAGTGGAATTTTCAGGTAAGTAGAACTCCTCTCTTGAGGCAACATATCCCAAGGAACTGGGGCATTATAAATGGTGAAAAAGATTATAGGGACCCAAAGGTACCATTTAAAACTGATTAACATGAATCCATCTTGCCAGTCAAACCCATGACAGGGGGCAGTGGTAGAGCAGAATCCTCCTAAGGAGTATTTTGTTTAGAATCAAAAATGGATTTAGGGGATGATAACTGCCAGCTTTAAGCATTGGGTTCTCATTTTAAAGCTGTGGGCACAGCAGGCCCTGTGTCTGAGCTATTGTCACTGCTGTGATTCTGGAATCAGCCCAGTGTGGAAACAATAGCTCTTGGCTGATGCCCCTTCTGGGTGCCTACTGGCCCACATGGTCTGTCCATCCCCCAGAGAAGACTCAGTCAGTTTCTGCCAACTGTACCCCTATTCCCTTTTGCTCTGTGCCACCTATGAACTATTCTAGGTATGATCTCTTAATTTTTCCTACAATTACAGGGATGCTAGTTGATTCTGAATATTATTTTTGTACTTTTATTAGTCCCTGATTTTCCAAGTTGATAAATCAGCACCCAAACATTTCTCTCTGAGAAGCTAATAAATAATATCTATGACATTGCAATGTTGCTAAACTTAGCAACTCTTTCACTCCCCAAACAAATCAAAGGCCTAATTCTTATTCCTTCACCCTTACTAGCCACCACAATGAGTCCAGCAATGAGATTTAGTGAGTGTCAACCTGACAAAGGTCTCAATTCTATTATTACAATCAAAACATTTTTAACAATGAGAATTTATATATAGAATGCTTTTGCATTAGGGTGAGTACTTAGAATAGTAATATAACAAAGCATTAAAAATCAATAAGCAAAACATGTTATTGGATGGAATGTTTAAAGGCTGATTCATTAATATTGTGTTTCCAAGTAGTACTACAGAAAAATCTTCCAAGATTAATAAAAAACAATTACAACTAAAAAATTCCTTAGCTGTCTCCTTTTTGACCCAATTCCTTATGTACAAACTCTGGCTGAAGGTGAACAGTTACCATGGAGAGCTTGTAAAATCACTGTCCATAAAATGTAAACTAATTTATAACCCACTTGTATTAAGTCTTTGCAAGGTGCCTGGAACTGTTCTAAGTTATCTCCATGTATTGACCACATTTAATCCACACACTAGCTCTAAAAGATTGTCACCATGCTCATTTTACAGATGAGGATGTGAAGCCAAGTACCGTACCTGATATGGTTTGGCTGTTTCCCTACCCATTCATCTTGAATTGTAGCTCCCATAATTCCCTTATGTCATGGGAGGGACCTGGAAGGAGGTAAATGAATCATGGGGGCAGGTCTTTCCCGTGCCATTCTTGTGATAGTGAATAAGTCTCACAAGACCTGATGGTTTTATAAAGGGGAATTCCCCTGCACACGCTCTCTTGCCTGCCGCCGTGTATGATGTGACTTTGCTCTTCCTCCACCTTCCTCCAGGGTTGTGCGGCCTCCCCAACCTTGTGGAGTTGTGAATCAATTAAGCCTATTTCCTTTATAAATTACCCAGTCTCAGGTATGTTTTTATTAGAAGCGTGAGAACAGACCAGTACAGCACCCATGGCCATATAGGGTGTGGACGTATGGAAGCTGCAGCCAGGCAATCTGGCTGTAGGGTCTTGTACTCATAAATTTTACTCTATCCTGCCTCTCCGTAGAACCAACATAAGCATGTGGGTCAACCATATACTAATGCACTCTGGGAAATACACGTGGGGAAGAAGGAAGGTTCACATAAATACGTAGAAGTGCTTTGAGGTTTTGAGCAGCACCTCTACAACTCTAAGATTTGGAATTGGTGGCACGAATGCACTGTGAAAAGAAAGAAAAAACACAACTATAGTAAATGTCAAAAACATGGTTCTTGTTTGTGATATATCATCTCTTGGGTCTCCAGCTGTTATGGTTCATTGGATTCTCTTTTTAAAAAGTGCAATTATGTTTAGGTATCTGGCCTCTCAAAACATGAATTATAGACTTTCCAGAACAATTACAGAAAAAAGAGAATGTTAAGGCGTTCTATTGTTTTTCTCACATCTGCTCATGATAGGGCCAATTATTTTTAAGTTCATTGTAAAAAAATTTTAAAACCATTTATTTCTGGATTTGAATCTGTTTTTCTTCATAAGGATATGAGGCTATCTACATGGCAACAAAATATATTACAGAATATTGAGTTCCTCCAAGTGTTAAGGTTTGTGTTCTGTAAACTGAAACCCTACATAAGAGCTAATAATCCCTGGAGTTTGGAGTCTAGGTCAGATTGTCAAGCTGCTGTGGAAACATGGAGATCAGAAAATGATCATGCAGCAAATGGGATTTGAAATACAAGAAACATGAACCCAGAGACAGCTAAATAGAAATGGGATCAGAGGCTGGGCATGGTGGCTCATGCCTGTAATCCTAACACTTTGGGAGGTCGAGACAGGAGGATCACTTGAAGTCAGGAGTTCAAGACCAGCCTGACCAACATGGTGAAACTCCGTCTCTGCTAAAAATACAAAAAAAAAAAAAAAAATTCACCCGGCATGGTGGCACGTGCCTGTAATCCCAGCCACTTGGGAGGCTGAGGCAGGAGGATTGCTTGAGCCCAGGAGGTGGAGGTTGCAGTGAGTTGAGATCACACCCCTGCACTGCAGCCTGGGTAACACATCAAGACTCTGTCTCAAAAAAAAAGAAAGAAAGAAATGGAATCAGAAACACCAAAAATTAGAATCAAAAATACCAGGAGGAGCGGAGCAGAGTAGGTAGTAGGTTGGAGTGCAATGGTGCGATCTCAACTCACTGCAACCTTCACCTCCCGGGCTAAAGTGATCCTCTTGCCTCAGGATCCCAAGTAGCTGGGATTACAAGCATGTGCCACCACGCCTGGCTAATTTTTTTTTTTTTTTTAGCAGAGACAGAGTTTCACCCTGTTGTCCAGGCTGGTCTCAAACTCCTGACCTCAATACCGTGAAAGGTCATCCTTTGGATGTATCCCTTGATGATGGGTAGTACAGTCACGCTACCTCTACCTTAGGAAAATCCTGATAAAACAACCCTAAATGTCAGAGCACCATTTACTTATCACCTGGAAAATAGTCATTAGGCCAAGTCCAAAGTACATTATTTCATCAGTTGGAAACGGTTCTTGAAATATCATCTTGGGCTAGCTGTTCTCTTGTCAAGGTACTATTCAATTCACAAAGTGGTTCAATTTATTTCTATAAGCCAGCATATGGTTGATTGTTCACACATTGGCTTGACACTAGCAAGTCTAGATCACACAAAGGAGCAAAGAGTCTAGTAGCTTGATCAACATTGTTTCATCAAATGGTACACTATACTGAGCAGAGGGATCTATAACGTAAGTATGAACATGAAAACTCTCAATGAAGTGGAAGCTTCAACTACTGATTTATTCTTTTCTGCTAATTTCTCTAGGCCCTAGAAATCAAGGAAAAGTGGGAAGGGAAGGAGTAAATAGCAATGACTGAGCCCCAAAACACCTTCCAGATAATGTCTGTGTTTGGTTCAATTCCCAACACCTTCTTCTATTTTTAGCAAAGAGAATAATACCATTAAGAATCCTGATCCTGAGACTGGAAGATCCACTGTAGGATTATGAAACAAAAATGCCATCACATTTTTCAGCATGAAATTCCTAAGCAGGGAAACTTAGAATATTTTCAACCATGGTGACTGAAATAACAAAGATTGTTTCATAGAATGCCCTTTCAGTTTACCAGAACATTCATTTTACTACACCCATCCTGGTTAAGTGAGGTTGGCCCATATTTGTTGTTGGAGGCTGTGTTTAGACTGGGATTCTTATCCAAAACTGTCACTGAAAACGAGATAATTTTAGAGTGTGTGGTGCATCTACCATTATGGCCTGAATTGAGGTGTTTCTAGAGCTGATGATAACAGCTAATCGCCTTGATTCTGACTGAATGTACTCAGTGGATCTTTGCAGTCAGCTTGTAGCCAAATATATCTGTTCCATTTGACCCCTCCTTGCTGAGGTTACCTTTTATTACCTGAAATGGCTTCTGGCATCATCTTTCCCAGGGGAAATTTCCATCAGGACTGCTGATATTTCTTTATCTCCCCATTTCCTGAGGAGGCTGGACAAATCTGAAATTCAGAAAGTGAGTCATCTTCCTGCAGGCTCTGCCATGCCTACTGTCGCCACCAGTCCTGGTGGGAGCCCATTTGCTCCAGGATGTCCTCATATTGTGCCTTAGTGATTCCCATGGATGCTGCTGCTGATGGCTGAGGGAGTTCAACATTGCTCTTTGCTTGGGTGGAAAATTGTGAAGAAGATGATGCTAGTTTTAACAACCCTCTATTTACATTACATGCCCTTGACTCATCTTTGTCCTCTTTTTGAGCTGAATGAAATTTCCAGATTATCTTAAAACCAAACCTTCACCCCACCATGGCTCTACACAATTATGTGTTTCCCACTGTGATCCACTTTTCAAGACAGTGACAGTCCCACGCAACTCCTCCTTTTGTTATTCCTTAAATCTCCGTCAGTCATTCAATCCAATTGATACCACCTCCTAAATGCATTTTGAGTCCATTGCTCCTCTCCACTGCCATTGGCCCTAATTCACTGCTTTTCACACACACAAAAGATGGCCATGGCCACAACCTCATAACCAGTATCCTAGACCCCAGCCTCCTGGTAGCTCCTAGACCCCAGTTATGATTGCCCCAACAGTATCATAAGCCAGTGTTTCCAGATCCTTCTGCCTTTGCACTTGTGTTGCTTCTGCCTGGAATACTCCCACCACCCTTTTTGTTTTCTTCCAAGAAAACTCACATCTTTTCCTACCAGGCTTAGCTTAAATGTCACCTTATCATCACAACTTTATCCAATTCCTGTAAACAGGATTTATCCAGTAGACTCCCAAAGCATTTAAAAATATCTCTATCATGACACATTTTGCAGTGGGTTTAGTTGTTTATTTGTTTTTGCCAGTGCTCATGTCTTTCTAGTCTTTGTTTCTTCAGGTAATATCCTAGTGCCCAAAATAAAGTAAGCCTGCACCACACAGGTGCTGAAAGAGTGAAGAATCCCCTGTCTGTAGTCACCGCACCCAGGAAATATCCCAATCATCAACTTGCCTCCATTCTAAACTCACATGTCTCTGGTTCCATTGTCTCAAGGGCTAAAAATGCTAGTCTAAAAAGTCTACTTATATTTTGAGGATAATTTCCATGATTAATGAGGATACCCTAATCCAGTAGTTTCCTGTTACTCAGTTGGCTTGAGAAGACTTAGCTCAAGAGCAGCTAAAATGAAGATATTTGACTCCATTTTGGGAGATTCTGACTTCATGTACCTCTGGTGGCACCTTAAAATCTCTGTCATAACAAGCTTCCTACTTATTTCTGATATTCTCCCATGTTTGAATTCCACTGTCTTTGTTTCTGATAGATGGAACTTTCAGACCTCATCCCAGTCCCTCAGGTGGTATATCTGAGGATTTGTGAGGCCTTCCAACTCTTCTGCAATCTCCTTGGCCTCTATTAGACCTTTCCACTTCACAGAGTCAATACCTGTTTTCAGGGGCAGAAAATCCATGTTTGAGGCTTGTAAGAGACAGAAAAAAAAAAAACAGTGTTTTGCCACACACTCTCCATAGCACACATTACCTCTAGTCACCAAAACGTATGCGGTATGATTTTCCCTCACTGACTAGTTCTTTGACACCAGCTGTCTGTCCTATAATTCAATTCTAACACTATCTACCTGGAGATAACTTCAGATTTCATAGACTAAGGGCTCATTTTCACAAGACTGCTTCTACTTCAGATGCCAGTTGAAAGTAGTAGGTTGTCACCTATATTTCTGACTGACCAGCTATACATTGGGGGATTCCCATTATCCCTCCCTCAGGTCCACCTAATTTGCCAGAGTGGCCCACAGAACTCAGGGAAACTGCACACTTTTACCTATTTATTATAAAGAATATTCAGGTGAGCAGTCAAATGGAAGAGATGCATAGGATGAGGTATGTGGGAAGGGGCTCAGAGCTTCCATGCCCTCTGTGGGTGCACCACCTTCCCTGTACTTCCATTTTTTCAGCAACCAATAGATTTCCAAACTCTGTCCTTTTGAGTTTTTATGCATTCATAGGCATGATTGATTAAGTCATTGGCCATTGGCAATTAACTCAACCTTCAGCTTCTCTCACCTCTCTGGAGGTTGGGGTGGGTGGGGCTAAAAGTTCTCACCTTCTAATCACATGGTTGGTTTCCCTTGCAAACAGCCTGGATCCTGGGGCTATCCAGGAGCCCATCAAAAATTGCCTCATTAGAATAAAAGATGCTGTCACCCAAGAAATTTCAGTGGCTTTAGAAGCTGTTTCCAATGTTACCACCTAGGAAATTACAAAGATTTTAAGAGTTCTGTGTCAGTTACTGGGGTTAAAGATCAAATATTAGACAAAAGATTCTCCTAGTACCCCTTATCTACAAGGGTTTTAGGAACCAGGGCAGAGGTCTGAACGAGGGGTTCAGGAACCAGGGGCAATGGCAAATTTATATATTTCTATATTATATATTTATATAATTTATAATATATAAATTATGTTTAATATAAATTATATATTTATATAATTCTATATATTTATATATTTCTTATTATTTCACAAGGCTCCTCTCTTCTGGGCATAGGTTAGAAGTGAATGGTCTGATTGTTCACTGCTTCTTATTGTAGGGCTTGGAAAGATCTGTACTTTCTGGAGCAGGGCCAGGACAAGGGTAAGGCAAGTGAGGCGTAGCCTCAGGTGCAAGATTTTAGGGGCTACCAAAAAGCTCAGTAATCACAATAAATAATATTGTGTGCAACACTTTAAAAAATCAAAAATAATGCAGAAATCCATGATGAACAAAACATCAATGTTGTAAATAAAGATAGGATCATCATAAATAAGATAGTGCAGTGTTGAGTCATGTTGAAGCTGGAAGCAAAAGGAAAATCAGCAATACTGATTCTGTCTGTATTTACAATGTTGCTGTTTTCTTCATCATGGACGAACCTCTTGTTAGTCCTGGCTGTGCTCCAGAGCCTCTATCTATGAAAATCTTTATTGCACCTGCTGTAGGAGAAAGTTCCCCCGCAAAGTCTCAATGTCAGATGGCTTTCTTTTTCCTTTCACAGTAGTGACAAAAGGGCTGGCTTTTAAATTTTATGAGATGACACGTTGGACTCCAGATTCGAAGACCTATTTGAATTGTGGTTGTCTTTTAGGTTGTCTTGCTCAAAATGCATTTCTTCTTGATGTTTATCACAGTGACATGGGCTTTTTATGGCATTCCGAAGTACTTTAGAGAAAATGGAGAACACTTTAATACTGCTGATTTACTCTTTCAGGTCTACAGTAATTTCCTTACTGCCTAATTATAAGGCTGGGTTTAATTTACTCTACACATAATGTTTACTGATGCACATATGGTGCCACTTTTCAAGAAACTGTGCCCAGAACAGGCATTTTTGTCATACTAGAGTATGGAAAATTCCCATTTAGTATGATATTGGCTGTGGGTTTGTCATAAATGGCTGTTACTATTATTTTGAGGTATGTTCCATCAATACCTAGTTTATTGAGAGTTTTTAACATGAAGGGATGTTGAATTTTGTCGAAGATATTTTCTGCATCTATTGAGATACTCATGTGATGTTTGTCTTTAGTTCTGTTTATGTGATGAATTAGATTTATTGATTTGTGTATGTTGAACCAGCCTTGCAACCTGCAGATGAGGCTGACTTGGTGGTAGTGGATAAACTTTTTAATGTGCTACTGTGTTTGGTTTGCCAGTATTTTATTGAGGATTTTTGCATCGATATTCATCAGGGATATTGGACTGAAATTTTCTTTTTGTGTTGTTATCCTGCTAGGTTTTGGTATCAGGATGATGCTGGCCTCACAAAATGAGGGTGTATGTGTCCAGGAATTTATCCATTTCTTCTAGATTTTCTAGTTTATTTGCATAGGTGTTTATAGTATTCTCTGATGGTTGTTTACATTTCTGTGGGGTCAGTGGTGATATCCCCTTTATTGTTTTTTATGTGTCTATTTGATTTTCTCTCCTTTGTTCTTTTTTAGTCTAGCTAGCAGTCGATTTTATTATTTTTTTCAAAAAAACACAGCTCCTGGATTTGTTGATTTTCCCATTATATAGAGAAAAAAATAGTAATATATGTAATTCTCTCAACAAAGAATGTCCCCCAGTGAGGGGGGAAATATCACATATCTTCTTAACTTGAATAAGGTTATAATCTCTTTAAACACTTATTTTAAAAGCAGACTAGTAAGTATGTGGTTACATGTGTCTAATGATTTTCAGTTACCCCCAAAATGAGGAGATGGGTAGGAGTTGGGGAAAGGAGAAACAGGAAAAATAGTACTGTTTTGTGGACTTATTTGTTAACTATCTTTGAAAAGGAGCTATTGATTCAGAAATCGTGGGTTCGTAGGTTCTTAGGGGTGGAAGGGACACTATGGGTCTTCCCAGGGCAAGAGGTCTTTCTTCAGGAATATTAAGATGCCTTTTGTTTACCTCAGCTTTAAAGATGGGAGCTAATTCCTTCACTACAGCAGTTGGTACAATTATTGGGTAATTTTACTTGTTAGAAAATTGAGTTAAGATCAGTGATTTTGTAGTTATCAACCATTGATGTTGATTTTTTGCTGCAAAACTGATTTCTCTTCCTATGTCTAAGCCCCAGATAAAAAATTCAGTAAAGAGCTCTACTTAGAGTTCCAGAGACGTACAAATATTAAACATTATTGCATTCAAAGCCATGGCTTCACCAACAATTGCCTTGCCTTATCGTAGCTATGAGTGCTAAGAATGGTTAGGCTTAGGAACTGGGCATGTCTCTGGTCATTGAGACAACTGAAATAATCAGCCATCTTGATCATCTGATCTATTACTCCTGTTTGTATCTGGTTATGTATGAAGGTCAGAAAAGTAAAGCTGTCCACTAAGACTGACAGTTTTTTAGTGTCCATTCTTTACTTGATTCTTTATTGACGATCGCTGCAATTCTTCAGAGAGATATTACTATCAAAAAGATTTTTTTTCCGAGTAGAGTATTGAAATTCCAATAATAAGATTAAATTTCTTGCTGATATAAAACTCATAAGTTAGAAAACCCTAGTGGGTTGACTCTGAAGCCTGTCCTTTTAATGACTGTGGTTGTTAAAGTTGGTACACTTTGCTCTTAGTTTATAGCTTTTATTAAAATTCTTTAATGGGAAGAGCATAAGGTAAATATCAATTATTAAAGAGACCTGAGTTTCTCTATAATAATTATAATAATAGGCTTCGTGTCTAATATAATCACCATTTCTTTCTTCCTTATGCCATTCATATCTGTGTCCAGCTCCATGCCAGAAACTGAACTGTGAATGGGATTTTGATAATTATTATTCTAATTAATCGTAAGGGAAAAAACTTAAGGACTTTCATTTTAGCTGGGGGAATATCTGATTAAATGCATATCAGGAGACTAGCAGACTTGCCTGGTGCATTCATTGAGAAATGGTTGAATGGATTGTGCCTGAGCATTCCAGGATTAAAGGAGAACCATTTGTCCTGAGGAGTTTGAGGATAAGAGTGGATTTTTCTCTTTGATCCAACCATAAATGTCAGAAGTTTGGGTGATTAATCAGTCCCAGACCCATCTTCTTTCCTTCCATAATTTCTTAGTTTTTCACGAATGCATCAATCCTGTTTAACTGTTAAGGGCAGGGCTTCTGGATTTTTATTTGATTCCTTCAATTTCAACAAGGATCAGGCTGCCTTAAGTAGTAGCTACACTATGAGTTGCAACTATCTAAAGGGAGTGACTGTAAAGCTAAAAAAGCACCTTTGGGCCACGCGCGGTGGCTCACGCCTGTAATGCCAGCATTTTGGGAGGCCAAGGCGGGTGGATCACAAGGTCAGGAGATCGAGAACATCTTGGCCAACAGGGTGAAACCCCATCTCTACTAAAAATACAAAGTTAGGTGGGCATGGTGGCTTGCGCCTGTGTTCCCAGGAGAATGACTTGAACCCGGGAGGCGGAGGTTACAGTGAGTCGAGATCGCGCCACTGCACTCCAGCCTGGGCGACAAGAGCAAAACTCCTTCTCGAAAAAAAAAAAAAAATGCACCTTTGAGCAAGGCTGGGAAACCAGAAAAATGGGAGCGGGAGGTTGCTGAGTTCCAAGGGGCAGGGAGAAGTCAGCACTAATGGACTCTGAGCAGACTTCTTCAGCCCCTCCTTTGAAATACAAAAGCTTAGATCAATGTGGCCCTGAGGCTGTATCTATAGATACCAAATTAACTAGTTGAAAGGGGATGGCTGGGCGTGGTGGCTCACGCCTGTAATCCCAGCACTTTGGGAGGCCGAGGCAGGCGGATCATGAGGTCAGGGGATCGCGACCATCGTGGCTAACGCGGTGAAACCCTGTCTCTACTAAAAAATACAAAAAATTAGCCGGGTGTGGTGGCGGGCGCCTGTAGTCCCAGCTACTCGGGAGGCTGAGGCAGGAGAATGGCGTGAACCCGGGAGGCGGAGCTTGCAGTGAGCCAAGATTGGGCCACTGCACTCCAGCCTGGGCGACAGAGCGAGACTCCATCTCAAAAAAAAAAAAAAAAAAAAAAGAAAAGGGATAACTTGTGACTGATCAAGTAGGCATTGTGTCACAAGTTGCCATAGCAACCAGCTTGCCTGCTGCTCTGGGTGCATTCTCTATGTGTTTGGGCGGTCTGTGGAAGTACCCTTGATACTGTTGCCAAATCAGCAGGAAATTCATGATTTGGGGTCCAGTCCAGGTCAGAACACCTACATTAAGCAGGCCAGCCAACCCAACTAGATACAACTTCTACTCTTCCATGTAACTTTCCTCTTCCTTCCTTGCCTCAAAGCTTATATTAGAAAAGGAATTTCTTAGGGACCACTAGAATAACCTTTGCTTTCTAGCAGAGTATGAGGCAGGGAAATAACAAAAGTCGTTTGGTCAAATACCAGTCACACTGATCACCTGGGGGCTCTTAGAGGCCACAGTTAGCCTCCTCAGTTCTCTTCTTAAGGAGATAGCTTCTGGACACAGCAGATGCTTGGTTATAAGTAAGCAGTGGGTAAATGGAGCTTGAAATAGCCAGAGATTGCAGTAGAAACTTACGTATAGAGTGAGAGGCATATAAGACTAAAATCCACTGATGAAACCATCTAGAACAGGCATCAGCCAATTACTATCTCTGTCCCAAACTTAGCCCTCTGTTTGATTATGTAATGTTGTATTGACTGCTTTTGTGCTACAACTGCAGACTTGCGTAGTCATGACAGAGACTAACTGGCTCACAAAGGACAAAATCTATGTTACCTGGCCCTTTACAGCGGAGAGTCTGCCAATCCCTGCTCTAAAAGTAAACCTAGCTTGAGATAAGACAAATATGGTGTAAGCACCTGAATTCCCTGAAAAGCTAAAGGACCTTGAATCCAACTACGTTTCTCTTAAATAGCGACAGCACCAGTCATTTTACAGGATTTCCACAAAGTTGGGAATGTGGAGTAATCATTGGGCTTCTATCTGAAATGAAGTACCTCTAGGGAAAAATTCAGCAGCTGTTGGAAATGCAAGGCTGTGCAATAGTTAAAGACAGGAAGTAAAAAGTATTGCATACGGCAGCAGAACTCTGGAGAGGGAAGGTAGCTCAGAGGTACACCGTTATCCATAACTGGAGTAAAACAGGGGAGTGTGGTAAATGGTTTTCTGTTTTAGAAAGTGTGTTGAGTCCTTTACTGACCACAAATGGCCAGAAACTTCAGAGGTACATTTATCAGTGACATCTGCACCAAGAAGTAAATGCTCATCATTCTCCCTTCCTCACTCAACAGCATCTTATTCCCCCAAGTTACCCATCCCACTCCAGTGAACTGAGGTTTCACTCATACCTAGAGTGAGAAGTAGTGAGTTTTGTCTGGGTTCCTCCCCAGGTGCTTATATTTATAATAGACGTTCTTCTAAGACCCACAGGACTTGTGCTGTAATGTGGAATGCATGACATGTGGAAGTACAGGCCAGGTGACTCTACCTGGTACCAATCCTACCACACCGTAACAGGTGTGTAGGATGGACCCCATTAGAAAGAAATAATAGTTTTTGAGAGCTCGTCTCTATATCTTGCTTCATGCTCTTTAACCACACATTTTTTATAGGCTTCTGCTCTTAGCCTGCCATCAAATCCATCCATTCAGTAATTGTCTTTCCCAATTACCAATTAAATTGTGAGGGGATTAAATCATTTTTGGGGCATATTACAAGCTTCCTAAAGGTCCTTGCTAGGGTAAGGCTATTCTGTTACTGATGCAGCTTTTGACCCTTTCACACTGGGCTCAAGAAGCTTGTGCCTATTCACCACCAGTTAATCAATGGCAGATATTAGATACTCAGAATAAAACATCCAGGCATCTGATCTTAGATCTCCCTTTGGAGCAAGCAATGGTGGTTGGGACATAAGGCTGGGAGTAAGTAATCGACTAGGGGTGGGAGTGAAGAATTGAAAGAAAAGTGACCTTTGTCCAGTTAGGATTTGTGAACTTCAACAGCCAGGTCCATAAACACATAGATCTTAAGTAAAATGGCACTACTATTGGAACCCGAACACCTGACTCTGGCATTTTCTATATGCAACCAGAGGATCCTCTCTTTCCTCATCTAAACAACACAAATAACGATGCTCACCCTACAAACTGCACCCTTCACCCACACCGTGACATTGTAAGGAAGGTCAAATGAAACAATGTCTAGGAAAGTTCTCTGCAAGCTATAAAAACAGGACATGCACAGGATTATTATTAAAAATAAGCAGCCAGAAACTGAGTAGACCCTTCCAAATACGCAGAAAAGTTGACCTGCTTTTTGGTCTGGGTTCAGCGATCTGAGCAAGGTAGTTATGCTAGAAATGTCTTTTCCACCTTCACCCTTGCCACCTAAAATTTCACCCTTTTGAAATGCCAACTCTTCTGGGCTAAGTTAGACATTGGGCAATAGAAAGAATGCCTGTTCTGATGGAGGGGTGGAGAAATCTTAAGAGAATCTTTAAGTAATAAAAAAAAAAAGTGCAATATGATGTGAAAGAAATGTAGAAACATTAGACTTTTTTACAGTGTTGTTTAGGCCAGCCTCCAATACATTTGACGGGAATAACTCATGCTTACCTGTAAGCACCATTTATGAGGCCAGTCAACCATGTGTGAGGTCGTGTTGATCGCTGTAGCTTTGTTAGTAGTTGGGAGTTGAGACAGTGGAGGAGTTTTCAGCAGAAAGTGAGAGGAGATGGCTTGTCTTGTTTTCTTCTGTATCCCTGGCCAAAAACAGTGCTTCATCTACCAAGAGCTACTTAAATGCCAGTGGAAGGAATAAATGACGGAACACTGGCCCTTGAGTACAGTTTAGTAAAGTAAGTAAGTGATAAAGCATAATTTCTTTCTGAGGACTTCTTATTTCTCTTATAATAAGGTTCCTGCCACCTCTGAGCTAATTGCATTAGTATCTGTACCATCATATTTTGGTACGTTTACTCTCATTTCGTTTCTTTGGCATAACACTTAAAAATCCTGACTAAAACTGTGGCATTTGTGTAGATTTTTCTTTATAGATCCATTATTTCTCTTGAGATTAGAAAGGAATTTTTGAATTTCACAATTAAAGGCAAATAAGAGAACTTTTTTAGTTTTTCAAGAATGAATATTTCTCCAGTAAAAGGAATTGCAGAGGTGTTTTTCATTGAGTACATTAAAATGAGGCACACAGCCTTCAAAGTCTTATGCAAGTGTGAGCTTCTGCAAAACTAGTTGACTGGGGAGAGATATTTTTTTCTTGGATTGTCTTTTGCAGGGAGCTGTTTCATATTTATCAAATGGTTGCAGATTTTTAGACTTTGTACAAAATACTTTTGCAGTATTAGATGTGGCTCAATGTACAGCATACACTCCTCATACCCCACCCAATAGGTAGACAACTTTTGGTCATTTTTGAGACAGTTTGTTTTTCTTTTTGAGTTAGTGAGTTAAACTGTGTCTATTCTTTCACGACTGTGTGCTCCCACGAAATAAGAATTGCTAGAGCAGGTATGATCTATTGACTGCATTCCTTTGGGTTTGCTGAAGAAAATGCAGTTATTTACATTGATGAATAGCCTTAATTGGGTAAAATAGACTGGTAGTGCTGAGCTAATACCTTTAAATGTCTTGTCTTATGCAATTAATATTCCTTTGTCACACATACGTTTAAACCATTGGAAAAACGTCTTGTGTTCTTGACTCCTGTCAGACTTAACGAATGATTTTGTCAAGTCATTCCTTTCTGCCCTGGTTGATTGATAGCTAAATTTTGGTCTTCTAGCTTATGTAAAAAGTGTTAACTATGCCTTTCAGCTTGTAGGCAAGGGCATTTAAACCATTCTAGTAGTCAATTTACAGAGGAATTACATTGCCTGTTTACTGGAGGGGTCAAAAAAATGTGCCCCTGCTCATCAGAGACACAAATCACAGGGCCCATGAGCTAATGAAGGCAGTATTTATGAGTTTCTGCACTTGTTAGCTGATACCAAGTTCAAGATGTCCCTGGTCCTGGCTGCTGAGGATTCTGGCTTCCACTTTTGGATATGCCTGTGTTTATAGACTATGGAAAAGATGTATTTAAGAAGAAGTTTTGATCCTAATACTCTTAAGAGTGAGAATGCAAATTAGAATGCTAGATTGTCACAGTATCAAGCTGCATTTGCAGCTTTCAAAGATTTCTCTATAGTAAGGCTCACCTCTGCCACCACCTGGCTTATGGATTTCCATATAAACCATAATTACCATATCAAAGCGTGGAAAATGGATACCAGTCTTTCTGGGAGAAGTCTCTTGGCCCTTGGCTTGAACCCAGTTAGAACCCTAAGAAACACACTTTCTTTAGCATCTTACAATTTACTATTTTAAAACATTTTGATCATTAAGAGTTATAAGAAAATGGTTACATTAGAGCAAGTATAATTCATCAAATAGATTGTTGAAGTAGGCCTATCTTAGACCACAAGTTCTCCTTTTTTTTTCCGATCCCTAAATCCCCAGAAAGTGAGAATCTCATAGTGAGTATCGAGCAGGTCTCTTTCTACTCCCAGAGTAGGGATTCATTAGGACTCAGCATCACTTCTACCTCTGGTAGGATCACTGATTCCATCTTATGGTGTCCATCTGCCATGGGTTCTCTTCTTTTATCCTCTCCACAGGGGCTCTTCTTCTTTTTGGTCTTACTATATCATGGGTGGGGAAGAGGGGAGCTTTCAGAATCCCTTGTATATATACTTTACTCGTTCAGGAATCACATTTGTTCCTGGAATGTTTGCTGCTGTCATCATATATACCATTGCTTTTGGTCAATAATGTTCACAGAGCTGGCACAAAGTAGACAAGTGACAGCTTGTGTATGTTAGTATTTAAAGCATGTAGTCTGGGGCCAAGCAATATTGGTTTAAATCCTGCCACTGCCATCTGTTAGCTTTGTGAATGTAGACAAGTGACTTAATTCTATTGTCTCAGTCTCCTCACCTATAAAAGGAATAAAATAGTAGCCAGTGATTTTTGACAGAAATAAACAAGTTATTCTAATTTTTTGGAGCAGTATCTGGCACAAAATAAGCACTAAATGAAGATTGCTATTATGAAATATTAATATTCCCCAATGCTTTTCTGCTCTTGCCACCTCTCCTCATCTCACCGCTGCAGTTACTTCTGTCTTTTGCATATACTCTCCCTTCCACTAGCCTCTCCTTTGCTTTCTTGTGCTGCACCCAGCAACCGTGGGCTCCATTTTCTGCTAACATTTTTAACAGCACCATGTCAAGGTGCTGTACCTGCTAGATTAAGCCATCTGGAGATCCACAATGATCCCAGCACTCCCTGGGACCCTGAGGCAGCTTGTCACTGTCTCTTCTCATAAAGGCAAGTGCTCTTGCATATCGTGGAGGTAAAGGAGGAATTTGACACTGACCTGTGCGTGCTGGGGCAGAAAATGAAATCAACAGAAGGAACTAAGTACCTGTTACTGTCCTTCAGGAAAAGTCCCGATCAACCCTTCCCTGTCCTAGTCCCCATGACTTGTCTCTTTGTTATAACATTTTAAGTAAAGCATTTGTTTAATCTATACAAATAGTAAATTACAGCTGTGATTTTCTTACACACAGCCCATGGCTATATAATGGAACATGAGGAGTAGACTACTGTTATTTCAGTGCATTTGGCCAAAGAAATGAATTGAAATGGCACCAAACTAGTCCACTAATTGATCAGAAATTATTTTCAAGATGTCTCTACCACTTCACCAAAAGGTGATTTGGTGACCATGAAAACTTATTCTATGTATGTCATCTTATCAGTTATCTATTGTCACAACAGTGTAGTGTTAACAGTACCTCAGGGGCATACAGCAATAGCACTTGTAGCTCACTGGTCTGAGGCGGTCATCTTAGCCCGGCCTTCTCCTGTGTCTGGGTTCTGTTGCTCTTAATGGATCTAGGATGGTCTTGACATCGATGACTGAGGTGACTCAGTCATGGTCAATAGGTTCGTCACCCTTTTCCTGGGACAGGCAGTCTAGCCTGGGCACATGCTTCTCATGGGGATGGCAGAGAACAAGACCAAGCCGGCCTAACGTTGAATGAGCCTTTCAAATGTCCACATGCATCATGGTGTCCAACGTCCATTGGCCCTAAACATGACACATGGCCAAGCCCAGAGTCACAGAGGGCAGGCACTACAGAGTTACATGGCAATGGTATGGATAGAAGGAGATAGAAGAATAAGGTTATTCATGCAACAAATCTACTATAATTATCTATTCCATCAGTGAGACATGTTCCTAACTTTTATACTGACTATCAGCACTCACAGAGAAAAAAATCTAAGGGCACATATGTTGATCTGGCTGTTGATCTGGCTCCATTATAAGTGTTGCTAATGATGACAGTTGTACTTTTAATTGATCCAGCAGACCTGAATGAATTTGGTGGACAATGAATGAGATGGGTAGGGAAAAGCACAGGGCCTGATAGAGCTAATTGGTTCCATTAAAAAGAGATGCTAGTATCCCAATTAAAATGATTTTGCTTCATGAAAGACAGTTGGTTTCATCAAGATAATGACCAGAGAATTTCGTGTTTCTCGTATAAGGAAAACTAAATAAAGCAAGAACCATGATTATTCTTTAAATGTCTTCCCTAGGCTTTATAGATATGCCTCTCCTCCCGCTACCTGCTCCCACCCCAACCTGAACAATGAAGAGTGCCTTCATTACCAATGGAGTGTGCATTGATGGCACCTTGGCTTATTAAAGTGACTTTGGGTAGATTATAGCACTGACTGATTACCCTCATTGACCTTCAGACTGGCTAAACTTTGCCAGACTTAATGAAGCTCACTACTTGTCAAGCCCCCTAGGCTGGATGGCTCCTGGCTCAGTCACTTTGTTGCTTTGATTTTACATTTTTAATAACAATGATACCACACAGCTTAAGGAAATATGGCAGAACATGTCAGTAATCATGTAGAGCCTGGAGCAGCCATATTCATGGAAAGATTTAAGGCTTCAGATTTTTTGAGCCTATTTGAAATCACCCTCTAACCCCAGTTTTGACCTTGGCTGGTATTTCTTAAATCATTGTAATGAAGAAGTTAACACTATTATTCTTAACAAGATTTTTGTACACATTTATCTAAATGACAGGGTAGATGTTAAATGGTCAGGCATTTATTAAACATCATCTACCCAGCCTCAACTTGGGTGTTAACTTTTATTTCTGAAAGTCAAGATGGCATTGGGTTGCTCAGACACATAGCCAATTCTGCCTAAAGATTGGCATGCAAAAGGCTTCAACTGCAGGGAAGGTTTAGCAAAGAAAGAAAGCTTTCATCCTGAAGGAGAAACAGGATTGATTAGTAGTAGCTACTTGGAGCACTGTGTTGAAAAGGATTATAAAGTAGTATTTGAGCCCAGCATAAAAGAGTGCAGCACTTGATTAATCATGTCTGGTGTGGACATAGAAAGGAAGCATTGTAGCATACTTGCCATTCCTGTCCTAGTTCATAGCTTTTGATCTTGTTCCTTATAAACAACTCTTCACCTTTTAATTATTTCTTATAAATGTATCTCTATTTATTTTCAACTTCCACTCATGCTTGAATCCCTGAATTAGTTTTCTGTCAGATCTTTTCTTTGCTGGCCACTTTTTTGTTTTCGGGTCAGTATCTGAGTTCCTTTTCTGTGTTCAGAGAATTCCTCATGTTATGAATCTCTGTATAAGAAGCTTAAATGGCCAAAACACTTGTTTTCAAAGAATACTTTCCTCCCGACCGCTACCTCCTGTACTCTTGCAACTAGTTGAGGACGTATGACCCAGAGTTCTGGTCTCTGTTTCACCCAGATGAAAATCAGGTCTGCCTAACATTTTGAATCAAAACCTATTGTCACAAAGACACAGGGTGCCTTAACATTTCTGAATTTTGCCTATTTTGTGAACTGACAGGTCAATCTTTCTGCTTAAATCAGCTAGAATTAGTTTCTAATGCTTGAGACTAAGAATTTGACAATAGGTCTTCTAGGGAGGCATTCCTCAAACTTTATACTGTGGAATAATCACCTAGACATCTTACTAAAATGCAGATTCTGGTTAAAAGCAGGTCTGGATGGGGCCTTGGTTTTGCATTTCTAATAAGCTCCCAGGAAATGGCAGTGGTACTGGTCAGTGGCCCACACTTCTAGTAGAAAGGATCTAAATAAGGGAAGGCAGAGTTTGTAGGAAAATAAAAAGTCTATTTCCAGGTTAAATTAGGGCAGGCCAACTACGTAGCTAATAAACTTCAAAATGTACAAAGGCTCCGAACAGCAGAATTACATTTCTTAATAATGCACAATACTGGGTCAGTAACAGAACACTAGGCAGTTTTCCTTCATGTATGCAAGGGCCTAATTTAATTGGGAGGCAGGGAATGTCTTTTATCTTCAACTCAAAGCACCTCTATCTTTGGCCATGGGAGCCTCCTGTTATTCTGGCTTGCCCCTGGGAGTCTTTGATAGTTCTTTGCTACCTGGCATGACAAGATATTTCAAGCTTATTTGTACACTCCTGGCCTCAGGGTGCCTGGAGTCAGCCCTTTCTCCATGAAGCTCTGTTTTTTTTGTTTTTTTCTTTTTTTGTAGTGTAAAATTGTTTTTCAAGTTGTTCATCACTACTAGGCTAGCCATTATTTTCAGTCTTTTTCATTAGACAGAACTGAGAAAGTGTTTGCAAGTATGCATATGTTTTCAATTTAAAATCTCATGTTTTCAAACGTTGGCAAGGATATGGAGAAAGGAAAGCTTTGAACGTTGTTTGTGGGAATGTAAATTAGTACAATCATAGAAAACAGTATGGAGGTGCCTCAAAAAATTAAAACTAGAACTTCTGGGTAGAATCTGATGGAAATAAATCAATATCTCAGAGATATCTGCACCCCTATGTTTATTGCAGCATTATTTACGATAGCCAAGACATGGAATCAACCAAGTATCCACTGACAGATAAATGGATTAAAAAATGTGATAGGCAGATAAATAGATATATACACAATGGAATATTATTAACCATATAAAAATAGAAATATTTTATATGTGACAACATGGATGGACTTGGAGGGCACTGTGCTTAGTGAAATAAGCCAGACAGAGAAAGACAAATACTGTATGGCATCACTTATATATGGAACCTAAAAACAAACAAACAAACAAGAGGTGGAACTCACAGAAACAAAAAGTAAGCCAGTGGTTGCTAGGGGCTGGAGGTGGGGGTGGTGAAACGGGAAATGCTGGTCAAAGGGTACAAACTTTAAGTTATACAGTGAATAAGCTATGAGAATCTAATATACACCATGATGACTAGCAAAAATGCTGTGCTGTATGCTTGAAATTTGCTAAGAGAGTAGATCTTAAGTGTTCTCACCAATAAAGAAAAAAAAAGGTAGCTATATGAGGTAATGTATATGTTAACTCAATTGTGGTAATCATTTCACAATATATATGTTTATAAAAAATGTATGTTTATCAAATCATCATGTTATACACTTTAAATATATACAATTTTATTTGTCAATTATACCTCAAGAAAGCTGAATCAAATCCGATGTGTTTCTACTGACATTTCTACTTCAGATCTAACACTGGAGAATTTTTCTTTAACTGCTTTCTTCCCCACCAACACTCCTGGTTAGCAAGGACATAGGAAATGATGAATTAAAATTTCATAGTTAATCATTTGCTTTCTTCTACCTTTAAACGCAATAATATTGGAATAATAATATTCATACTTCCCCTATAATTAAAATTACATAAAATACTTAAAATATTTTGGTGTTTTCTATTCCCTTTCTCATCCCCTTTTCACAATGTTGTAATATGTCTTTATTGTCAGAGTATATAAACATTTATACTATATTCTATCACTTTTTAAGTTAATATTTTCCTAGATATTTTAATTCTTAAAATATTTTATTTCTTAAAATAACTAGATAGGAAAAGGTCATGAGAACAATATTCTGAGTTCTTGCATTTTTATCAGATTTTGTATGTCTTATACCCTTGAAAGTCAGTTTTGCTGGTTATAAAATTCTCAGTTTACATTCTCTTTCCTTGAGTATCTTAAAGACAATATTTTCCTTTGGCATAAATCTTTACTATTAAAAAGTCTGGTGATAATCTATTTTTTCCTGTATAAATCATATGCTATATTTGCTGAAATGCAGTTTTTTCCCCCTCGTTTTTCTTTAGAATTCAGTCATTTTACTGGAAAATACCTTGGTTGATAATTACGGGTCAGTCTTCTCAGGTACATGATACATTATTTCAGATTGTAGGTTATTTGTTTAATTTTAAATTTTTAATTTTTCATTAACATATATATGTTTGTGGAGTACAATATGATATTTTAATATATGTATATATTATGAATGATTAAATTAAGATAACATATTAATCATCTTATATACTTTTTTTTTGGTGAGAATATTAAAAACCCACCTTATCAGCAATTTAAAAATATACAGTATTAGAATATAGTTTTAATACATACATATATTCTGGAAAGTTTTCATTGATTACAATTTTTGGTATTCATTCTGTTTTCTTGTTTTGATTTTCTTTATTCATGGACCCCCTGGTAGCCCTGTATTGACTTTTCTTTGCCTATCTTCAATATTTGTCACATTTTCTAAAATGGTTTTTAAGTTCTTTAAAAAATATTTTTTGGATTTGAAACTTTTCTTATTTTATTTGTCTTATGGCATTTGATGTGGTGTTTATTCATTCTTAGTCTTTTTCAAATGATTTTCTTTTATTTATAATTCTTTCTTGAGTTTCAT